>NC_000005.10:55109807-55734807 GCF_000001405.40 Homo sapiens
TTCGATTTTCACTGGCTCATAAATAAACCAAGTGAACCAATTCAAAAATATTAAAATATTTCCAAACATTTTAATTTTTAAAATTAAAGCACTATCTTCAATTAAGTCAAGGTTGGTCTTAACTGCATATTAAATGCTGCAGAATTTCTTCCATTTCACTAGTGGTAATGCTGAACACTGACCCCACACCCTACCCCTCTTGTTTTCCTCCAGGGAGATTCTGGAAGCCCTTTGTTGTGCGAGGGTGTTTTCCGAGGGGTCACTTCCTTTGGCCTTGAAAATAAATGCGGAGACCCTCGTGGGCCTGGTGTCTATATTCTTCTCTCAAAGAAACACCTCAACTGGATAATTATGACTATCAAGGGAGCAGTTTAAATAACCGTTTCCTTTCATTTACTGTGGCTTCTTAATCTTTTCACAAATAAAATCAATTTGCATGACTGTACCTGTTTCTCTCTTGTAACCTTAGTGGGCAGATCTGCACCAGCAAAGTGAAGCAGAGTTACATGGCAGCCTTGTAGATAATGCAAGGATTACGTGATCAATGTCACCAGAGTCATTTGTGCGTCAAGTGACATGGGAATGCTTCCTGAATTATTCATCTCTCTGTCTCCATGAAATCCAGCAAGAACAACCCTAAGATCAGGTCTAATAACAAATGCAGTAAAGGCCTCCACAATTCCACAGGAAACAGAAACAGCCAGTCTGGAACATTTGTGTTAAAAGGAAATATAGGGCATTGTTCCACATTAACACCTGCTTTTCATGTTATACACAAGAACCTGAGTCTATGGGAGAAAAAGAAACAAGCAATGCCTTACGGTATTTTCCAAATTCTAGGGCATACAAATAAAGTGCTTGGGCAGCCAAGAAAATTATACAATAGAGAGTCAGCCTTCTTTCTCAGTGCCTTGCATTTAAGCCTTGGATTACCTAGGTGATTTCTCAGTTCTCTTTGTTCTTGAGACGGGGTAGATCCAATCAACATGGTGGTTACAGTGGCTGCCATCCCATAGTAGGGAGTGAGTGTTGACTTGTAGCCAGAAAGTTTTCTTTGGAAAAAACCGTCATAATATTTTTTCAACATAGTGAATTTAGTAGGTAGTCATCAGCCTGCAGTCATTTCAAGATGTGATTATGTGAACAGATTCTTTCCATTTCTATAGTCCCTTTAGTAATATAAATTTTATATATGTATATTATATATTATGTAATACAAATTTCAATATATACATATATTATATATGTATATACACATACACACATATATATACACATATACACACACATATATACATGGATAATACATATTCAAACCAATAACATACAGCAACACAAAGAGACAGGCTCTTAAAATAAAGTGCAAAAAAAAAAAAAAACCAACAACAAAGGAAGGAGCATAGCTCAAAGACTGGCTAAAATAATAGTAAATTCGTTTTCAACCATGGTAGTTCATTAGACTCACCAAGCTCTTTAAAATTACCAATGCCCAGGTCCCACCTCTAGAGATTCTGATTTAATTGGTATTTGGTGGGACCCAGGATGTAGTATTCTTTGTATGAGCTCTCCAGTGATTCTAATATGCAGCCAGGGATAAGAACCCTTATACTAGAAAAGGAGATCTGGTGCTACTATATAAAAGAGAGGCTCTGAGAGAGTAACTACGATGATATTTTAAATACTTGCTACAATCCCTCATTGCTAGTTAGGATTTTAACTGCAAAAAGAGGATGGAATATTCCCTACTGTCAATATGTATTACAGATTTTGAACTCTGTTTAAAAAATGGTTGTATGGAACCCTTGTTAATTGCTGGTAGAAGTGTAAATTAGTACAACTTCATAGGAAAATTGGCAGTGTCTACTAAAACTCAACATATATATAAACCTATGACCTAGCAATTCCATTCCTGGGTAGATCCCAAACACACATGAGTGCTTTTATCCACCAAAGATGTGTTCTGGAATGTACACAGCAGCTTTATTCTTGGAAGTCAAAACTAGAAATAACTCAAATATCCACACACAATAAAATGGATAAACAACGTTACACAGGCATACAATAAAATATTACACAGCAATGAAAAAGAACAAACTTCAGTTTTATGCAACACAAATTTAATGTTGAGGAAAAGTGAGATAAAAAAGAATATGCATGATGAGATTCCATTTATCTGAAAGTTGGCATAAGGAAAAACTAATCCATGGGGATAGCAGTCAGAAAAATGTAGAGCTGCTAACTAGGAGGGGGTACGAGGGATCCCTTTAGGGTACTAGAGATGTTCGTATCTTGATCTAGATGTTGGTTACACACTTATTTATTCATAAATTTAAAACTCATCAAGCTATAAAGACTTATGTGCTTTACTATATGTGAATTATTATTCTGTGAAAAAATTTTAATTACAAAATTTAAAAATAAATTGTAGCCCAGGCTTTTGTGTGCTATCTGAAAGCTTACCTTTTTCTTTATGAAAACCATATTCCAAATTTCCCAACAAAACTAATTGTAGTAACAGATATATTAATATTTTTCTTAAATGAGAGCCTCTTGTTCACATGCCAGTATTAATTGAGAGAAGTGCTCTTTGGTCATGACATAGTGTCATGAGAGTATTAAAACAGAAGTATCCAGAACAGAATGGCAGGGGACACTGGAAATGGTCTAATCATTTTGCTCATTTTCTTCTAAACATTTTCTTACAGGTAATACCTGGCATATTAGGAAGATCAAATTAAAACCATTAAAGAAGAGTGTGCATTGCAGAAAACTATCACATCTGTGGCTTTCAGTGGCCTAAAATTTTCTAAGGCAAGAATTACTAACATTACCAAACAGATCTAAATTTAAAAAACAGGAAAAATAAAAATATATATTGACAAATTAACACTAATTTAACAGAAGAGTCCTAAACTCCCCTGGTATATAATATTCTACTTTTGAATTCTTAAAGTTTTTGTTTTGTTGTGTTGATTTTGGGGGCATAGGGAATAGGTATGTATTAGTAAAAAAAATTCATGTCAAAGCAAAAAAAAATAATCAACCAATATTTGATATCTGGCATATGCAGAACATATGAAGGAGCACCAAAAAATATAACGCATGCTCCCTCAAGCCCTCAATTCAAACTCCTCAGGATGTTAAAACAAAACAACCAACGATTCAAACAGTAATAAAAGATTTTTTTAAACAGCTATAATAGTATAATAATACCAAATAGATGATACAGGCTAATGCCAAGAACTCAAACCCAGGTAACATCATTTCAAAACACTTCCTGGAGAGGTTAGGACTTGTGTGGGTGTGTAAAGGAAAAGGAGAGAGAAGCAAGAATTCAGATTAGAAGAAAAGCTCCAATAAGGCAAGAAATCACAAGACTTAGCCAAAGTCTTAATATAGGAGATGAATGTGAATTAACATTCAAAAGACAGAACAGCGAACTGATCAAGTTTGAAGGAACCTTAGCAGTGATCAAATTCCTATCCTTGCAGATGTTGCAACACATCCAAGGTTACAGGGTGTATTTATGGCAGAGCCAAGGCAAAAAAAGATCTCCTAACTTCAAGTCCTGGGCTGAGGACTCCAGAGGTTGAGGTCAAAGGTGTTTGGTAATAGGTTGTCCTTGAGAGTTGATGAGCAGGGGACTGAGAGGATCAGCACAGGACTTTTAGATGTTCAACCTAGCAGTGGTGTGGAGTCAAGAGGATCAGTTCTAAGACAATTACAGCAGACTGGCTGTCAGGCACACAGGATGTGACTAGGTGAAGCAAAAGAAAAGAGAGCAAAGGGTGAACTGAGGAAGCACAGAGCAGAATAATCAGGAGGTTCCCTGAGTGGGAGACCAGGATAAGGATGAGACCATCAGGAGGGGAAAGGGATTCCTACAGAACTGATTTTTAGAGAGAGCAATATGCATGCTTAACATACTGCCTAGCATATAGTGAGATTTTAGTAAGTGTTTTTCAAGTGAATGAGTTGTGTTTTCAATGTGTTGAGATTGAGCTAAAGACAGGAAAGTATCTCAAAAGGGAACTATCCTGAGGCAATCAGAAATATGAGGTTTGGAGCTGGGGAGAAAAGTCATACGGGAAAGAAGTAGAAATCTTTGCTATAGATGTTATTCTGAATAAAGTAGTGAAAATGAATCTCTAGAAAGGGGTAAGAATGGGAGGAAGAAGAGGAGGGGGAGGAAGAGGGGCAGAAAGAAGAAAGCAGAGAAGAAAAGAAGCGGATCTCTGGGAAGCAGAGCAAGTAAAGCAATCTGCAAAAGAAGAACAGGAGAACAGGCATTCACATCAAGAAGAGTATTTCAACTTGTTTGATACTCATAAAAACCCCATGGAGAAGACATAGCCAACATCATCATCTTCACTCAGAAATAAGGAAACTGAAACCTAGAGGGGCTGGGTGCTAGTAGCAATTCCATACAGAGGCCGTCCCATCAGCTGCAGCAGAAAACACCCGGGTCTGGTCTGGACTCAAAGACAGGTGCAGCACTCTGCCCCTGTGGCCTGGGGGAAGAAGGAAAGACAGTTCATACTCCTCCACGTTACATGGGCTGCTGCTCAGGACTGTAGGCAATGTAAGTTGGGGCCATGAGTCCCATCCCAGGATAAAGGGCTTTCCCACACCCACCAGGTTCAGAGCTGCCACCAACTGAGCCATGCTGGGAGACAGCAGTCAGGGCCGACTGGGACAGTTTTCTCCCTCAGTGCTCTTGCCCCTGTATCAGTGTCCTGTGGCTGCCATAACAAATTACCACCCATTGGGTGGCTTAAAACAACAGAAATTGATTCTCACAGTTCTGGAGATGGGAAGTCTGAAATCATGGGGTCACAGGGGCTGTGCTCCCTAGGGAGGCTCTCGAGGGGATTCCATGCTTTGCAGCTATTGGCAGTCATTGATTTGTGGCCACATCACTCCAGGCTCTGCCTCTGAGACCACATCTCCTCCTCTTCTGTGTGTCTTTTCTCCTCTGTGTGTCTCTCACAAGGATACTTGCCATTGGATTTAGGGCCACCTGGATAATCCAGGATGATTTTATTTCCAGATCCTTAATGACATCTCCAAATGCAATATTTCTGAATAGGTCCCAGTCTGAGGTTCCAGAGATTTAGCATGGGTATCCTTTAGGAGACCATTTATCAGCCTACCACACCCTTCATGCCCTATACTGTTGTTAGTTCTGTCTTCTCTAATCCAACCATTCCTACGAATGACAGTGCTATGCTCCTGCCACATATCCCAGCCTTCCCCCAGAAGTATCCCACTGGGCCCCAGGTTTCAATAAACTAATCAGATAAACTGAAGCAGCTTAATGAAAAAGGACCAAAAAAGCTCTCCCACAGAGCATGCATGAGCCACACTTAGGAAGTTCTGGAGATAATACTTCTCCTTCTGTTAAATTATTATTTGCCAAAGAACATTCTATGGCACAGTAGTCCTATGAGAGGTTAATAGGTATTAAAAACAAAAAGACTGTTTAATGTTCACACTAATTTGGAAGCTTTGAGTTAAGAAAATTAAACATTTCCTTATTTCAGGATTTCTTCATTTTAGGACTACTAGAAGCATTACAAATGTTTCGGAGATGAGGCAACAACAGGCAGTACTTCTCAGATTTATCTGACCACAGAGTTCTTTTAATTTGAGCATCTCAAGGGCTAGTGCTCCTTGGAAAATGCTTTGCAAAATCTGGCCCAATCCAACAGTGACTTTAATGATCAAAACTTTAGGCCAAAATAGGTGAAGCTGACTCTATGAAAGGAGCCTGAGGCTAGGAGAATGAGGGAGGAAAGGAGGTCAGATATGGTTTTGAGTGGGTAGCTATTTGTGGGCACAGCTGAAATCAAACTAGATGGGTGGTCACTGCTCAAAGGACCAGTACTGCCTACGACTCAATTGAGAGCTGGAATTTCAGAAATGATCGTGTACTCTGATACAAGGTTCTCAGCAGAAAGGAGTGTGAAAACACTATTCCACTCCCAAGAGAGACATATTTGAGATGCTTATTCTTCTACACACATCACTCCCAACACTCTCCTTTGTGCCTGTCCACGTGCATGCGCAAGCACACACACACACACGCACACACACACCACACACACACGCACCAGTAAAGGATGCCTCCAAGGGGACATGGGATTGGCCCTGGGTGTGTTGGGACATAAAAAAGTTTACATTTATAACGACAATGCAGGCCCCTTATTTTATAGGTGAGGGAAAAGATTTGGGGATACCAAATGTATTGCCCAAGGTCACACAGCTAATCAATGACAGAGCCAGAACTAGGATCCAATTCAATGCTGTGACTATTCAGACCACACTCCAAACCCTGATGAAAGAATCTCTTTTTTTTATGGAAGACCACTGTCTATTATTTAAAAAATAATAAACCATATAAATGAAAAGCAACTTGATTTAGTTGTTTTAAAAGGATAAATATAGGAGACGGACACAGTGGCACACGCCTGCAGTCCCAGCTACTCAGGAGGGTCACTTGAAGCAAGGTGTTTGAGGCTACAGTGCATTATGATCAAGCCTGTGAATAGCCACTGCACTCCAGCCTGGGCAACATAGAAAGATCCAGCCTCCTAAAAAGAAGAGGATAAATATATAATAGAACATTACTCTAATGCTTTTATTTATTTATTTATTTTGAGACAGGGTCTCACTCTGTCACCCAGACTGGAGTGCAGTGGTGCAAACACAGCTCACTGCAGCCTCAACCTCCTGGACTCAAGTGATCCTTCCACCTCAGTCTCTCAAATAGCTGGGACTATAGAGTGTGCCACCATGTCTGGCTAATTTTTGTAATTTTTCTAGAAATGGAGTCTCACCATGTTGCCCAGGCTGTGCTGATGCTTTTAAATTAATAAGAAAGAAAAGTCTATTCAACAAATGTAATAGGTAATAAATATGCCTTCACTCTTTTGTGTTATGATGAAGAAGAGAAAAAGGGAAAAGGAATAATGGTGGGGGGAAATCCCAATCTTTTCCAAAGCATGTACTGAAAACTATCTTGACTTAAAAACTGGAAAGCTACTTTTAGAATTTGTTAGGAAAATGGCATTTGGACTGGACGCAAAGACATTCTTGAAGTTTTTCTCTCACATCAGTGACAATCTTAATTTACCAGATAGTGGGAAATGTCGTCTTTATCTCGGACAAAGGTCCTTTTTAGGCTTTATTTTCTCAAGTTCTAAGAATACAGACACTGAAAGCATGAAAACGTTGTCTTCTTTCTGCAACTATAGTCATAAATGAGACCACATATTGATACATGGAATGATGAAACCAAGCCAAAGGCCAGATCTCACCCTATAAGCTAAAAAGCTACCTACTCCTATTTTAAAGCTTAAAAATTACAACTCTTGAGTAGGTGGGAATAATCATAAGTTACCTTTCTTCTGTAGTCAGGTGGGTGAGGTCTCTTTAACTGAAATTTTCCCCCCAAAAAAAATCATGACTATGGTTAACAGGGTACGGCTTAGTAAAGGTGTGACCAGAATCTAGAATAGTTTTGTTCCAAACTTTGTGACCACAATCCACAGCCAAAACTATATTTTATGTAGCAACCCCATACACAGGCACATACATGTACTACATAACTATAACATAAGTTTCATAAAATACTACTTAATTTTCCATTTTCCCATCCTATACTATTCTATTTCACTTTTTATTGCTGATCTTGACTCACTACATTCATAATCCAATGGTCATGACCCCCAGTTTGAAGACCCTGATCCAGATCTCAGTCATCAGGTGTATGTCAAGAGCGCTGTTCTTGACCCACAATGGAAACACAGCCTCACAACGAAAGCCATAAAAATTAAATACCTAGGCCAGGGGACACAGCAGTGCTCCCTCAGTGTGTTCATGGAACAAGTACTTCAAGATGTCACCCACTACAGATTTCCCAAATGTGTTTGGGAAACAACAAATGCTATCACCTTCTCTTGGTGATGCACAACACACATAATCTATCCAAGCCTTTGGAAGGTCCTTAAGAAAGAAAACAGTGGCCAGGCATGGTGGCTCATACCTATAATCCCAGCACTTTGGGAGGCCGAGGTGGGTGGATCACCTAAGGTCAGGAGTTCGAGCCCAGCCTGGCCAACATGGAGAAACCCCATCTCTACTAAAAATACACACAAAAATTAGCCAGGCGTGGTAGTTGGCGCCTGTAGTCCCAGCTACTTGGGAGGCTGAGGCAGGAGAATTGCTTGAACTTGGGAGGCGGAGGTTGCAGTGAGCCGAGATGGTGCCATTGAGCTTCAGCCTAGGCAACAGAGTGAGACTCTGTCTCAAAAAAAATAAATAAAAAGAAAAAGAAAAGAAGAAGAAAAAACTGTTCTAGCTTAACCCCAAATTTCCAAACTTACTGACCACATGGTATGTTTTTGTATTAACAACTTTGTATGTATGTTTTGTATAACTGCTAAACACTTTTGAGAAATACTGTATGTAGAAGAAACTAATGGGTTAGAGATAAAAATGAGTGTCTAAGAGCTCAAAAGTAACCTCATCTCCAACTATAAGCATTTTAAGAGAAAAGGTTAAATGCACTCTTGGAAATTCTAATATTAATGAAAAAACTCGCAAGGAGTTAAAACTAAAGTACTTATAGCTTGTGAGGACCAGAGAAACAAGGAAATACACCTGGTAAGTACATTCTTTATTCTAAGCATCAGCAAATTGATTTGAATATCCTATCACATGCCCCCACCTAGCTGAAGGCCATACCTAGCTGCTGGAATTAGTTTTGTAAACAACCAGGTTTTAAGGCTTGATTTACAATACTTCTCTAATCTGAAAAGGTCCAGGGAATTGCATGTCTTTTGATTAAAAATATGAGGATTGACTCATGCTCTTCCTACACTTGCACCTGATCACCAAAATGGCTCTGCTAAGAGTTCCCTGTATTCTGATCCAGGCCACAGAGTGTGACAGCTGAAGAATACAAAGGTCATTCTGAGGCTGAGGTCCAGTCGGGCTCATCATCAGAGGCAGGAAGTCTATCTGATAAGGCTGTTTCATTGTTGCCCACTAATATTCTCAGAATCTCCAAAGAGAGTCATGGTATTATCACTACCTAACATTGCATATATTTGTTTTCTGCATGTCTCCTCTCACAAAAGTGTAGGCTCCCTGAGGGCAAGAACATTGTCTCTCTTGTTCACCTGTGTATCCCCAGCACCCCAAAAAGTACCTCCCACATAATAGATGCTTCATAAATAAATAATCAATAAGTAAACCTCAGGGATTGGCCAGGAGGCCAGGTGAGTGAACAGAGGAAAAAGACGGGATATATAATCAGAGTTCTACAAGAGATTGGATGCCGGTGCCCTGTTCTTGCATCGACCACCAGTTTTGTCTTCCTGTTTCCCTGGGCTGGGTAGAGGAGATACTCTACTCACCCTTGAGCCCCCTTTAACATTCTAGATGCACAAAAGAGGATTTAAGGCCCAGAGGACAGGGCCTGGGTCTTGCTCCCCATCATGGGGTCTTTCTCTCAAGAAGTACCCAGTAAAAGTTTGTAGAACGAAGCTGAGAAGAGTAGTGGTCTACCTTGAAAGGGCAGATGTTCACAGAGGAAGCTCATGGTCATTAGTGGCCTCCTGACACATAATGTCTTGCCCTTTCAGATCGCTTTATCTTCCACCCATTCTACACCGCTGGTTTTTCTTCAAAATAAGATGATTTGTGATGCTAACTCGAGTTCAAAAACTGCCCAAGATCACCACTCCATCATTCATATACATATGCAAGGAGGAGATGACTTAATTTAAAGTGATGAACAATCTTAGGCAAATTCAGAAACATTCAACTATACGCTCTCTGAGGTAGGGTGGATGTAGGACTTTTTCCTCTGATGAAATGTGTACTTAGAAAAACCAGAAGGATAAAATCTTTCATTCAGGGCTTTTCCCCCCAACAACAGCTCACTTTGCTATAGGTGCATGGCATTTTACTCACCCATTTGCTTACCAAAAAACCCACCTGACCTGGACACAGTGGGACAGGTCCACACAGTCACATCATTCTTGGGAGTACCTTGACCAGTTGCAATCTCCTTTGTCTTAGGTAGCCAGATTAAGGAACAAATCTGTAATAATGATCAAAAATAGAGAATTCTTGCAATTTCTGATTCCTTATGAATATAGTTAAACTGGTTACAGGCAGTATGCACTGTCCATGACCCAACCTCCAGTACAGCTGGGGTAGGATGTTAAAGAAATTACAACCATTCTAGGAAAGTTTATCCCAAGGCAACAAAGGATCAAGTATACAAATAGGCTTAGGTGCAATAAATTGAAGAATTTAAGTGAACTGTGATCATTGGCCAGGAAGAGCCAGATTACTCTCAAAGTTCATGGTCAAAGCAGTGATGGGGAAAGAAAGGAAATGTGAAAAAAAGAAAACACAAATTATATTAACTTTGAACTCACAAATGAAGAGGTTTTTACAATAAAAAGAAACTCTTGAGAACTCAAATTCCTTATGGACTCAATAGAGAAAGAGAGCTTGTTGGGGGCATAGGCTCTGTTGTAAACTATTTTCACAAGATTCCAGAAGATCAAAATGAAGATGAAGCCCAGAGGAGATATTAACCTGTGAGTTTGTGCTTGGGGTCTGGATGCTCTTCCCAGCATTTATATCCAAGATGTGTAAGCGTCCATCCTTCATTCCTCCTCCAATGGCAAGGACCCCAGACTGCCAGGGACACCAATCCATGGCCTTTAAAGTTTCACATAATAGCACAGACAGGTCAGCTTCAAAGGAGGTGCACTCATGAATGTGATGCACTTAGGTAAGCAGCAAGTCCCCACGTCTGCACCTGTCACAGCTCTCCTGGGCCTGCTATCTAAAGGCAGGAGCAACTGCACCCTCCAGAGATTATTCCTCAGGGACTAGCAGTCACTTCTGGAAGGGAAGGTACCTAATACGACTCAAATCAAATTGTTATCAAATGATGATAACAATTGTGGATTTTTTAACATAGACTATGCAATAACAGTTGAAAAACTACATGCAATACATCCTATGGGGCAAAAATCTGCTGCTGGGATAGTTCACATGTGCCCTTGCAAATTGGCTCTGAAAATGCAGGCTTTCTCTGATTTGTCTACCTGTGTCCTTATGTTCCAGGTAGTGGTCAGATAAGAGAAAAGAGAACTATATGTGATTGCTCACAACTCAACAGTCTCAAGCACTTCAAATCTTAAAGCAGTTCAGAAAATAAAATTGCCTTCTATTTATTTATAATTATAGTTAATTCTAAAAAATAGGATTTAGTATCACACATTTATATTGATAATTGAAATTACTAATAATAATCACTTTAAAGGACATTTTAACAAATACTACAGTTATATGTATCTGTGTATCCTTATCAATCATCTTGGTAACTACCCTCATTTTTGCATCCTCTCTTCTACACATAAAAATATTTTATAAAGTAGCAAACATCGTGTTTATACTATTTGATTATTTTCTGTTGTTTTCACCTATTGTATAAACAGTTTTCCACGTTTTAATAGACTTTTCACAATTATAATTTTTAACAATCCCATAATATTCCATCGTGTCGTTATATCCTGATTAATTTTTGTTCTGCTAATGCTGGACCTGTTTTGGTTTTTTGTTGTATTGTGGTTTGATTTGTATTGGGTTGGGTTAATTTTTTTTGGAAAGGAGTATTTTTTTTGTTTTTGTGCGTGTGTTTTATTTGCTGTTTGCTCTCATAAAGTACATTGTAATGAATACATTCTACATGTCTTTTTTTCTGACAAATTTTTTAAGTAAATTCCAAGGTTCAAAAGAGTTGACATAAAGTTTTCCAAGCAGTTATAACTTTTTACAGCACCAGCATCCAATGAGTATACTAATTTCACCCTGGCTAAAGGTTACATGAAGTTAAAAATGTTATTTTACATCTAGTGAAATTAAAATCATTACAAAACAGATTATAAGGGTAATTTATTTTCTTCTTAGCAAGAATGAACTTTTTTCTGTGTATTTATGTTCCTCTAGCACTTCCCACCATGTGGATTTTTTGCCATCTAAGCACCTACATCTTAACGCTTTTCTTACAAGTTTGAGTCCATTTTTTAAAAACATACATCTGAATATACAATAGTTGCTCTCATTCTTCATTTAACCAACTTGCTAAATTTACCAAAGTTCTCCACTCCTTCTGTAAAACATACTTACTCCTACCCATAGCATGCTAGTCTTCTGTTCTCTAGAATGCTCCACACTTCTACTCCCACTAATTAAGCTGTGGGTTTATAGAGCCCACTGTGTTTTGCCAAACCTGTTTATGACAGGTGAACTTGTTATTATAACTGTGATTTCATCAAATTACATGTAAATGTTTAATTAAATCACCTACTTTATTTGGACTAAAGATGACTGTTACTTCTATGAACTAAATTAAACAATTTGGAAGTCTTTTCTCTTTTTTTTTTTTTTAAGACACAGTCTCACTCTGTTGCCGAGGATGGAGTGCAGTGCTACCACAAAGGGTCAATGAAGCCTCAATCTCCCTGGGGCTCAAGCGATCCACCTACCTCAGCCTCCCAAAGTGCTGGGATTACAGGCATGAGCCACTGCACCTGGCCTCACTCTATTTTAAAGATTCTGCGGCAGATTGTATTTTCCAAAGATAGCTACAACACTGTCTTTCATCCAACAAGTCCTTCTGAGCCTCGCCCATTCCCTCCATCAATAGGTACAATCTAATTCCTCTACCTTTGAATGTGGGACTTGTGACTATCCTGGAACCAATAAATGTGACAAAAGTGACACTGCATGAATTGCAAAATTAGGTTATATTAATAAAAGGTGTTAACGCTTTCACCTTGCTCTCTGAAGCACTGGACCTATTGCCCTGAAGCACAAACTCCCAACTGGCTTGAGGCAACCATGTTGTGAGGAAACCCAAATCAGCCCACACAACATGAAGATGCTCTGGAATTACAAGAAGGAGCATGCCCAGGCAGCTGGCAAACAAGTGGTCCAGCCTCCCACACTTTTAGCTTCCGATGCTGTCTGACTGCAACCTCATGAGTGATCCTGAGCCAGAACTGCTCAGATGACATTTTCCCAGAATCCTTACCCAGGAAACCATAAAAGATAATGAAATGATTATTGTTTTAAGCCACTAAGTTTTTGAGTAATTTGTTGCACAGCAATAGATAACCAGACAGATACTATAAACAGAAACCTTGAACAATGAAATATGGTTATAGTTCATACAAGAAAGACAATGAGGAATTCTCATCAGCCTACCTACACTCAAAGTAGAGGTCTTGGTCTCATATGGTGAATTAATGTACGGTTTAATAAATCTGGTGAATGTAATGTTTTCAGTCAAAATAAAATATCTACAATATATATCATAAGTTAAAGTTCCCTGCTTTAATTGTCTTTTTCAAATAACCATTCTCCACCTCTGATTAGGCTGGAGAAGAGGGCTATTTCACAGAACACAAAATTTTGCAATTTCAAGAGGCTCAGAAATTCCCCTGAGCCCATGGGCCCCAGTTTTACCATATGATGGATAATAATTTTTTATATTTATTAATAATCATTTTCTTAAATATCCTACACTTCCAGATAGCTTTTATAATAAATATTTTGGCAAAACTAGAAGCTACACCATGAGAGGAATCACGCACATGTCAACCTGCAAAGTCTACTCCTGCTCCACCTGTTGGTTAGCTGGTGACTGAAGAGACACGACTGGTGACTGTTCAGTGATTCCCCAGGTGCTGACTGCCAGGAGGCTTGGCTTGCTCTGGTTTCCGGAGACTCTCTCTTAGTGAAAAGGACTCCCATTTAGTAGTTCACTGCATCAGATTTTTGACAACAAGGCATTTAAAAAGGTAACTTGTCTTGCTTGGCTTGGGTTTTCAACTAATTTTTTGTTTTGTTTTTGTATGTTGTTTTCAGACAGCGTATTTTACATATATTTTGCCTACTTCAAGTCATGAATACTGGGAATTTGGACCGATCATCATTCTCAATATCCTGTAGACATGAAAAACTACAAGCCAGGAATATTGGGCCAGTACAATGTAGTGGCAGCAGTCACTATATATTTCAACCTATATTAGGAAGCCCTGTAATAACTTTTAAATCCTCTTGTAATAAATTTGCTTACTGTTAATAAGGTAGAACCATTTCTTTGCTCTGTGAGTGACATATATTCTGGGACTACGTTGAGGTCAAGACACATCTGTGTCACCAAGTCCTCAAGAAGGAAACTATGGAATTTTTTTACTAGAAATAAGAATTTAAAAGAGAAATAAATAATTATGCAGAACATGGTGGAGCATTGATCTAATTCCACAGCACCCTGCCATCTTCTGACAGTTGATCTCTTTTCTTACGTGTGAGCTTGTGACCCAGGCCCATCAGTGTGCCCATCTCTCTGGCCACAATTATTAACTGAGAGATGAGAATGTGACCAAAGGCAGACTAGAGTCCTCCCTGGCACATTTCCACCAGAGTTATAAGGAAAAATGGCTTCTTATCCAGCGCCCATCTGGAAGAATCTGAATCTGAAGCTGCCAAGAGCCATCTTGCCCAGAAAATGAAGTCTGAAGGAAGAATGAAACCAGAGATAAGCAGAGCCAAGAGCTAAAAAGATGGGCCCAAATGACATTACTCAAAGCCTTAGATCCAGCTGATATTTAAAACCAGCTGTATGTACCCAGGACTCCAAAGTTACATGAAAAAAATAGATTTACTTTTTTGCTTAAGCTTAAGTTTGACTTTGGTTTCAGTCACCTACAACTAAAAAATCTGACCAGTGGAAAGTATAAATAGGGTTGTCTTTCAGGAGAGTGATGACAAACTCCAAAGCAAATTCTAGAGAAAGAAAAATCTCAAAATATTGGCTTAATGATTTTCTTTTTATATGTGAAGGATACCCAGTGGCCTCTGAGTAACAGGAAACCTAGAAATCTATTGGGTTTCTTACCTTGACTGCCGTAGACTGGGTTATGACTTTCAGCGGTTGGCCCTGTGCACTGGCACCTGGATCGTGGGGCCATATTGTCAGCAGTCCATCACTGCAGCCGCTGGAAAGCAGCCTGCCATCCGGTGACCACTTCAGAGCACACACAGCTTGCTTGTGGCGAAGTGTTCCAACATGATGCTGGGCTACCCGAACATCGTGATGATAAACACGCCCCAGTCTTGACCCACTGCGAGTTTACATAACAAAAAAATTAAGCCCTGTTGCTACATAAACATTTGAAAACATGGAGGAAAGCATAGTTCAAAGTAAAACTTCTGAAAGACCCCTAGGACAGATTCAAAACACAGGTGGAGATTCCTTGGGTTAATAAGGATGGAGTGTTCTGCCTGGAGGATTCTTTTCACAAGTGAAATTGATTTGTCTGGCAGAGTTTGAAGTCTAGATTTAAAAATATCCTTTGATAGATGTTTCTAATGACTTTAATCTGATGTAAGCAGCGATGGAAAAATAAGCTGAGAAGATTACCAGATTTTCCCAAAGACTAGTTTATATACAGGACCTAGGAAATATTAACACTTTTCTGCAACTTTGAATATTTCAGATTATCTCAACAAAATGGTTTCAGTATATATTTACAGTAAAATGTTAGACATAGAAAAAGGAAATAAATATCTAACAGGTAGAGTCCTATTAACCTATAGATCCATTCTTAGTTTTGCTAAAGAACTAAACTTCTTTGTAAAAGAAGTTTAAAACCAATTGAATGTCACAGCAAACTGCAATATGATTCCTAAGCAGTGGATAATGTCTCCATTCATGCTCAGTGATGTGAATCTAAACAACTAAAGATCACATCACTTTTTCAAAGATAATGAACGCTTTCTGGATTAATTTAATTTTCTCTAAGGAGTAAGTAAATGATGTTCCACAATTATTTCAGACATTTCTCAAAGTCCAGTGTCGCATTGTTTAAAACTATGCAATGCTGAACAGCATTGTGATTAACAATATGGGCTCTGGAGCCAGACCAGCTGGGTTATTCCAACTCCATCACTTACTAACCATGTGACTTCAGGCTAGTGTCTTAGTTTAATTTGAAAAAACAAAATTGAGGATAAGAGACCACCTTATCATGTTACTGCAGTGATTAAAATGAAATTACACACATAAAAAGTATAGCACAGTGCCTGGCACAGAGTAGTCTGAAAATGTTAGCTGCTATTATTATAAGAAAGGATCTGCTCATTTTCCTCGTGGATAATGAAACTAAATTTTAACAATGCAGATTAGAAAAGGAGCTTGAGTACATAATTGACTGCAATAACTAAGTTGTTTTAAGACCGGCCAAAAACACAAGATATTCAAGTCTCAAGTTTACATCAGATTACTTAAATACATTTTAAAAGTCTTTGGGATGGCCAGGCGCGGTGGCTCACACCTGTAATCCCAGCACTTTGGCAGGCCGAGGCAGGTGGATCACAAGGTCAGGAGTTCAAGACCATCCTGGCCACCATAGTGAAACCCCATCTCTACTAAAAATACAAAAATTACCCAGGCATGGTGGTGGGCGCCTGTAGTCCCAGCTACTCGGGAGGTGGAGGTTGCAGTGAGCTGAGATCACGCCACTGAACTCCAGCCTAGGTGACAGAGTGAGATTCCATGTCAAAAAAAAAAAAAAAAAAAAACAGTCTTTGGGATTTATCTAACTTAAGTCTACCTTAACCTTAAGAACTACAATATGAAAATGAATGGCTATGATTAAAAGCAATATATATTTAGACCAGTTATGTAGGCTCATAGGAAAAAGTCCCTTAATTTTTCTGGTTAAAAAGAAGCAGTTAAACTAAATCACTAGTTCTCAAAGGGATGTATCATCAGCATCACTTGGGAAATGAGAAATGCCAATTATCAGCCCCTCAAGACCTAATGAATCTGAAGTCCCTCAAGTGAAGCCAGCAATCTGCATTTTGAGGAGCTCTCCAGGTGATTCTGATACATGTTCTAGTTTGAGAACTACTGAACAGGATAATCTATGAGGTTCCTTCTGCTCTAATTTCTGTGGGTCTATGAATTGGAAATGTGTCCCAGAGAGCTTAACATATTCCATAGTATAGATACTGACAGCAATAAATACTTGATTTCAGCAAAATATCCCTTTAGTACCTATTACTTAGCACAGAGAAACCTTTTGCTTGAAGGGATTTTCACATTTTATCTGAACAATTTAGTGCATCCCATGCAGAAGGCACACATGATACATGTGGCCACCAAGACACTTACATGACCAGCAGATCTGAATACCTGAGAGGGTGGGATCATACCTGATATTAAGTCCAATGGCCTATTTTGTTTTATTTTTGATTGGTTTAGGTTTTGAATATTACAACTGTTTACTCAGGCCCCATAATCAATTGTTAATACAAACATAACTGTCTCCAACAAGACGCTTCTTACCTGCTGAGGATAAAGTGATTCCAGCTCAGAGCCCCAACTACTGACAAATGACCAAGCATATTTCTCAGCCGCTTTTTAGTTACCACATCCCATAACTGAAAAAATGAACAAGGAGAGTTATGTAGCATTGGAGTTTTCACAGCCCACTGTCTTCTCAAAGGCCTGAGAGCCAATTACTGCTGATATTGTTAGTTTTTGTACTAAGTGAAAACCCAGCACATCTAGCCAGCAGTTCTCAATTCTGACTGTGTATTAGGATCAGCTGGGGAGTCTATAACACTATGGATGCTGATTTAGTTGGTAGAGTAGAGCCTGGGGATATATGGCAGTTGTTTTAAAGCTCCCCAGGTGAATTCAATGTGCAGCCAAGGGTTGAGAATTATTACCACATTTCTAGCTCCTTCTAAATTGTGAGAATTCCAAATCTGGAAATCTACCCACAGTTACCAACAAATGTATTAATAAGATGTGGGTACCCGGACACTTCCTAGAATCAGTAATTCCACTTACTGCTAAGAGACTCCCTTCCTGCGAGCTACAGATAATATTCTGATCCACATGGGGAATGACAACTTTGGTGTAAGAAGAAATCATGACATAGACTTCACAGCATTCATTATCATTGCAGAGATGAGAAAGCAGTGAGAGAGCCATCTGTGGCCCTCCTAAGTCATTTGCACATGAGTGATATTGTTTATTCTATTGGTAATAAACAATAATAATGATACATGAGAAATCAGATAGATTGATGGAAATTTGATAAATCCCCATCTCAAGGAGCCTATCAGAAAAAAAAATTCACTCATTTTCTATAACTGTACTCTTAATCACGGCTTCAGGTGAAAAGGAGAACTGAAAGTATCTTCCTCTCTCCAAAGCTCCAAAACTGGAGATTCTACAAGCCCAACTTTAGTTTCAGAGAAAATATATTTTTAAATATGACAGAAAGATTGTGGTGGAAACTAACCAGAGTATCCTTACGTTTTCATTAAAAACCATTCAGTAAAAAAAAAAAAAAAAAAGCGGAATGTCATCTCCTTTTATTCCCCATACTTCAAGAGCCACACCTAGTTTCTCTATTTTACATTAACTTGTTATTAAAAGTCAATTATAGTGTAATAATACACAGAGAACATGATGAGAAAAAAAAAAACTGGCCAGTACTTGCACTTCTCCCTCGCTGGTGCCAACTGCCAGGCAAGTTCCCTCTTTTATCCAGGACACAGAAGAGATATAGTTACAAGTGAGACTTAAGTCTATGTTTTCAATCCCATTGTGGTTCTCCCCATTCCAGATGTATACAGCAGAGCCCAGGGCTATGGCAACAAGATTCTGAAAACTCCAATCTAGGATATTCAGATCTATAAGAAAAGCACTTCAAATTAGTATAATTATACAGCCACATGAAAACATGTTCAAATAAACAACTTTATAGGTAGGGGGAAAAGAATAATACCATCCCCATGGTTAGCTGGAAAATGGAAACATGGAACCATGAAAATCCTTAAAAGTTCAAAAATGAAAAGTGGAATAGAATCTAGTGTCAACACTCACAGTCTAATAAGCAATAATGCTTATTATTTACACTGAAATATATTTATTTAGAGCCATTTAAAGAACTTGGCAGATTCATCTACCATTATTAGTACATGTAGACTTCGTTTAACGGATCAGTAAAAGTTAAAAGCATATAATTCTTATGGAGACACTCTTGGACCTAGGATATCTATATGGGAGATGCCACCATCATTTCTAACCAAAAACACCACCCAGCTAGAAGAGGTGGTGGTTCATGTATGATACCTACACGTTCTCAACAGTATTCTATAGCTTATACTAATAAGAAACCTTTGACTGCTAAGAGAAAACATATTTGTATGACCATTTATTAAAATATACCCTATCTTATTTCTTATCAGTCAGAAACTCCTGACTGACACGTATCAGTATAAAACTAAGTAGCACACCAGTTCCCCTACAGTAGTTTAAACCCCTACAATACATTCCGTCCCCATGATAAATATAAACTCTGAATGAAATATAAAAAACAAACACCTGGAGATCCTGTAAAGTAAGGAAAAGCAGTAAACTAAGTAAGGGAGTCAAAATTTGGAGAAGCAAACTGGCGGGGGGTAAGTTTCCCACTTTTCTTCTTTCACACCTTTGCCCTGAGGACAGGCCCCATTGATGGAGTGCCAGCGAAGACTCTGACAAAAAGGCCACCATATTTCTGGTCAGAGAAACCATGGAAAAGAGCCTGAGGCATAGAACTGATACCAGTATGAGGGAAAAGTCCTAGACATGGGAAAGCCAAAAGAAAGAGATCCTCTGAGTGTGAGTATATTAATTCACACACATCTCAGCCTTACCCCTAAATCACCTACATGCAGAAGAGACTCAAATCACCTTAGTAAAGGCTTTAAGAAACGAACTGAGATTTGAAACATCCATACAAGTCTCAGCCTAGGCTCTGATCCACATGTATGAGATACAGACCCAAACCAGCATGGTCAAAGTTTAAGAAACTGATCTAAGATTTGAAACACCACCCACAAATGGCAAGACAAAACTTAAAATGTGAACCTAACTAGAACAAAAACATCAACCAGAACAAAACATCAACATTCTCCACAGGACCCAGTGACTATAACATAACATCTACAATATCCAGACACAATTCAAAATTACTGGATAAATGTAAAGACAAAACATAACCAATAGATGAAAACTCCAAGGTGACCTAGGTATAGAAATTATCAAAGACTTTAAAGCAGCCATTATATTCTCCATGAAGTGAAGAAAAACACACATGAAATGAATGAAAATTTATATGAAACTTTATATGAAGCTTTAACAGATAAACAGAAAAATCAAAAGTATTTTCTAAGTAAAGAAAATAGAAACCATAAAACAAAGCTCTAAAATGGAAATCAAATATACAAAAACCACAAAATACAAACTTTAAAATGGAAAAATATAATATCTGAAAAATTCCTTGGATACACTGAATAGCAGGATAGAGGTGATAGAGGAAAGAGTAAACTTGAATATAGATAACAGAAATTATTCAATCTAAAGAATGTGGAGAAAAAATTTCTTAAAGAATGAAGCCTCAGCGAATTGTGGAATAATATCCAAAAATCTAACATATGTGTAAGTAGAGTCAGGTCTTAGAAGCAGGATAACAAGGTGACCATGGGGTTCTCACCAGATACCATGGAGGCCACAGTCAATGGAACAACATCTTTTAAATGCTGGGGGTAGGGGGCAGTGGTGGATCTTTCAACCCAGAATTCTATATCCAGCAAAAATCTCATCAACTGGAAGATGGAAAATCTAACAGAAGTCTGTGCCAACTGACCTGATCTGCAAGAACTGCTAAAGGAAGCTCTTCAGGCTAAAGGGACAATATATGAAAGAGAAACTTGGATCTTCAGAAATGAAGGAGAACACTGAAATTGGTAAATATTTGGGTGAACATAGGAGCCATTTTTTCCTCTTAAGCTATTTAAATACTTTTTAAATTTTAAAACGTTTACAATTGGATGGTTTTCAGTGTATGTAAATATAAAATGCATGACAGGCCAGACACAGTGTCTCACACCTGTAATCCCAGCACTTTGGGAGGCCAAGGTGGGAGGATCACTTGAGCCCAAAGAGTTCAAGACCAGCCTGAGGAGTAAAGTAAGACCCCATCTCTATAAAAAATCAAAAAATTACCTGGGCATGGTGATATGTGCCTGTGGGCCCAGCTACTTGGGAGGCTAAGGCAGGAGGATCACTTGAGCCCAGGAGGTAGAGGCCACAGTAAGCCTCTACAGCCTCCAGCCTGAACCACTGCACTCCAGCCTGGGTGACAGAGTGAAAACCTCCCTCAAAACCTCCCTCAAAAAACAATAACAAACAAACAAACACATGACAACTACAATAACCTAAAAAGTAGTGGGGACTTTGAGAGACCTATGTGATTGCAAGATGTTTATATATTGTGTGATGTGTACAATAGTAACTCTACGTAGACTAAGAAAGTTAAAATTACATTGTAATCCCTAGAAAAATGACGACAAAACACAATACAAAGAGATATAGCCAAAAAGCTAAGATCAATTAAAATAGAACAGAAGTAAAAAAAGAAAAGATGTCCAAGGAACAGGCCTTGGGTACTCCAACATTTAGAGGTCAGGGAAATGGAAGAGAAACACAAATCAGCAAAAAAGGATGAGAAAGAGTGAACAAAAGACACTCTTGGACAAAACCCAAAAGAGTGGGATATCAAGAAGGAGGGATTGATCAGCTGTCTCAAATATAGTTGTTAGGGTTCGGTATGAAGTCTAAGAAGTAACTGTTGGCTATAACAATGAGGAGTTCTTTGGTAATGTTTGGAAGAGTAGTTTCAATTGAATGATGAGACTTAAAACTTGACTAGAGTGGATTTGAGACAATATGGGGAGAGAAATAGAAAATTATAAGTATAAAGATCTTTTGAAAGTTGTACTGTCAAAGGGAGGAAAGAAAGAGGGCTGTGCGTCTGGGCATGGTGGCTTATGCCTGTAATCCCAGCACTTTGGGAGGCCAAGGCAGGCGGATCACTTGAGGTCAGGAGTTCGAGACTAGCCTGGCCAATATGGTGAAACTCCATCTCTACTAAAAATACAAAAATTAGCCAGGCATGGTGCACATGCCTGTAGCTACACGCCCAGCTACTCAAGAGGCTGAGGCACGAGAATTGCTTAAACCCAGGAGGCGGAGGCTGCAGTGAGCCACTGCACTCCAGCCTGGGTGACAAAGCAAGACTCTGTTTAAAAAAAAAGAAAGAAAGAAAAAGGGCTGTGGCTTAAAGGAAAAATGGGAACAAACATTGTTTCTTTTTAATATAACAGTTTTTTAACATTTTTTGAAAATCCATCCTTCTTAGTTGGTCATGACAATACATTCTCTTGGAGAAGGAGCTGAAGGAATAGGGAGATAGAGAACTGTTCCCTTCAGGGATTTTTCTTTTTCCAGCTCATGCCTCTTTTTAGATATTCCATGGAGCCCAGACCCCTTCCCTCTGCTCCTCTCTCCCTCATCTAGGGAGCTTACACTGGCTCCTGGATTCAATCATAATCATCTGACCTACGGGCTAGTCCATCCTCTTTCAACTACCAGCATTCGTTTCAAATAATCTGCCAAACTGCTTCTATGTCTGATTGTCTCCTTTAAAATAATATTCAAGCATAGTCTTTCCTCTCCAAATCACCTCCTCTGCCAATCTGTCTTCTCAGTGACACCACCCTTCTTTCTCCTGCTTCAAAAACTTGGAATAATCATGAATTCATTTCTCATCCCATTTCTTTTCTTCATGGAGGAAAAATAAGCCTTTACTCTTTGGCAGCTCTTTCCTACTAAGTGCATTCTGCATACTCTGCCATGAATTTTCCTTTGATGTTTCTCTTAGTCAACAACTCCCAAAACAAATCTAAATTTCTGAATTTGAATTTTTCTCCATAATCTGTACCCACCTATTCACCAGTCCCCAATGTATCTTCTTCATTGCCATTAAATATCTTAATTACCAACATCCTGCCTTCTTCATGCTGTTAACAATACCAAAAATGGTCCTTCTCCTCTATACCTTTCCAAGTTCTAATGATCTTCCAAGACCCAGCTTAAGTATAAATATCTCCACAACGTCTTTCTGGACAACACCGAAGCTCACTAAGCTCCTTCTAGTCTTTATAGCTCCTTATATCCCATGATTTATTATTTATAATCTACCTTGGCATATGGTATCAGTTCCGTGTCAGTTAGTCCTGTCCTCCAAACTAGATTACAAGCTGGGCACATAACAAGTAGACCCAATGCAGTTGTTTGACTGATTCGATTTACCCATATTTAAAATACATACATAAGAATAGACCATCATTAGTACAATTCTTTCTAATACAGTAACATAAAATGTATATTTCCCACACCATGCCAACATTAACAATACCATCCCTAAATATGAAAGTTGCACCAGGAAAAGCCAAGTATATTAGCCATATTTGGATGCTACACTATTTGGATATGAGACATAAAGGCCATCTGGTTTAATCAAATTTCAAGTTTATACCAGAGCACAGGATGCATTTTGTCATTTCAACTTTTAATTCCCAATCTAAATGATAACTTACAGTAGTCATTTCGAAGACCAGTAATATGAATCTTCACCTCTGGTTGGAGTATGGAATCGTTTATATCACCAGAACTTTTAAGATGGAAGGATTCATCTCTGACTCCATCTTTGCAGCCTACAAGAAACAAACACTTCTACACAGCTCTAAGATCCTGAAAATATAATATTTATTCTTGTGGGAATTAAGAAATAACATTAAGTGAAAAAGCTTAATTAAGTGGAAAATAAGTAGTCATCATGATAAAACTACAGTACAAAGAGCCGGGGAAGGAAGGAAATGAAGAGCACTTCAGTATTAATTTAAACAAGAAGATTAAAATTTTTTTCAATGACACTTCCTACTAAAAAGCACATGCATACAGACCTGAATGTAGAAGATAGATCTTGTGAGGAGTACACAGAGATACTACATCATGCTTTGAATATTTATTCTGTTATTTGGGATTTTAAAACCAAAGTGAATTTTGCTTTTCCACACCAAGACTTACCTGGTACACCTATGCCCTACTCTGAGACTTCATCAATAAATATTTATTGATTCGTTGATTTTAGCTCTTTCTCTCAATATTTCAGTATTGGAGCACACAGACTCCAATACTGGAGTATTGTTAATATATTTATAGTTGGAATCATACAATATTTAGTTTTTTCAGATTGTCTGCTTTTGGTTAATTTTACCCATGACTATCTAAGGTCAGTATTCTATCTTTTGTTCAGTTCTCATCAAAAGACCATACTAAGTTCAAACCACAGGCCGCTGTCTTTTCATCTCCAACCACTCAGCTTGTGATCAAACTGAGAATGATAAAATCAAAAGAAACCAAGACCACCCAGGTGACTTGTGGTGTCTATGACCAGATGGCTTCTGATAAAAGCATGAGAGCTTCACAATGCTACACCAAGAAACCAAATTGTTACTCATAAATTCCTGCTTCCGTGTTAGCTATGAAAACCTGTAGCTGAGGGCAAAACTGCAAGATTACTAAAAATACTTAGGCTTGCTGATAAAGTATCAACAAGGTTAAAAAAAAAATCAATACCCAAAGAATGAACAAAAAAACTCCTGGGGCTGGGCACGGTGGCTCATGCCTGTAATCTCAGCACTTTAGGAGCTGAGGCAGGCAGATTGCCTGAGCCCAGGAGTTTGAGACCCACCTGGGCAACACGGTGAAACCCTGTCACTACAAAAAATGCAGAAATTAGCCAGGCATGCTGGTACATGCCTGTAGTCCCAGCTACTTGGGTGGCTTAGGTGGGAGGATCACTTGAGCCAGGAGCGCCACTCCACATCAGCCTGGGTGACAGAGTGAGGTTCTGTCTCTAAAAAAAATAAAAAATAAGACATGAAGAAACCTTAAATGCATATTACTAAGTGAAAGAAGACAATCTGAAAAAACTAAATATTGTATGATTCCAACTATATGACATTCTGGAAAAGGAAAAACTATAGATACAGTAAAAAGGTTTCTATGGGAAGGGGAGAGACGGATGAACAGACAAAGCAGTGAGCATTTTTAGGGAAATGAAACTATTCTGTATACTATAATAGTGATACATGTCATTATACATTGGTCAAACCCATAGAATACATAACATCAGGAATGAACTCTAATGTAAACTATGGACTTTTGGTGACCATGATGTGTCAGTGTAGGTTCATTGATTGTAACAAATGTACCACTCTGGTGGGAGATGTTGATAACGGGGGAGGCTGTGCATGTGTGGTGACAAGGGATATAAGGGAACCTGCACCTTCTGCCTAACTTTGCTGTGAACCTAAAACAAATCTAAATAATAAAGTGTATGTGTGTGTGTGTGTCTATATATATATATATACAGAGAGAGAAAGAGAGAGGGAGAGAGAGAGACTCCTAAAATATCAGAATAATATAGGTACATTATCTCTGGCTTCATAGAACATATATTTTTTTATTCTAAGCCAAATACTCAGCACCTTACAGAAACAAAAACTTGTTGCTGTTTAGGACAAAAGACGAGGGAGCTGAGGAAAGACATGTCCCCACATATTTTATTTTGCTTTTAAGAAAATATCATTCTAAGGAAAAGACAAGGTTCACACTCTCATCCCAACCATATATTCCCAAACCCCCAAAAGAACATTTAGAAGGCCTGAAATTTTGTGCCTATTTTTATGCATCTAACTCAATTTTTTTCCCCTTTTTACTGCTGGGAAACAGACGCTTGAGGAATAAACATGCACAAAGTTCTAGCTAGAAGCTTGTCCAATCTGCAGCCCACAGGGCACATGCAGCCCAGGAGGGCTTTGAATGCAGCCCAACACAAATTTGTAAACTTTGTAAAAACACTGAGATTTTTTTGTGATTTTTTTTTTTTTTTTTTTTTTAGCTCATCAGCTATCTTTAGTATTAGTGTATTCTATATGTGGCCCAAAACAATCCTTCTTCCAATGTGGCCCAGGGAAGCCAAAAGATTGGACACCTCTGTATTTAGAAGTTAAAAGTGTGTATCTATGTGTTATCTACATAATTTTTAAAAGAAAATTTCCAAAAAAAATATTTTTTTTTTTGAGACAGAGTCTCACTCTGTCAGCCAAGCTAGAGAGCAGTGGCACGGTCTCAGCTCACTGCAACTTCCGCCTCCCTGGTTCAAGCAATTCTCCTGCCTCAGCCTCCCGAGTAGCTGGGACTACAGGCACCCGCCACCACGCCTGGCTAATTTTTGTGTGTATTTTTAGTAGAGACAGGGTTTCACTATGTTGGCCAGGCTGGTCTCGAACTCCTGACCTCGTGATCCACCTGCCTCGGCCTCCCAAAGTGCTGGGATTATAGGCGTGAACCACTGTGCCCAGCCCCAAAAAATATTTTTAATAAAAAATTGGGACACGGCAGGTGCAGTGGTTCACACCTGTAATCCCAGCACTTTGGGAGGCCAAGGTGGGCAGATCATTTGTGGCCAGAGTTCAAGACCAGCCTGGGCAACATGGTGAAACCCTGCCTCTACTAAAAGTACAAAAATTGGCCAGGTGTGGTACCACAGGCCTGTAATCCCCACTATTCAGGAAGCTGAGGCAGGAGAATTGCTTCAACCCGGGAGGTGGAGGTTGCCATGAGCCAAGATCACACTACTGCACTCCAGCCTGGACGATAGAGCAAGACTTCATCTCAAAAAAAAAAAAAAAAAATAGGACAAGCCATAAAAATAGAAGTCTACTTTAGCATTGAGGATTTCTGTCTCCTTGTTCACATTTATTTTTGAGACCTTGCCAAAGCACCCCATGGATATGCTTACCAGAACTTATTCCAGAGGGGAAATGTAGCAGGCAAGTTTCCTTGGCATTTATGAAATGAACCACGCTAGTTCTCTCAAGAGGATTCTCACACAGAATTCTGGCTCCCAAACAATTATTTTCCAGCCATGACAATAATCTCATGAATAACACAAAAACGTCCATGATGGCAACAGAAAGTAGGAATGAAAACACATGGGGCTCAGGGTCAAAAGACTTTGGGAGGCCAAGCACAGTGGCTCATGCCTATAATCTCAGTATTTTGGAAGGCTGAGGCGGGTGGAGCATCTGAGGTCAGGAGTTGGAGACCAGTCTGGCCAACATGGTGAAACCCCTTCTCTACTAAAAATACAAAAATTAGCTGGGCATGGTGGTGTGTGCCTGTAATCCCAAGCTGAGACAGGAGAATCGCTTGAACCCGGGAGACAGAGGTTGCAGTGAACTGAGATCGCGCCACTGCACTCCAGCTTGGGCAACAGAGCGAGACTCTGTCTCAAAAAAAAAAAAAAAAAAGAAAGAAAGCACTGAGAGCTCCAAATGTAGCATGGAACAGGACCTTCTAGAAATTGCCACAGGCAATTATCTCCCCACTGCATGGCTACAGAGCTTCCCTGATAACGCTCACAACACCACCATCCAAAGTTTCCTACCAGCTTTCGGCAAAGAGGTACACCTGAAAGTTTACAGGGGCTGCCTGCTGTAAGGTTTCAGAGTCATTAGATATGGACAAGGCATAAAGAATTGCTTTATATACACAGCATTTGGATAACATTTGTCCCCGTGATCCACTGATGAGCAATTACTTGGCTTATGTGGGATCTGTTTCATAGTTTAAGTTCCCTTAAAAGAATCAACAACAGAGCCTTGCATAGAGTATTCAGAGGGCCTCTCAATTAGTCTTTGCCACCAACATCCTCCTGTTCAAATCGTTTCTTCATGCTGCCACTAAAGTGATCTATGGGAAGGGGAGAGACATAGGTAAGTCAAGTCAAGTTGGAGGAATGGCCATGTAAGTTTATTTCCTCTGCCTCCTATTTTCAACCTAAGTACAGCAAATGACTTTTTTAAGGGGTGAAGACACAAGAACAAACACTATGGGAGTGAATATAGCAGTGGGCAAGAGAGCCCAATAATTTTCTAGACAGTGGATAAAGGATTAATAACTGACCAAGAAGAGCATAAGAAACTACCCCTCAAGTGCCTGCAAAGGGAGACAGTGAAGAGAAACAAGCTGATTTGCCTTGCAAAATCCCACAAGGGCTCCGAGGCACAGAGAAGACTGAGAGGTGGGTTAGTTAAAAGACTGTCAAGTTCCCACACATACACACACACCCTGCCCAACCAAGTAAATACAGACACACATATATGGATATACCAGAAGAAACCAGATGTTTATTCTCTGGATAAATAAAAATGACAATTTTTTAATTCAATAGCGCCAGGCACCATGGAGATGTATGAAACAAAAAAATAGATTTTGAGTTAAAAAAAAAAAAAAAAGACAGAGCTCACTCTGTCGCCCAGGCTGGAGTGCAGTGGCGTGATTTCGGCTCACTACAACCTCCGCCTCCCAGGTTCAAGTGATTCTCCTGCCTCAATCTCCCAAGTAGCTGGGATTACAGGCGTGAGCCACTATGTTCAGCTAATTTTTGTGTTTTTACTAGAGATGGGGTCTCACCATGTTGGCCAGGCTGGTCTCGAACTCCTGGTTTCAAGTGATCCACTGCCTCGGCCTCCCAAAATGCTAAGATTGCAGGCTTGACCCACCGCGCCTATACTAATATCTTTATACTGAATTTACCCTGGTACTCTTTAACCTACGAAAGGAGAACTAAGCTCTTTACCCTAGTACTATTTTTAAAACAGCACACCTTTCAGGAAAGTTTTCACTCTGAGAGAAGCCAAAGTAAATGGGGGGTTGGAGGGAGAGAAAACCAAAGCAAAGGAAAACAACACAGAGAGCACAGAAGTACTTCTAAAAATCTATAAAATAATATTGTCAGAGATATAGGAGAAGATAGTATATCCATGAAGCATGAACAGGATGCTGTAAAAAAAAAAAAAGGAACAGAGTACAGAAATTGCTTTTAAAAAATTAAAAGTAGGATAGCCAAAATAAAAAGTTTCATAGCGAGGTTGGTGAACAGAGTTGAGGAAATCACCCAAAAGGTTTAAAAATAAAAAAGTGAGATGAAAAATAGAAGATAAAAGATAAGAGAATTGGAGAGTCAATCCAGGATATTTCATAAAGAAGGAAAAAATAAATGACAATAAAAAAAATATTAAAAAATAATTCAAGCAACTTTCCAAGAACTATAGGATATGGATCTCCAAGAATGAAAATATCCACCAATGGGCTTTTGATTTACAATGAGTTTTTTTTTTTAATGCCAAGCTTTATCATCATGAAATCTTAGAACACTGGTGATAAAAGACTTTTCTAAGAGCATCAAGAGAGAAAAAGCAAAGTTGAAGTCAAATTAACACATGACTTCTCAACAGCAACAGTGGATACTAGAAAACCATAAAGCAATATTGTCAAAATTCTGAGTGAGACTAGAATTTATAGCCAGCCAAACTATGAATCAAGCATAAAAGAAAAATAAGGACATCTTCAGACCAGCAAACCCAGAAAGAGCACAACATAGCTGCCCAAAAATAGTGGATATAATATTGATGAAAAGTCCCAGAAGACAACTGTGCAACTGGCCAAGAAAGCAGCCTGTTCAGCAGGCTCTGAAAGGGAGGACATCAAGGAAAAGAAGAAACTGGAGTGAGTGAGTGCATGGAAAATGTTATTGACAGCTACGGAATAAAACATTGGAGCATTTAGAGGAAATATTAATGGTGTCATAGTTATCTAGTAAATGAAAACTAAGGCAACTTTTAATACTCAGCTAAACAATTATACTAGAAAAGAAGCATAATTATATTATTTGGCTTGATAGTGAATAATAGTTGTGTAGTAATATGATGTAAACATTAACTACTAATTTTACTTTTTTAAAGTGTGATATAAGCATGTCGAGAAACTGATGAAACTGAATGAGGCAGGAAGAGAACTAAATTCTTATCTACTATGCCTGTAATCCCAGCACTTTGGGAGGCTGAGGCAGGAGGGTCACTTGCGGCCAGGAGTTCGAGACCAGCCATGGCCAACATGGTGAAACCCAACTCTACTAAAAATACAAAAAAATTAACCAGGCATGGTGGTGCATGCCTATAATCCCAGCTACTCAGGGAGCTGAGGCATGAGAGTCCTTTGAACCCGGGAGGCAAAGGTTGCAGTGAGCCAAGATCGCACCACTGCACTCCAGCCTGAGCAACACCAAAAACAAAAAAGTCATGATTAAGTCTAAAATCACAAGAAATAGTAGTTTACCAATATTATTTAGAAAATAGATGTAAATACCAGGAGGACAGCTGGAAGAACTAAAGGTGGTCACCTATAGAGAATGGGACTTGGAGGTAGGGGTAGTTAGAACAGAGGATTATGAGAATTATTCATATTTTACAATTAGGTTGATTTAGTCTAGTAAATATTAAAAATAATATATTTTAAGATTAGGAAGAAATGAAGGAGGCAGAGAGAGAGGAGCGCAGGAAAGAAGGACAATGTCTTGATCCTGTACCTTTCCAAACACATTCGGATTGCTCACAGAGCTGCATTTTTCCATTAGCCTGCTGAACCACGTTCTGGGTTACAAAGAGTTGTTTTAGGCATTTCTGAAAATAAACACACATAAGGAGAATATTTCTTTAAAAACATACATGTACAACTAAAATGTAATGTATAATATAGAATTACAACTGGTAATTCACTAAGGAGTTCAAAGATTCCACATTGTCAAAGCCAACACCACAATAATCGCTATTATTTATTAACTAAACAATATATTATGAACAGTGCTGAGCATTTTACATATATTATTTCTCAACTATGGAGTTCAACAACTCCATAGAGCAGGTATTTTTTGGCTAGAATAAAATCTTTTTTTACTCTTCTAGCCTAAAAATCTGTTTAGCCTATACACCATAGGCCAGTGATATCAGCAAAGCCTGCCACAGCTGAATGGCCATCTTAAGGTCCTTTTTTGTTAACACCTTCACAGAGCTCTTAAGTAACTTTACTAAAATTCCATGTGCACAAAAATCTGGGTCCCATCCCTTTGGGCCAATATATAAAGAGCCCTTCTGACACTCTTACATCCAACTTCAATCAAAAACACCTGGGAAAATTAGTAATAAGTGGAAAGAAAAATAACTGTTGGAATTTCCTAAAAACATAGTGATAAATGATTAAAGCAGAGAAGATTCTGTTTTGCTTCTTCACAATAAAATATTTGCTCTCCCAAATATGACAAACACTGTGTCAGGTTCAGAACTACGCCAAAGGTCATGTTGAGGTCTGGAGGGAGTGGGTGGATGAGCAGAAAGAACACTTTGGGGGGCCGTAGGCAGGTGAATGATTTTATTCAGCAGCAGCTCTCATCAACAGCTTTCTTACACTAGCTCTCTACACTGTTCACCTTTATCTTGGCTGCTTAATTGATGACCCACACACACAGCTGCAAGACTGGCTCTCCCTTGCCTTCAGGGTCAGCAGCTTAACACTTTCTTTCTCTGGGCACGAGCAAGCCAAGCTGTGTCCTGGCTCCCCTCATCCATCTGCAAAGACAGCTCTGGCTTTCTCTTTCTCCAGGTGCCAGCTTCTGCACAGTGTCAACAGGGCAATTATACCTTTTACGGACAATAGTGGCTTAGAGCCAAGTGATGGCCTTCCCGGTGTTATAACTATAGTGGTGAGCTTCTCTATGTTGTGTCTACATGGCTATGATGACAAGTGGAGTTATACGCCTGTGCTCTATACTCACTGAGTCACGAAGAATGTAAACATCCTACCTCGGCCTATCCTTGACCAAAGCACAGCCATGTTCCTTACACTCTGGGTCCCCACGGTTCAGACAGAAGTCTCTCTGACAGACAACATTTTGGTATTTTGTTTTTCTTCCTTGATGTTATGTCACATAATTGGCATTGCTGTCAATGAATCGTGGTTTTTAGTTATTCAAGGTAGAACAACTAACTAGAAAGCAGGGTTTCCCAATCTTGGCACTATGGGCAACAATTCATTGTTGTGGGAGCTGTTCTGTGCATTGTAGGATGTTTAGCAGTAACCCAGGCCTTCACCCACAAGATGCTCTCCCCCTGAGTTGTAACAATGAAATGTCTTTAGATATTGCCAAATGCCCCTTGGTGAGTAAAATCACCCTGAGTTGAGAACCGTTAGTATAAAATAATATTCCTAAAATGGCCTGCTCATCAGTAGTTCAATGAACTCTTCACAGACTCACTTCTTTAGAATCCCACAGTTACCACAAAGCTGATCACAGCAAGGTTTAGCAGGCGCTTCTGTTCTGTGGGTGCAGGGGTGCTCTTTCCTAGATGAGATCGACTTACTACTTTAATCAGCAACTTAATATGGAGCTCCTGGAAGATGAATTCTGAAAGTCTCCACGGCTATGCAGGCCCTCGTTGTGGAAACACCCTCCAGATGATCAGTGAGGACCACATGAAGACACACGTTTACTCTACAGGGGAAAGACCTCGCTTTGAGTCTTCACCACTCTCGATGCTATTTGACTTCTAACTAATCATGACAAAAAATGCTCTCCTTAACACCATAGAACAGCTTCCATTATCCCCTGCCCAGGTTCTTCAGTGATGCTGGGATGATGTTCCAGCTGGTATAACAATTGCTAAGGAGTATCTTGCCAACACCATCATGAGCCCACAGATGGAGCCACTAACCTTGCTGCCACCAGTTACCAGAAAGGATAAGAGGAAGGAAAAGGAAGTCTTAAGGGGTAGGGCAGCAAAAACTCCAATCAGCAGTAGAGGGTGGAAAACACAGGAGTGTCAATAATCTGGCCCATGTTTGAGGCCACCAGTGCACCCTAATTATCTCAGTAGGACTCCCCGGCCATTCCCTATCCCCCAAACCCATATCCAACAATAAAGCACACATCAAAATACCTGCTCTAAAACATTCACTTCCAATTGCATATGAGTTCAGATAACTAAAATTTATATGAACAATATTTTATTATTCTTCTAGCAAAATAGCCAAGCACAGAAAAAGGCATACACTGAATAAGTAATTTTGCCTAAATTGAGAATTTATGACTTTTCTAGTTCAAAGCTTTCGAACTGAAATATGGATTCCTTCAAAGACTCTTCATTGGATTTGATAAATTCAAAAACATGCTGTTGATATTTAATGTGCCCAAAAGATTTACGTCAGACTCCTAAGATCTTAAAACTATAATAAATAAAAGATACCTAAATGTAATAAATGTACTTAACCAAGAAAAAAACAAACAACAAGAAAGGCTTAAGGGAAATATTTAAAAGACCATCATATAGAGCAATAATTCAACTTTTCCTAAGAGACCCCAAAGGACAGATCACATCATCAAATAGTTGGAAATGATGACAGCAAGAGATCCTTAGGCTAAGAGGAAGCATACCGTAATAAGTATAATTTCATTATATTTTTAACCTTTACCTGTTTGTAAAGATAAAATAGTTATTCTCATTTTCACTTTTTTAATTAATCCCAACTCAACATTTTCTCATATATTTGGGGGATATCTTCTTTCTTTTACAAAGTGGCTCTATTCATATCCTTCAATTATTCATTTTTTATCAGGAATGCATCATTTTCTTATTGATTGGTAAGAGAACTAAGCAACTCTTCCCTTACATTTGCAACTAAGTTGTCTCAGCTTCTCTAGATGTGGGATCTTCAGTTTTTTTCTCTTTACCTACCTGCCCTTTTGAGGCAACACTTTCTTTCCAGTCTCTGTCCATTGCATGAGGTGCCTTGCAAAAATGGAGAGCAGAGTTACTTGTTTCAGAAATTCCTTTGCTGGGGGTCTTCAGTTGTTCTTTGCGGGATCCTACAAGAAAGACATTTATCTTTGAATTTGGTTTTTAAAACAAGATAATCACTTTGATTGTAGGTCTGGCTGTGGCATCTTTCACAGAAGGACAGAGTGAAAAAGCCCAGGCTCTCGTCACTCCAAAGTCCATTGCAGAGAGCAGGACAGAGTGAAAAAGCCCAGGCTCTCGTCGCTCCAAAGTCCATTGCAGAGAGCAGTACAGAATCCTATCCAGACTGCTGACTTCATAAGGTTGTCACTCAATGAGAAAGCTGTCTCAGTGGCCTCTAGAGCAGGGAAGAGGTGCCAAGATTAAAGACCTGACTTCATTTGCTGCAGCAGCAGTGTGAATGCTTTATCTCTGTATGGAAAAAAAAAAAAAAAAACCAGATTTGCACATTTGAAGAATGGATAGAAACAGTTCCATAGTTTTAAATGATAGTGGAAAGAGTATCTGGTTTGCCCGAGCTATGGTCATCCTGCAAGGAAAACATTATGGGATGCTTGCTTTGCCAGCATTGACATTCACTACATAATCATGAGCAAATCACTTTGCCTCTCTCCCCCTTTCTATTGCAGAAAGATGTTTTAAAGATAGTTTAAGATGGCATCAGTGAAATACTTTCTAAGTTAAAGTAATAGAAGGGTCAATGTTACTTGCATCAATATTATTCCTATCTACTCTCTTCTCAAGATTGAGAAAGCCCTTTACCAGACTTTCAACTGCCCTGGAAACCTGTCAAGTCATTCTCTAAAACTAAATATCTGCCATATCACTTGTTCATCACAGGAGCCAAGGGACCATTGGAAAATCTTAGCCTTTTGCCATGTGACAATCTCTTCTTCATTTGGACAACCATGAGCTTGATAAATTCTCACTAATGTTCCTAGAGCCTAGTACCTTAAGTACTGGGACATTCAAAATTTAAGCAATATATATTACATTTAGGGAGAAGAAGGATAAAAATATGAAATGCTGGTCAAAGTTTTAGATCTTGCTCTTTGTCCTGAGAAATTATGCATGCTTGCTTTCTTGTGCTATTTGTAAAAGTGTACAGGGGAGAAAAAGCCAGCTCTCAGAACTTCAAATGAGAAAGAAAAAGTTGCAGTCAGAGGCTAGTACTGACAATCATCACAGTTATATACAAAGAGGTCAGGTCCATCAGCCTAAGAAAGAAGGGACCTCTCAGGTTCTGTCCACAGAGCATGACTGAAAATGAACCTCTCTGTAAATGTCCCTTTGGAATGGGAGGATCTTCAGTATCTGCTCTTCTAAAACAAAAAGAAAGAAACCCCACTAGCAAAGCACTGAGAAACCAGTAGATCTGATTAATCCCTAGTATTAACTTCAGTAGAAAATAAAATGGTCTTTCTTGTAAAATCCTTTTTGTTAATATCTGATTTCTGAATTTCTCACACAATGTCATACTTTTTTAAAAAATCAATAAATTAATTAAGAACCTAGAAAGTAAAAGGGAGCCCCTAATTTTAGCCAGAAATTCTTCCAAAAACAATCAGCATCAAAACTGTCCCTCAATTGCAATGAGATACAAAAGATTTCTTTCAGAAGATAGTCATAACAATGTTTTTCACAACCCTTTATCTCCTACTGCTTCCCTCCTCGGTTATTAAATACTTTCAGTATTAAAGCCTGTCGTTACATGGGAATTTCATTGATTTGAAAAAAATCTGGGCTCCCTTTCAATCTGCAGAACTGCAATGCATCATCATGTCTGATGTCATTGAAAAGAGTTGGCACTTCTATTAACATTTGTCTTAATAAATACGCTGATAGTCAAAAGAATTATGTTGCCTAGGATTCTCAAAAGAAAGAATGGGAATTACATCAGCTGATGATAGGTGGCAAATTTTGCTTCTGAAGGATGGGAATGAAAATGTCTGTGCCCAAATGAGAATTACATATTTCAGAAAGAGAGTTTGTGTTTCGGGGCTCTGGCAGGTTGATCATGGATCCTGCCCATCACACTGGTGGTTTGGAGCCCACTCCCCCATCTCTGCCCCAACATAGGCATCAGACTGTCTCTCACTCTCCTTTCCTTCCCTCTTCTTCTTCCCTACTACTCTTGGAGGTTCTTCTTTCTTCTTTCTTCCTCCTCCTCCTCCTCTGTCTCCTCCTCTCTTCTCTCTTTCTCTTTGTCTCTCTCCCCCCATCCATCCCCTCATCCCTCTCTCTTGCTTCCTTCCTCTTACTTTCTCTTCCTCTCATTCTCTCCTGCTTCTGTCTTTTTCTTCCATTTCACATCTGATTATTCCATTACTAACGCATAATTTTTTCTGACTCTGTATACCAGTAACCTTACCAGTCATTAAAATTCTATACTTTGCAAAACAAAAGCACATATATATGTGTGTATGTGTACATATACATATATACATATACATTCATACAATCTTTACAAAAGTAATCATCTAACCAATGCAAGTCTCAAAAACATATTAAAATTAAGCTAAATTTTGCCTGAGGATGTAGGATGAGTCCCTACATCTCAAACTGCAACCTAACTTGGGATGTAAACTAACTGAAAGCCTAACTTAGCTGAGTCTCCGCCAATCACAGAAGCTGAGCTTCAGTCAATCACAGGCGGCCAACTAATCAGACCACGTGCAAATAAGGCGAACTGAGCTGTAGCCAATCAGGCCGGCTCCTACGCACTTCCAATTCCTATCCATAAATGCTGCCCGCCCCCACATGGAGTGGCTCTCTGGTTGCCCATTGGCCAACGGTTCTTTGCACAATTAACTTTGTAAAATTTAATTTGTCTAAAGTTTTGTTTTTGTTTTTGTTTTTAAACACATACAGTACCTTTCCTTTGTTTTTGTGTCATTTCTCCCCACCTTGGAAATTTCTTATTCAAAGGGAGAAAAAGAGAAAAGAGTTGACTCAAAGTGACACTCCTTAGTTCTACAAGACAAAGATTCTCTCAGGAATATATCTTTTATTCACGTTGCAAAACGGGGCTGTGGCGTTTGGGGCACCTCACCTAGAGTCAAGGTCTCTTTCTCAGGCGGTGTCTTCAGCACTGATCCGGAAGCTTCTGGGAGGTAGGTGGTTGACTGCTCTTCCCCAAAGGAATCAGAGGACAGAGCCCTAGTTTGACTTTGCTGCCACCTTGTGGTAATGGGGCTACTCGCAACAGGAACCTCTGCGGACAGCCTCTTCGCAAAGTTGCTCTTAAAGTCAGAATACGTAGCATTAACTGAATCGAGTACCTGTTTAACAACAAAAACAGCTGTAAGTCCACTGGCCTCAGTGATGCAAAAGTAAAAATTCCCTATAAGAGAATTACAAATGACTCATCTAGTACAACACCAATAAAATATATATAATGAGATTTTTTTAATTTTTGTAACCTAGATATTATTTTATATATTTGTATATATTTTTGTATATAGTTATACGTAAAATGTTATATTTTATAGTTACATATTATATAAACATAAATATGTTATGTTTTATATATTTATATATTATATAAACATAAATATGTTGTTTTATATATTTATATATTATATAAACATAAATATGTTGTTTTATATATTTATATATTATATAAACATAAATATGTTATGTTTTATATATTTATATATTATATAAACATAAATATGTTATGTTTTATATATTTATATATTATATAAACATAAATATGTTATGTTTTATATATTTATATATTATATAAACATAAGTATGTTGTTTTATATATTTATATATTATATAAACATAAGTATGTTATGTTTTATATATTTATATTTATATATAAAATATGTTATATTTTATATATTTTTATATTGATATTTATATACAAAAGTTATATTTTATGTTTATATTTATAAAACATGTTATTTTATATGTATTTATATATAAAAATGTTACGTATTTTTATATATTTATGTGTAAACTGTTACATTTTTATATGTATTTATGTGTAAAATGTTATTTTTTTATGTTTATATGTGAAATATATTATTTTATATGTAAAATAGATATATATTTCTTCTATCTAAAAAACACCAAAATGCCACTACTTACTTAGAGCCTCTGCTCAAGGGTCTGTAGGTATACCAATGTAGTTTAGGGAGTAATTACATTTATAAATATTACCATTACATATCAGTGTAAAATATGACATATGATATAACACTATGTACTGAACATGCAAGATGTTTGTATGAAATGATAAAATTTCAAATCTGGATATAAACAGCAATTTTCTAGTCCAAACCCTTCATTTCACAGATGGGGAAGCTGAGGCCTAGAGAAAGTAAGTGATTTGCTCAACATCTGTCCATCTTCTCTAAGAAACACCAGGAGTTTGATATTTATAGAGCCTGTAGTAGTGAACCATCCCATGTAGCCATGTGAAATTAAAATGCAAGTGACAAACTGGAATTATCTTTTAATAAAATGACAGACAATTTAGATTAAAATCCTAGTCATAAAGAGCTCTTATAGAAATTGACAAGTTTACCAACTCAACAGAAAAACTGGGCCATAGGACATTAAAAAGACAATTCATAAAAGAGATATATAAATGCCCAAAAGATATTTAATCTCACTAGCAATCAAAGAAATGCAAATTTAAAACAGCAATGAGATGTTAGCAATAATTTTTTTGTGACAATCCCTGGTGTTGAAGGTGCCAAAAACAAACACTGGCATACACTGCTGTGGAGGTTAAATTAGTATCTGGAAAGGACTTTTGGACAATGTGCGTCAAAAGCCTTCATATATGTGCATAACTTCTACTGACCCAGCAATATCACCTCTAAGAATTTAAAAAAGAAATCAGCCGGCCGTGGCGGCTCATGCTTGAAATCGTAGCTCTTTGTGAGGCTGAGGCAGGCAGATTGCTTGAGCCCAGGTGTTCGGGACCAGCCTGGGCAACAAGACAAAACCCTGTCTCTACAAAAAATACAAGAATGAGTTGAGCGTGGTGGTGTGTACTTGTAGTCCTAGCTACTTGATGGGGCTGAGGCAGGAGGATTGCTTGCTGCAGTGAGCCGCATTGGCGCTGCTGCACTCCAGCCTGGGCGACAAAGTGAGACCCTGTCTCAAAATAAAAACAAAAAAAGAAAAAAGAAATCTAAGATATGAGCCAAGATGGAGAAAACATCCAGCATTTATTGAGTAGTTACTATGTATGAAACCATATGTACAGGGTTTTACACGTTTGTATTTAATCCTAAGAAACATCTGTGAAGCAGATCTTATTTACGCCCATTTTATCAGTGAAGAAACTGAGGCTTAGAGGTCAAGTGAATTGTCCAAGACTACACAGTAAGTGGCGATGCCACACCTGAGGCTCACCTGTCTGACCCCAGAGTCCAGGCTCTCAACTGAGAACATGAGGGTGTGTACTGCATTTTACATGTTTGTAAGTACAAAAAGATGTGAGACAGAGACTAAGTGTTTACCAGTGGAGAACTGACTAGGCAAACTAACAGGACATCTCTAAGAGGGACTGCTCTGCTGCCATCAGAAATGACATACATTAGGGAAATGTAAACTAAACCACACCAAAGCACCACTTCACACCCACGAGGATGGCTAGAATTTTTTTAATGGAAACTAATAAGCATTGGTAAGGATGCGAAGAAACTGGAATCTTTGTACATTGCAAGTGTACAGAATGTGAAAGGATGCAGTCATTGTGGAAGATTAGTTTGGTGATACCTCAAAAAGATAAACCTAGAATTACCACATGACCAAGCAAGTCCACTCATAGGTATATGTACTCAAACTCAAATTCATGTGCACATATGTTCATAGTAGCACTAATCACAATAAGAAGGTGCAGACAACCCAAACACTCATCAACAGATGAATGCATAAACAAATCATGGGACGTATCTACATATGCAAGTGATCTACATATCACTCCCAAGAGGAATGAGTTGCTGATACATGTCATAATCTGCATAAGCCTTGAAAGCATTATGCTAAGTGAAAGAAGCCAGACAGGAAAGGTCACATATTGTGTGATTCCATCTATATGAAATAGTCAGCACAGGAAAATCCATAGGCGGAGAACACAGATTGGTCATTGTCAGGGATTAGGGGAGGAGGAAATGGGGAGCAACTGCTTAATGGGTATGGAGTTTTCTTTTGAGGTGATGAAAACATTTTGGAACAAGAGAGAAGTGGTGGTTCCAGAACATTGGAAATACACTAAAGACCACTGAATTGGTGACTTAAAAGGTTATTTTTGGCCAGGTGCAGTGGCTCACACCTGTAATCCCAACACTTTGGGAGACTGAGGTGAGTTAATCACCTGAGGTCAGGAGTTCAAGACCAGCCTGACCAATATGATGAAACCCCATCTCTACTAAAAATACAAAAATTAGCCAGCCGTGGTGGCATGTGCCTGTAATCCCAGCTACTTGGGAGGCTGACAAGAGAATCGCTTGAACCCAGGAGGCAGAGGTTGCAGTGAGCCGAGATCGCACCATTGCACTCCAGCCTGGGCAACAAGAGTGAAACCCCGTCTCAAAAAAATAAATAAAAAATTAAAAAATAAAGGTTTTTTTAAATATGTGCATTTCACTTCAATAAAAGAAATCTTTTTAAAAATGGTAACATAGGATAATAGTGAATAAAACATGCAAATGCTTACAATATATTGCTAGCTGTAAAACAGGGACTATAAAAGAGTATTCCAATACAGTCCTACTTCCTAGCTCTAAATGAAAGATAGGAAGGGAATATGCTAGAATGTTGAAGCAGTAAGCATTGGTTCAGTTTGGGTTTTTTACTAAGCGTGTGTGAGGGTGCTGGCCCACCCTGCCTGCAGCCCCCAGGGGGCGAGGCCGGCTCTCTCTCCACTGCTGCTCTGTGCTCTCCCCACCAGCTGACCAAAGAGAACTTCTTTCGCAGAAGACAGGAGCCAAGAGGCTGAGGCCACAGCTGTTGTAAAGTGTTGTTGGGGGTCAGTTTTTCTGTCTTGTAGTTCTTGGTTTTTGAGTAGGAATGGGAAGGATGAAAAGAGGCTGTACATGTCAATCAGGCATCTCAATCTCAGAAACCTTGACTAGGGGGCAGCAGGTAAGGTGATGAGTAATGCCAGCCTGGATGAGAAGCATGGCCCACTCTGGCCTTCTTTTTTGTTTTGCTTTGTTATTTTGAGGCAGTCTCACTCTGTCACCTAGGCTGGAGTGCAGCGGCACAATCATGGCTCACCGCAGTCTCGACCTCCCAGAGCTCAAGCGATCCTCCTGCCTCAAGCTCACCAGTAGCTGGGACTACAGGTGTGCACCACCACACCTGGCTAATTTTTGTGTTTTTTGGAGAGACGGGGTTTCACCATGTTGCCCAGGCTGGTCTTTAACTCCTGGGCTCAAGCAATACTCCCACCTAAGCCCCCAAAAGTGCTAGGATTACAAGTATGAGGCCCCTCACAGGGCCACTCGAACTTTCATTTCCCCACTTTTTTATTTCTCTCCGCTAAGAAAAAAACCGCAGTACCAGCTCAGAGGCTTTGGGGTCTCAGCCCCAGAAACTGAGGGAATCTCTCAAACTTTAATGCTTGTGTTTTAGCCACAGCAAGAACACATTGAGACACATCGTCTCATTTCATAAAAGATATTAGAAATTTAGACTTTTCATATGAATTTTCCCACTTTTTAAAGTGTTCAACTGATTCTAATTTTTCAAAAAGACTGGAGGACTCAACAGAGCATGTCTGTGGGCCACATTCAGTGGGCTACATTTGCAACGGCTCCACTATGTCCAGGTAGCCCTTACCCTCACAGGTACCAAGAAAGGGAGGAGACACCGCATTGGAAGATAAACTTAGTTTGCAGAAAACATGGCAGAGGACAGAGACACTTGCTCAAAAGTTTCCTTAGAGCAAAATTCCAAAGAAATTCTAAACTTTAAATATACATTTTTAAAATTCTGGGTTTAAAAGAGGAAATTAAAGAATAATAATTGGATGCTATGTCAGCTATGTCTGCGAAAACAACATGAGAAGTTGCACGTTAACAATATCCTACCGCCTTAGCAGGTCTGAGTTTCTGTGATTCGTCTACCGTCACTCTGTCCACCCCAAATGTTTCCCACTTAGGATGTTCATCCCCAGTTTTCTGCCAGGGTAAATCCCAGCCACCTTCACTTCTGGGTTCAGCCATCAACTCCTTCAGGAAGGTGTCTCTGACATTCCCTTCCTCCCGATTCCAAACTAGATTAGGCAGCCAATGGTAGCTAAATAATGGTCCCTAGAGAGATCCAGATCCTAACCCCTGGAACCTATAAATGTTACTTCATATGGCAAAGGGGCTATGCAGATGTAAGTTCAGGATGAAGTTAAGTTGAGGTGAGGAGACTATTGTGAATTGTCAGGATGAGCCCTAAATGCAATCACATGTATCCCTGTAAGAGGAAGGCAGAGGGAGATGTGACTGCACACAGAAAAGGAGCAGCAATGTGACCAAAGAGGCAGTGACCGGAGTGATAGGGCCACAGGCCAAGAAATGCTGGCAGTCACCAGAAACCAGAAGAGGCAAGGAATGGATTCTCCACTAGAGCCTCTGGAGGAGGCCAGGCCCTGCTGACACCCCAGCTTCTGCCCAATGAAACTGAGTTTGGACCTCTGGCCTCCGTAACTAGAAGAGAATATGTGTGTCTAAGCTACAAAGTTTCTGGTAATTTGTTGCAGCAGCCCTAGGGAACAAATACTCAGCCCTGTGCTTCCACACTCACTGTGCATGCTCCAGCATGACCACCTTGTGCTAATAACATTTACCAAACACTTAATCCGTGCCAAGCCCTGGGATATATGAATCGGAGGGAGTGTCTATTTTAGTTTCATCACAACCCTCTGAAATAGGTACTAGTATTATTTCAGAATACAGAGTTGGAAGACAAATCTTAATGGGGTTAGGTAATTTTAGCAAGGATATAGAGCTAATAGGCAGCTGTACACTACATACAGCTGTATAGATCATTGTCTCTATGAATGGCACCCTCTGGAATATGCAGTGCACAACCCTCACAACCAACCAGAGCAACCCTGCCACAGTTTGAACTCTGACAAATCAATCTAGTCTAATCCCTATGCTAAAAAGCAGGTCTGCTCATATTCCACTTTTTTACTTTCTCTCCTGCTATATCATACACTCCTTAAGACCAGGGACTTTGTCTTTTATCTTACTATCCTCGGGACATTGGTATCTAGAAACCCCATAATGAATAAATAGATGAATCTCTTCCCCTAGAGGCAGTTAGTACTAAAAAGGCACAAGGCATTTGAGAAAGAATCCAGAGGCAAGGAAATAAGCTGTTTTCATCCTTCTCCATTAAGGAGAACAATTCTCAGGGCAGGCACGGTGGCTCACGCTTATAATCCCAGCACTTGGGGAGGCCAAGGCAGGTGGATGGCTTGAGCTCAGGAGTTCAAGACCAGCCTCGACAATGTGGCGAAACCCCATCTGAACAAAAAATACAAAAATTAGCTGGGCACGGTGGTGTGTGCCTATAGTCCCAGCTGCTCAGGAGACTGAGGTGGGAGGATGGCTTGAGCCCAGAAGGCAGAGGTTGCAGTGAGCCAAGATCGTGCTACTGCTCTCCAACCTGGGCGATATAGCCAGACCTTGTCTCATAAAAAAAAAAAAAAAAAAAAAAAGAACAATTTTCAAATTGTACAGAGTAAAATAAACATTTCTGCAGAAATTAGAGAATGAGATAAATGAAACAACAAAAGTGTATCTGGGCTTTTAAAACAAGTTCAAGTCTGTAGGGCCAAATAAATAAAACCCAGAGTAATGACAGCACTTTCAGAACCAATACTTGTTAGTGATCTATGAGCAAAACATGACAAATAAGAAAAATACATGCCCCCTGATAGATATATGTATTATTTTTCATGGTTCTCCAATAGGAGAAGCAAGTAACTAGTAATAAATTTGCTGCCAGTGTCCTAGATGGCACAAGTCAGCAGATCCACGTTAGCCTGAATAAATCCCCCCGGGGTGGACTGAAGGTTTAGTCTCTGGCCTTCTGCTATTCAACTTGTTATCAGCAGCTTGAATGGAGATTTATTTATCAAAATTGTTGATTACTCTAAGCTGAAAATATAGTTAAAATACTAAAGGACAGAATAGAATTCAGAATAAAGTCTGGGACAAGGGCCAAAGCAGCAAAATTTAATTCAATAAAGTTGCATGAACAATATTCTTATTTAGATTTTTTTTCTTCATTGCACAGGCATAAGATGGAAGAGAATCAACATGCAGTGAAAAAGATTGGCAGTGTTAGGCAGACCCCACTACAATATGAGCAAACAGTATGGTGAAATTATTGTAAAAAATCAGTACGATTTTAGGTCCCATTAACAGAAAAATAGTGTCCAGAACAGGAGCAATCTAAACTCTGTGTCTCTGCACCGCTCAGAACACATCTGGAGAACCACGTCCAGTCCCAGAACTGTTCTTCAAGAAGGGAGATGGACAAGTCAGGATTCGAACCCTGAGTTCATTTGGAGGAAAGAGACCACAGTGACAGGGGTCAAGGTAAACACCGTAATGGGACAACACCCCAGCACATCCAAGGGTGGAAACCTGGGGTGCTTAGTCTAGGAGAAAGAAGATTCAAAAGGGTCTGGCGCAGTGGCTTACACCTGTACTCTAAGCATTTTGGGGGGCCAGTGCAGAGGGGGAATCACTTGAGGCCAGGAGTTCCAGACCAGGCTGGGCAAGTGAGACCCCATCTCTAAAATAAAAATCAAAAAACTAGCTGGGCATGGTGGCACGCACCTGTGGCCCAGCTACTTGGGAGGCTAAGGTGGGAGGATTGCTTGATCCTGGGAGGTCGACGCTGCAGTGAGCCATGATCATGCCACTGCACTGCAGCCTGGGTGACAGAGTGAGACCGTGTCTCCCAAGAAAAAAGAAAAAAGAGGAAAACCCAAAAGGAACTGTCTTCAAATATTTAAAGGGATGCAATTTATGAATAAAAGAAAAACTTACTTTATATTGCTCCCTGTGATACAACCAGGACCCATGAAGGGGTAGATTCAATTCAGAGAACTTTGAAAGAGAGCACAGTTTGAATATAAAGTAAAATTCTCTCAGTCCCTGCACTAGGGACATATGGTTCATAGTGGTATAGATGAACACTAATAATTATGTATTTAATGTCATTTTATAATTTTTCAGGTTTGATGTAAAGTTTTCCTTAGAAAAATTAATTTTAGAAAAATAAATTGTATTTAAATACTCATTTGTTAGTATGAGTATTAAAATGTTAAGCAAATAAACGATATACAGATATGGCAAAATCACAGAGGTGGTACTCCTTCAATGACTGCAGTGAAGGAAACACTGCTGCAGATTGTGCTATTTCATCTTCAGTATTTTTAAACTTCTGTTCCAGGATCTATCTCCTGCCAAGGAAATGCCTGTCGCATAGTTTTGAATGACTCAAGTATTTATTAATAGAAAGGAAGAGGAAGATAAGAAAAGTAAGACAAAGAAGGGAAAAGGGATGAATGACTCGGTACTCCAAGCACATCAGTTCAGCTTGTTTACCTGTAGAGTTCACATCATAGTGACATTAAACCAGGAGGAATTCAGAGCACCAGTGCCAAAAATAATTAGAAAAGGACCCAGAGGGGTTAAAAATAAGGTCAGGAAGTAGCAGAATGAAACAACTGAGAAAATAGAAACAAATATGTCTACTGACAAATAATTTGACACACAAATATCCAGTGGGTTGGAAAAACCTAGACATCCCAGAAAAGACCTGCTGGCGATGCTAGTCTTGCTAGAACCTCAAGAGAAAGATAAAAGTAGCAAAGACAGCCCAGGTAGCTCTGAAGCATACCCCAACCCCGTTCCTTAACCTCTGAGTGTGTGCCGCTCCCACCCACCACCAGCCCAATGCAGCAGCATTCTGTCCACAAGATGTTTCAAATGTAGGGTCTCAATACTATTTCAAATTAGTCATGAAGACCAAAATGTTCATCGTCTCATGTTTGAACTTTCAACGCCCTCCCATCCTAGTAGGCAATATGACCCACACACTGTCAAGGTCATTTTCAGGTAAACATCATCCTTTATCTCTATCGCCAGCAGCTGCCCGCAGGGTCTACAGAGCATCTTTAGCACCCACCCCCTTCCTTCCATCATGCTGGCCAAGGCTACCTTCACTAAGACTCTTCGCCTATCATCTGGACCTGCTGCTCTGCAGACCTCCCGTGGCCCCTTCCAGATAACTTCAGTACACACAGAAAAGCCTTTTGGTGGTGTTCTCCATGCCTTCCCCTTTCTGGGCGCTTATACAGTGATTTCTTATAAAACAAAATGCCTCCTCACGAATGAAACCCCTTGTATTAGTCTGTTCTCATGCTGCTAATAAAGACATACCTGAGGCTGGGTAATTTATAAAGGAAAGAGATTTAATGGACTCACAGTTCCACATGGCTAGGGAGTCCTCACAATCATGGCAGAAGGTGAATGAGGAGCAAAGGCATGTCTTACATGGCAGCAGGCAAAAGCTTGTGCTGAAGAACTCCCATTTATAAAACCATCAGATCTCGTGAGACTTATTCACTACCACAAGAACAGTATAGGGGTAACTACCCCCATGATTTAGTTATCTCCATCTGGCCCCACCCTTCATATGTGGGGATTATTACAATTCAAGGTGAGATTTGGGTGGGGACACAGCCAAACCATATGACCCCTCCACCAGAGTACTACAGCCATCTCACCTACAATGTTTTCTTCTAAATAAATTTATTCACCTATTACACAGAAACAGTTTCATGAAGTTGAAATAATTTTGGTTATGAAGTCGAAAGTTCAAAACTCTATTCTTCATTGTTCCATTCACTAATTCTGTGATCTTGGCTGAGTTAACTGCTCCCTATTTCAAAGAATTACTGTGAAGAAGGTAATGTGTCTACTAAAGAAGATTGTGTGCAGTATAAAGCTCTCTAAAAACATAAGTCACTGGCCAGGCATGGTGGCTCATGCCTGTAATCCCAGCACTTTGTGAGGCCGAGGCGGGCAGCTCACGAGATCAGGAGTTCATGACCAGCCTGACTAATATGGTGAAACCCCATCACTACTAAAAATACAAAAATTAGCCGGGCATTTTGGCGCGTGCCTGTAGTCCCAGCTACTCGGGAGGCTGAGGCCGGAGAATCACTCAAACCCAAGAGATGGAGGTTGCAGTGAGCCGAGGTTGCACCACTGCACTCCAGTCTAGCCGACAGAGTGAGATTCTGTCTCAAAAAATAATAATAATAAATAAAAAAATAAGTCATTTATTTAGCACTCAGTTATTTACTGCCTTGTAATCCTTCCGTTTCTTGTGTGTTCTCATATTTCCAAAATTGCTTTTACAGTTGCATGAGGCTGGCTCCTTCCCTTGCACCTTATTTGTATCCTTTCCAGTGCTTGAGTTGGTTGATAACTGAGTCAACTACTTTATGCCCTTCTTGACCCAGTAGCTTCCTCTTGCCTTCATCATGAACTCATCAATCTCTTCTCCTCCTATAGAAGCCTTCCTTCATTTACTGAAAGAGCGCTGGTGGTTTTTCTAACATACTACCCCTTATGCAGAGAAATGTGCCATTTTGATATATGTATAGTCTGAGAATAGAGTTAGTATAGACAGAACATGAAAACAATAATGGTGGATCCCCAGAAGGCTGAGAGATGATGACATCAAAATGTGTGCAGAGAAAGACTGCCAAAACAACAAAGAAGAGGTGTGACAGGGCCAAAATCTGTGTTCATCCAATGCTGTCCAGCGCACAAGTTCTCCAAAGTGCTGTCTGAATGTTTGGTTAATGGGTCAGTATGAAAATTTATATATCATGCCTTCATTATTTGAAGCTCTTAAGCCTTAGGAACATTAAATTAACAAACTGGCTCTGATTTCATCCTTGACAGGAGATATACACGTAAGTTTTCAAAGTTGTATTCATATAATATGGAATTTTGTGGTGAAACCAACCTCAACATCAGGCCTGCATAATGTTTTATTTCTGGTGTAAAAACTGGCTTATTCAGCAATCACAAGCAAGTTTGTAACAGCATAATTTTGGCATTTTCAAATCCATTCATCTCTGGATCACTTGATAAGAGTTTCTGTACTTATAATACAATGGACTAGAAACTATCACAGTGATTTTATCAAAATAATATCACCCTAGGGGGCCCTGCCTAAGCGGTGGTCAGTCAACATCCCTGCCAAAGATAAATCACTCTCTTTCCACCTCAAAACACAGTTATAATGACTTGGGTTTACACGGCTCAAATTACAGCAGGTATTCTATGAATTAATTTTAAAATGCATGTTCCTAAGCCATTTGCTTGTACAGCCTGAGGAGTTAAAATATCTCGTGTATTCATAGAGACATGAACACATCCACTATGGAAAACAAAGACAAACCAAAGACTCTTGTTGCTCTGAAACCAAAAAAAGTTTGAGGTCTAAAGGTTCTCAAACTTAAACGTGTGTATGTGTCATGAGGAGATCCTGTAAAAGTACAGATTCTGACTCGGGAAGTCTGGGGTGGGGCCCAAAATGCTGTGTTTCTAACAAATGCCCAGGTGATGGTACTGTGGAAGGTCCCAGATCCCACTTAGAGAGCAAGGCCAGAGAGCTTAAGCAACATAGCAGTGTTCATGTCATATAAACACAGGGACTTTGACTTTTTAAACAATTCAGCCAGAGAACACCAAAGTAAAATTATCAGGAAGTGATACAACACATCTTACATACATTTTTGTTCTTTACTAGGAATTATGTTTAAAAGGGAATACTTTCTGCATAATCATTGCTTTTTCTACTGTATCCATTCTTACTGAGCCATGAGAGTAGGAGTCGAGCGGTTCCTCTCACAAGTTTTACACAGTAGGCTATGGGCTTTGCTCAGCCACCCGAAAACACACATGCCACAGAGCGGGAACCAGAAGAGCAGGCAGCACCCTGAGCACCCTCTCTGAAGCTCCACAAGCTAACAGTGACAGGAAGGGCACTCCACAAACATCTCAGCTCATTCCCTGCACTTTCTGGAAACACATCATGATCAAATGGCATAATGCCCCTTCATCCAGATCTTGCCATGAGTCTTAAACAGAGCAGAATTGAAAGTGAATGGCTTTTAGGATATACAGCCCTCAATTGCCTCCCCATACCTACCCCTAAAATTCATGACCGTTAGCAACAGCAAAGTTAGGCCCCCTGTGCCAGGCAACAGCCAGGGGAGGGAAATAAAGAGAAAAAACGAAGCAATTAGATGACGTGCCCAAGTAGAGGTGGGTTTTGCAGGGTTTGTTTGTTTTCAGGGATTTTTTTTGGTAGAATTGCCTTATTTAACTGTTAAATTACTACTTTATTATCGAGTTCAATTTTTGCTTTTTTCCCTCTTCTTCTTTTGTTCTGATTTTAAGATAGTCTCACTCTGTCACCCAGGCTGCAGTCTACAAACACGACTCACTGCAGCCTCAACCTCCTGGGATCAAGCGATCCTCCCACCTTTGCCACCTGTATAACTGGGACCACAGCCATGCACCACCACAACCAGCTAATTAAAATTCTTTTTTAGAGACAGGGGTATCGCTTTCTTGCCCAAGTTGGTCTTGAACTCATGGGCTCAAGTGATCCTCCCATCTAGGCCTCCCAAAGTGCTGGGATTACAGGCGTGAGCCACCATGCCCGGCCTCAGTTTTTTCCATCTACAGGTTGTAGTGCATCGGTGAATGATGAAATCATTTTGATAGGTCAGAACTGGGTTGTTTAAAAATGCAACAGGTGGGGGTGCATCACAGTTCAAAGGAGAAGTGTTGTTTCTCAGTTGTGTGTTGTTTGTACCCAGTTATGTTGTAAAGTGCACTGCTGACTGGGGGTCATGAGTAGAAATTTGAAAAACACTGGACTATAGTTTGCTCTATGATAGAGAAGGGTTTCTTTTAACACCTTCACTGTTTTTAACATATTTATTTTGACTGTATTCACTTGGTATTTGATTGCCTTAGCTAGATGAATCAGGGTAAATAGCCTTTTTCAGATATTTCCCTGCTCTTTCCACTATAAATTTCCTGAACTCATATAGCATGTTTAACCCATACATGTAATAGTAACGTCCTTCAGGGTATACACCATATGAGTAGGTCACATTTAATCTACATTCTAAACTATTGCTGAGCATCGTACTCCATCCTCTGCATCCAAACAGTTGCTCAATAAATACACAGCTTAGCATGGGGAATGAGCCCTCCGTAGCTTTCGAGTTACAAGAGCACCATCTTCTGGCGAAATATTTTCTTTGTAGGGAGAATGTCAAAGACCTACCAAAAATGTCCTGATTTTTCTAGCAAAAATTATAATTACATCACAAATACTTTGAAATTCTGTAGAGCTCCTTGCTTCATTCAGGAGTTTCGCTTCATTTCCCCTCTGAGAAGTGGTCTTTCTGTTCCTTAGCAGTGAAAGCAGTCAGCCTGTCCTTCCTGGTTTTCCGTTAAACTAAGCCGGTTTCAAGTTTCAGCTCCTCCTTGAATTCCAGGCTGCTGAGACTTCCCTCTAGAATCCTCCAACATGGAGCCTCTTGCAGCTTACCCGCTAAAATGTTCCGGGCCCAGAGCAAAGGTATTTGCAGTTTTGCTGTCTATAGTTCTATGCACAGTAACGCTATTTCTTCTACAACTAAAATTCCTCAAACCTAAAATCAACAGCTTTTATGCCTTTGAAGTGAAGGATGCAAAAGGAAGAACTGTTTCTCTGGAAAAGTATAAAGGCAAAGTAAGTTGCATCATCTGATTTTTATTGTTATCATTTTTCCTTGTCTCTGTTTATTCCTCTTAATAAAATCAATTTTTTGCTGTTACATGGTCATAAGTTGGAATTTAGTCTTCAGAGTAATGGTATTAGTACATCACTTTAGTTATTACAGTTCTGATAGTTTGCTTCTAAATAATAAATTCCGATTATCTCGTTTTCTTTAAAATGCTTTAATTTTGTGCTGAATTGACATGTAAAGTTGTTTGGAAAATACTTATAGTTAGTAATGTGAACATGATGACATTTATTAATAAAAGTATTGGTTCTATAATCTAATAACTTTAAAAAGAACTTATCAAGGATCATAGTTTTATCTTTAATTTAAAAATAAACTTTCATGAGTATCTAATGCTTTTTTAATGGCAGTACTATTTCAGGGCCTTAACCCAGGCATCTAGGTTACAGTTTTCAATAGAACTGTGTATGTCCAAAAATATGAAAAAAACATCAATCAGAGGTTATAGTCCCCCCCAAATTGTTTAGGATTTTAACTACTTGCAGAATTTTTTAAAATCTTTTGCTTCACTTTCCGGTTGGATTTTTTTCTTTTTCCGGGAGGTTTCACTAGTTGTAAACGTGGCCAGTGACTGCCAACTCACAGACAGAAATTACTTAGGGCTGAAGGAACTGCACAAAGAGTTTGGACCATCCCACTTCAGCGTGTTGGCTTTTCCCTGCAATCAGTTTGGAGAATCGGAGCCCCGCCCAAGCAAGGAAGTAGAATCTTTTGCAAGAAAAAACTACGGAGTAACTTTCCCCATCTTCCACAAGATTAAGATTCTAGGATCTGAAGGAGAACCTGCATTTAGATTTCTTGTTGGTAAATATCTGCCTTGCATATGCTGTTTTAAATTGCTTTTCATTTTTAAACAATTATACCAGGACAATACTTTCCTATTTCATTTGAAACGTTGTATCGGGAAAGCTTCATAAAACTATCATCAAAGAGCCAGAATCTCATCCTTTGTAACTTCTAGGAGTTATGCTCCCCTGAAATCAATGTTTTAGCTTCTTAGATGGTAAAAGAATTCTATTCCAATATATTTTATTCCTTATTACCATCTTCCTGAAGAATTTACTTAAAGTGTGCCCATGGCTATTTTCACAAAATATCTTAATTCTCCTCTCTTGTAACTAGCATCTGGAGAAATGTCCCTTCCCGTCATTATAGCCACACAGCTCTCATGAATAGTGCTGGGCATTATTAGTTAACATATGTTTGTGGCTAATTTTATGTTGTCTTTCTTATCTGAAACAATATTCTCAAAGATGAATATGTCAGCTTACCAGATTTTTGCTAAAATCCAAAAACATATAACTTGGTTTTTTCAGAGGGCAGTAGTGTTAGGCTATTTCTCCAATTAAGCTAGCTACAGAAATCTGTTTAAAGACTTGCCAAGGTCACTTAGCACAAAGGTCATGAGGCATACAGACAGCATAGGCTTTGGCCTCAAGCTACCTGGGTTCAAACCCCTGCTCTTTTGTTTTTGCTATGTGGCTTCTTAACTTCTCTGTGCCTGTTTCTCATTTGTAAAATGGGCTATCAATAGTACCGCCTTCTTAAGATTGTTTGGAATTAAGTCTGTTAATAGTAAAAATAAAGTACTTATACACTGCTTGCTCTGTGCCAGACACTGTTCTAAACCATATTAGTCAAAAAAAAAAAAAAAAAAAAAAAGGCCGGGCGCGGTGGCTCACGCCTGTAATCCCAGCACTTTAGGAGGCCGAGGCAGGCAGATCACTTAAGGTCAGGAGTTAGAGACTAGCCTGGCCAATATGGTGAAACCCCATCTCTATTAATAGTACAAAAATTAGCCAGGTGTGGTGGTGGGCACCTGTAATCCCAGCTATTCAGGAGGCTGAGGCAGGAGAATCGCTTGAACCCAGAGGCAGAGGTTGCAGTGAGCTGAAATCGCGCTACTGCACTCCAGCCTGGGCGACAGAGCAAGCCTGCATCTTAAATAAATAAATAAAGGACATTAGCTAATGTTCTCTCATCTAACTTATTCTGATGACATCTTCAGTCCTATTTTCACTGTAAATAAGTTGAGTTTTGATCAAACTATTACCTCACTCAGGCAATCAAGCTTCTAATCCAACAAACCAAATAGTGATCTATAATATTTCACATAAATGTGAAGTCAGAATCTTCTAAAAACATTATATTTAATTTCTAGGGAAAGTTGATATAATGCCTAACGCCATAAATGGCAACCACAGTGAGGTCTTTATTCCTCTTATTTTGAAGGTCCACTGAGGAAAGAAAAGCCCAAGCACATGCCATTGAACTAATCATTCTTCAGTTACAGCAGCCAGATACGTGGGTGCAATAGCTCATAGGTTATTTCTCTTTATCACTACAAACCTTCTAAAACCCTTCTTAGCCTGTGTAATCAAAAAGGTAACAGTGAGTTAAGGTGTCATTCCACTTAGATAGGAAGGATCATAGAGCCCAAAGGTTAAGAGCATGAGCTCTGGAGTAAAAGGCCCGTATATCAATCCTGGCTCAACCACTCATTAGCCACGTGACCTTGTGTCTAGGCTTCCATTTATCTCATCTGCAAAACGGGGATGATAATAATACCCACCTCATAGGGTCCCTGTAAGATTAAAAGAGAGGATCAATTTGAAGCACGGAGCGTACATTAATCTGGCACATAGTAAGCACTTCATAAATTTTAGTTATAATTATTATATTTTTCCTCATGTTAGTCAATAAAATGAACATAAATCTTGAGTGGTATAAATAGAAAAAAAATCTACATTTCTTACATAAATTAAGATTTATCAAAAGGATATCATGGCTGGGCATGGTAGCTCATGCATGTAATCCCAGCACTTTGGGAGGCCAAGACAGGAGGATCACTTTAGTGCCCAGGAGTTCAAGCCCATCCCGGGCAACACAGCGAGACCCTGCCAAAAAAAAAGTTATTGCTTTTCAAAATAAGGTGATTATTCACTTTGGGAGGCCAAAACCCTATCTCTACTCAAAATACAAAAATTTGCCTGGTGTGGTGGCACACACCTGTAATCCCAGCAATTTGGGATTACAACTTTGCTTCATTTTTTTTGGCTTTTAATTTTATTTGACACAGAGTTTCACTCTTGTCCCCCAGGCTGGAGGGCAGTGGTGTGGTCTCAGCTCACTGCAACCTCCACCTCCCAGGTTCAAATGATTCTACTGTCTCAGCCTCCCGAGTAGCTGGGATTACAGGTGCACACCACCACACCCGGCTAATTTTTTGTATTTTTAGTAGAGATGGGGTTTCACCGTGTTGGGCAGGCTGGTCTTAAACTCCTGATCTTAGGTGATCCACCCGCCTCAGCCTCCCAAAGTGCTGGGATTACAGACTGAGCCACGGCTCCCAGCCTACTTTGCTTCATTTCTTGATACTAAGATCACATACTAGATGAGTAGACTCATAGGTGAAGTCATCAAGTATATTGAAATCTGGTTACTCTAACCTTGAGTTTCACTTCGTTTGGGTGTTTTGTTTTTTATATTATGACAGTCCTAGAACTTGATACTAAAGTTATCATTTATGCAGATACTAATAGAAGTGAAAATCTTGACAAAGAATAAAATTATGCTCATGAAAATATGTTCTGGATATTTTAGATTCTTCAAAGAAGGAACCAAGGTGGAATTTTTGGAAGTATCTTGTCAACCCTGAGGGTCAAGTTGTGAAGTTCTGGAAGCCAGAGGAGCCCATTGAAGTCATCAGGCCTGACATAGCAGCTCTGGTTAGACAAGTGATCATAAAAAAGAAAGAGGATCTATGAGAATGCCATTGCGTTTCTAATAGAACAGAGAAATGTCTCCATGAGGGTTTGGTCTCATTTTAAACATTTTTTTTTTGGAGACAGTGTCTCACTCTGTCACCCAGGCTGGAGTGCAGTAGTGCGTTCTCAGCTCATTGCAACCTCTGCCTTTTTAAACATGCTATTAAATGTGGCAATGAAGGATTTTTTTTTAATGTTATCTTGCTATTAAGTGGTAATGAATGTTCCCAGGATGAGGATGTTACCCAAAGCAAAAATCAAGAGTAGCCAAAGAATCAACATGAAATATATTAACTACTTCCTCTGACCATACTAAAGAATTCAGAATACACAGTGACCAATGTGCCTCAATATCTTATTGTTCAACTTGACATTTTCTAGGACTGTACTTGATGAAAATGCCAACACACTAGACCACTCTTTGGATTCAAGAGCACTGTGTATGACTGAAATTTCTGGAATAACTGTAAATGGTTATGTTAATGGAATAAAACACAAATGTTGAAAAATGTAAAATATATATACATAGATTCAAATCCTTATATATGTATGCTTGTTTTGTGTACAGGATTTTGTTTTTTCTTTTTAAGTACAGGTTCCTAGTGTTTTACTATAACTGTCACTATGTATGTAACTGACATATATAAATAGTCATTTATAAATGACCGTATTATAACATTTGAAAAAGTCTTCATCATTTTCAGTATTTCTCTCTGCATTATTTTTTAGAAGCAACTCAAATTCTGTAATCATAATATTACCAAGTAAGTCAGTCTTTATTTTTGCGTGAAAATCCCAAGTGTAGAAAAAAGGACATGAGTATAAGATCATTTAACTTGATTCCTTATAGGCTGATTTGGGTTGCTAATGTATTCGTACTAGATTAGCCACTTGGGAGGAATTCAATGCTGCATCATTCTGATAGCTGAAATAGTAAAAGTCAACTCCAAACAGCCTAAATTCTAGTATAAAAAGGGGGTGATCATACAAGTCCTAAAGTGTAGATCAGCAGTCACTGAACCTCTTAGAGTCACAAGGCATTTCTTCTCCCAAAGTCATGACCTTTATATTTTGTTAGCCTTATAATTGACTAACAAAGCAACCTGCCAAGTTGGTGAAGGTTAATTATTGCCTCATGAAATATACATTCATCGCATAAAAGAATTAAATAGGAAGATGGCCAAAAATGTAAAAAAGTCGTATAAATTTGTCTAAGAAGAAAAAGACCCAATTTAAGTAGTCTGTGACTTGACTCCCAAATTCTGACCTGATGGATGAAAGTGAAGATGTTTCGTATGGCAAATTCAGTAATGCTACCTCAGTATATAGTTCTGTATACGTATTTGGACCAAAGTTATTAGATAAACCAAAAATATTTCATGAAGCATCTTCTGCTTCAGAGTCCATATCCAGCCACCCAGCTATGAATGTATTTAGAAAGATATTTGGTGGAGGTGGAATTTCTACCAGAGGTCAAGAGGATTTGTAGGGATAGCCTCAAGAATGCCAGATGAGTGTGTCAGAAAGCCTGCTCCTACCTCTCGCCAGCTGCGTGACTTTAGGCAAGTCACTTAAGTACCTTATTTCAGTTTCCTCACCTGTAAATTGAACAGGGGTTGAATGGAATAAAAAGCCCTTTGCAACTCTAAAAGTCAATTAACACACTTACTAAGGTGTTTTAAGTGACCAGGAAGGAAATCAGAACTAACCTGGATTGTTAGCGAAGAAAACAGAAGCCACCAACAAGCCTATCTGTCCTTTGCAATTTTGCTCCAAGAGCCTATTAGCAATTTGAATTCTGAGCCTCTAAGAAAACTTATGCTCAGGTGGCCCCTCCAAGTGTTGGTGCCAGAGCACTCTTGCCTTGTATCCTCACCTACGCCTTCCATGAACTCATAGCAGTGCTGTGGCACTGCAGGGGTGTTTTATGCATTCACGTTAGGAGCATGAGCAGAACTGCATATGCCAGCACCACATGGGCAGCAGAGACTCCCCACTGCCAGATGGATGATAATGGAGCTGCACTGGGAACAACCAGGACTGTCCCAGTCAACATGATACAGATGAACATCCTGCCTTAAGTCACTAGCTCTCTCCAAAGCCAGATAAAGTGGGTTTCTTCACTTACATCTCTCTAATCTTGGCTGCCTTATTCAACCTACAGACTCTATGTCAGTGCTGGATTTTCTCCCCTTGCCCTTTAGGTAAGCAGAGTAGGCAGGAGGAGATTTGAAAGCGTGTCATACATATTGCCTTGAAAGAAAGGACATTCAGGTGTCCCTTCGGGGTTCTGTAACAATTAGGCTATGTGTGCTGAGAGAGGGAGCGGAGTCATTTGCTGATGTGCTGCTACCTGTAACTCAAATGCCTCATAGGAATACCAGCGGACAAACACATAGAGGAAAAGTTGAATCTTTCCTATATTGGACAATCTTCCTTCAGTCTTGTTTCTGCATCAAAAAGTCTGGGACACAGAGTGCTACAGGATGCCTGGGCTAAGGACTGTAACAGAAAAATATCAACATCAGAGCCTGGCACAGTGGCTCACACCGGTAATCCCAGCACTTTGGGAGGCCGAGGCGGGTGGATCACTTCAGGTCAGGAGTTCGAGACCATCCTGGCCAACATGGTGAAACCCCCATCTCTACTAAAAATACAAAAATTAGCCGGGCACGGTGGCACATGCCTGTAATCCCAGCTACCTGGGAGGCTGAGTCAGAAGAATCACTTGAAAACAGGAGGCTGAGGTTGCAATGAGCCAAGATTGCACCACTGCACTCCAACCTGGGCAACAGAGCGAGACCCCATCTTAAAGACCCTGTCTCAAAAAAGAGAGAAAAAGAAAAAGAAAAATATCAGGCATCACATGAAAGAGTATTCAGCTGTCGTTCTTGTGAAAAAGGAAAAGGACAAAATCAAATGCATTTTAACTGTGGTAACTAATTCACTGACTTGAAGTTTGCTTTGTTTGTTTTCTTTGGTGCGTAGAGAAGAATACTTCATACTAACTCCTGATCATCTTACAGCAGACATAACAACAGAGTGTTAGAGACTGGAATAAATATGAATTTGGCTGAAATGTGCCCTGAAAGTTGTATTTCATTTTTTTAAATGTTTAACAATTACACTGTATCAATAGTATATATACGTGTACATATATATAATTCTTAATAACTGCAGTGTATCTAGCATATATATAATGGTGGCTGGTACATGTTTAATAGCAGACTCTGGAGGAGGAATCCTGACATACAGCATTTGCCAGCTCAATGTAAATGCTCATGCTCCCTCATGGTCAATTTCAATCTACCACTGGTTTAGTAACTAGGATGCAAAATTTCTAAAAATGTGATAATTGGTGATGGGCATGATGGCTCAGGCCTGTAATATCAGCACTTTAAGCAGCTGAGGTGGGAGGATCACTTGAGCCCAGGAGTTAGAGACCAGCCTGGGGCAACATGGCAAAACCCTGTCTCCACAAAAAAAATCAAAAAATTAGCTGGGTGTAGTGGCACATGCCTCAGGTCCCAGCTACATAGGAGGCTGAGGTGGAAGGATTGCTTGAGCCCAAAGAGGTCAAGGCTGCAGTGAGCCGACATGGCTCCACTGAACTCCAGGCTGGGCAACAGAGCGAGACCCCATCTCTACAAAAAAAATTTTTAAATTAGCCAGGTGCGGTAGCACACACCTGTGGTTCCAGCTACTCAGGAGGCTGAGGTGAGAGGATTGCTTAAGCCCAGGAGGTAGAGGCTGTAGTGAGCCATGATTGCACCACATTGATTTGTGGTGTTCCTTTGAAAGAAAAATGACATGTTTGGGTGGAGCTGATATGAGGACACTCTATCCATATTTAGTCCTCTGCTTGATTTTATCTTTCCCATCAAATAAAATTCTAATAATTGTTAGGCCTAGAAACTAATCCACCACACTCCTTCCCACTCTTCCCTTCCCCTCATCCAGCTGAACTGTTAAGGCTGTCTCTTGCAGAGCAGTGCAGGGGAATAAAAAGCAGCAGAGAGAGAGAAATTAGGAAGCTATCACTATAATAGTGACAGGTTCAGAGGGCAGCGATGGGAAGTAGTGACATTCCCAGCACCAGTGAACAGCCAAGAGACTGCCCCAAGAGAAAACACCTGGGAGAAAATACTTTGCCATCAGCAGAACCTCCCTCCTCTTTTTACCATCCCTTTTCCCTCTGCTTGACCCTTGACATCCCAGTGTGTATCCCTTTCTTTCCCTCTCCCACCTATGGAAACATTTTCTCTTTTAATTTGTATCTTCACTTTCCTCCTAACCCATTCATCTCTTTAACATATTTTTTATTTCTTTAACATATTTTTATTTCATTCCATTCCTTCCCTCTTTTCTCATCATCTCGATAATATGAGACTAAACCACAACTTTAAATGTCTTCTGTTTATTGAATATAAAGTTGGTTTCCCTACAGAATCAAAAGTTCTAAAAAAGAAAACTTAAAAAAATTTAAGTTGGCATTTTCAGAAACAGAAAATCAATTACGGCATGTTCCTCACTTCTAAGTGGGAGCTAAACAATGGGTACACATGGACATGAAGATGGAAACAGTAGACACTGGGGACTCCAGAAGGGGTAGAAGGAAGGAATACAAGGACTGAAAAACTATCTATTGGGTACAATGTTCACTATTTGGGTGATAGGTTCACTAGAAGCCCAAACCCCAGCATCGCCTATTATATTTATGTAACAAACCTGCACATGTACCCCCTGGATCTAAAATAAAATAAAGTTGGCATTTTATATCTTGCTCTTTAATTTAAAAAAACTAACACACAAAAGCCAAAGCTTCTAAATTTAGTAGGTTTTATTTTTATCACTAGGTCAGTGATTCTTTATAGAAAATAACATGTTGAAATTTAACCTTAAAAAAAGACAAGATGAAAATAATATTTACATGGAAGATATACTTAAACATAAATCTCCTGAAAGTGAATAACACTGGGCAACATCAAAAAGAGGATGTGATTTGAAAGTAGTAAAATGCGTAAGAATCAAATTATAGATATCTATTTAACCCATGTTCTAGAAATATGTTTAAATAAGGAAAGCATAAAAATTATTTTACCAATAACTTATAATCCAGTACAGTAGAGAATGCGAAATATTTCTTATATCTCATCTATGGCTTAACTAACTGATGGCACCACCAAAGTCAGTTCCACTGACTGGCTGCAAATGTCCGCACAAGAATACTGCATGTCTGGAAGCCAGCACATATCTATGCTACTTCGTGGGTCAAAATGCCTCCAAGGTAATGAGAATATATTTAAGGTCATATTGTATGGTCAGTTCTTCCCACTTCACAAGTTGTTAGATCTCATGCTGTCTTCCAAATATTTCATGAACCTGTGATTTTACAGAAAATGAAGTGAAAGGATTGAGGTAGATCTTCCAAAAAAATGTAAACCATCCCCCACCCAAAAAAAATCCCCAATATTCTTGATATTTCAAGTGAAAAATGTTTTAGTTGACTGACTCATCTGGAAAATTACCTCAACTTTCCCTTCAGTTGGTACACACACAGTCATGGCTATAGAAACCAATTCTAATGCTGTATTTAGAAACTAATGATGCAGAGGCCGGGCGCAGTGGCTCACGCCTGTAATCCCAGCACTTTGGGAGGCCGAGGCGGGTGGATCACGAGGTCAGGAGATCGAGACCATCCCAGCTAACACGGTGAAACCCCGTCTCTACTAAAAATACAAAAAAATTAGCCGGGCATGGTAGCAGGCGCCTGTAGTCCCAGCTACTCCAGAGGCTGAGGCAGGAGAATGGCGTGAACCCGGGAGGCGGAGCTTGCAGTGAGCCGAGATCGCGCCACTGTACTCCAGCCTGGGCGACAAAGCGAGACTCCGTCTCAAAAAAAAAAAAGAAAGAAACTAATAATGCAGAAAGAATCCTAAAGACTTCACTGAAAATCTGGGGACACATTGTAGGTCCATTCCACATTGTTATTACATTCTAAACCTTATAGTTAAAAACATGTAATTTCATAAATACTTAAACACTGTCTACTCCGAAAGACTCCAAAGACTCCAAAAATATTTCTTAAAAATTTTTAGTTATGGAAAAGCAGGCATAAGTAAATTTTTCTTAAAAGGAAAAAATTTAAGTAATTGTAATACTTTCCTTACCATTATAAAACTGTGCATTGTAAGTATTACTGTATTATAAGCTAATGGCAATAATATATTATGGTAAATAGTGGCTTGCTTCATAGCAGAAAGTACACATAAACACACACTAATTACAGATTCAGTTACACTCTGATGTTCATTGTATATGCAATAAGACAGCAGTTGCATGTTAGCCGATGCCATTCACATATTCAACCAGCTAACAATACACTGCCAGCTCATCACACACAGGTATCCAGAGCACTTCATTGACAAGAAGAATTTATCCAGAAGCAAGTGGCAGGGTAGTTGTGGCTGCTGACTTGACCCAAGCAGCCAGCTAACAATACACTGCCTACCTGATTCAGGTCACTGCCGATTCTCGTGGCCCAGGCAGTCACTGAGGCTAAATTTGTAACATGAAACATAGTGGCAGAACTCTAATCTTAATAGTCACATTAAAGAAAACTTATACACAAAATGTATTACTTCAAGACTATAAGAAATAAAATCAATATTTGCTTGAATCTAGTCAAAAACATAAAAGTTAAACAAAAACTTTAAAACTTTCAGAATACTTACATTTAGGTTTTCCAAATTAAATGCTTGGATAAAAATATGTTCTACAGTACAAATGAATTTTAAAAGTTACTTAACTGTAGGCTGGGCGCAGTGGCTTATGCCTGTAATGCCAGCACTTTGGGAGGCCAAGGTTGGCTGATCCCCTAAGGTCACAAGTTCAAGACCAGCCTGGCCAACATGGTGAAACCCCGTCTCTATTAAAAATACAAAAATTAGCCCAGCGTGGTGGTGCTGCCTGTAATCCCAGCTACTCAGGAGGCTGAGACATGAGAATCACTTGAACCCGGGAGCTGGAGTTTGCAGTGAGCCGAGATTGCACCACTGCACTCCAACCTGGGCAACAAAGTGAGACTCTGTCTCAAAAAAATAAATAAAAAGTTACTTAACTATAGCTTTTCAAATCACTTCTGTTTACTGATCCAAAGACTACTTGTCTGTATTAGACAGTAAAATATCTAGGAGTCGTGATAATACATAAGCTGTGCACGACACAAAACTGCAGCAGTGTTTGGGGGAAAAAATCAACATTAAAGTATTTAAGAAATGTAAGGGCTTAAATGCAATTAGTTTTCTCCTACTAGAAATGACATTAGTAATCGAGTTCTGAAAATGCAATTATGTATTCAATATAGGATGTTACCACTTGAATACTGAATTTTTTTTTTTAAGAGGCAGGGTCTGGCTCTGTCCTCCAGGCTGGAGTGCAGTTGTGCAATCATAGCTCACTGCAGCCTTGAACGCCTGGGCTCAAGCAATCCTCCTGCCTCAGGCTCCCAAGTAGCTGGGACTACAGGCACATGTCATCATGCCCAGCTAATTTTTGCAGTTTTTTTATAAAGACAAGGTCTCCCTGTGTTGTCCAGGCTGGTCTTGAAGTCTTGGCCTCAAGTGATCCTCCTGCCTCAGCATCCCAAAGTGCCGGGATTACAGGCATGAGCCACAGTGCCTAGTTGCAAAATTTATATAAGATCTAGAAAAATCTATTAAAATGGTGGTGGATTTGGAACTAGAATCTCTGCGTACAGGTCAAAGGAAGATGAACTATTGAGCCTAGAGAGAAGCATGGTAAATGGTGACAGAGATTTAAAGCAGATGAAGGCTCTTTATGAAACACGTTTATAAAACCATTTAAATTTGTTTCCTTTTACACTGATTACAGGAGACACTAAAGACCTTTGGGTTTGGTCTTTCAAGGAGAACAGGTACTACATTGGATCAACTTTAAATTGCTCACGTTAAGAACCATGGTTTATGCCACTTCTCCACATTGTCCACAAGATGGCACCATTTCCATTTCTTTGGGGGGCGTGCTTCTGAATGCAACAGAGAGGAGTGCAACTAGCAACTGTTAAAATCATTAACAGCCGCTAGCAATACACTGCCTACCTGACACATCCCAGCTTTATCCTTTGCTGTGGAGGCAGAAACTAGAAAGTACGATTCAGATGCAAACGATTGCATTATTTGTCTGGGATCTTCAGTTTCATAAAGAAATTTTTTTTAGTATGTAATAAGATACTAAAATTCTCATATTTTCAGACCAGCTCAAACTTCCTACAAATACATTATTTACCAAGAATTCGTTTGTTCAAGATCAGAATTAAAACAGAGAACAAGAACAAGCCCTGGACTCACGTTGGCGGAATCTTGACTTCTCTTCTGCTTCAAGTCTTTGGAGAGCACACGCATGATACTTTCCTTTGAAAACACAGATAACATATTGAGGGAGAAACTATTTAGGAAAATCATAATTTCAGGTGTGGAATTTTTCTAGATCTTGTGCTTGTCAGATTACACTTTTTTTTTTTTTTTTTTTTTTTTTTGGCAACTAGGCACCTTCAGAATATAACTAAATTACATCACTCAAATTTACGACCAGGGCTTAGAGTTTCGTACCACCTCTTGGTCCTAAACAGATATTATGAACGGGGCCTTCGGCCCCGCATTAGAGAGTTAGGGAGAATGCAGAAAAGGGTGTTACTCACCCACAGCATCTCCTCTTCCGTGCGGACCCTCCGAGGCGCGGTGCGCTCCAGTTTCCACTCCATCTCCGGCTGACTTCGCCCTGCCTGGCGTTTGGCCTCTCTGCTCGACTGCCTCTGGTTTTCTTCCCAGGTCTAAGTCAGTCTTGACGCCTAATCGTCAAACCCCTGGAGTCCCGTCCCCCAGGACCATTCTATTTCACCACCTCCCTCCAGGTCCCCCACTCCTCCCACCGCCGCTGCAAGGTGTTCCCCAGGGTACCATTTAAAAAGCCGGCGGGGCGGCAGTCGGCGCGGGAATCCCCCTCGCCGGCTTCTTATTGGCCGGCGCCGCGGTGTCGTCAGAGCCCGGGTGGGATTCCCCGGCGCGCGCCGCGGCCCCGCCCCTGCCGGCCCTCTCTGGGCCCCGCCCCGCCACCGCCTCCGGCCGAGGCGCGCACCCGGGCGCCAAGCTTTGCCGCGAGCCGTGGCGGGCCTGCGGCTGGGCCTGGCGCCGGGGGCTGCCACCGCGGCAGGAGGCGGAGGGGTTGGCGGGCGAAGAAGCGGGTTCTGGGAGTTCACGATCTTTCCATTTTCAGAAACAAGAATGTTTCCTTATAACGGCCCTGATCCCTGTTCCTCTGCACCCACTTCTCTTTCTCCAACCACACCCTGCCTTTGCAGGATCCGAGCGTGCACAGCTCTCCGGCCTCTGTCCGTTGGTAATCGCTGTGTCAGCTATAGATGTGAGGCGTGTTCGTCAGCTCTTCGTTTTCAGAAGGCAAGAAAACGTGGCAAGATTTCTATGCCGATCAAAAGGGAGAGCGTTGACATATTTATGCAATAAATTATTCCCTGCTCTATACATTGGGAGTAGTCAGGTCCTCTCACTCGGGCTTCTGAGCCCTGTTCCTTAGCAGGGGGTAGGTGAGAGAGGTGAAGAGGTAGTGAAAGAACCAGTGACAGGCAGGACCTCATAAGGCGTGAAGAGGGGGCCAGAAAGCTGAGCACACTGGGGACTCCGTGATAAAGGGGGAGAGGAAGATATTGAGGGTTGAGGAAGAGGTCTGGCGGGAAATGACAGGGAACCAGATGGGCTGTGCAGCCTTAGCTGCCCATCTGAGCTGCCAAGAGAGCCGAGTTGTGCCATATGGCAGGAGGGGACACTGCATCTGGGAAGCCTCTGACAGCCTGGCAGCCTGTTTGTCCCTCCCTTGCTAACCCCCCAACCATTTTTGACATTGGATTGTATTTTGCTCTAAGGCAATGTGAGTTTGTGTGTTTTTCTGGGGAAACAGTTCATAGATAGCAGATACTCAAAAGGGTCAGTGATCCAAAAAAAAAAAAAAAAAAAAACCTAAAACTCACTCCCCTGCTTTCCTTCATACTGAAAGCAAGAAAAAATGGCATTAGAACTAAGACCCAATCTTAGACCAGTTTTCTATGTACAATAATAATGCTGCATAGGGTAACTTAATCTTCAAATGACATATATCAAAATGTTTGATAGTCAAATAACTAGTGGATTAAAAGATCTCTAAGTTTCACCCACAAGAAGTCTATTTTCCTTGCAGTGGAGTACTCATTCCAAATTCCAGTAAATCTTTCAGCAAACATTAAGACTAAATAAAAGTAAACTATTATTGGATGAGAGTCAGATGCATTGTTAATTTAAATGATCAGTTTTGCAAATGCCAACTAAAACTCAAAGTATATTGGAAATAATATGAAGGACATATTATCTTTGTTCTATTTTTAAATATAGTTTACATTTAACCATTTTGTATAAACACAGAATAAAAGCAATTCAACTAATAAGCTCATAAATCCATGTAAATTGGGATTTTTAGAATCCAATTTCTTACAAGTACTAAGAATAGTGAATCATTCATTTAGAATGCAATTATCTGTAAAAATACATTTATAAATTCCATTATAGCCATTAATTCCACAGCATACATATACACAGCCTCCAAATGTCTTTTTTTCCCCTAGTGTGAAGTAGAGAAAGTATTAGTCAAATATCTTTAGGAAGTAATTATGCAGTTGAATATTCAGATTAAAACTTAACTTCAGAATGATGGAAACAGAAACTCGCCACTTGGCAAATATTACAGTAATAACTGTCAAGAATACTAAAATTACCTTGCATATGATGAGAATACTTCCCCCTATAATTAAACACAAAAAATAAAATCACAACTTTTCACTGGCCAAAACTGGCAGAGACCACCTTAACCAAGTGATCAAAGTTAACATCACCATTAGTGAGACATGTTGACATACTGTGCCTCATGAGAAGGACACATCACTTCTGTGATATTTTTGCCCCACAAAATGCATAACCTTAATAGTGAGAAAATACTAGACAAACCCAAATTAAAAGACTTTCCACAAAATTGGCCAGTACTTTTCAAAAGTATCATAGTCATCAATAAAGAAAGAGTAAGAAACTGTCACAGATTAAAAGAAACAAGACATGCCAACCAAATGCATTGCGAGGTCCTGGATTGAATCCTGGACCACAAAAAAGAAGATATTGGTTAGATAACTGTAGAAATTTGAATTGATCCATATCTGCAGATTAGTTAATAGAGTAGTAGTAATGCTGATTTCCTAGTTATGATTATTGTACTATAGCTATATAAAATGTTAAGATTTGTGAACGCTGAGTGAAGGATATAATGGAATTATTTGTACCATTTTTGTAACTTTTTTCTAAGCCTGAAATTATTTCAAAATGAAAAATATTTAACATCATGTGGTCATTCTATTAAAAAGCACTTTGGTAAGACTGTTTGGGGAAAACAGAAACATCCTGTAAACATATTATCTTAATTTTTATCAAATATGGTTTAGGAACAATGTCCAATTCAAATATTTATGCGCCTAAGAGTAGCTTTACTATCTTTCAAATGTTTCCTCTTTGAGAATGGGTTTTGCAGGGAGGATGTGACAATGAGAAAGGCTGTGAGGAAGACTCCTGGACAAAGGCCAATAAGAAGGATTTTGAGGAAAGAAAGGCGACAGGAGCGAGGGGAGGTGGACTAGTGGAGGAAGGGAGAGAAAGAATTTGGAAAAGCTTCCCTTAACTCTCAAAGTCGCCGGTGCTCTGAGAATCTCAGTAGGTCCCTATCAATGGGAAGCAAGAGGATATTCAAGCTTCCCAAATGCGATCTCTTTTTTTTTTCAATTACACTTTCATTCTAAACATCAAGAATGTTAAATATCTCAAAAATATGCCATATACATGGGCTCGCTTCAGCGGCATATGCACTGAATGTGCAATATACCAAGTACACTCCCTTCAATCCGCTCTCCCAACCTCCTCCTTCCCCGACCTTCGTCAGACCCTTTTCAATGTATTTGCACGTGCACACATAGAGTCTGGCCCTGTGGATCTTTCCCCACAAATGAGATCTCATTATACTTATCATTTTTCAACTTGTTTTCTCTAATTCACTGTATTCAACTAATTTCCGAGCAGTGCAAACCGGAGAGCTCCCCATTCCCAGCGCCAACGGCAGGTTTGCGCGCCCCTCCGGCCCGCGGTTACTCCCCGCCCTGCTCCAGGCTGGTGCCTCGCCCTCAGCCCGCTCGCGCCTGGCTACGCCCGCGCCCGCGCCCGCTCCCGCCCCTAGCTTCTGCGCGCCGCCCTGCAGCCCCTGCGCGCGCCTACTGGGCCAAAGGGACGGTTGGGAGTTTGCTCCAACTGTCCCTGGGGCACGCCTTCCCCGCCCAGCAGGGGTTGGGGAACGCGAGCTGGGAGTGTGAGGGAAAGCGCCACGCCAGTGGGGGCTGATACAGCTCCAGCCTGTGCGGGGCAGGCGTTAGACTGCAGAAGGGGAGAGCTTAGGATAACCGCACTCAGGTGGCGCAAGGAAGTCAGCCACGAAGAAAAAGAAAGGGAAGGAAAAACATCGTCCCAGACTGATAAACTCTCTGCTCCCCGGTGTAACGTCGCTCAGTATAGCGAGAGCATGGATGGACGAATGAAGCCCTCTTGATGCAGACTATCCAAAAATTTAATTTACAAAGGGCTCCAAAAATTTAAATTGCAAAGGTTCCAGCAGTGTAAAAGCCTCAGTCAGAAGAGTGGTCAATAAAGTAGCACATCACCTCTGGTTACATGGCTTATTACTTATTTTTTCGATTACAAGTGGTTCGTGTATATGCATATTTTTCTATTACTGCCTGATTTCTAAGTACAGTACAGGGTCTGTCCTTTAAAATTATTTCTCCATTCATACCCAAATTAACAAGGATAGAGGGAAAGGTTTGCCCAGCTTCACTGCATGAAAATCTTAAGATCACTTCCAACCACTTATTTCCTTTAGGGCATTTTTCCTTTCACATCCTCCTTAGGGTCGTTCTTGCATAGGGTAACTGCCCAAATAAGGTAGTTCTCTACCATTTTAAGGCAATGCAAAGAAAATTTTAAAATGAAATTAATTCAAATCTGTATAAAACAATGGATGAAATCAGGCATATGAAAATGATCCCCTCTCAAAGAAAAGCTGGTTCATGAATGCTCTAGACCTGAAAATCTGTTTTCACTAGATATTCTTCCAGAACTTCAAATGCAACATAATCCAAAACAGAATTGAGAATCTTTCCTTATTCCCATTCTGCCCAGACCATCTATCTATTCCTCCCTCTGTGTGCCGTTGCCAGTATCACCATCTTCCTGGTGGAGCAGAGGCAAAGTCAGCTTTCCTTAACTCTTTCCCTTCCCCCATATGCCCAAATCCACCTATCAAATACATTTTCCCCTCTGCTGTGTTGATTACACCTGCCCTCTTCTTAAACAATAACGATAACCTGATAATCTCCATCTATTCCTTCTCCAGTCCGTTCATTTAACATATGTCTTTGCACCCAGCAAGTGTCATGCACTATGCAAAGAAGTAGAGATCCAATAATAAAGCCATAAAAGGCAATAAGCTTTATCTTAAGCTAATCATATTTCTCCCCTGCCCCAAGTCCCTTGAAAAACCTTCTTTTTTTTTCTTTTCTTGTTTTGAGACGGAGTCTTGCTCTGTCGCCCAGGCTGGAGTGCAGTGGTGCGATCTTGGCTCACGGCAAGCTCCGCCTCCCGGGTTCAGGCCATTCTCCTGCCTCAGCCTCCAGAGTAGCTGGGATTACAGGCGCCCGCCACCACGCCCGGCTAATTTTTTGTATTTTTAGTAGAGACTGGGTTTCACCGAGTTAGCCAGGATGGTCTCGATCTCCTGACCTCGTGATCCGCCCGCCTCGGCCTCCCAAAGTGCTGGGATTACAGGCGCGAGCCACCGCGCCCGGCCTTTCAACACTTAGAATTAAGTTCTAAGTTTCTAATTCACATAAAACCCCTTTAGGACTTAACTTCTCTCTGCCTTTCTCTCATAATCTCCCACAACACCACCAACACCTCCTATCTTCAGATGTACTTGATACTAGCACTCTCTTGCCTTCAGGTCTTTGTTGAGGCTGCCTTACTTTTGGATTGTCTTTTTTCTTATCTCTTCCTGGCAAATTCTTACTCTCAAATTTCAGCCACCTTTTCCAAAGAGCCTTCTCAAATCAAATCGTGCTAGTTAGAATTTCTTTATCTTCCCTCTGTTCCCATACCATATTGTTTGTACTTCTAGTCTGCTTACTTCCAGATTTTGTGTGTGTGTTACATACATTCTCCAGTATATTGTAAGCTCCAAGAATACAAGAATCTTGTGTTTTTCATCTTGATTTCCTCTTCAGAGATCGGCTCAGTGCTTTGCGCATAGGAAGTTTTGCACTTGGTTGGTGATCAATAATTTGTTCAGTGAACCAATTTGTAGATGAGATTAGAACATTTTCCAAATCATGGAAGTGGCAATATAGAATCACAAAAGAAAGACTTTCACATGCCATATTTGGAATGTGATAAACTCAGTTTTAAGAAATATGTGAGTTAAAAAGTATGCAGGTCCTAGGCCTGACACCTGCTAATTGTATAACTTGAAACATGTTATTCTACCCCTTGAAGTCTCAGGTTCCTCAACTGTAAAATAGGATAATTATTATCTACTGTACAGATTTATGATGAGGATCAAGAGAGAAAATACAAAGCTTCTAAAAGTATACATTTCTTTCTTTGAGAATGAAGTGGTGGAACTTAGATGACTAAGTAAAATGAGTATTTGGATAATAAATATGTCTTTATAAAGCACTTCCAGAAGACACTATCCTTAGGTCCAGAGCCATATACTAGGTACGTGGCACATAGTAGGTGGTCAATAAATATAATATGAGTGAATTCTAAACCTCCAACTCAGTTCCTTAACTAGTAATATACTAAATCAAGAGAAATCCATATGGCTAATCTAGTTAGATGGTTATGTCACCAGAGAATAAACATTTGCATTTAAATGTATTCCAATTCTGTGCCCACCAGGCAACCACTTGATTTATGACTTAAGGTTAAGTCTGGGAAGACTTGCTTCTGAAAGGGAAGGGTCCTGATTCTAGATAGCTACATACCTCCAATGGTAAGTGAATTGGATTCTGGCTTACCTACCAGACTCGAGCTTAGTTAATGTAAGTCAGTATCCAATGATTGCTATGTCTTGATAATAGTTCTGGAGAAGTAGATTTGAACCAGAGTGGTGAATTAAACAATGGCGTTCTCTCCGGACCAGATATTCTTGCTCTGCCATTAACTTGCAGTATAATTTTGGTCAAGTTACTCTTCCCCAGAAGTCTGGTTACTTATAAAATGAAGACATTAAACAGAGGAAACTCTAATATTCTTTCTACCTCTGTATCATTATAGTTCACGAATTACCAACCAGAGTGACCTCAGCATGGAACTTCCCAACTGGGAAGCTATCTGGAATCACAGCCAATCAGCCTCTCAACATGTCTGATCATGGCAACACTAAAGTCCACAGAAAGAGTACCCACGAACACATAAGAAGTTAGTTTTCTAGAGCTTAACATGCAGTGAAGCAGAGCAACACCAAGGGGCAATTTGGAGTTTTAAGCCCTAAAACCCGGGCTCCTTTCCAGAGGGTGAAATGTTGAAGAAACAGTTTAGATAAACTCATACACAAAAAAGTTGACTAATTTAAAGATCAATACTTGTTCTTTTTTAACTTATTTTATGATTGCTCTTATGCCTTCTTTTTCCAAGTTTTCCAGGGACTACTGATACTTTAGATATAAATCTTCTGCTTTTATAGTAAGCAAAAGCAAGGTTGCTCTTTGTCCCAGATTACCTCAACCTGTAAAATGGCATGCTGCAAACCAATTCTGAGCCCAGATAAAAGAGTCATCAAGATTTCACATTCTTAGCATGTCCAGCAAGACATGTAGGAACATGAGAGACCATGGAGGAGTGTCTTCCAAAACAAATGTTAGGGCTTCTGCCCCTAGTGAATTTTACTTTTAGTGATTTTTATCTCCTCTAAACTCAGAATGACATAAAATATGCGCCCTCTTGCCCCTTTGCTTCTTTGTAGCATAGAGCTGTGGGAAGAACACAGGCTTTAGAGTCAGAGAACCTGTTGGAATCCTGGCTTTTCCATCTACTAGCTGTGTGAACTTAGCCAAGTCATTAACACTCCCTTCCAGAGCCTCAGCTTCCTCATCTGCAAAATACTAATAATATCTATTTCATATGTTGCTGTGAAGACCAGATGGAAAAGAAATTGAGGCCAGGAGCGGTGGCTTACGCCTGTAATCTTAGCACTTTGGGAGGCCAAGGCCGGCAGATCACCTGAGGTCAGGAATTCGAAACCAGCCTGGCCAACATGGCAAAATCCCTTCTCTACTGAAAATACAAAAAGTAGCCAGGCGTGGTGGTGCACACCTATAATCCCAGCTACTCGGGAGGCTGAGGCACAAGAATCACTTGAACCCAGGAGGTGGAGGTTGCAGTAAGCCGAGATTGTGCCACTGCACTCCATCCTAGGTGAGAGCAAGTCTCCATCTCAAAAAAATAAAAAGTAAAAAGAAATTGAGAGAAAACTTTGTAAAAGGCAAGAAGCAATCACTAAAAACTGGAAACAACCCATATCCACCAAAATGCCTTTCGTCTGTTGAATGAACAAGCAAACTATAGTAAATCCACACAATGGATTCAACAACACAAAAGAATGAACTATTCATACAAGCAACATCATGGATGTATTGGGAATGCAATATGCTCATTGAAAGAACCAGACTCAAAAGGCTACATATTATATGGTTCAACTTATAGGACAATCTGGAATAGACAAAACTATGGGGACAGGAAATAGATAAATGATTGCCAGGGAGGAGCTAACTACAAAGGAGCATAGGGAATTTTTTTAAATGATGGAACTGTTCTATATCTTGATTGTGGGGTGGTTATAGGACTGTAGGCATTACTGTACACTCATAAAACTATTCACTAAAAACAAGTAAATTTTACTCTATGTAAATTGTACCATTATTTTTAAATGGTTTTTTAAAAGGAAGAACCATATCAAAATTTGTTGTGTTTCTGCAACTTCTTACACTCTACACACATGTTCTGTATTCTGATTTTTATTTCAGTATTCAAGACCAATGAATGAAATATTTGGGTCAAGATAGAAGAAAACAACAGCTGAATTGCTGTAAGAATGCCCATGCTAACTTTGCCATATACACTGCTTACTGGTGCCATATTCCAGAACTACGTTGTAAAGCCCCAAGACACACAGACTATTTACAGAGCTCTATATGCAACCACAGAGGGCCATTGCCCCATGTGAGTACATCAGTGGATGATGTTCCCTCCATGTTTCAAGAGACTATTCTATATGTAATTCTCTCCTTTTGCCACATCAACATCCGAATTACACATTGTAGGGAGAAAATTCAATTCAACATACCATGATATAATCAGTTCCCACTTATCTGCTAATAGAGGAAAATTGCTTTAGATATTATATAGAAGCAATCCTGAAATCTCATTTAAGCAATAGTTTCATCCATGTCATCATTCTACCATCATTTGTCAGAATTCCAAATGCAGTTGATATCTTTTGTATAATTTTGCTTTTACCTCCTCCCTTGTTCATCTTGTTCATTATTTTTTTGGATGCACCAAGAAACAATAAAACACTAGACAGGAGGCATCAAAAGAGAAGCAGATCTGTATATAGCCCACAATAGATAAACCCACAGGTACTTAAGTGTTTACACTAGTAAGTAGACTTACGAGCTTCAGCACTGCCCTGAACAGATGCCTTCATTTCCTCATGATTCTACAATTTCCCCTCAAGTCAAAAAAGTCAGTGCATGATGTTCTTTTAGTTATTTTTAAATGGGACACTGTTTAAAGAAAAACATACTCAAGAGATTCTCACAAGCCTGGGATTTTTAAATTTAGTGACCAAGGATGAATTTTCTCTCTTTAACTCTTCATATTGTCTTCGTATTCTATTATTGGATATTTGCTAAATGACCACAATGTACTTAGTAATGTGCCAAACATAAAAGCTTTATAATCTAACTTCTGACTTATCAACTCAGTGCAATTTATTATTGACTTTTTTATTTTTATTTTTTATCTTTTATATTTATTTTCATTTAGACCCATCAGCAGGAGGCAGCTCAGTGCAATTTAATGGAGCAAGTGTAGGCCAGCTGAAGCCCTAACTTTTCCTATATGACTTTAGGCAAGTTTCCTCACCTGCAGGGATTAAATGGCCCATATAGTTATGAAGTTCTGAGACTAACTCTGTCATATGAGGGGTTCGTGAAAGAGGGATAGCCAAGGATTCCAACATGAATCTCAAGAGTTAAAATAAGTCAGAGTTGAATAGTGGTCTTCAGATTTTCTAAGGTACAAAAGAGGCCACTATTACTTCATTATATTTTAGTCCTTTTATTTTATTTAATCCTTTCTCAATCCTCATCAAATTGAATCTTTAAAGAAAAGATGCTAGACCATTTGGGGTTCCCATACACCAGTACACAATAATAGTGGCAGCTTCTATACAAGAAAGTGGTATCATTTCTTGCAAATAGTGTAGAAAGTATTTGTGTCAGTGTATCACTAATACGAAGAAATAAGGTTTTATAGGTAAATTGGAAATACTGTATTGTTCATATCTACAGGGAAAATATTTTGCTTTTTTGGTTGATTCCAGGTTTTAACTCTGTTAAAAAATGATATAAGTAAATATGTACAGAGGCATATATGACATATATATATACACACACATATGTATAAACATCTGTTGCTGGTGTTATTATTACAATGAAAAGGGTGACTTTCAAGATACCTTAGGAATTAGCTCTGATTTTAAGAGATGACAGTTAATTTATTATTTAAATAAATTGGGCAATGCCTATAAATACAAATTTAAACTAAAACTCTGCTTCTTTTGGTGCTTATTAATCACTTCTGCATCCATAACTAAAATACAAAATAAGAGTAAAGAGATTCATAGGGGTCAAAATGGCTTATTGCAGTTTAATATTAACATTTATTTTGCTCTCAAAGAATCTTTGCCTAATTAGTCTGTTTATGCTACTATAACAAAATACCATAAACAGGGTAGTTTATGAACAACAGAAATATCTTTCTCACAGTCTGGAGCCCAGAAAGCCCAAGATCAAGTTGCCAGCAGATTCAGTGTCTGGTGAGGACATTTCATGGTCTTAGATGGTGCCTTCTTGCTGCATCCTCACATGGTGGAAGTGACAAGGGGACTCTTTTATAAGGGCACTAATCCCATTCATGAGGGCTCCACCCTCATGACCTAATCATCTCTCAGTGGTCCCACCTCCTAATACTATCACCTTGGGGGTTAGGATTTCAACATGTGAATTTTGGGAGAATCTAAACATTCAGAACATAACGCTAATGTAACTTTTATTTCAATGCTACTAGAAATATAGTACAATTAAGAATTTTTGACTTATGTGAATGATTCTCTTCCCACACTCCAGTTTGTTAAAAGGAAAACTGAGACACAATGAAATTTTAAAGAGTTTATTTGAACAAATAACAATTAGTGATTGGGATAATCAATATCTCAAATTTCACCTTTGAAAAAGTAAAGGCAGTATTATTACAGAGTCCACTTATTAAAGACTTTCTTCACTAGCCCAATAGCTATTATGGGCTTATCATTTGTATTTTGTAGTTGTATTAGTTGCTTTTAAGATATCTTTCTGTCATCTAAAATACTCAAAAGATTTGAAAAAGAGTCAACATATCTGTAAGCATTAATTCCATGGTATCAAAATCCAAAATTACCCCTACAGTTTATAACAATACATCAATTACCAAAATAATACTTCATTAGACTACATGTAAAATCTATACATATTCTAAAAGCAAAAACTCACAAACTAACAAAAATCATATCTTCCAAGTAAAGGATGCTTATGGTGGAGAGTGAAAAGTGATGATTAAAAAGGACCACCAGCTGGGTGCAGTGGCTCACCCCTGTAATCCCAGCACTTTGGGAGTCCAAGGCGGGTGGATCACGAGGTCAAGTGATCGAGACCATTCTGGCCAACAGGGTGAAACCCCATCTCTACTAAAAATACAAAAAGTAGCTGGGCATGGTGGCACACGCCTGTAGTCCCAGCTACTCGGGAGGCTGAGGCAGGAGAATCGCTTGAATCCGGGAGGTGAAGGTTGCAGTGAACCAAGATTGTGCCACTGCACTCCAACATGGCGACAGAGCTAGACTCCTTCTCAAAAAAAAAAATAAATAAAAGGACCACCATAAAATAAAGAATTGGGAGTTTTAATTTACTGCAAGCTAGTATGAGTCAATAGGATGATGTTGATAAAACTACCATAAACATTTTAGACTTTATTCATAGAAATGTAATGTCCCCAAAAGAGAAATGATTTTTCTTCCTTTGTACTGGACAGACCCTAACTGTAGATATTACACTTGAGTATAATACTTTATAATGGATATTGAGAATCTCATCCAGAGAAACCTCACAAGTATATTAAAGTATCTAAAGGTCATGTCAGAAAAAAAAATTACATTAACTAGGAAAAAATCATATTAACTAGAAAGCAAATCTCTCATCCAAGTACTAACCAGGCCCAACCCTGCTTAGCTTCTGAGATCAGATGAGATTGGGCACATTCAGGGTGGTATGGCTGTAGACTAGGAAGCAAATCTGAAGAAAATAAACCCAAGTCTGACTTCTGGGCAACCAACCCTGTAACACCATCCATCTGCACTTCTTCCTCTGCAATAGAGAAGATATCCCTCCTCCTAAGGTTAATTTCTCCAAGAACTTTACCATTTTCTCATGGTCCATGCTGTAGTAGTACCCTCCATCTCTCCTCATCTGCAAGCTCTCCCTCTTTGTTGGATTCTTCCAATAAGCATTTAAATGTTTTCAAATCTCCAACTATTGTTCCAGGCTATCCTTTCCACAGCTAAGATTCTCAAAAGATTTGTCTACATGCACAATCTCAATTTCCTAACTTTAGCTCATCCTCAATCTATTCACCATCATTTCCCCATTGCTACCTTCAAAAGGTCTCATTTTTCATCTTACTTGATGAAAAAGGAATATTGCTCAGGAGAGAAATGATTTTTCTTCCTTTGTACTAGACAGACCCTATCTGTACATATCACAATTGAGTGTCATACTTCATAATGGATATCAAGAATCTCGTCCAGAGAAACATCACAAGTATATTAAAGGAATTCATCATCTTCCTTGATGAAAAGGAATATTGCTTCCTCCAAAGGAGGAATTCACCACTTCTTCCTGCTTAAAATTTTTTCTGTTTTTTAAATCAACACTACACATTCCCAGTTTTCCTCCTTCTCAGTAATCATTACTGGTTTATCCTTCTTGTTAGGCTTTGGAAATGTTTAAGTTTTAAATGGTATGCTGGTAAAACAGCTTTGGGGCACCAGGTTAGGCGGGAGGAGGAAGACCTGATTTGAAGCAATTGACAATTTCTGTGGTGTAAATACTCCTACCATAGCTGATTTCAAGCTCCCAACATTATATCACTGAACAGAGTCGGGAAGAGAAGAGCCGAATTGGCTCGTGGAACGGTACAAACCAGCTACAGCTCAACACTAGAGGGCTTTTTTTTTTTTTTTTTTTTGAGCCGGAGTCTCGCTCTGTCGCCCAGGCTAGAGTGCAGTGGCGCGATCTCGGCTCACTGCAAGCTCCACCTCCCGGATTCACGCCATTCTCCTGCTTCAGCCTCCGGAGTAGCTGGGACTACAGGCGCCCACCACCGCGCCCGGCTAATTTTTTGTATTTTTAGTAGAGAGGGGGTTTCACCGTGTTAGCCAGGATGGTCTCGATCTCCTGACCTTGTGATCTGCCCGCCTCGGCCTCCCAAAATGCTGGGATTACAGGCGTGAGCCACCGCGCCCGGCCAGAGGGCTTCTTCTAACACTGTACTCCATAAGCAGTCTCGACCTGGTGCATAGTGTCTGTGATCCATACCTAATCCAGACCAGTAGGCTTCCCAGGCATCTCAAACTTCTATTCACACTGAACCTTCCTCCCAAATCTTGGCCTCTAATGTCATCCAAGCTGGAGTACAGTGGTGTAATCATAACTAACTGCAGCCTCGACCTCTTAGGCTCAAGCAATTCTCCAGCCTCTACCTCCTAAAGTGCTGGGATTACAGGCTTGAGCCACTGCATCTGGCCATAAAGCTTTCTTAAGAGCACATAGTACAATACCAGACACGTGGTATGTGCTTAGTAATCTATGATTATCATGGGGGCCGCTTCCACTATAATTTGTATGCCCTAGAGCATAACTGCCCAATAGAAGTATAATGCAAGCCACGTAAGTAATCTTTCAAACTTTCTAGTAGCCACAGTAAGAAAATTTAAAATAAATAGGTAAAATTAATTTAAATAATATATTTAATTTAATGTAACATATATGAAATATTATAATTTCCACATATAATCAATATAAAAAATATTGAGATATTTTATGATTTTTTGGCATTAGGTCTTTAAAATCCTTTGTGTGTTCTACATTTATAGCAAATCCCGATTTGTACTAATCTGCATCTCAAGTGCTCAATAGCCACATGTAACTAGTGGCTACCTAAGACAATGTAGCCCTAGAGAGTTCTAGGAGCTCTTCCCCTCCTCTTCCCAAGGTTGTTTAATCTGACCCATGCTGACTTCCTATACCAGTTGTTCATCCATTGGGTACTATTTCAAGCACTAGAATTTATTGTTTAGTCCCATTTTTAATTCAATATAGTGGATAATTTTCTTATAAGATTGGTTAAAAGAACCAATTATCAAAGGAGATTGTTAAACCTCTTGGAGATATATAAAAATTCCATAATTTACATATGATGATCTAAGTATGGTGTTGCAAAACAGAATAAATAGGAAATTATATGTATTTCATTTCTAATCAAATTTTTAATGCCCCATTTCAAAATTTAAAGGCTAGCAGTTTGTCTTCTGCTTTGAACACAACCAGGCAGAAATCAGAGTAAACATGCTCATGACAGTCAAACTTAAACATCGTCATTAACACACCTGATCTTCAGGTACTTGGCCCAACCTTCTCCAATAAAGATGCATTTGCACTAAATTAAAACGAACACTTTCTTTCCTGAAGGTGGCACTGTGAACATGGAAAGTAATTAGCTCTCTTCACATTATCCAGGATTGTGGGCCTATTTTATCAGATTGAAAAAAAAAAAAATGCAAAATAGGCCAAGCACGGTGGCTCACATCTGTAATCCCAGCACTTTGAGAGGCCAAGGCAGGAGGATGTTTTGAAGCCAGGAATCAAGACTAGCCTGGGCAACAGAGTGGGACATCATGTCTACGAAAAATTTAAATAAAAAAATTAGCCAGGAGCAGTGGTACATGCCTGTAGTCCCAGCTACTTGGGAGGCTGAGGTGAGAGGATCACGACCCTGTCTCAAAAAAAAGAAAAAAACAAATTATATACATCTCAGTTATTCTGATGTCCTTGATAATTTAAATTGCTATTTTCCTTTCATTTTGATTCTTCTTCCTTCCTTTTTGAGATCAAATGTATTGTCTATACTAACTGGGCCCATTGACTTTTTGAGTGAGTTTTTATATTAAGATGTTGTTTTCTTTTTTAAAAAAAAAAAACCTAACAGCTAAAATTTATTGAATGCTGTTTTCAACCACAATACTAAGCACTTTAAATACTTTATAGCATTTTTGTACTTCAGTGGCAAAATGAAGGCAGGAACTATTTTAAAAGAGTAGTTAATTCCCACAACTCCAACTGACATGATTTTGCTAGGAAAATTTAGAGTTTATAAACTTGTTTCTCTGCTTTTCTTCTGGGACAGCATATAGGGAGACAAGATATGATGTTTGTCTTTATTAACTAGAGACTTGACTAAGAGCTTTTATTTTGTTACCTGCTACAAAAAAAAAGAAGAAGAAGAAGAAGAAAAAGAAGAAAAGGAAAAGAAAGGAAGAAATGAAGATCTAATTGGGACATTTTCTGTTTTTTTGTTAACAAACACATACCACCAACCCTCACCAGAATCAGATCTAGTTTAGGAAGGCACAAGCCAACTAAAATATTTTGTCATCAACTGTGGGAAGTTTTGACTCAAACAACCTAAAAGTTTGCAGTGACCTTACTGCTCAATAGGCTAAAATCTTAAACATCCCTCAAAGGTTGAGCCCACATAATTTGAATACATGAATTTGGTGTGTGCCAAAAGTGTGCTATCATTCTCAACTTTCCTATAGAGATTCTACAACTTTATCGCCTAAATGTTGAGTAAAAAGCAAAACAAAACAAAATAGAAACTTGAATCGCATCACTATTATGGAAAACTTACCCATCAGCTGCACCGCCAAATTCTCAGCTCATCATATTTAAATGAAACACTTCCAACTGTGCTTACCCAGTAAGCAAACATACCTGTGTAAATACAGAAGCATTTAGCTAACATTTCATACAGTTCAACTTAGCCAGTGGGACATAATTTCAACACAATTATGTTTACATTTTAGTAATAGGATACACAAGGACCTGATTTACTAGAGTAAGACAGTGAGGAAAAGCCCTTAAATTCTTCTTTATAAGAAGAAGAAACAAACAGTAGCATACTAGTAAAATGGATAGAATCACATGGCTGGTAATCCCTTTAGAAGTTTACAAAAATGAGCATAGTGACTATAGGCAGGACTAAACTATCCCGGTCTGCTCTCTCCTCTTTTGAAATGTCGTGATTATAATCAACTTTAGTTCAGAAAACATTTTTTCTTTAAACAGCACACACGACTGGGGAAATAGATCAATTAGATAACTTCCTCTGGGAGCTCTCAGGCTAGATGGGAAGAGGAGACATACACAATAATGACCCTAACACTGACACACTGTGAGAGTGATATCATGAAAACACAAGGTCCTATAGGATATTCTTTCTATGTAAATAAACATAAATGTAGCCATTCTTAAGCTTTCTCTTCTTAAGGTTAAATAATTTCAATTCCTATTTCCCAATGCTTTGTTTACTGTACACCTCTGAATCCTCAGGTTTCAATATTTATCTTAGATTATAGAACTCAAAACTGTACCACCATTATAAATGCCCAAAGGCTGAATTTGGGAAGAAATGCTTTACTTCCTTTAGTTTCCTCGCATTTTCTTCACTTTTGAAATAATTGTAGGGAAAGTTAATGATCCAGTGCATATTTGTTAAATATCCAACCACGAGGTATTGGTTGAATAAATTACTCCACGTCTATATAATGAAATCAAGTCATTAAAATATTTCAGAAATAAAAATCATAAAAGAATCATAAATACTATTAGAAGAAAAAGGAGGCACATATCAGGTTATAATTCTTATTTTAAGTATATATTTGTCTGTATATATACGCAAAGGAGCCTGGATGTTCCCATTAAGTGGGAGAAATATGGGTGTTTTATGTACACTTTTGCTTGCAGTTATTCATTTTGTAGCAAGAAAAAAAATAAGATGTTTCACTTGTAATATAATTATCAAAATTAAAGCAAATTTTAGAATCTCAGTTTATTAGCATAAGAGATTTTATCTATGAAATGAAGTATAAATTGTGTGTATGAGAGTATTCTTATATTCTTAGGACTTTTTTTTTTTTTTTTTTTGAGATGGAGTTTCACTCTTCTTTCCCAGGCTGGAGTGCAATGGTGCAATCTTGGCTTGCTGCAACTTCCACCTCCCGGGTTCCAGCGATTCTCCTGCCTCAGCCTCCTGAGTAGCTGGGACTACAGGTGCGTGCCACCATGCCCAGCTAATTTTTGTATTTTTTAGTAGAGACGGGGTTTCACTATGTTGGCCAGGCTGGTCACAAACTCCTGACCCCGTGATCTGCCTGCCTCAGCCTCCCCAAGTGCTGGGATTATAGGCGTTAGCCGCCGCACTGGGCCCATTTTTAGGACTTTTAAGCTAATTTTAGAAAAAACAAAATGTACCTGCTACATCATAGGCTACTCGTCACAAAAATCAGAACCTAGTCTATGGAGTAAGAAGGACGGGCTGTCTCCTGAATGGTGTGATTGGAGATTTGCCAGTCCTTTGGATTCTACAGACCCTTTTGGTTTTTAAGATTTCTCTTTTAACATGGACGTTTTCTTGGCTGTGTCCCATTTTTAAGTGTTATTTATTGGCATCTTAGCAGAAATTAGGTAAAAGCAAGAATCAAATAATGATAAACCCTGGGTATTATGGAGTGGAGGAGAGGTAGAGAGAGTAACAAATACGAGGAGGGTTTCGAGGGCCAAAAACAAGCTGCTCAAAACTTTACCGAGGCAGAAGGAATGAAAATTTCCCAAGTACTTGTGTTATCAAGTGAGAAAATGTGTGTAAGAGTACTTTAAAAATGTTAGAGCACTCTACAAATAATAGCTAACATTTATTAAACTCTACCCATGAATGTACATGGGCTCATTCACTAATGCAGTTATGCATAAAGCCTATGTACATGTGCCTATGAATGAAGTAGCTTCTGCCAGTATCTTCATTTTCCAAAGAGGAAACTGAGGCACAGAGAGGCTTAATAACATACCTACATCCCACAGCTAGTAGATGGCGGACCTAGCAGGAAAACCCAGTGGTCTGCGCCAGAGCACCTCTTAACCACTCGGATACTTTTTATTGAATGCTGCTGTTAACTAGGTTTTCTTGTCGCTTTCTTCAAAGGCACTAGGTTTTTTAAACAGCTTTATTAAGATGTAATTCACAAAGCATAAAATTCACACTTTTAAAGTGTACATTTTAATTATTTTTAGTACATTCATAGTTATCCAACCACCACCACAATTAATTTTAGAATATTTTGATCACCCTAAAAGGAAACCCCTTACCCTTTAGCAGTCACTCTCCATTCTCCCCTCTCCCTATCCCTAGGCAACCACTAATTTATTTTCTGTCTCTATAAATTTGTCTATTCTGCAACAGTTCACATAAATAGAATTATGCAATATGTGGTCTTTTGTGACTGACTCATTTAGCATAATGTTTCCAAAGTTCGTTCGTGCTGCACCCAATACTTCATTCCTTTTTATTGCTGAGTAACATTCTACTGTATGGACATACTACATTTTATTTATCCATCAGTTGATGAAGATTTTAGTTGTTTCCACCTTTTGGCTAGTATGAATAATCTTCCCATGAATATTGTGCAAAAGCTTTTCTGTGGACTTATGTTTTCATTTCTCTCGGCTAGATACCTAGTAGTAAAATTGCTGGGTCATGTAGTGATTCTGTTCAACCTGTTATGGAACTGCCAAGCTGTTTTCCAAAGTAGCGGCACCATTTTGTCTTCCCACCAGCAGTGTATGAGGATTCTAATTTCCCTGTATCTTGTCAACACTTGTAATTATCTCTTTATTGTAGCCATTCCAGTGAGTATGAGGTGGTATCTTGCTGTGGTTTTGATTTGCGTTTTCCTGATAGCTAATGATGTTGAGCATCTGCTATGGTTTAAATGTGTCCCCAAAATTCATGTGCTGGAAACTTAATCCTCAATCAACGTTATTGGGAGGTGGGGCCTTTTGGGAGGTGTTTAGGGCATGAGGGCTCCACCCTCATGAACGGATTAATGCTGCTTTAAAAAGGGGTTACAGGGGCAGTGAGCTCTCTCTCTCTCTCTCTTCTCTTTTGCCATGTGAGGACACAATGTTCTTCCTCTCTGAAAGACAGAGAACCAAAGTGGCACCTGTGAGCCAGAGACCAAACCCACTAGCACCTTGATCTTGAACTTCCCCAGCCTCAGAACTGTGAGAGAATAAATTTCTGCCCTTTATAAATTACCCAGTTTGTAGTATTCTGTTAATGCAGCATAAAATGAATGAAAACAGCATCTTTTTCAAAGACACTATGTTTTGGTTATTTCCAAAACATGGCAAACAAAACTTGAACTGATAATAATATGGGAAAGACCCTAACCTAGGAAAGATCAAGTTCCTGACACTAGGATCCTGGTCTCTTTCATCTTGGAGACATTCTCAGCACAAAGCACCATTTGTACACAGTAAAATTAGTTATTCCTTGTTTGTTGAATTATACTCCTGATGTTCTTTTGTAAGTCAATTGCACTTTCCTACACAGTTCATTTTAAGTAGTACTTAACTTCTGAAATTAGTCCACAAAAGCCTTTTTAACCTATAATGTAGCAGAGCCATGGTATTAGTAACACAAGTCTGAGTCCTAGGTCCTATTAACAGAGCAATGCAGTATAGGAGAGTGCAGGAGAAGCAGAACTTTTTCAAACCTCTCCTACCTTGGGCAAAGGGCCAACCCTAGGGGGAAATACTTTGACTTTTTTACTGATGCATAAAATACATAAAGTGCACTAATCTTAAGTGTATAGCCTGGTGAATTTTTCATATGAATACACCTGTGTAATCATCTTCCAAATAAAGACATAGAACATTTCCACCACCCCAGAGAGTTTCCTCATTCTCTTTTCCCAGTCACTACCTCTCACCATAGGTCATGCGACTCTGAGCTCAACACCCCAGCGAAAACTTTATATATCATTTATTTTTGCCACCCTCCCACCTCTGCTTCTGGACCCCTTTCTGTTGTTATCTTGGAGGATAGAATTGTCATGTTTTTCACAGCTCTGTCCCGACTTGTCCTGTCTCCCAAAGTACTTCAGGGGCCAAGTGTCCCGTCTCCCTTCCCTTTAGTCAAAACTCTCATCCTTTTGGTGATACAGTTTTTCCCAAGCAGACTGTGAGCTCCTCAGGGCCAGGGACTCTACTTTCCCTGACTTCAGGCACAGACTTGTTTAGTGTGCCTGTCAAATAAATAAACAAATGCATATGACCTTGGGTAGGTAGAAGCAGGAAAGCAACCCAGCATATCAAAATTGCACTGAATCCTGAATGCTACACTGTCCTATATTCATCCCAGAAATCATCAAAGAAGCTGCTTATTCATGGGGAGGGAGTTCATGTTGAATAAGTGGAATAAAGGAGTCAAATGCTATGAACTGGATGATTATAACTATGAGAAAAATTAAACCAAAGGTTATAAAAAAGCAGAATAAATCCACCAAAGTATGAACAATGGAATATTTGGAAGGTAAAACTACAGGTAATTCTCATTTTCTAAAACTAAATTAATGAACACTTACAACTGATATAATAGGAAAAAAACATATTGTAAATGAGGCTACTTATTAACCCAAATTATTCTCTAATCAAAGGAAGGTCAGACCATGTATCTAAGTGAAATGAAAAGATTTGGGGGAAGACATAGGAGTAGGGCAGGAGACTTCCCTGGTTTGCATCAGCTGTCCTAATCTAATTCTGTTTTTTACAGTTCTTTGCCCAATTCCATTTTTGAATCTGAAAATGACCAAATGCCCACCTGTTTCTGCACATGAATTCATTTTACAAGTTGAAGATGCCCTGGGCTATAGTAATAATAGAGATATTCTATACTTTTATTTAAAAGATAAAATTAGGGCAGGGCGTGGTGGCTCACGCCATTAATCCCTACACTTTGGGAGGTTGAGGGGGACAGATCACATGAGGTCAGGAGTTCAAGACCAGCCTGGCCTACATGGAGAAACCCGGTCTCTACTAAAAATACGAAAATAAGCCGGGCATGGTGGCGCATGCCTGTAATCCCAGCTACTAGGAAGGCTGAGGCAAGAGAATCGCTTGAACCTAGGAGGCACAGGTTGTAGTGAGCCGAGATCATGCCGCTGCACTCCAGCCTGGGTGACAGCAAGACTCCATCTTAAAAAAAAAAAAAAAAAAAAAAAGAGAGAGAGAGAGAGGATAAAATTAGAATAAATAAGTTAAAATCCATTTTTAAATACCTTAGATGTTCTCTTTGTATAGAAAGTTAGAGGGATCACTAAAGCAATTTTCAGAATTTTGTACATCAAAAATTGCTTTTACTGGAAACATCCAGAAAACAAATTGCCTCAATTCTCAATTTCACTTTGCATGCAAATAAATAGTCTTAGTCTGTCCAATTTTACAATGAATTTTTTTTTCTTAGACAGGGTCTTGCTCTGTCACCCAGGTTACAGTGCAGTGGTGCAATCTCAGCTCACTAAACCCTCGACCTCCCAGACTCAAACGATCCTCCTGCCTCACTTGCTTCCATCAGTTGTTCTAGTGCACAAAAATAAAATTGCCTATTTTGAAAATAATAATAAAATCTTAAAACCAAGATAACCACGTATTTTCAAATGTCGTTTTACTTACTTACTTATAGCAATCATTAGTTTGCTTTGAAAGAAAAAGAAAATGTTTTCTGCTTTCTAATAACCCTACCGTCTTTTAGATTCATAAGGATTTTCTATGAATTTATCTATGATCATAGAAGCTGTAAGCCTAGAAGGGCCCAGCCTCTTTCTGTCCTTTCAGAGGGAACAAACCCAAAGAAGGAGTTTACTAAAGTACATGATCTCCTAAATAATGAAAAAGAATATTTCAGGTAATGTTGAGCCTGAAAGATTCTGTTTTTCTGAACTAAAGCCAAGACAATTTATAAAACTTCTTGTCATGCAGCAGTGATAATATACTAAGGACTGTGTTATAGAAGATATACATAAATATTAATAAGTACTTCCAAGTAGAATACAATTAAAGGATTGGGAGGCTGAGGTGGGAGGATTGCCTAAGCCCAGGAGTTCAAGGCTGCAGTGAGTTATGATGGCACCACTGTACTACAGCCTGGGTGACAGAGCAAGAGTCTGTCTCTGAAAAAAAATTGATTAATTAATTAAAGGAGAATCACATCACCTAAATGTCCTACATCATACCAATTTACATAATAGAAAGTGAGAACAGAAACAGCCCACACCACGGATTATAACTAATGAAGTCTCCCTAGTTGAGGTGGAAAGTCTGTATTTGAAAGACTGAACCATAGAGCAACTGACCACAGACCAAAAATCCAGCAATTGGCCTATCAATTCAGACACAAATAACTAGTCAATTTCAAATGGTCTATCAGAGAATACAGAAATAGGCCAGGGAATGGTATTGACTAAAGAAATGTTTCAAAGAAGAGGATCGATCAAGAGCAGGTGATATTCAGCAGTTCTGGTCCAGGGCTTTGTCATCACCCTCATGGGAAATAACTGGTTAAATAACTGCAAACACACACTGAGGCTATCAGCCCTTCTTCATCTGCTGTATTCATGCATCTACTTGTTTGTAAATTATACATGATTTATTTTATAGAGTGTTATTTTCCAGTCAATCAGCCTTCTTTATAATCTGTCAAGGTAAAACAATCTCTTCGGTATTTTTAAGGAGAAGCATTTGAAATGAGTTGACTCAACAAGTATTCATAGATACTATCCTAGGCAAGACCTTATGTTCAGTCAAAATCTTCCCACTATAACTGTACCTCCAAAAATTAATTAACCTAAGCTGAGAGACTATTAGACCTCTTAATAAACCACTAGTTACCCAATTAATTTAAAAATCACCTGTCAACAATACAGTAGATCCCATAAACTGGTCTGATAAAAATGTGACACCAGTAAATATAATACATTTTGTTTGTTTGTGTTTTGAGACAGGGTCTCCCTCTGTTGCCAAGGCTGGAGTGCAGTGGCGGGATCATGGCTCACCGCAGCTTCAACCTCTCCGGCTCAAGCAATTCTCCCACTTCAGGCTCCCCAGTAACTGGGGCCACAGATGCATGCCACTACACCCCACTAATTTTTGTGTTTTTTTTGTAGAGACAGGGCCTCACTATATTGCCCAGGCTGGTCTCAAACTCCTAGGCTCAAGCGATCCTCCCACCTTGGCCTCTCAAAGTGCTGGGATTATAGGCATGGGCCACTGCACCCAACAAATATAATACATTTACTAGGATAAGGACATTATTGTTTATATAACAAAAACTAGTTCACATTTTTACATTTTGACAGTGTGATAATGATGTTTTAATTTGACATTCTTCTTTGATCTAGTTCCATTTAGTTGATGGTTTTTCAATCTAGCTATAAAATTTTTACCTATTAAATCTTTCTGGGCCGTGCATGGTCGCTCATGCCTGTAATTCCAGCACTTTGGGAGGCCAAGGCAGGCAGATCATGAGGTCAGGAATTCAAGACCAGCCTGGCCAACATGGCAAAACCCTGTCTCTACTAAAAATACAAAAATTAGCCTGGCATGGTGGCACGGGCCTGTAATCCCAGCTACTCGGGAGGCTGAGGCAGGAGAATTGCTTGAACACAGGAGAGGAGGTTGCAGTGAGCCAAGATAGTGCCACTACACTCCAGCCTGGGCAACAGAGCAAGACTCCATCTCAAAAAAAAAAAAAAAAAAATCTGTGCCTTCACAGATCTAGCTTTAGGGTACTTTATGTTCTTTGTTCAAAAGATAAAATGCTTCTTGGGTAAATAATTTTCTACACTAAATTCAGATACAAATGTCATTCTCCTGTTATACAGGTGGCTTTAGATGTTCAAATTTATTCATATCACAGTTACATAAAACACTTTTTAAAAATGTGTAGGCTGGGCACGATGGCTTACTCCTGTAATCCCAACACCTTGGGAGGCCAAGGCAGGCTGATCACTTGAGGTCAGGAGTTCGAGAACAGCCTGGCCATGGTGAAACCCCGTCTCTACTAAAAATACAAAAATTGGCCAGGCGTAGTGGCACGTGCCTGTGATCCCAGCTCCTCAGGAGGCTGAGACCAGGGAATCATTTGAACCTGGGAGGTGGAGGTTGCAGTGAGCCGACATCGAGATCGCACCATTGCACTCCAGCCTGGGTGACAGAGCAAGACTCCATCTAAAAAAAAAAAAAAAAAAAGCTATTTTCATTATTCATTTAACAACTTTGAATTCATTTAAAATTCCCACAGTAGTAAGTTTAACACATAGCTCCATTTCTTCAACCTTCCTTTTTACCCCAAGCTCCTCTGCCACTTGCACTTTTCTCTCCCTCCTCTCCACGTAGCAGAGTAGATACTCCATTCCTGGTGTACACCTGTTATGGTTAAGCCACTTACTGTGGAGTATTTACTTTCAAGACTAGGTATCAGCAAAACTTTCCAAATTTAAATGCAAACATGTCTTGTTTTCAATCCAGAGAGAAAAGAACTTAAAGCTAAAGTTCCTCTAAGTAGTAACACCTGTACTTTCTCTATTTGTTGTCAGATTTGTAGTTGCCATTTGCTTTGTTCAATACTGGTGCTCATCCTGCTTTCCAACTAACATACTAATTTTACTTTGTAGTTTTTGCTCTTTGGTGGTTTCCTAAGCATTGCAGAAAACCCTAGCTGTAATTTCTCCCCTTCAGTCTAAAGTATGTATAATGTTCATTATGCAAAGACAGGGGAAAGTTTAAACTAGAGATCAAAAACGAGAAAAAACTAGGGGAATATTTTTTCTTAAAAGTCTTACAATTTACAAAGAGATAATTAAATGTAACAAGGCCCAGTGAAGTGGGATCAAAGCTAAGAATCAATTGTAGAGGCAGCTCATCCACTGATCTGCTGTAAGAACTTAGTAAGGGCTCTTAACCACCTTGTTCCTTCATCTGTAAAACAAGGCTAATGGCCATAGCCCACAGGCTAAACTACTTCTTTATAACAAAGAAGTATAGAGAATTTGGCATTTAAGTAAAAGCCAAATATTAGTCAAAATGAAAGCAAATAAAATGAACATCATTCTGCTTAATTAATTGTGGCATAAAGAAAAGACATATCACTTTAGATTTAGAAATAATATTGAACCTTACAGAGCAAGATCATTTTTACTGCTTTATTGAACCTAAAAAGAAAAGAGCAGTTATAGAAAGATGACAGATAGATAGATAGACAGCATTACAATATAAATGTTATGGGGAATAAGACACAAATTTCCCTTGCAGAATGCCAAACAATTTATGTGGACATTCTGCTCCCCACAAATGCAGGGTGCACATAGTGACCTCCTTCCAAAGAGTACAGTATGGGGTGTGGGGAGGAGTATTTTTATGGTGGAAAATCTGACAAATATTATATCACCTATGTCACATCAGCCAGGTGATCAAGGTCAGCATCAAGTCATAAATCGTGTTGATGTAACCTTGCTATAATATGATTGTTCTCCAAAAAATATATAATCTCACTCCAATCATGAGAAAACACATCAGACAAATTTTACCAGAGGGGAATCCCACAATATACCTGATCAGTACTTTTCAAACTGTCAAGGACAACAACAACAGCAACAAAAAAGTGTTAGAAACTGTCACAACCAAGAGGGTCCAAGGAGACATGACAACTGAATGTAATTGGTATCTTGGGTGAAAACCCAGAATACAAAAGGACATTGGGTAAAGACTGAGGAAATCTGAATAAAGTATGGGCTTCTGTTAATAATAATGTATAAATATTCTTTCATTAATTATACCATACTAATGTAAGATAAGTGTTTATATTAGTACATTACTAATACAATGTAATAATATGGGAAACTGTGTGCAGGGGTATATATGAGAATTCTCTGTGCTTTTTGTCAATTTTTCCATTAATCTAAAACTGCTCTGAAAAATAAAGCCTGTTTAAAAGTATATATAAATGTTATATGTGTCAAACCAAACTAAATTATGTCAAAATGTCATAGTCCAAATTCTACAGATAATGTCTATCTATTCAGCTCATTTATGTCTGTATGTAGTTGATACCAAAGTAAAGTAAGAGAATATTAAGTAAAGCAAAAGATTATTAAGTTAACCATCTCAGTCAGATGCAGGATGTGCACTAAACATCTGTGTGACTGGCTCCTTTTAAAAGTTTTCAAAAGATTTAGCCAGGCACAGTGGCTTGTTCCTGTAATCCCAGCCACTCAGAAGGCTGAGATGAGAGGTCCACTTGAGGCCACGATGTTGAGACTAGCCGGGACAACATAGCAAGACAATTGTCTGTAAAAAAAAAAAAAAAAAAAAAAAAGGTTTCAAAAGATTTAATATTGTGTTTAGAGAAATTAGCTTGGCTGAAATAAGAATAAAACCACATTCACCAGTTTTCTTTCTTCTTCCTTTCTGATCTTTATGACTTTTATTTCTTTTCCTTGCCTTATTAAACTGGCTAGAATTCCAGTATACTGTTGGCTAGAAATGGTGAGCATGGGTATCCTTTCACCATTAGCCACCGTGTTAGCTGTATTTTTTTTGTAAATGCTGTTCATCAGAGTGAGGAAGTTCCCTTCTATAAATAGTTTTCTGAGAATTTGTATGGGGGGGATACCCTGGATTGTTGGGTTTATAACTTACAATGATGAAATATATATGACAACGGTAGCAGAAAGATGATGGGATGATCAATAGAATTATAGTGTTAAAAGTTTTGTAGATTTTGCCTGAAGTCATTCAATATCAACTCTAAGTAGATTGTGAGAAATTGAAGATGCAGATTTTAATCCCTATGTCAGGAACCACTAAAAAAGTGATGCAAAGAGACATAACTGAAAGATATGCATATACAATAGAGAAATTAAAATAGAATGCTAAGAAAACATTTTATTAAAACAAAAAAAAAAGGGCAGACAAAAAGAAACCAACCAATTGAAAGCAAATGGCAAAATGGCAGACCTAAATCTACCTATAACAAGTTATATTAAATGTAAATAAACTAAACACTACAATTAAAAGTCTGAGATTGCCAGACTGGATTTAAAAAGCTGTAATCCCAGCACTTTGGGAAGCCAAGCCGGGAGGATAGCTTGGGCCCAGGAGTTTGAGACTAGCCTGGGCAACACAGGGAGACACCCCATCTCCACAAAAAATCAGCCAGCTGTGGTGGAACACACCTGTACTACCACTCCAGAGGCAAAGGCAGGAGGGTCACTTGGAGGCTGAGGCCACAGTAAGCTGTGACTGTACCACTGCACTTCAGCAACAAAATGAGATCCTGTCTCAAAAAAAAAAAAACACCTCAGTATGTGCTCTCTGTAGAAGTACTTTAAATACAAAGATAAATTGAAAGTAAAACAAGAGAAAAAGATATATCATACATACAATATGCATAAGAAAGCAGAGATAACTATATTAATACCAGGCAAAATAAACTTTGAGACAAAGATATTACTATAGACTTCATAACAGTCAATACCTTAAAATATATATAACATTTATAAATAAATGTGTGTCTAATAATAGACTTTATTACAATACATGAAGTAAAAATTCATAGAACAAAAGAAAGAGACAATTCCACAGTTATAGTTGGGGATCTTAATAGTATTTGATAAGACAAAAAAGTAGTAAGAATATAGAAAATTTGGACAATAATATCAACCAGCTTAATCTAATTGACGTTTAAAGATGACTATACCTTGGGCCTGGATGTGGTGGCTTACCCATGTAATCCCAACATTTTGGGAGGCCAAGGTAGAAGAATTGCTTGAAGCTAGAAATTCAATACCAGCCTGGACGATAAAGTGAGAACCTGACTCTATGAAAAAATTTAAAAATAAAAAAATTAGTTGGGTATGGTGGTGGTGGTGGTGGTGGTGTATGCCTGTAGTCCCAGCTACTCAAGAGGTTGAGGTGGGAGAATCACTTGAGCCCAGAGGTTTGAGTTTACGGTGAGCTATGATTACACCACTGCACTCCAGCCTGGATGAGAGAGTGAGACCCTGTCTCTAAAAAACAAAACAAAACACAAAAGGCAGAAAAAGAACGGAAGAACAAAGTGGAAACAAAGAAGAAGGGCAACAAATAGAAAACAGTAACAATTACAGTAGCTATTAATCCAACCACATTGATAATCATTTTAAATGTCAGTGGTCTAAATACACTAATTAAAATATAGATTGTCAGAGTGGATCAAAAAACAAGACCTAACTATATGTTGTCTACATAAACCTACTTTAAATATAAAGACATATATAGATTAAAAGGGGATGGAGAAAGATATACCATGCTACCACAATCAAAAGGGAGAGTATAGTCAACCAATATTTGACAAGGATGCCAAAAATACTCAGTGGAAAAGAATAGCCTCTGCAATAACTAGTGCTGGGAAAACTGAATATCCACATGCAAAAGAATGAAATCAGACTCTTACCTTATACCACTCATAAAAATTAACTCAAAATGGATTAAAGAGTTAAATGTAAGACCTGAAAGTCTAAAAATCCTTTTAAAAATATTGGAAAATCTCCTTGATATTGGTCTTGGCAATGACTTTTTGGATATAACACCAAAAGCACAGGCAACAAAAGCAAAAACAAATAAGCGGGGACTAAAAAGCATTTGCACAGCAAAGGAAGCAATCAACAAAATGAAAAGGCAACCTATGGAAATGGGAGAAAATCTTTGCAAACCATATATCTGATAAGGGATTAATATCCAAAATATATAAAGAACTCATACAACTCAATAACAAAAACACAAATAATCTGATTTTAAAGTGGGCCAGGGATCTAAAAGGACATTTCTCCTTTTCCTGTCCAACAAGCACAGGAAAAGATGTTCAACATCACTAATCACCAGGGAAATGCAAATCAAAACCACAGTGAGATATTATCAAAAAGAGAAAAGATAACAAATGTTGGTGAGGATGTGGAGAAAAGGGAACCCTTGTACACTGCTGGTGGCAATGTAAATTGGTACAGGAATTATGGAAAACAGTGTGGAGAGGTCCTCAAAAAATTAAAAATAGGCCAGGTGCGGCAGCTCACGCCTGTAATCCCAGCACTTTGGGAGGCCGAGGCAGGCGGATCAGGAGGTCAGGAGATCGAGACCATCCTGGCTAACACAGTGAAACCCCGTCTCTACTAAAAATACAAAAAATTAGCCGGGCATGGTGGTGGGCGCCTGTAGTCCCAGCTACTTGGGAGGCTGAGGCAGGAGAATGGCGTGAACCCGGGAGACGGAGGTTGCAGTGAGCCGAGATTGCGCCACTGCGCTCCAGCCCTGGTGACAGAGCGAGACTCCGTCTCAAAAAAAAAAAAAAATTAAAAATAGAACTACATGTGATTCAGAAACCCCTTTTCTGGATATATAATCTAAAGGAAAAGAAATCAGTAGCTGGGGCCAGGTGTGGAGGCTCACACTTGTAATCGCAGCACTTTGAGAGGCCGAGGGCGGGTGGGGGCAGGTGGATCACAAGGTCAGGAGTTCAAGACCAGCCTGGCCAACACAGTGAAACCCCAACTATACTAAAAATACAAAAATTAGCTGGGCATGGTGGCAGGCGCCTGTAATCCCAGCTACTCGGGAAGCTGAGGCCGGAGAATTGCTGGAACCTGGGAGGCGGAGGTTGAAGTGAGCCAAGACTGCGCCACTGCACTCCAGCCTGGATGAGAGAGCTAGACTTTGTCAAGAAAGAAAGAAAGAAAGAAAGAAAGAAAGAAAGAAAGAAAGAAAGAAAGAAAGAAAGAAAGAAAGAAAGAAAGAAAGAAAGAAAGAAAGAAGGAAGGAAGGAAGGAAGGAAGGAAGGAAGGAAGGAAGGAAGGAAGGAAGGAAAGAAAGAAAGAAAGAAAGAAAGAGGAAAGAAAGAAAGAAAGAAAGAAAGAAAGAAAGAAAAGAAAGAAAGGAAAGAAAGAAAGAAAGAAAGAAAGAAAGAAAGAAAGAAAGAAAGAAAGAGGAAGGAAGGGGGAAAGAAAGAAAGAAGAAAAGAAGAAATCAGTAGCTTGAGAGGATATCGGCACTCCCATGTTCATTGCAATATTATTCACAATACCCAAGGCATGGAAACTACATAAGTGTTCATGGACAGATGAATGGATAAAGAAATTGTGGTGCACATATACAGTGGAATATTATTCAGCTGTAAAAAAGAACATCCTGCCATTTGTGACAACATGGATAAATCTGGAGGACATTATGCTAAGAAATAAGCCAAACACAGAAAGACAAATACTGCATGATCTCACTTATATGTGGAATCTTTAAAAGTTGAACAAATTAGGGAAGAGGAAACAAAATTGTCTTTGTTTGCAGGTGATAAGATTATCTGTGTAGAAAATCTGAAAGAATTGACAAAAAAAACCCTCTTGCAACCAATAAACAATTATAGCAAGGCTGCAGGATACAAGGTTAATATTCAAAAGTTAATTGCTTTCTAATATACTAGCAATGAACAAGATGCAATAAACAAGTGGAATTTGAAATTAATAACACAATATCGTTACTTTAGCACCCAAAATACATACAAGATCTTCAAGAGGAAGACTACAATACTTGGATGAAAGAAATCAATAAAGAACTAAATAAACAGAGAGATATCCTATGTTTAAGGTTAGGAAGACTCAATATTGCCAAGATGTCAGTTCTTCCCAAGTACTGAGAAGATTCAACTATTAATCTATAGATTCAATGCAATTTCAATCAAAATGTCAACAGCTATTTTGTAGATATCAACATACTAATTATAAAGTTTATAAGGATACAAAAGATGCACAACAGGCAACACAATATTGAAGAAGATAAAGCTGGAGGACCAACACTACCCATATTCAAGACTTACTATAATATTACAGTAATCAACACAACGTGGGCTGGGTGCAGTGGCTCATGCCGGTAATCCTAACACTCTGGGAGGCCAAGGCTGGAGGATTGCCTGAGCCCAGGAGTTCAAGACCAGCCTGGGCAACATGGTGAAACCCCATCTCTACCAAAAATGCAAAAGTTAACCGGGCGTGCTGGCAAGCATGCCTGTAATCCCAGCTACTGGAGAGGCTGAGGTGGGAGAATTGCTTGAACCCAGGAGGTGGAGGTTGCAGTGAGCCAAGATCACGCCCCTGCACTCCAGCCTGGGTGATAGAGTGAGGCTTCATCTCAAAAAAAAAAAAAAAAAAAAAAAAGACATTGGAGGTATTGATTAAAAAAATAGATGAATAGATCAATGGAACAGAATAGAGAACCTAAAAATAGATCCACAGAAATATAGTCAACTGATCTTTGACAAAGGAGCAAAGGCAACACAATGGAGAAAAGACAGTCTTTTCAACCAATGGTGCTGGCACAACTAGACATCTATGCAAAAAAAGTAATCTAGTCACAAACTGTACATACTTTACAAAATCAATTCAAAATGGATCATACTTCTAAAGTAAAATGCAAAACTATAAAACTCCTGGAAGATAGCATGGGAGAAAATCTAAATGATATTGAGTTTGGCAATGATGTCTTAGATACAATACCAAAGGGATGGTCCATGAAAGAAAGAATTGGTAGGTTAAACTTCATTAAAATTAAAATTTCTGCCAGGTGCAGTGGCTCACGCCTGTAATCCCAACATTTTGGGAGGCTGAGGCAGATGGATCACTGAAGTCAGGAGTTTGAGACCAGCCTGGCCAAAATGGTGAAGCCCTGTCTCTACTAAAAATACAAAAATTAGGTAAGCAACTGTAATCCCAGCTATTTGGGAGGCTGAGGCAGGAGAATCACTTGAACCTGGGAGGCAGAGGTTGCAGTGAGCCGAGACCGTGCCGTTGCATTCCAGCCTGGGCAACAGAGTGAGACTCTGTCTCAAAAAAAAAAATTAAAATTAAAATTAAAATTAAAATTAAAATTTCTGCTCTGTTAAAGACACTGTCTACAGAATAAAAATACAAGTCACAGATTTGGAGAAAATGTTTACAAAGGACATATCGGATAAAGAATTGTTATCCAAAATATAGGTAGAACTCTTAAAACTGAACAATAAGAAACCCTAATTTAAAAATTAGCAGAAGACTTTAACAGACATCTCAGCAAAAAAAAAAACACAGATGGCAAATATGCATATAAAAAGATGCTCCACCTCATATGTCATCAGGGAAACACAAATTGAAACAATAATGTGATACAACTACACACCTAGTAGATTGGCTAAAATCCAGAACACTGACAATACCAAATGCTGGAGAGGATGTGGAGCAACAGGAACAACAGGAACACTCATCCATTGCTCGTATGAATGCAAAATTGTAGAGTCATTGTGGAAGACAGCTTGGCACTTTCTTACGAAACTGAATATACTCTTATCATACAATCCAGCAATCACATTTCTTGGTTTTATTCAAAAGAATTGAACACTTATGTCCACACAAAAACATGCACACAGATGTTTATATCAGCTTTATTCGAAATCAAAATTGCCACACTTGGAAGCAACCAAGATATCCTTCATTTGGTGAATCGATAAACTGTGGTATATCTTAATGGGATAATGGGATATTATTCAGCACTAAGGAAATGAGCTATCAAGTCATGAAAAGACATGGAGGAAACATAAATGCATATTACTAAATATGCCAGCTGTGGTGGCTCACGCCTATAATCCCAGCACTTTGGGAGGCCGAGGCAGACAGATCATGAGGTCAAGAGATTGAGACCATCCTGGCCAACATGGTGAAACTCCGTCTCTCCTAAAAATACAAATTAGCCGGGGATGGTGGCAGGCGCCTGTAATCCCAGGTACTTGGGAGGCTGAGACAGAAGAATCACTTGAACCTGGGAGGCGGAGGTTCCAGTGAGTCGAGATCGCGCCATTGCCCTCCAGCCTGGGGAACAAGAGCAAGACTTCGTCTCAAAAGTGAAGAAGAAGAAAGAAGAAAAGAAGAAAGAAGAAAGAAGAAGGAGAAGGAGAAGGAGAAGGAGAAGAAGAAGAAGAAGAAGAAGAAGAAGAAGAAGAAGAAGAAGAAGAAGAAGAAGAAGAAGAGGAAGAGGAAGAGGAAGAGGAAGAGGAAGAAGAAGAAGAAGAAGGTCTGAAAAGGCTATATACACTGCATGATTTCAACTACCTGACATTCTGGAAAGGGCACAATTATGGAGATAGTAGAAAGATCAGTGATTACTAGCAGTTAGGCGAGAAAGAAGGCTGGATAAGTGGAGCACAGAAGATTTTTGGGACAGTGAAAATATTCTGTATGATACTATAATGGTGGGTACATGTCCTAATACGTTTGTCCAAACCAATCAAATGTTCACCACCAAGAGTAAACTCTAATGTAAACTAAGGACTTCAGGTAATAATGATGTGTCAATAGGTTCATCAACTGTAATAAATGTACCACTCTGGTGAGGAATGTTGTTAATGGGGGAGGCTATACATGTGTGGGGTCAGGGAATATATGAGAAAACTTTATACCTTCCACTCAATTTTACTGTGAACCTAAAATGACTCAAACGTAAAGTCTACTTTTCAAATCACAAAATATCTCCAAGCAAAAAGGAATTTGGAAAAAAGCTATAGAAACAATATAGTTAATAACATTATATGGGGGTTCTTTCCGCTCAGAGACCCCTCTCTCTATAGAGAGAGCTGTTTCTCATTCTCTTCTCTTCTGTCTATGAAACCTCTACTCCTAAACTCCCTGTGTGTGTCCGTGTCCTAAATTTTCCTGGCGCGAGATGACAAACCCCAAGGTATACATCCCAGACAACGTAGCCCCTTCATCTTGGGCCCTTGTCCGGGATACCAACGTACAACATTCATCCAAATGGTGAGTAGAGCAGCGGACTCCAACTCTGTCATTTCACTTTAAGGTTCTCGGCCTCCATTTCAGAACCAAATCAAACCAAATACTGGGCCCCCTTCAGCCATTTAAAAACGATTAGCATGGCTGCCAGCCTTGAAAGACTTGGGGGACAGGCTTGCTGGGGAGAACATGCAGAATCCCCAGCACCCACGGCTTGCAGGGCATGTTGGCCATGTTTGAAATAGCTTCCTTTCACGGAGGACTTAGCCCTCGTGTGGGTCTGGAAGTAGTCCTGAGGCAACTGAGGGTTTCTGGCGGGGGCTACCCCGTGGCGTTATCCAAAGGCTTCTGGACTGACCTCAGCCTCTGACCGCCCAATGGCGTTTCGGCAACAGGATCTCCAACTTTTCTGTATAATTTCCTCCTTTACTGTCCGTGATCTTCGAATAAAATCCAGTGCATCCACTGCCAGCCGGGTCCTTTCCGCTGCGAGACCCCTCTATACAGAGAGAGCTGTTTCTCTTTCTCTTCTAAAGATCTCCCGTCTCTTTTTACTAGGAAAAAGAAGAGGGGCTGTATGCTCCTTAGTTGTTGGAGTCCTTTTGCCCTATACCCTTCCCCACCTGACAAAATGACTGTTCCTTTGCATGGAGAGTTTTAGTTGCTTCTCTTATACACACGCAGCTCTTCCAAGGTTCAGGGCTCACTTCCCTGATGGTCACTCACCACCTGGAATGCTCCTCCATAGCCCCCACCCTGAATGATGCTTACTTGCAAAGTTTTCATCATGTTTTCAAGTTTTGGATCATCTCCCAGAATTTTGACATTAAAATGACTACAAGTCACTAAACCTCAGTTCCAAGTCAGAGTTTTCCCAGGAAAGGGAATTACTAATTGGTTTATCTTGCATCAAGAATCTCCTGGATCCAAAAATCAATGTAATATAATGATAGCATAAAGGAGAAAAGCAACACGATTATCTCAATAGATGCAAAAAAGTTGGCAAAATCCAACACGCTTTCATGTTTAAAAACACTTAATAAACCAGGAAAAAAAGGAAACTTTCTTAACCTGATAAAGGGTATCCATGAAAAACCCAGAGCAAACATCATACTTGATGGTGAAAGGCTGAATGTTTCCCCCCAAGATGAGAAAAAAGACAAGGATGCCTGCTCACCCCATTGCTACTCAACATTGCACTGTAGGTATGCACATGGGCAATAAGGCAAAGAGAAGAAAGAAAAAGAAGGAAGAGGAGGTGGGCAAGAGGAGGAGAAGGAAAACAAGGAAAAGAAAAAGAAGAAGGAGGAAGAGGAAGAAGAAGAAGAAAGGAGAAAGAGAAGAAGGAGCAGCAGCAGCTATTTAGATTGGAAAGGAAGAAGTAAAATTATTTTGTATACAAAAAATCCTAAGGAATTCATTTAAAAGACTACAAGAATTAATGTACTAATTTAACAAGGTTGAAGGATACAAAATCAATATACAAAAATCAGTTGTATTTCTATGCATTAACAATGAACAATCTGAAAATGAAACTAAGAAAACCATTCCACTTACAATAGCATCAAGAAAAATAAAATGCCTAGATATAAATTTAACAAAAGAGGTGTAAGACTTCTACACTGAAAACTACAAAACATTATTGAAAGAAATTAAAGAAAATCTAAATAAAGAGAAAGATATACCAAATTCATGTATTAGAGGACTTAGTATTGTTAAGAAGGCAATATTGCCTACATTGATCTACAGAGTCAATGCAACTCCTACCAAAACCACAGGTGACTTTTTTTTGCAGAAAAGGATATGTTAATCCTAAAATGTATGTGGCACTATGAGGGACCCAAAATTGCTGAATCAATCTTGAAAAAAAGAACAAAGTTGGAGAATTCACACTTCCTAATTTCAAATTTTACTATAAATCTGCAATAATCAAGACAACATAGTACTACTTTAGGGATGGATACACAGATCAATTGAGTAGAATTGAGAGCTCAAAAATAAACTCTTACATTTATGTTCAATTGATTTTCAAAATGGGTGTCAAGACAATATGCGGAAAGAATAGTCTCCAACAAACCATCCAATGCAAAAAGATAAAGTCAGACATCCCATACTATAAACAAAAATTAATTCAAAGTGTATCATAGGCCGGGTGCAGTAGCTCATGCCTGTAATCCCAGCACTTTGGGAGGCCAAGGCGGGTGGATCACTTGAGGTCAAGAGTTTGAGACCAGCCTTGCCAACATGGTGAAACCCCGTCTCTACTAAAAATACAAAAATTAGCTGGGCATGGTGGCAGGCGCCTATAATCCCAGCTACTTGGGAGGCTGAGGCAGGAGAATCACTTGAACCTGGGAGAAAGAGGTTGCAGTGAGCCGAGATTATGCCACTGCACTCCAGCCTGGGCGACAGAGTGAGACTCTGTCTCAAAAAAAAAAAAAGTATCATAGACCTAAATTAACTAATAAAACTATAACATTCTTAAATGAAAGCATAAGAATAAATATTTATGACTTTGAGTGAGGCAATAATTTCTTAGTTATGAGATGAAAGGCACAATTAGCAAAATAAATAAATTGGACTACATCAATATGAAAACATTTTGCTGTAAATGATACCTTCAAGAAAGTGAAGAACAAACCACAGAAAGGCAGAAAGAACACTTAATTCAACAATGAAAAAAAGACAAAAGAAAAAAGAAAAAAACTAAAAACAAGAGAAAAAGGAAAAAAGAAATAAAAGAAATTTAAAAAAATTTTAAAGAACAAAAAAAATTCAACAATGAAAAGACAAACTAATTTCTATATGGGCAAAGGATTTGAAAAGACATTTCTCCAAGTAAGATATACAAATGACCAATAAGCACATGAAAAAATATTCAAAATCATTAGCCATTAGGGAAATGGAAATGAAAACCACAATAAGATACCACTTCACACTCACTAGCATGGCTGCAATAAAAAAGACAGACAATAACAAGTGTTGTTAAGGATCTGGAGAAATTGAAGCCCTCATACACTGCTGGTGAGAATGTAAAATGGTGCAGCTGCTTTAAAAAATAGTTTGGCAGTTCCTTAAAATGTTAAACATAGAATTACTATATGATCCAGATATTCCACTCCAAGGTATATAGGAGAGGTATTTTGTTTCCAAGAGAAAAATATATGTCTAAATCCTTAACTGGGGGAGAATATATATATATATATATATATATATATATATATATATATGCACTCACACACAGACAAAAAAAAAAGCTTATACCAAATGTTCATAGCAGTATTATTCATAATAGTCAAAAAGTGGAAACAACTCAAACATCCATAAACTGATGAATTGGTAAATACCATATGGAACGTCCATAGATGAAATATTATTTGGCAATAAAAAGGAATAATGTACTGAAGCAGGCTATAACATGAATGAACCTTGAAAACTTCATGCCAAGTGAAAGAAGTCAGTTACAAAAGATCACGTATTATATGAGCTCATTTATATAAAATGTCTGCAATAGGCAAATCAATAGAGAAAGAAAATAAATTAGTGGTTGCCTAGGGCTACAGGATGGGGAAGGAGAATGAGAAATGATTGCTAATGGGTACACAAATTTCTTTTTCTTTCTTTCTTTCTTTCTTTCTTTCTTTCTTTCTTTCTCTCTCTGTCTCTCTCTTTCTTTCTTTCACTTTTATTTTATTTTATTTGTCTTACTCTGTCACCAGGCTGGAGTACAGTGGCACAATCATAAATCCCTGTAACCACAAACTCCTGGGCTCAAGTGATCCTCCCACTTCAGCCTCTTGAATAGCTAGGACTACATCTGGATAATTCATTTTTCATTTTTGTAGAAATGGGGTTTCACTATGTTGCCCAGGCTGGTCTTGAACTCCTGGCCTCGAGTGATCCTCCTGCCTCAGCCTCCCAAAGCACTGGGATTATATGCTCACTCCACCCCAACCAGCCCAGGTTTTCTTTTAGGGAGGACAAAAAATTATAAAATTAGATTGTGGATATGGTTGCAAAGCCCTGTGCAAATACTAGAAATCCTTAGGGCGAAAAAAATTGAATTGTACACTTTAAATTGATAAATTATATAGTGTGTGAATTACTTCTCAATAAATCTGTTTTAAAAAGTAATCTCCTGGCTCAATCAGCTATTGGTGTTGATGGGGACGATGGGGAGGTGGTAAGAGGAAGGGGGGTGACAAGTCCAAACCAAACAAACCCAACCCAGAAATGGGGGACTCATTATAAGTTTGGAAGCAATGCCAAGAAGTATCTTCTACATTGGGAACTTTCATTTTAAAGAAATAAATGCAATATAAATCTTGAAACCTTAGGAGCTAGGCATGACCTTATGCAAGTGCTCAAAGCTATTATTATCACCCACAGAATATGGTATTCATCTGTATTTGCTTTAAACCATGGCATGGCTTAGAAATAATCGAATTTTCCACATTCTATAACTAAATGCAATTTCTAATTATTACTTGACTGCTCATATAAATCCTAAGTAAATCTGTGGAGTTTCTTTTCCCAGTACAATACAAATAAATGTAAATAACTGTCATGTCTGATTTACCTAGTATTTTGTTAACCAGCTAAAAGTAAATATTGAAAATAGCTGTTAGCTATGCAAGTTTGAACAGGTGTTTTCCTAAGGAAGGTTATACATCTTTAAATTTAGGAATGATTGAATCAAAGCAAATTACTACCCTGTCTAACCATGCTGATTTTCTTACATTCAATAGTACTCATTTTAAGTGTTTTGTTTCATGTAAATTTTTATTACAAATGGTTTCAGAATTATTTTGGATGTAAGTGGCAATAAAATGTAAACAACTAGATGAAAATAATATACATTGCCTTGATAAATAAATGAGTGAATCCAAGTTCACTACAGACAAGAATGAGGCACTGGATGAAAATGGCATTCCTTAATATGAGACAGGAGTTTTCAAAGCAAGATCTGTTAGGTAGTTAAGAGGGCAATAAAAAAAATTGTTAAACAAATGAGTCAGAAAAAAATGTAAATCTTTTAAATAACATTTTTTAATAGGCTGGTGGTGACATTATAAGAATGCATTTCAGGCCGGGCATGGTGGCTCATACCTGTAATCCCAGCACCTTGGGAGACCGAGGCGGGTGGATCACTTGAGGTCAGAAGTTCGAGACCAGCCTGGCCTACACGGCGAAAACCCATCTCTACTAAAAATACAAAAATTAGCCCAGTGTGGTGGCAGGTGCCTGTAATCCCAGCTACTAAAGAGGCTGAGGCAGGAGAATCGCTTGAACCTGGGAGGTGGAGGTTGCAGTAAGCCGAGATCTCACCATTGCACTCCAGCCTGGGCAACAGAGCAAGACTCCATCTCAAAAAAAAAAAAAAAAGAATGCATTTATAGACTGGGCACTGTGGTTCATGCTTGTAATCCCAGGACTTTGGGAGGCCAAGGCAGGTGGATCACTTGAGATCAGGAGTTTGAGACCAGCCTGACCAACATGGTGAAACCCGGTCTCCACTTAAAAAAAAAAAAAAAGAATGCATTTCTAGGCTTGGTCAGATTTCAAGACATTGAGATGTGCATAAAAATACTCTCTTCTCGGCTCAGTGCACCTTTTCCAAAGGTAGAGTTTTACACAGCATCAAGACCAAGATGCCTCCAGGACTCTGGCGTCTTTTCTTCCATAATACAGTCTGAGGTACCTTGAGGCAAGGAATTCCACAGGGAAGCGAAAACTGGATTTACTTCCTTGTTTCTGGGTTTTCTCTCCACAGTTGCCTAAGAGTGTTAAACTGTTGTAAATGTCTTCTAGCACTTATAAATAAAGCTACTCTTTGGATTTCCTCCATCTGACAAGCTCCAGAATAGAGCTGTGGGCAAGGACACCACTATTGCTCTCCAGCTAACCCATGTCCATACCTTTGACATTAGACTCATACCTGTATTTTTAGTTTTGAGCGATTTTCTCCACTTGGAGGCAAAGGGGAGATATAGCACAAGGAAAAGGAAGTCAGATTCCAGGCCTGAGTAAGATTTGACACACCGCTGCTGGCTTCAGAATACAGAGGCCCATGTGCAAAGACCAGAATGATGTCTCTGGGAGAAAAGACAGGCCCTAGGCTTACAACAAGCAAGGAGATGGAGACCTCAGTACTACAACAGCAGGGAACAGGATTCTACCTACCAATGAATGAGCTTGGAAATGGAGTCTTCCCAGAGCTTCCCAATAAGAGCTCAGCCACACCTTGATTTCCAAGAAACCCAGAGCAGAGAAACCAGCTGAGCCAACATAGGCTTCTGACCTACAAAACTGAGGTAGTAAATTTGTGTTATTTCATACTAAAAAGTTTATGTTAATTTGTTACAGCAGTCCTACAAAGCTGATACAAACAGATAACAAGTGTTGAGTCCCAGATAATTAAAGAAAATACACCAAAATGTTAACAGTAGTATCTTCAGATAGTTAAAAAATATATAATAGTTAAAAAACATTGTTACTTTGTTAGACTTTTCTGTTTGTCTGAATTATTTTTACAATGAGCATGTATTGCTTACATAAAATTTGGATTTCCATTTTTAAAATTAAAAGGTCAAAATGACAATGTATCAAGGAGAATGTAATTAGGGTGCCAACCATTTCCTACATCTCATTCCCAGGAGCTTCCACATTCAAAGACTCTCATTACATACACAGGCCTCTGGCTCCAGGCTGCAGTACGTGGCTGTGAGTTCTTCCTTCCCTGTTGGTCTCCCAGGTCGCCAAGGGAGGCCCTGAACCTACCCTGAACCTCTCTAAGGATGAAAGCCCACCTCACTCCCTGCTGGGGAGGCCAAGCTCTAAGAGAAGGCCTCTTGTCTTTTCCCTTCAGGCTTCCATACCTATTGAGACCAACTAAACCTCTCTGGCAGACACTGTTAATCGAATAACACAAGAGTTTTTCCCAGTCTCCTTTTATCTTGCCTGCCTCCTATGGTAATGGCAAAAAGAGTGAGACTCTAGATTCCCTGCCCCCCTTGCAGGTAGGGATAAATATGTAACTCATGAGACTGGAGTGAGAGTCCACGGGGGGCTTCCTGGGAAAATGTTTCGCTTCCCTAATAAAAGTGACAGAAGGCCAGGCGCGGTGGCTCACGCCTGTAATCCCAACACTTTGGGAGGCTGAGGCGTGTGGATCACGAGGTCAGGAGTTCGAGACCAGCCTGGCCAATATGGTGAAACCCTGTCTCTACTAAAATACAAAAAATTAGCTGGGCGTGGTGGCACGTGCCTGTAGTCCCAGCTACTCAGGAGGCTGAGGCAGGGGAATCGCTTGAACCCGCGAGGCAGAGGTTGCTGTGAGCCAAGATCGCACCACTGCACTCCAGCCTGGTGACAGATCAAGACTCTTTCTCAAAAAAAAAAAAAAAAAAAAAAAAACGGACAGAAATAGTGCTCAAAGCTCCTTCCCCCTTCTTTCTTCCTACTTTGAATGCAGGCATGATGTCTGAAGGCACAGCACCAATCTTCTGATCATGAACTATTAAGCATGAGGATAAAGGGCTAACAAGGTAAGGGGATAAAGCAGAAAGGTGAAGGCTGGTTCACCGACAGCATCATTAGCAGCTGAATCAAATGTTAGCAACTCGTGTCTCAGTTTACCATTAGACACGTGTGAAAAATAAGCCCTTATTGTTCTAAAACTCAAGCAAATGCAGTTGCCTCCATCCATACCTCAACTGCCTGGCACAGAATTTCAGAGTACTGGTGCTGTTTTCTGTGAGATGCAGAGATGAAGAAGGGAAAACAGGGGAGGTAGGAGGAGAAAGAAGTATTTGAGAAAACTTGTTTACATGTGTTTTCCACAGGTAGATGCCTTCACATCTCTAATTTTGTCAAGTCCCATAAAGCTCTATGCTGAAGCTGAGACATCATCACTTATGACACAGATTTCAGCCCAAAGCATGCACTTCAAGGAGGACACAATAAGATTAACAAGTTATATGCAATCATATGGGGTACAGGATCCCCCAAATGATTCTTCTTACATTTTGCTCCAAATAGCTTTTAATTAACAATTATTTTACTGTCTTAGTTCTCATTTAGGTAAAACATCAGAGCACAAAAGTATCATTAGTTATTATTGTAAATTAATTATTCAACCAAAAGTGTTAAGTATACAGTATTCTTCTTCTTCTTCCTTTTATTTTATTTTATTTTATTTTATTTTATTTTATTTTATTTTATTTTTTTTTTGAGATGGAGTCTTACTCTGTCACCCAGGCTGGAGTGCAGCGGTGTGATCTCGGCTCACTGCAACCGCTGCCTCCCGGGTTCAAGCAATTCTCATGCCTCAGCCTCCCAAGTAGCTGGGATTAGCATTACAGGCACCCACCACGCCAAGCTACACTGGCTAATTTTTATATTTTTAGTAGAGACAGCATTTCACCATGTTGGCCAGGCTAGTCTCAAACTCCTGACCTCAAGTGATCTGCCCTGCTTGGCTTCCCAAAGTGCTGGGATTACAGGCGTGAGCCACCCCGCCTGGCCTTACTCTTATCTATGACCTTTCAGTTAATGAGAAGAATTAGAACTAGATCCTAATCTCTTTGGCCGCATATAAAGGTCAGTTGGATTGAGCTTCCTGAACACATTCCATAAATAATTTTATTCAGACTCTTCACATGCATCTTTAATATCAATACTTTCATCATCATTGAAGCCCCTATCAGAGTCATTTAACATCATTTTCAAAGCACACTATTGTCACTTTCAACTGTTTGAAATATAGCTCTTTTTCAGATCACCTAAGGTCAGGAGTTCGAGACCTGCCTGGCCAACATGGTGAAACCCCATATCTACTAAAAATACAAAAATTAGCCGGGCGTAGTAGCAGGCACCTGTAATCACGGCTACTAGGGAGGCTGAGGCAGGAGAATCATTTGAACCCAGGAGGCGGAGGTTGCAGTGAGCCAAGATCGCGTCATTGTACTCCAGCCTGGGCGACAAGAGCAAAACTCCATCTCAAAAAAAAAAAGGAAAAAGAAAAGAAATAAAAGCCCTTTTTTGGATCTGAATATGAGTTTATTATTAAAAACTTAATCCTAAATCACAAGAATCTTTGAAGAACATTAGGTCAGTTGGTTTTTGCTTTAATCTTTTTTTGTTTGTTTTGAGATGGAGTCCTGCTCTGTCACCTAGGCTGGAGTTCAGTGGCACAATCTTGGCTCACTGCAACCTCCGCCTCCTGGGTTCAAGTGATTCTCATGCCTCAGCCTCCCCAGCAGCTGGGATTACAGGTGCCTGCCATCATGCCTTACTAATTTTTTTTGTATTTTTAGTAGAGATGGGGTTTACGCCATGTTGGCCAAGCTGGTCTCGAACTCCTGACCTCAGGTGATCCACCCGCCTCAGCATCCCAAAGTGCTAGGATTACAGGCATGAGCTACCAGGGCTGGCCTGCTTTAACCTTTTAAAAATAATCTTTAAAAGGCTTCTTTACAACAGTGGGTCTCAAAGTGTGGTCCCAGACCCCAGCATCACCTGGGATCTTGTGAGAAATTCACATTCTTAGGCCTTACTGCAAAATTACTGAATCAGGAAATCTGGGGATGGGCCCAGAAAGCTGGGTTTTAATAAGCTCTCCAGGTGATTCTGATACACACAGCAGTTCGAGAGCCACTACTTTACAATAACATCTCACTGTTGCAATTATGAGGCCATGTCATTAATAATAATCTAGTTAAAATGTGTGTACCTCTTTTTTTTTTTTTTTTTTGAGACAGGGTTTTGCTCTTGTCACCCAGGCTGGAGTGCAATGGTGCAATCTCGGCTCACTGCAACCTCTGCCTCCTGGGTTCAAGCAATTCTCTTGCCTCAGCCTCCAGAGCATCTGGGATTACTAGCATGCGCCACCATGCCCAGCTAATTTTTGTACTATTAGTAGAGATGGGTATTTACCATGTTGGCCAGGCTGCTCTCTAACTCCTGACATCAGGTGATCACCCACCTCGGCCTCCCAAAGTGCTGGGATTACAGGTGTGAGCCACTGTGCCTGGCCACTGTACCTCCTTTTTAAAACTGATTTTACTTTCATAGAAACTTCTAGAAATACTCTGTGTTAGCTAAAACAGTAACTCCTGTCACATCTTGTCTCTATACCTTGCTTTATTTTCTTTATAATGTGTTAAATATCAGACATCATCTATCTGTTTAGTATCTGTCTTCCCCCACTAGAATGCATGCTTCATGAGGCAAGCACTTGTTTTTTGTTCCTGGTTGTCTTCACAACAACTAGAACTGTACCTGGTCCTATTGGAAATGAAGTGATTATTGAGGTAATTTCAGGCTAACACATATTCCTGAACTAGGGTAGACCACACAGGCCCAAAGACTACCTACTATCGCGCTGAGCTATTTTTGTTTACAAGATTCTGACACCAAATATGTCGGGGGTTTTTCCACACCAACAACCAGTTCTCCAATTCTCCGGATACAACTGGGTATCCTGTAATTCAATTCAATTCTGACACTACCTAGAGTTATTGTCAGATTCCACACATTTAAGGGCTTAGTCCACAAAACTTCCTTCACTTCAGATGCCAGTCAGGTGCCTAGCATGCCCACATTTCTGACTTGGCTACAAAGTCTAGGGTTCCCATAACACCCCATTAGATTTAATAACTTGCTAGAATGGCTCACAGAACTCAGGAACTCATTTTTTTACTATTATTTGTTTATTATAAAGGTCACAACTCATAAATAGCCAAATAGGAGAAATGCACTTGGCAAAGTATGGTGAGGGGGGCACAGCTTCCATGTCCTCTCTGGGCACACCACCCTCCCAGCACCTAGATAGCTTTACCAACTTGGAAGCTCTCTGAACTTTATCACTTAGGGTATTTTATGGAGGTTTCATATTGATTAAATAAATCATTGGCCATTGGGATAACTCAATCTCTAGCCCCTCCCCTCTGCCCAGAGGTGGGGACAAGAAGCAGAGGCCGAAAGGCTGAAAGTTCCAACCCTCTAATCATGACTTTTTTTGTTTTTTAGATGGAGTCTTGCTCTGTCACCCAGGCGGCTGGTGTGCAGTGGCATGATCTCAGCTCACTGCAACCTCTGCCTCCCAGGTTCAAGTGATTCTCCTGCCTCAGCCTCCCAAGTAGCTGGGACTACAGGAACTCACCACCAAGCCCAGCTAATTTTTGTCTTGCTAATTTTTGTCTTTTTAGTAGAGACAGTGTTTCGCCATGTTGGCCAGGCTGGTCTCAAACTCCTAGGTGATCTGTCCACCTTGGCCTCCCAAACTGCTGGGATTACAGGCAGTGGCCACCATACCTAGCCATTGCTTGGACTTTCTAAAGACTAGCCCCCATCTTGAAGCTCTCTAGGGGCTCTCAGACACCAGCCATCTCATTAGCACATACAAGACACTCTTAGCTGTGTAGTGGCTCAGGCCCATAACCCCAGCCACTTGGGAGGCTGAGGCGGAAAGGGAGGATTGCTTGAGGCTGGGAGTTCAAAACCAGCCTGGGAAACATAGCAAGATGGCACTCATCACTGGTTAGAGTCCAAGGATTTTAGAAGCCAGAAGCCAGGAACCAGAGACAAAGACCAAATATGTATTTCTTATCATGCCACACACAGAATTATCTAATTCTCTATCCTTACTCTTCATAGCATGTATATATTTATTTGTTTGGTAGTTATGTCTTCCCAGGAGAAAGTAAGATCCATGAGGGCAAGATTTTTGTGTTTTGTTATTTTGCTGTTTACTTAGTATCTGTATTACTAAGATTCTCGGTAATAATCAATAAATATCTGTTAAATAAACAAATGAATCTAATTTGTAAATTCTACTACTGCTAACTAATTTAGTCACTTGTGCCATTAGTCCACAAGATGACGCCCCAACCTCCAACCTCCCACCCCAACCCCTGCCTCAGAAGTGAAAGATACTTAAGCAGTTCAAGTTACCAATGGCTAACATGACAATTACAGGGATATAATCTTAAAGGCAGGAAGAAATGTAATTTTAAAAACTCCAGTCATAAGACATACAGAAAAAAACCTATATATTGAAAACTTTTTGGTTATTTGTTATTAAAGCATTATAAGAATACTCATTAAGGAGAGAGGAAAAGACATGACAAGCTGATTGTTTTGGGGGACAGGTTAAGAGGTTGGAGGGAAGTGATTTTTTGTTTTTTCTTATCCCGAACTGTGGTAACTTTATATTTGAGCTGATGAAAAAAAATTCTGGGCCATCCACTGTACTTTTTAAGAGTCCATTTGTTAGACAAAATATGAGGAAATATGGTCTATTTTATCAGCTTTTTTTTTGGTTTCTAAATGGCTATTTAAATACAGATAGCAGTACATACATGACAAACTGGAAGAGCAGGTTCTGCCACGCTGCCAAGTCACCTGTTACCTGATATCTCCTCTCAGAGGGCAGAACCAGCAATGCAGTGTGGCGTAACACAGCTGGAAACGTGCCCAAGCTGGGCCGCCAAGTGCAAGAAGTAGACTTCATGTTAAGAACTGTGAAGGTCAGGACAAATCACTACTTGACATATGCCACTCATATAATTTCAGAAATGAGTAGGAAAAAGAATCCCAGACAAAAGGGAATAGAAGTCAAGTCAAAGTGAAGGCACACTGACTTTTTATAGTTAACTTTTTCTTACAAGTTATATAAATCAAGCCAAGAAATGTAAAATATGATTGTGCACCCCAGTTTTATCTGTGCAGTTCAAATAGGTAGTTTTACTTTGATCAAGACTTCCACACTTGATTTCTGGCAAAAAAAAAAAAAAAAAAGGGAACACTCTTTTTCATGCGGTATATGCTATTTTCTTAAAACAATATATATTTCTCATTAACACTGTTTGCTTATAGGTGGTTATTCTATTTGCACAAATAGAACTGTATGGATAATGAATATAAACTGTTACCATAAATCTTCTAAATTATATGAATGATCATTACAAACAAATGTGCTTAGCACCTATTTTGTTGATAGCCCATTGCCTCTGAGAATCTGCCTTTTCCTAAGACAACTGTTTGGGTTACCTCTCCCGATTTCGTATTCTGGCCACCAAAATAAAAATTTTCAATAGTAACAAAATTAGGTGTCCTTTTAGGACGAGGGAAGTTGAGTGATGTATAAAAACATTCACCCAGAAACCAGGCTTCTGGGCCTAGAGTCCTTAAGTGACTAGTTAAAGTGATTGAAAGGTTCCAGTGTTTCCCATTGCAGGAAATTACTTAATCTCTTAGAGCCTTCTTTTCCTTCTTATAATATTAGAGCATTACATAATTATAAAAGTAACTATGGTTTCTAAATCCTTCCCTGCTCTAAAAATACATAATTCAAAGCTGCTAAAAATAAATACTTTTAAAATTGGCTGTGACATATGTGACATATACATATATAAACAGAGTTTCACTGTGACAAGGGGAGGGGCTATACAATGTTTTGTAGCAGAAATTTACAATGCATCGGTATCAAGATGCTTTTGTTCCTGAAAAAGTGTTTCAGGGTGGCATTCAACCTGAAGGCAAAGTTCTGGGAAGCCCCCAGGCACTTCAGTGGAAACACAGGGCAGTGTTTTGGGGGACCACATCACAGCTCAACTGGGGACCCAGCGGAACTTGTAACCCCCGTTGGCTGTTCTGATGGTGAAGGCATTGCCCTGGGGGAAGGCGAGGGTGCGGATGGTGCTGTGGCTGCGGATGCGGGTGCTGAAGGAGCCGCCCTCCTCCAGCTCACTGTGGCTCAGGTTCAACGCGCTCCGGCTGCAGTCTGTGCGCAGCCCCCGGAAGGCGCCATGCAGGTTCCCGGGCCTGGTGTCAGTATTCGCGGGCTCTGGCAGCAGTCGGGGCCGCTTGGGATCGCGGCTCTGAAGGGCTTCATCGCAGCGCTCGGAAATCTCCCTCAGGATGGCGTCCACTTCCGCGCAATCCTGCCCCGCAGCGCTGACCAACTCCTCCAGGCTCCTTTTGGCCTTCGCCTTGAGCAGGAAGGGCTCGGCCGCCGCCCCACAATCCCGGGACTGTGTGATCATCAGCTTCTACGAAAGACAGGGAAGAGCGCCGCCCTGGGGCCTGCCGGACCCTCCGGGTTCGGAGCGTGCAAAAGGTGACCTAGGCGCGCTACGCACCACGCACTCAGCGGTACTCTCCTCTCCCGGGCCCCCACGGGTCCCGATGCTGGGCGGGGATGCACTGAACTGTTCAGTTCCGACGTGCTGCAGTTCCCACACGCCCGCGCCCCACTTACATCCAGCACCGAGGCCAGGTGCCGGGTTCGGCTGGCGAGTTCCTTCAGCTGCACGTTCCGCTCCTTGAGCGAGGCGATCTCCTCCTGTTTCTGGGTCAATGTCACGTGCAGCTGCAGGAGGAGACCCAAACATTCAGGGGTAGGTACTGTGCTGGGTCTCGTCTGCATATCTGGCATGAATCAAACCCAGATCCTGACGTCTCATCAGGAACTGGGGACGCACAGGCATTTACGCTAGTGAGAATAATAATCAATTTACTTTTTTTTTAAAACAAAGCACTTGGACAAAATTTATCTCCATTAATCCTCGGTGTAGCGTGCTGATAAAGAGTACTGACTTGGGCAACAGGCAGATCTAGGTTCTGTCACCGAAGTTCAACAATCCTATGTCTTGATTTCCTTGTAAAACGGGGCTAGTAAGAGTATCTAGCTCAATGATTGTGAGCATTAAGTGGGAAGAAAAAGTATAAATTGGTAAGTCCAGGGCCAGACACATAGAAAGCCTTCAAAAAATATTGGCGTCCCTATTAAAAATCTGGCAGGCACTATGCAATATATGTATGTAACACAACTGCACTTGTACCTCTAAATCCCCCCAAATAAAACTATTTTTAAAAATAAATAAAATGGCCAGGTGCAGTGGCTCACGCCCATAATCTCAGCACTTTGGGGGTTGAGGCAGACGGATCACCCGAGGTCAGGAGTTCCAGACCAGCCTGGCCAACATGGTGAAACCCCGTCTCTACTAAAAATATAAAAATTGGCCAGGTATGGTGGCATGCGCTTGTAATCCCAGCTACTTGGGAGGCTGAGGCACGAGAATGGCTTGAGCCTGGGAGGCGGAGGTTGTAGTGAACCGAGATCATGCCACTGCACTCCAGCCTGGGCGACAGAGCGAGACTCCGTCTCAAAAAAAAAATGAATAAATAAATAAAAATTAATTAATAAAATAAAATAAAAATCAGGTGGGGTAGAATTATTCCCACTTAACCAATTTGGAAACAGGTGGAGCCACCGGAGCAATGGCAGCTACGTGAACCACCAGTCAGTCCACTGGTTCCGACTCACAGGACCTCATCTTCTCCCTTGCAAACCCCACTTCCACCCTCTATATCCTGTCCCTGCCCCAGGATTCCTGGTCGCCAGACCAGTGTCCCTACTTGATTATTCTCAACAAGCGCGTCTCCCAACGCTCTCTGGTTCTGGTCCGCCACCTCCTTCCAGTATTGCTCAGGCGGGGGCACGTCTGGAGGGCGCAGCGGTGGTGACTGCAGGGCCCGTGGGTCCAGTGGCGGGGAGAGGCAGGGCCCGAATGGTGATATGTCGCAAGGAGAGAAGGGGAAGTCTCCGCTGGCCAGGGTAGGCGACATCATAGAGGATGAGTCTGGAGAAGAGCAGGAGCTGGATTTGCAGCCTCAAATTCATGCCCAGCTAGTTACAGGAGCAAAATGCCACTCTGGGTGTAGGGTGTATGTAGAGATTTTTCTTTATTAAATTAAGCACCCTTACTCCTAAACGCCTGATTACGAGGCCCTTCCTGATAGCCTGTACATACACAGCAGGTATCCAACATATGCCTGTTAAGTTTACCTGAATTCAATCAAGAACACTTCCCTGGGCCTGCACGTCACACAGGCCTTCGATACCCTGCACACTCGTCACTCAACCTCCCCTGCCACACCACAGCATAGGGCTCCCTCTCCCAGAACTCACACCGATCCCAGATAAAGCGCTATGTAGATCCAGCGGTTCGACTTCTCCACGGGGGAGAGAAATGTCCTAAATATGGAAAAGGCTGACTCTTTGATGAGTTGCTGGAGAGTCGTTGACAGTTGGCTGGGTTTACCACCTTCACGACCACGAAATCTGAACTAGTCTGATTTGGGAGTGGGGGACACCCCCGCTGTTATTTAACTGCCAGGAGACTGCACTTGCCTGAAATGAGATCATCCACCGTGTCTCTGAAATCTTGCAGATTGAAGTCTGCTTCCGTTTGGTGGGAATGGTTCTGAAAAAAACCAGAGGTGTACACTGGTTAACGAGTCTGGCGTTAGAAAGCCTTCAATAAATATTGGCGTCCCTGTTAAAAATCTGGCAGGCACTATGCAATATATGCACGTAACACAACTGCACTTGTACCCCTAAGTCCCCCCAAATAAAACAATTTTTGTGGCGGGTCCGGAACCCTTTCTAGACCAACAGACCTCCTCCCGGGCTCGGCGGCGGTCTGCTCGCACTTACGTCGCCAGCCCAGTCTCGTACCCGAAAATTCAAGCCCCATCCGAGACAGGGAACCCAGCAGGCTTGCACTGCCACGGTGGGGAGCGGGACGCACGGAGCACGACACTGACTGGGGGAAGGGGGCAGCAGTTCGCGGCTCCTGCAGAGCAGCTGCGTGGCGGGAATGGGTCCTTCCACCGGCGGTGCGGCGGCCCTGCGCCGGCTCCGGGCAGCCGAGTAGCCCGCCACCCACCAACTAGCTAAGCAGCCGCCTCTGTGAAGCTCGGCGGTTCCCTGTGCGCCTGCGAAATTTTGACTCCGACTCACCAGCGACCGGCCACCGAGCCGCCGCTGTAGGAGCTGAGAGCACGTCTTGAACACCGGATCTTTCCACCCAAGACCCGACAGCGTGCAGGGGCCTCGAGCAGTAATTTGAGGCCGCGTTTCCCGCCAAGGTTTGGCCCCAGCTAACCGCCCCACCCATGCAACCGAGCGGGAAGAAAGCTGTGATTCGAGGGGCCAGGAGAATACGGGAAAAGCTTCTGTTCTGCGCACAGCCAGTGCGGCCTCCATTGCTCTTTCAGTTTCCCAAAAAGTTGGGAGTACTCTTTTCTCGTACAGCCGGTGCACCTCCAACATTATGAACTGTACTCTCCCGGCCTCCTGCAGAGTGTCTGGGTGTGTGAGAGGAAAGGAGACCCTAAGGGGCTGGAGGCGCATAGGCCTTCTTGTTCCCTTAATTCATGGACATTTAGAGTTGATAAAAACGCTTTTACACAGTCTCTCAGTTCATCCTCATACCAGTGTGGGAAGCGGCAGGGGCCTAACTGATTCCTCTTTGAGGAAGAATCTGAAGCTCAGAGAGTTACCCAGTCACCCAGCTCTGAAGTAGTGGAATAGGGCCTCCTGCCTCCATACTTCATTTCCTCTAGCTTTTCTCTCTTTTTAGGAAAGCTGGCTTCCACCGAAGACAGCACTGGGAAGGGGACAGGAGTCTCAAGGGCCATGGTAAGAGAAGATGCATCCAATAGCCCACCAGAAAGACCTTATTATACTGAATGCACTGTTGATTCATTCCTTTGCGCTCATCATACTGTTATCCCCAAAGCCCTTCTTTACTATTAAAATATTTCTGGGAAGAGGAACTTACTCTGCCCCTAACTTCAAAGAATGTACAAGTATCAGTTTTCCCTTGGGAGAAAAGAGTCAAGCAGGGAGGCCTCTAGCACCTCTGCCACTAGTTGGATGCTGAGACTATAAGAGAAAGGAGATGAGAAAGGAAGGGCTGAGGGCCCCAGACAAGTCCTGGAGCATGAGTGCTGCCCTGGTTGAAGGGGCTCATTCTTCAATAACTGGAAGGTCTCCTCCTGGGTAGGGATTTGAGAAAAGTCTCATGAGGAGACTGGAGGCCAACTCAGGAACTGGGGCCCTGGAAATGCTACCTCTTATGCCAATCCAGGTGTTGGTCCATTCTGAACCTCAAACATTTCTAGAGCACTTCCTCTCTCTGTCCACCTTTCCCAGCAGGAAAGGAATGGGGAAATGTGATCTGAGTGTCCCAGGGGTCTCCCTGAGTGTTTCTCCCCTGGGGGCCTCTTTCCTCTGAACTAGCTCTGTCTTTCCCAGGAAAATTCCTGGATTTTTTGGTCCATCTGATGTGAGCTCTGTCCTTGAAACTTCGAGGCTGGGCATAGTGGCTCATGCCTGTAATCTCAGCACTTTGGGAGGCTGAGGCAGACAGATCGCTAGAGCACAGGAGTTCAAGACCAGCTTGGGTGACATGGCGAATCCCCATCTGTACAAAAAGTACAGACAAACCAAAAACTAGCTGGCCGTGGTGTGTGCACCTGTAGTCCTGGCTACTTGGGAGGCTGAGGTGGGAGGATCGCCTGAGCCTGGGAGGTCCAGGTTGCAGTGAGCCATGATCATGTCACTGCCCTCCAGTCTGAGTGACAGAGTGAGACCTTGTCTCAAAAAAAGAAAAAGAAAATAAACAAAATGAAACTTTGAATTCTACCTCCCCAATTAGATAAATCTGGCATTTCTCCAACTACAAATGCAAGAAAAAAATTCTAACAAAGAGCATGATGCCAAATGTAGAATCTGTATACTTAGACAAACATCCAATGAGAGCTGCTTGGGTTTTGTTACTTGCACAATAAACATGCTGGGGTAAGGGAGTGACCTAGGCCTCTGGGTCAGTTGGAAGATACTCAGGCATTATCTTTCCTTATTTGATCATCCAGATCTAAAAAGAACAATTAAATGTCCTCTGCAGTGCAGTGCCCACTCCCAACTCTTGCCTTAACAATCTCTGCTCTCAGCAGCCACCTAAACTGAGTGTCTCTGGGCTCTAGCCCAAGGTTCTAGGAGGCCCTTGGAGGAGGGCTGAGTTTTGCTCCACCAGCACTCCCAGTTCTGGGAGGTGGTCAATTCTTTGTAGAGTTCCATACTGGGCCTGTCTGCAAACCCCAGACCTATTGCCAGCAAGCTGAAACTGGCACTTTTCCTGGGGGTTGCATCTGTTTAAGACCTCCTGTCCCTCTGGGCACTTCATGTCCTACCCATGAGCCAGGCTTCTGGCCTCCCAGACACCAGTGCTGGGAGACTCCCTTCTCTGCCTGGGAAGCGTCAGCACCAGCAAGTGGCGGAAGTGGGATGGGAGCAAGAAGACAGGTTTTGGGGAAAAGAAAAAAGTCAAGTGCCTTTTTGCCCCATCACGGCAAGTGACTAGAGCTTTTCGAAGGGCTGAACAGGACTTTGAAAAAGCGCCCAATTGCTGAAGGACTGTCTCTGCAGAGAAGAACATTTTCTGCAAGATTACTTCCAGAGTCCTTTGTCCTTCCTGCTTCTTCCAACTGCAAATTCTCTTGCTCTTTTCCAGTCCTGATAGAGAAGTTATCCATCAACCTCCACTCTTCTTATATACCCACGGAATGAAAATGGCCAGGAAGGGGGTGTTGGGAGAACTGATAGGAATGCAACAGGTTCCCAGTGCGCAACTTTGCTCCCACCCACCCGCCTGGTCTCTCAGTGCGCAATCTTGTCACAGCTCCAAAGAGTAGATAGGGTGGGAAATAGGAGGGGAGGCCTCCAGATGAGCCCGACTGTATCAAGTTGGTCAAATCAGCTCCAGTGGATATGTGGTCTTCATAACATACTAGGATGCAAGTAGAAGTTCTGATCTGGGAGGCTCAGGTGCCTGCACAATGCTTCCCCTCACCAGCTGAGTGTGCCTGCGCTCCCGACCCGAGAGGAGCTTTTGGGGAATTAAAACCACCACCCCGGAGGAGGGTTTGGGTTGCGTGAAACCACGAGGCTCCACGAGAAGGGGAGGTACCTGCGAGGCGGCCAGGTCACCACCAGGCGGCGCGTCGGACCCGAGTAGCGAAGAGCAGTCAGCGAGGTCCTGCAGGTCTATGGTGGTGAGGGCTGCGCGGGGAGACCGGGAGACACGCGCCGGGCGGGCCCTGAGCCTCTCCGCCAGGCTCGCAGCTAGGACGTCAGAGCCCGGGGGAGAGAAGCTCCTCCGAGCTGTGCGCGCCGCACCCTCCCGGCGCGGGGAACCCGAGGGGTAGCGTGGGTGCCACGGGGCTCACCTGGCAGCGCTGTGGGCTCGGCGTCCGGGGGATCCTCGTACACCGACACCGGGCTCCCGCCTGTGCATCCGGGGAAGAACTTCCGCGGAGGAGCGAACTGGCCGGGCACACAAACGTTGAACGCGGGTCAGCCCTCGGGGCACCGAGCGCGCAGACCCCGCCCGGCCCGAATCAACCGCCCCACCTTCCTCTCCGGCTTCCCCGGCTTGCAGAGCAGCGCCCGGCCCGGCAGTGCCAGCATTCTGTTGGGGCAGATGCTGTCGAAGGCCCGACGGCCGGCCGCGCCGCCCCCGCACGCCTGCATTGTGCCTCCTGCCTCCGGGTGCCGACTGCTCGGAGGCGGCGGCCCGGGCTGGGGCAGCGATCCACACCCTGCACTCCCTTCAGTGCCTGCAGGCTCCGAAGCCAGCCAGAGGTTGGGGCAGGCGCGTGACCGAGAAGGAGCCGAGGGGCTGCCGAGGAGGTGCTGAGAGATGGCGGGGGAGGGGGAGGACCGCCGCGCGGGAGGGGTGGCTTGCGCCTGAGCGCCAGAGGTGGCGCCTTCAGCCCGGGACAATCTGCGCGCGGGCGGAGGCGTTAAACCCAACCTGGCAACCGGGCTTCCCCCGGGAGCCGCCAGCGCGGGGCCCCGGCCCGCCAGCGCCGTTTCGGCGAGCTTTGGCGCCGCCGCCTCCCGGACGCGCCAGGCGAAGAGAGGGAGAAGGAGGGGCGGGCAAACGCCGGTCTCCCTCGCCCTGGGTACCGTCTTCCCGCTTACAGACAGGGGGAATGGCAAAGTTAACGATTATTTCCTTTTCTTCCCACTCCAGCCACAAGGCGCACGAAATAAACGTGGAGTGACACCCGCCAGCGCTAGACTCCGGCCTTTGCGCTCCTGCAGGATTTAGTAAGGATGTAGAATACCGGCAGGGATGCCCTGGAACAGCCCCCTTATTACAGAAGCCCCTTCCCTCAAACCTGAACCTTATCCTGGGTCCTGACTTATGGATTTCCACGTGGTCTCTTTTGGCCTGACGCCAAGAGCCCGCCCCGCTCCCCAAGCCCCGCACTCTTCTCGGCAGTGGCGCGTGAGCACAGCCTTTAAAAGACCGTCCGTTAAGAAAAAGTGACACTACGAACCCTCCTCCACTTTCTGAAAACGCCACAGTGGAAAGTACCGAATCCCCGAAAACCCTGTTCCTGTCTTTCCTAGTGGCCTCAGCGGCCCATCGCCACGTTTGGCTGGTCTCTTCGCAGTCGTAGTTGCCATTCCCAAGCCAACACCTCTCCAAGGAATGGGCATTTTCCTGAGTCCGAGGCATCTCCTAGGGAGGGGCATCCTTAGGCGAGGGACCTTTCTCAGTACCACTCATATTCATCCAATTTGAACAGTCGTCTGAAATTGGAATCTTTGTGTACCCACCCCCCTATGTTGGGCACCTTGTTTTCCCCTTATACCTAGTAGTCGTAGTGAAAGAGCCTCTAGTAAGAAACAAGATACCCTAACAGCGGTGGAAGGTAATCCAATGGTAGAGCTGGAATAGAGTGAGAGACTCTCTGACCCAGGAGTAGATGCAGAAACTGAATTGATGTGAGGTCAGCCAGCTAGAGTTGGTGTGGTATGGCTCATGGTGAGGAGCTCTGGCTTTAGGGTCAGAGTGCCTGAGGACCAGGTCCATGAGCCCTAGGTCTTTAGGAAAAAAAGTTACACTGGCCTCAATAGAGTTGCTGTGAAGATGAGTGAGATTATTTATGTAAAGTGACTGGTGCTTAGTATGGGTAAATTAGTGATTTTTTAAAAGCCTTTTCAGCTGTATTTCCAGCTTCCCACAACTTGTTCCTAGCCCTGTCTCCTGTTTCCTCTGGTTTCTGAGTAGCACGACCACTAGCCAGTCCATCTCCATCTCCATCCCCATCCTCACCCACTTTCCAGCCTTTAAAATGAGTAGGGAAGCTCTTAGCTGAGTTTTGGGGCGATCTCCACACATGCAGATCGTCACAAAATTTCCAGGATAGGCCCATTTTCCAAATATTCGTCAATGAGTTCTAAGTTGGAGTAGACAAAAATATGGGCATTGCACATTATCTGTTGTAACAGGAACTGGAATAGCATGATTATATGACTCCTAGTGTGGATGATTCTGGAACCAGTAACTCATAGCAGTCTTGGCTGATTAATGGAGCAGATATTGGTGAAGACAACTCCGCGCAAAGTCACTCTTTTGCCTGGGGACCAGACCCCAACCCCTTACAACCAAGCAGAGGGCCCTAATAATTTGTTATTTGAAACAGGTGATATGATCTTCCTCCTCCCTTTTCACCATCACAGAGCAGCTTTTACACAAATAGCTTGGGGATCACCACGTCCTTCTTCCACAGCCAAGGAGGAGAAAGTTCCTAGAAAGTTTAGCATAGCAATATGTCAGAAGAGGCATTCAAGGGGCCCAGAGTAAGGCACTCCTGGCTCCGAGAACACCTGGAAGACACACTTTGAGAGAAGTGCAAAGAAGTTTCTCTAAATTTGAGTTTGCTTTTTATTTGTATTTGTCATACATTTTGATATACCCTAGGTGCAGGGGAACATGACAGATTTTCCCCCAAAAAATTATCACTTTTTTCAACCATACAGAAAATTTGAAAAAACAGTACGATGAACAACCATATGTTCAACCCCACACAAATTGTTATTTTCCCATATTTGCTCTCGTTTCTTTGCTCCAAGTTTTTCTGCATAGCCCCTGTCCTCCCATCACTGTGCAGGTTACCACTAGCCTTTATTTCTTGAGGGCTTCCTATGTGCTGGGGGACCAGTATGGACCATCTCATTAGAGCTATACTTCCACCCTACTAAATAGGCCCTATTGATATTCCCATTTTATTTTTTTATTTTGAGACGGAGTCTCACTCTGTCGCCCAGGCTGGAGTGCAGTGTTGCAATTTCAGCTCACTGCAAGCTCCGCCTCCCGGGTTCACGCCATTCTCCTGCCTCAGCCTCCCGAGTAGCTGGGACTACAGGCACCTGCCACTATGCCCAGCTAATTTTTTGTATTTTTAGTAGAGATGGGGTTTCACCGTGTTAGCCAGGATGGTCTCGATCTCTTGACCTCGTGATCCGCCCGCCTTGGCCTCCCAAAGTGCTGGGATTACAGGCGTGAGCCACCGCGCCCGGCCGATATTCCCATTTTATAGATGAAACGTAGGCATAGATATGTGACTTGCTTAAGGTCACCTGGCAAATTGGATACAGAACCCACTTACTGAATCACTATACTACCTTATAACACGTAAACTTAATCTCATTTAAGCTTTTCAATCTCATTTAGACTGACAACAACCTTGATATCAATTGTAGAGCTCAGAGAGGATATGAAATTTGCTAGAGGTGACAGAGCTGAGAGATTCAGTGCCTGCATCAGATTCGTAACAGTGAGACTGAAGACAATATGACAGGCGGAGTCAAAACTCCGGCAAGCCTCTGTCTCATTTCTCAATTTGGTTTTCTCATCTGTAAAACGATTCCTGTAACGTGACTGAGGTACAGACTGCGCTGGCTCTCCAGATGTGTTCTCTATAGTCCCTACTGAATGGGGAGCACTGAGTAAATAACTGCCACCTATCTCAGGAAGAGGGTGTTTTGAGAATTACCAGAAACCTGTAAGTGGGGGACATTTAGCAGTGTGGCTAAGAGTGGGACTCTAGACTCAGATCCCGGCTACTCCACTGTTGTTTAATGGTTCTGTGCTCCAGCATCCTCCTCTGAAAAATGGGATAATAGACTCTGCTCCATAGAGTTGCTGGAAGAATGAAATAAATGCTGAACACAGTACTTAGGACATACTTAATGCTCAATATAGCCATTATGACTATTATGCCAGTTACTTTGGGCTCACATGTCGTAGCATGAACAGTTGGACCACGTGATTGCAGGGTAAATGGGCTCAACCTGCAATGGCTGTGACCACAGTCAAATCCTTGGTTTCCAACATGCTCCATTTGAACACGGGATTTCTCATGCCTGGATATGGCTTTCCCCCACTTCTGCTTGTGTGCCTGTGTGGTCCCCAAAGCTTCCCAGCCCCACATCTGCCTCACCAGCAAGTGCAACCCTCTGGACAGCATAGAGGTTCTATTCGAGGGTCACAGGACCCAAGCCATCAGGTAAGCCTGACTCCACTAATCTCTGGAATTCAGTATCCAGGACCTCACCTGACCTGGTGTTTCCACAGAGATCCCAATTACAGAGTGGACCCAGAGGGAAGGGAAAATCCCGCAAACGTTGCCAACCACCATTCCTGAGCTGAATTCACCTTCCCTCCCCGCAGACAGACACTTGCAGGATTTAGACAAACCACAACTGTTTATTGGTGAAAGACTCAGCTTCCTCATGTGCTCGCTGCAAAATAAATAAAATACCAGATGCTAGTATCGTACACTATTTACAACCTGCAGCTGACCAAGCAGGTCCTGAAGCCTTCTCTGTGGACCAGTACTGCACTCTTCTGAGGCTACGGGAGAGGTCCAGCAGCCGGGCCAGGGACTAAAAGGAAACGAAGGATCTGTTTTATTTCGAGCTCGGGGGCAGGCTGCACTTCTCGCAGATCTGAACGGGCAGCATGTGAGTCAAGGAAGTACTGTTTATGGCCACCAGCAGCTGCAACTTGCCCATACAGTCCTCCAGCGCCGCCTCCGGGTGGTCTCCCAGTCGCAAGTCCACGGGCCGCGAGACCCGCAGCATGCGGTCCGCCAGCGCCAGGCAGCAGATCGCCAGGAGGGAAGGGGAGTAGCTGGTGAAGGCATAGTCGGCCAGACTCAGCTCTGCCACCCCCCGCGCCAGGGCTTGCGCTTCCAGAGCTTCGGAGGCCTCAGCCTGCCCCGCCTCCACGCGAGCGTGCGTGAAATGCTCCAGGAAGAAGCTAATGGTGGGCGCACCCAGGGTGAAGTGCAGCTTGTGCAGCACGATGCACTCGAGGTTGCAGAGCTGCTGCCGGGAGAAGGCGCCGCAGCAGAGGGCCAGAAGCTGCTTCACGCGCGGCGGGTGCACCTCCACCTGCAACACAGGGCGCACTCAACCCCGCTTTGCGGCTTCCCGGGCCCCAGGCCCACCCCAGTATGACGCCCGGACTTTCCCCATCCCTTCCAGAGAGACAGCCGGGGCTCTGCCTCTCCACTGCTTCCACGTAAGTGACCTAGAGCGTACTTCCAGCGCAGTTGATCTAACTACTGTCCAACTAAAAAAAAAAAGCTTGGGAAATTTTGAAGGCTTTTTCGGAGGCTAGACTAGAGGTGCCAAAAGAGCTATTTGGGACTGATTACAGCTATTAGTCTATTAGGCTATTTCTTTGGAAGCCGAGTGACAGGATTTTTCGTTTGTGGAGAAATTGTGAAGTTAAGGCTAAGGGATATATGCGTATGCAAATGTCTGATAAAATGAGTTCTGGGAACCCAGCACTGAATCGTGCGCGCTGGAAAGACGGGCGGCCAGGGAGTGGCGGGGGAGTTTGGCTGCGTCCCCAGATGCCGCGTGTACCTGTTTGATACCCCAGGTACCTGTTTGCAAGCGATGAGCAAGGAGGTGACCCCAAGCAGCTGGAAGCAGTCTGCAGCCACCGGCGTGGTGGTGAGGAAGCGGTCCAGAGTGTTCACCGTCAGGCACAGCGACTCGAAGGAGAGGCCGAATTGGCGGTGCACCGGGATCAGCCAGCTGAGCAGCTTACAGCGGGATTCCGCCGTCACCTGCCGGGAAGGAGGGGGGAGGCGGGCCCGCTGGGCTTAGGGTGGAGAGGGACTGTGGAAGGGAAGGAAGGGCCAAGAAGAATCGGGGAGCTTCCCAGGAGAGGGGCAAGAAGATTTCAGAAAGAGAAACGCAATGGAAACTGGGAAACGCGTGGGCCGTGCTGAGCCGGAACACCGGGATTGGGACCTGGCGCTGTGCAGAGAGCGTCGTACACGTTACCTCGCGTAATGGGCTCAGCAATTCAAAGGAAGGGGAGGGGTTCCATTTTGCAGATGAAGAAAGAAGCTCAGGGGTGTTAAATAACTTGCCCGAGTTCGGTAGGAGTCCAGACTCAACCCGGAAACGAATTCCTCTCTACCGTGCCCCAGTAGCCAGCTTGGGACGGGGCAAGTCCCTCAAGCCGTCTACGCCCCACTTTTCTCCATCTGTAAAATGAGGCCGGTGACGCCCCTCCACGGCCCCTTGTGCTTCGACTCGGGGCGGGACCTGGGCTGTCGCGGGCCCGGGCGCTCGGAGGGCCGAGCCGGCAGGAGAGGAGAGAGCCTGGGAGGAGAGGAAGAGCGGCGGCGTGGAGCTGGCTCTACCAGCACCTCACTTGTGGCTGCCGTGCCAGCGCCTCCCGCGGGTGGAAGTGGCTCTCCTGCGCCTTGCGGAAGGCGTAGCAGCTCTGGCCGTAGTCGCGGAAGGTCTGTAGATCTAGCTGCGCCACGGGCTGGGCCGGGCCGGGCAGGGGGCTACCACCCCGCGCCGCAGAGGGGCTCTCTGCGCCGTCTGAGCCGGAGCTGGGGGACTCGAACAGGTCGCAAATGCCGGAGTCTCCCGGGAGCGGGCACGGGTTCAGGGGATGCAGCGGCTGCTTCCTCCGGAGGCGCGGACGCCTGCTCTTCTTCACCGGGGCGCGAAGGTTCTGGTCGTTGTCCCGCCTCCCCGCTCGGGCGGCGGGGCTCGAGGGGCTGGTGGGACAGGGGGTCACCATGATGCGGCCGGGTGGCCGCTTTACTACCTTCAACGCCCGGGCTGCGGCGGGCAGCAAACGCGCACTCGAAAGTGCGAAGGAGGCCGGGCTCAGAGGCTGGCGCGGTCCTAAGTACCCGGCCGGCTCCTTCTCTCTACCACACCCCCGGCCTCTCACTGGCTGAGCCCAGAGCGGCACCGGAGCCGCGATTTTCCGGCTGGAGAACCACTCGCCTCAGGGCGCAGGCAGCGCGTCGCCTCCGCGGCCCGCCGGGGGGAGGGGGAGCTGCAGCGCGCGCCAGGCACCCGCCTTTCGCGCCTGCGTCCTGCGTTACCTGGGCAACCGGAGCCCGGGTCGCTGCGGGAGCCCGGGTCACTGCGGAGCCCGGGTCACTGCGGAGCCCGGTGCACGGAGTGGGAGTAGGGCTGCGGCGGGCGCAGCCAAGCGGCTCCGCTGCGCCGGTTAAAACATTCTCCCAGGGGGCATCTCTCTGTCCTTGGCCAGATGGTCTCGACACGTGCGGGCACCTCTAACCCAGGTCGGTAATTTTGTAAAGGTCTGATCCTGAGTTCCAAACGAAAGTCGGGCTAGAATTCTGTCGACACGGGAAAAGTTTTCTTCAGTGACCCAAACAAGCAATAGTGTTAATTCGGTTGCGTTTGTCGGTTTTGTTTCGGTGGGTACCGGAGTAGCCAGTGCCCTTCCTTCCGCCAGCCTCGGGGAGCAGAGCCTCAGAAGGGCCGTTTGTGCTGCGGAATAGATTGGAGCTCCACCAGCCAGCCACGCTTTCGCGCTCAAAACAAAACGGAAAACTGCCGGATCAACCTCAGTCGGCAAGCAAGTCTGCAGGCCGTGAAGACTTTCTCCCACACTTTTCACCCCAAGCCAAGCAAGCTGGGGCTACAGCGGTTTAAGAACATTGTTGGAAAGTTGCATTTCGAGTTTGATCGAATTGCTCACAGCCTGTTCCGTTTTAGGTCATTAGCTTCTGGCCTTCTGCCCCGCCGGCAGCCCAGTCCTTGGTTTTTCCCTGCTTCCTGCGTCCGCTCCTTCAGGGTGATAAACTCAGGGAAATTAAAGCTGGAATGGGGACGCCCAGGCCGACCGGGCGTGGCAGTTTCCTCAAGGCGCCTCGGGTTTAGTCCACAGACTCCCGTCCTGGTAGAAGCTGGAGCCCTTCTGTGGCCTGAGTGAATCTTCCTGAGGGTCTCTGACCCTATAGGAGAAGGGGCTGCAGGAGCACAAGTAGCCCATAATCAACCTCACAGGCACTTAGCAACGGCAGAAAGCTCAGGTACCCTCAACCCTGGTGTTTTCCAGAGGCGAGGCTACTGGGTGCCAAACCAAGAGCAGGTTCAGCCACCTAACCTCATTCCAGAAGAAAGCTGATAAATGTGTCTGCTCAAAGTACAAGTTTCTGTCTATGAAAATTTAGTAGATGGTGGGATGGTGTCTCCTAGAGATGCAGGTGAAAGAAAAGGAATGGATTTTGGGTTCTGACCACTGTTCCTCCTATTTCCCCATAACTCTGAGCAAGCTCTCTATTCTGCCCTAAATAATGTCATTTGGGCCGGGCGTGGTGGCTCACGACTGTAATCCCAGCACTTTGGAAGGCCAGGGCAGGTGGATCACATGAGGTCAGGAGTTTGAGACCAGCCTGACCAACATGGTGAAACCCCATCTCTACTAAAAATACAAAAATTAGCTGGGGGTGATAGCACACACCTGTAATCCCAGCTACTTGGGAGGCTGAGGCACGAGAATCGAGAATCGCCTGAACCTGGGAGGGGGAGGTTATAGTGAGCCAAGATCATGCCACTGCACTCCAGCCTGGGCAACACAGCAACACTCCGTCTCAAAAGAAAAATAAATAAATAATCTCATCTCTAACATGGGAGACGAGCTAAGAAACACTGGGAGTGGTGCCAGGCCTTACTGTCTCTCAGACTATTGTTGGGAGGAGCAACATTATGGGAGGAGCAATTGAACCTGTGGAGAGGACTCAGATACCAGACTTCTTCCTAGAGAAGCTTTCTGGGTGAGAAGAAAGAATCCAGGAATTCTGATTTTTTCATATTGGCCCAGGTGGCCAGTGTGGTAAAGTGAAAAGAGCAGGAAGTCAACTCCTTTTTCCTTTTTTTTTTTTTAAATCTAATTATGCTTTCATCTATTTTTTTTTTCTTTTTGAGACAGAGTTTTGCTCTTGTTTCCCAGGCTGGAGTGCAATGGCATGATCTCAGCTCACCGCAACCTCTGCTTCCTGGGTTCAAGCGATTCTCCTGCCTCAGCCTCTCTAGTAGCTGGGATTACAGGCATGCGCCACCGCGCTGGCTAATTTTGTATTTTTAGTAGAGACGGGGGTTTCTCCATATTAGGCTGGTCTTGAACTCCCAACCTCAGGTGATCCTCCCGCCTTGGCCTCCCAAAGTGCTGGGATTACAGGCGTGAGCCACCGTGCCCAGCCATCTATTTTTTTCTTTTTTTAAGACGGAGTCTCACTCTGTTGCCAGGCTGGAGTGCAGTGGTGAGATCTGGGCTCACTGCAACCTCCGCCTCCCGAGTTCAAGTGATTCTTCTGCCTCAGCCTCCTGAGTAGCTGGGACTACAGGTGCGCACCACCACACTCGGCTAATTTTTGTATTTTTAGTAGAGACCAGGTTTCACCATGTTGGCCAGGATGGTCTTGATCTCTTGACCTCGTGATCCACCTGCCTCAGCCTCCAGAAGTACTGGAATTACAGGCGTGAGCCACCATGCCTAGCCTATTTTTTCTTTTTTTTGAAAATCTAATTAGTGAAGTCAACTCCTGAGGGTAAAACTGTGGCTCTCTTATTGGTTATCTTAGGCAAGACATTTCCCCCTCTGAGTCTCCATTTCCTCATCTGTTAAATATGGATATTATTATTTGCCTTGAGGGTCAAGTAAAATAGATGTGAAAATTCAATGTCCTTTTTGAACGTAAAATATTCGGGTCACCTTAAAGCTGTCATTGGGGAGTCAACAGTATTATCACACTGGAGCTATTCTTTTTGTTTGTTTGAGACGGAGTGTTGCCCTGTCCCCCAGGCTGGAGTGTAGTGGCATGATCTGGGGTCACTGCAACCTCCGCCTCCCAGGTTCAAGCGATCCTCCTGCCTCAGGCTCCTGAGTAGCTGGGATTACAGGCACCTGCCATCATCCCTGGCTAATTTTTGTATTTTTGTAGCGACAGGGTCTCACCATGTTGGCCAGGCTGGTCTTAAACTCCTGACCTCAGGTGATCTGCCCGACTCGGTCTCCCAAAATGCTGCGATTACAGGCGTGAGCCACCGCGCCCGGCCACACTGGAGCTATTCTGAAAAAAAAGCACCATCATTTGATCCGTCTGTGGACGTGAGACTGTCTTTGCACCACGCTGAAAATGCTTTGCACTCCCAGGGAGTTTGCCTATAGTTAGAGTCAATTCCCAACAGGTGGTACTTGAGCTTTGGCTTGATGGACGTATTCCTCAGTCTTCTGGAATGCCTGCTGTGCCAGGTGCTGGGTCTAAAACTGTAAGACTGCACGGCCCTGCCCTCACAGAGCTGCATAGTAGTTGGGGGAACAAAGAACCACTTGTTGCACTTGTTTAAATGATTACTGCGTGGTAAAGGATTACTGATAGAGGATTTACTGGATTTAGGGTTGATAGATAAAATACAGGACACAGGGTTAATTCGAATGTCAAATAAAAAAATGTTGAGCATTGAGTATGTCCCAAATATTGCATGGGACATATTTATAAGAAAAAACTATTCATTAGTTAGTATATAATAGCAGGGAACATATTATACTAAAAGATGATGTGTTGTTTATCTGACATTGAAATTTAACTGGGCATCCTGACATCTGGCAGCCCTGATGTCACAGAAACCCATAGTAGGAGCAATTAGCCTGGCCTGGAAAGGCTTCCCAAAGCAAGTCGTAGTTAACTACGACTTCCCAAAGCAAGTCTTTTATTTAAAAAATTACTTTAAGGCTGGGTGTCCTGGCTCACACCTATAATCCCAGCACTTTGGGAGGCTGAGGCAGGCGGATTGCTTGTGCTCATGAGTTTGAGACCAGCCTGGGCGACAAGGTGAAACCCTGTCTCTACAAAAATACAAAAATTCGCTGGGAATGGTGGCATGTGCCTCTAGTTCCAGCTATTTGGGAGGCTGAAGTGGGATGGTGACTTGAGCCCGGGAGGCAGAGGTTGCAGTGAGCCAAGATCATATCACTGTACTCCAGCCTAGGCAACACAGCCAAATCTTGCCTAAAAAAAAAAAAAAAAAAAACAAAATATCAAATTACTCTAGCTGATATGTGGAAAAGAGATTGGAGAAGCAAAGGTCGAAGCCCAGTTAGGTGCAGTAATTCAGGCAAGAGACAATTGTGGGTAATGAGGATGGAGATAGGATATTAGATTCTAAAGATTTAGGAAATAGATTACAAAGGGGGCTCCATGTTGAAGGTTAGGTGAATTCAAGGAGGTCTGTGAGTCTGGCTTATGTACTTAGGCAAGTGGGTTGGCAGTTAAAACAGTGAAACCTGTCAGTCTGTTTAAGGTCAAAAAGAAAGTTCCATGTTTCCATTCAATTAAGTCTTCAATGTAAAGATGGAGCTTAATCAGGATGCAAGTACCAAAAGACATTATTTAAATAATGAATGAACATATGTAAATACCAGTGGTTACCTTTTGTTCTCAAATGTTGCTTAGTTAAAACAATATCCCCAAGATTTTGACTGATTAATGAAAATATTCAATATAAACTTGTATATGGCTCCACTGTGCATCATGGAATTTAGCAAAACAAACCTTGAAAGGAGCTTTTCTTAGTATAGCATCTCAGTTGTAGGCAGTCTTTTAATTCAGGGGATGGTTTTTACATTTTTTTCTAACTCTTAATATTGGATAAAACCTATTTTAATTGATTTAACTTGGATATAAAAGCCTTCTTAAATTTACCTTCAAAGCTCAGGGCTAGGTTTTATATCTAGGACTCCTGTCCACTGCTTCCAAGAAAAGGCATAGTTTATTTCCCCTTGGTCGTTTCTCCTCTATAGATAGAGTAGGAAAGGAAGGAATCTCAGCCATGTCTTCATTAAATGGTCATCATGACATCCTTACCTCTTTCCTCTGCCTTCTGATGTTATAGCTTGTGCTCATTGTTAAAAGCAGTGTTTACTTTTAGTCATTTGTTAATTTATTCATCAAATATTTTTTGAGTTCCTGCTATGTATTAGGCACTTTTCTAGGTGCTGGGAATACCACAGTGAATAAAATAGACCAAAATTCCTTCCCTAATAAACTTTATGTTTTAGTGGGAGGAGACATAATAGTCAAATAAATGTATGTTTATGTTAGATGGTAAAAAAGAGCTAAGAAAATAAAGCAGGAAAGGGGAATGGGAACTTTAGGGCATGGGGTTATAGGAATTTTAAATAGGGAGGTCAGGAAAAGCCTCACTGAGCAGTTGACATTTGAGCAAAGACCTGAAGGAGTTGAGAGAGTGAATCATGCTTATTCTGGGGAAAGGGCATTCCAGGCAAAGGGAAGAGCATGTGCAAAGGCCCTGAAACAGGAGTGTGCCTAGAGCAGAGTAAGGGGGCAGAAGAGTGGGAGATGCAGACAGAGATTCTGACAAGAGGTGTCTAGATTTTATAAATTAAATATATTATTACAATTAACTTCATCTATTTCTTTTCAGTTTTTAAAATGTGATTTCTGGGCCTGGGACAGTGGCTCATGCCTGTAATCCCAGCATTTTGGGAGGCTGAGGTGGGCGGATCCCGTGAGGACAGGAGTTTGAGACCAGCCTGGCCAACATGATGAAACCCCATCTCTACTAAAAATATAAAAATTAGCCAGGCGTGGTGGTGTATGCTTGTAACCCCAGCTAGGGGAGCTGAGGCATGAGAATCACTTGTACCCAGGAGGCGAAGTTTGCACTGAGCTGAGATTGTGCCACTGTACTCCAGCCTGGGGGACAGAACAAGACTCTTTCTTAAAAAAACAAAAAGTGATTTCTGGAAATTTTAAATTTACATACGAACAGCCTGGGCAACATAGTAAGATCCCATCTCTACTAAAAAATTAGAAAAAAATGAGGCATGGTGGCTCATGTCTGTAGTCCTAGCTACTTGGGAGGCTGAAGTGGGAGGATCACTTGAACCCAGGAGTTTAAGGTTATAGTGAGTTATATGATCGTGCCACTGCACTCCAGCCTGGGTGACAGGGTGAGACCCTGTCTCAAAAAATTAAAAAAATTACATATGTGGCTCACATTGTATTTCTGTTGTACAACACTATTTTAGAAGAATTGGGCCGGGCGCAGTGTCCCACGCCTGTAATCCCAGCACTTTGGGAGGCCAAGGCGGGCAGATCATGAGGTCAGGAGTTCAAGACCAGCCTGGCCAAAATGGTGAAACCTGTCTCTACTAAAAATACAAAAATTAGCTGGGCGTGGTGGCGGGTGCCTGTAATCCCAGCTACTCGGGAGGCTGAGGCAGAGAATTACTTGAACTCGGGAGGTGGAGGTTGCAGTGAGCCGAGATCATGCCACTGCACTCCAGCCTGGGCAACAGAGCGAGACTCTGTCTCCAAAAACAAAAACAAAAACAAAAAAAAGAAAAATAGAAGAATTAATCAGGCTGAGAATACATGTGGGTGGCAGGAGAAGGACGCAGGCAGAAACAGAAAACACTTAAACTGAAAACAGAAAACACTTAAATTGAAACTTAAGAAACTATTAAAATAATTCAGGTGAGAGATGATGGGGCCTTGAACCAGGATAGTAGGTAGTAGAGATGGTGAGAAGTGATTAGATTCTGGATATATTTTGAATATAGGCCAACAGAATTTGGTATAAAGATATAGGGGCTGGGCACAGTGGCTCACATCTGTTATCCCAGCACTTTGGGAGGCCAAGGTGGGAGGGCTGCTTGAGGCCAAGAGTTCAAGACCTGCCTGCGAGACACTGCCTCTACAAAAAATCCAAAAATCACAAAATTAGCTGGGCGTGGTAGCTGGTGCCTGTAATCCCAGTTGCTTGGGAGGCTGAGGTGGGAGGATTCCTTGAGCCTAGGAGGTTGAGGCTGCAGTGAGCTATGATCAAGCTACTGCACTCCAGCCTGGGTAACAGACCGAGACCCTGTCCCAAAAAGAAAGATACAGGGTATGAGAGAAAGAGTCAAGGATGATCCCAGATTTTCTGACATGAATAATTGAAGATATGAAGTTGTCATTAGCTGAGATGGAAAGGATTGAGGGAAGGAAAAGGTTTTATGGAGAAGATAAGGAGTTTGAGTCTGTTATGCTTGAGACATCTTCCAGGCATCCACATGGGGAGGTAAAACAGGTATTTGAATACACAAATTGAGAGTTCAGGTGTGAAGTCTGGGATAGAGATGTGAATTTGGGTGTTAGCAATGAATAAGGGTAAATACCATAATTGACATTAAACAACGAATTTTATGTCTCCCTCCATCTCACCACAGTGTTTTTCTCATGTTCCACTGCCTCTTTGTAGAATGCACTGTTGAAACCCAATTCAATGTAGTTTTAGACAGGACATATAATGAAGTGATATTCCTGCACATCTCTTGGTCCTGTGCTCCACCTTCTAGAGATTTTAAAGCAAGACTGTCAGAGATATCAGTGCCACGTTTTCCTCTCCTCAGTATTTGTAGTTGGTATGAACAATATGGTCCAAGTTAAAAGCATTTTATTTTCCCCATGAAAAGTCTTTAAAATTAATTTCTGTTTACTAATCTCTCTGGGACCTGGGCCCAGTGCTCCTTAAATGCACTAGGTAAACCTAAAATACTTTAAAAATGTAAAACCAAATTAAACTCAGGCTTCTACATCAAAAGCTGCTTAACCACGATTTGACCTGTTTGTTTTCAGGTATGGTTTATGAAATCTGCAAGGCAGTATTAACATGATGGAACCAGAGGGTTTTTTTTAATTCCAGTTTGGCACTTCAGTTTGAGACAAAAGCCCCCACTCTCACCGTGTTCCAGCTCTATGATGGGGGCTGAAGTAGGAACAATGCATTTACTGACAGTGCCTTGTTTTAGCAAACAAAGTAGGTTGCCATCTAAATGTGAACGTTTGCTAGCACCTTAAAATAATGTTTAAACTCAGTTTTGATGTCACTAAAAATTCTAATATTTACTTAAGACTCTATTTTCTATTAATGTATTTAAGCATCAAAATTGAGACATATAACTTGAAGTCAGACAAGTTTTGCTGGTATTTAGTACACAAAGGGCAGGCATTTTTAGCACATTTTAAAAACCCGGACGTTTGACTTACATGTCTAAATGTCCACCTGGGAAAAAGGCTATCTCTTTGTTACCTGCCTTCCTGGAGTTTTGCCAATCCCCAGTTCACTAAAAGTTCAGCACACATGCTCAAGTGCACTGCTTCTCTCCTCATGCATAGATGTGCTTTTTCTCCCAACTCTCCTCAGATTCCCTCCTATCTGTGGCAATCTGCCCGGCACAGGCAGTACTGTGCAGTGGTTAAGAGCTTTGGCTCTGGAGTTTGACTTCTGGAGTTCAATCCTGTCTGCAGTATACTAGCTCTGTGAACGTGGGCAAGTTATTCAACCTTTTTATTTCTGTTGCTCTAGTGTTTAAAAAATTGGGATAGTAAGGGTATCCTATAACATTGTTATAAGGATTAATGAAGACATATAATACGTTCATGTAGTTTTCAATATCAGTTGCTGCTATAATTATGGTTTTTTTTCTAGCTAAGGTATAAGGTATATGTGTCTTTGTCATCCAGGGTGGTTGGAAAACTAATACCTGTTTTTTGGTTTCTTGTAGGGAGTATGTGTATTTATTATAGTTGCAAAGAGGCTACTATTCATATTATAGTTCCACTGGACTTTGAGATCTGAAGCTGGTCTTTGAGTACTGAACTAAAGGTCTAGCTCTCCAAATAAACATCACCTGGTGTAACATTTAAGTTTTACTTCTTTTTTTTTTTTTTTTGAGACAGGGTCTCACCAGGCTAGAGTGGCACCATCAGGGCTCACTGCAGCCTCCTCACCTGCTCCCCCCAACTGGGCTCAAGCAATCCTCCTGCCTCTGGGGACTACAGGCACATGCCACCATGCCTGGCTAATTTTAGTTTGTTTTTTTTTTATAGACGGGGTCTTGCCATGTTGCCCAGGCTGGTCTTGAACTCCTGGGCTCAAGTCATCCACCCACCTCAGCCTCCCAAAGTTCTGGGATTACAGGCATGAGCCACTGTGCCTGGCCCAAGAAATTTTACTTCTGTAAAGGTTAAGTCTCTTTGCCATATTCAGATGCTGGGTGGAAAGGTCTCCAGCAGCAACCTCTGTCCTTCCAGGGTCTGGATCAGAAGAGCACATCAAGAACTAAAAGGTAGTAAGCACTGCAGCATAATTATGCTTGAAGCCAGCCCAGGCCTCAACTCTGTTATGGTGTGGGATACTAAGTGACTTGTTTCAGTGGGCCTTGCAAGCATTTCGTCAAACTGTGATGGTAGCCTGATGCTTACTCTGCTGGATTCCCTTTAGATGGTGGTGTTGCCCATGTAGACTCAGGGCTGTGAGGAGCAAGGAACCTTCCTGATACTGTGTGTGTAACATTTAGTGTGTTGCAATTTACTTATGATATGGTCAAGATTTTGTTACACTATCAAACTTGTTTTGGGTATTATGTAGCTTCATTATACCATACACCAGGATATAGGGAGCAGAATCTCATCTGAAGAATGAGGTCATTCTTGGTGTCATTTGCTTGGAGAAAAAGTGAGCTTTCTAGAAAAGGAGCCAGAATAAAGGGAAAGATGTTGGTAATTTGCAGGAAGGAAATCTCTTTCTTGGATTTGCCACTCCCCTGCATCCCCATACCCTACCCTGGTATTGGGGTATCCAGGAGATTTGCTCTTCATTGTCAATGGTGAGTTTGAAAGTGATAAGCTGCAGATTTTGTGATATTCTCAGAATAGGGAAGTATGACACAAAACCAAGAGACTGTTAAAAAAAAAAAGATTTAGCTGGGCACTGTGGCTCAGGCCTGTAATTCCAGCACTTTGGGAGGTCAAGGTGGGCAGATCACAAGGTCAAGAGATTGAGACCATCCTGGCTAACACGGTGAAACCCTGTCTCTACTAAAAATACAAAAATTAGCTGGGTGTGGTGGCGCATACCTGTAGTCTCAGCTACTTGGGAGGCTGAGGCAGGAGAATCGCTTGAACCCGGGAGGTGGAGGTTGCAGTGAGCCGAGATCATGCCACTGCACTCCAGCCTGGCAACAGGGTAGGACTCCGTCTCAAAAAAAAAAAAAAAAAAGATTTGTAAATTTGATTATGAAAAGTAAAAAAAAAAGTTGAAACTAGAAAAATAACTTATATCACAGATATAGGCATAATTTTCTTTACCTTGATCTTAGCCAAAAGGCCGAGAAGCAATTGGCATAATTTTCTTAAGATATAAAAAGCTCTTATAAATCAGTATGAAAAAGTGTGACACTCTAACAGAAAAATGAACAAATATTTGAATAGTTTACAAGAAAAATGTCCTATATGAAAAGATGCTGAAACTCAGAAAAATCCAAACTTTTATCATAATTGATAACAATCCAAACATTTGATAAGAGGATATAGGTTATCAATATGTTGTTGGTTGCAATATAAATTACAACCATTTGGAAGACAATTTGGCAAGATCTGTAAACATTTAAAATGCACCTAGTCTTTAGCTCAGCAGTTCTACTTCTGGATAGTTAGTATACATCAATGCAAAATGACTTTATAAAACTATATTTATTGCAACATCCTTGTTAGAAGTAAAACATTGATTGTCTTCAATAAGAGACATCCAAAAAATAGAATATTATGCGGCCATTGAAAAGAATGAGGCAAATGTTTTTGTACTGATGTGGAATGATTTTCGTGAGGTTTTTGGTTGTTGTTTTGTTTTGTTTTTGTTTTTTTGAGATGAAGTCTCGCCCTGTTGCCCAGGCTGGAGTACAGTGGTGTGATCTCAGTTCACTGCAGCCTCACTGCCTCCTGGCTTCAAGCGGTTCTCCTGTCTTAGGCTCCCGAGTACCTGGGATTGCAGGCAGGCACTACTACAACTGGCTACTTTTTGTATTTTTAGTCAAGATGGGGTTTTGTCATGTTGGCCAGGCTGGTCTCGAGCTCCTGACCTCAGATGATTCGCCTGCTTCGGCCTCCCAAAATGCCGGGATTACAGGCGTGAACTACCGTGCTGGCCCCAGAGTTTCAAAATAGAGGACTGAAATAAAGTAAGGTGCAAAATAGCATGTCTAATATGTTGTCACTTGTATAAAAGATATGTATATATGTGTACATGTATATACACATATGCACACATCCTTGCATGTGCGTTGAATCTCTCTAGACAGATACACAAGTAACTGGTTACACTGGCTGTCTTTGGAGAGAAGATTTGGCAGATTAGGAGACAGAAATAAGAGGAAGAGGGACTTTTTACTGTGTACCTTCATCTACCTTTTTAATTTTGAGCTGTATGGATATGTCATTTGTTTTAAAAATGACACTGTTCATATGCACCTGGCTGAAAGTTAGAGAGCAGGGACCCTAGGTGAGGCCTTTAAGGTGGTAATACCTATTATATATGGATATCAGAAAATAGTGGATGGAATAAAACAGCCCCTGGGCACCCCAGGAGCAAAACTGTGTAACTTTGTATGCGAGACTGTGCTATAGTGTGGATATTTGTCCCTGCCCAAATATCATGTTGAATTGTAATCCCCAGTAATAGAGTTGGGGCCTGGTAGGAGGTGTTTGGATCATGGGGGGAAGATCTTTCATGGCTTGGGGTGCTGTCTTTGTGATAGTGAGTTCTCATGAGATCTGGTCTTTTAAAAGTGTGCAGCACCTCCCCCACTCCCACTCTGTCACCTCTCTCTCGCTCGCTCGCTCGCTCCTGCTTTCACCATGTGATGTGCCTGCTCCCCTTTGCCTTCTGCCATGATTGTAAGCTTCCTGAGGCCTCTCTAGAAGATAAGCAGATGCCAGCACCATGCTTCCTGTACAGCCTGCACAACTGTGAGCCGATTAAACCTCATTTCTTTATAAATTATTCTGTCTCCGGTATTTTTTGAAATAGCAATGCAAGAATAGCTTAATATAAGCTGGTTTTCCTTTTTGTTTTGGAACTTGGATTATATCAATGAATAGAACAGACAAACATCTCTGCCTTTGTGGAGCTTATATGGGGTGACGATGCAGGGAAAGATAACCAGTACAGGCTCCGGGGCATTGGGAATGCCAGTGGGCAGGTTGTGGCATTAAATAGGCTAGTCATTGGAAAGGTAACACTTGAGCAGAGACCCCTAAGAAGTGGAGGAGTTGGCCATGTGGACATCTGTGGGTATACTAGCCAGTGAAACTAGCCAGTGCAAAAGCTCTGAGGCATGGGCAGCCCAGGGTGTGGAAGACCAGCAAGGCGGCCAGTGTGGCTGGAGTAGAAGTGAAAAGAGTAGCAGATGAAGTCAGAGAGGCAATAGGGCAGATCCTGTAGATGCTGTTATCATTAACATTTGCTGGGTTCTTTAGCTTATAAAGTTGTACATGATATTTTATTGTAGCTTTGCAGCATTATCTCAACCATATGAGATAGGTATGACTATTGTCCTCATTTACAGGTGAGAGAACAAGTTCAGATTAAGGAGCTTGCTTGAAGGTGCAGCTAGTAAGTGGAATATTCGGTATTTAAATTCAAGTGTATGATTCCAGTTTGGACATTCACCCCTGTGCTGTTCTGTATTTATTAAATGTGAAGGGAGAACTAAGGAAAGGCTTTGAGTCCGTCCTCAGGCCACTGCTTTGAAAGGAGAGCTTTGCCAAGGGACAGAGCCCCCAGAGGAAGGAGAAGCCAACAGGGTCAGAGCTGGTTGCACTTTCTTGTGACAAATCTGGGAGGCTCTGAGATATGTTATAGCAAGACAGGCAGAATCCCCTTACCCAAGTATGTGCCAGCAGGTAAAAATTGAGCTAGACTTGGGCATAGAGTAAAGGAAGCAAGGCTTTAAGGCCAAAGAAAGCATAAAGCTATCTGGAGTGAGACGACCACAGAGTGCCATCTAATTTCCATGAACCAGCCACCTTTTAGGTGATGATCACATAAGGAAGTGACAGTTTACTTCACTTTTCAGAGAGAGCTCTGGTGCTGAATAGATGAGTTTAAATTGGCCAAAGAGTGCAAATTCTTATATCTGGCAGTCTTGCTGGGAGTGAAGAGAAGATCTCTGAAACCAGGCTGGCCTCAGGAGTGAGAGAAGTTTGTGCCGTTGTTCTTGAACCATGGCTATTAGCCTGTTGAAAAATACAGCTTATCTTTCCACCTTCCATTTCTGGTACAAATATATATTTTACATGAAGTAGAAGATCTAAGATATAACATGAAAGGAAGCTCTTAAAAATTTCTCTGGTTACTAGAATGTAACTGTACTTGGACACTATAGTTGTCTATCTCTGTTCCTCCACAACCAATATTTAATGAGTACCTGCTAAGTACCAGTCATCGCTCTAGGTTTGCAGCAGTGGATAAGACACACAAGGCCCCTGCTTGCATAGAGCTGGGAGTGGATAGGCTGAAAATAAAAAAGTGAGCCATATCAGACAGGAATACATTCTTAAAATAGATTTAAAAGTGTGGTGGCCTAGAGTGTGAATGGGTATCTACTTTAAATTGCATAGCCAGGGATGCCTCTTTGAAGAAGTTCTTGTGTGTTGCTAGTGTTTGCAAGTCCACATGTCAGTTTTTTTCTTTTAATGTTGTGCAAATCTATTCCCTAAGTGAGATTTCTCATAATGTTGAGAATATGTTTTTGTTTGGGGAGCAACATTTTCTGGTGGGCAGGAATCCTACAAATATTTAGATACTGATAGTTAAATCCTCTAAAAATAATTACTTCAAGGTAACCTGCAAAGGAGTAGTAGTGGGAAGTGGGCTTACTGTATACAATGAATATCCCAACTAAATGCAAGCTAAAGCTAATGCATCTCTGTGTTGTTGTTATTGATAATATTTATGATGATTTTAAATAATGAGCATCCAGAGATGTTCAAGGAGAAAGAACTCCTTATACCCAGGGGGGCATCATATATTAACATAACCTCAGCAGATCTATCCTGTCTTTTATTTCTCTACCACACAGAAAACAAAGAGGGCAGCAATTAGTATCTTCAGACTATGGTAAGATAAACCCCTGTTCCAAATGTAAAGCAAAGCCGTCCTATTGAAAAGCAACAAAAAGGAAGGCTGAAGGGCAGCACACAATGTGTAATGTGCCTACTTGGATGTCAAATCATAGGGTACAGATCAAAACAGAGCAGCTGTTGAGGGCTGCCTCGTCATATGCTGCTTAGAGTTTATGAGAAAAGGCATCAAGGGTCTGCAGTTAACAAAAGCACTCAGCGTGTGGCAGATTGGGCCGCTCTGTTGAGAGGTAGGATTTGGTCTATAGTTTGTTCAACTATACAGATTTGAAATAAATGGATGGATGGAGTGGCTAGGCTTTCTTTTCCTGTGGAAGATCTGGATGTTAAAGGTATATCATTCAGGAAAAATATTTCCCAGTACCTTCAGAGTGACTGAAAAATTCCTAACCTGCATTTCCATATTATTATCATATCTGCTGTTTCTGTATCAGCTTGCTGGAATACACATATGAACCATTTAGGGAACTCTATTCTGTCCTGTTGGTCTATATGTCTGTCTTTATGCCATACCATACTGTTTTGATTAATGTAGCTTTGTAATATGTATGAAATCAGGAAGTGTGAAGTCACTAGCTTTATTGTTGTTTCTCAAGATTATTTTGGCAATCAGTCTTTTGTGGTTCCATTTACATTTTAGAATTGTTTTTTTCTATTTCTGTAAAAAATGCCATTTGGATTTTGATAGGGATTGCATAGAGTCTATAGACTGCTTTGGGTCATATGGACAATATTCAGTCTTCTAATCTGTGAACATTTCTGTTTATTTGTGTCTTTAATTTCTTTCAGCAATATTTTGCAGTTTTCAATGATAACTCTTTCTCCTCCCTTGTTTAAGTTTATTCTTAAGTATTTTACTCTTTTTGATGCTATTATAAATGAGATTGCTTTCTTAATTTCCTTTGTGGATTGTTAGTGTGTACAAACAACTAATTTTTGTATGTTGGTTTCATATGCTGGAACTTTGTTGAATGTATTATTTCTAACAGTTTTTGTGGAATCATTAAAGTTTTCTACATATAAGATCGTGTCATCTGTCATCTGTGAACAGAGTTTTACTTCTTCCTTTTAAATTTAGATGCCTTTTTTCTTTTTCTTGCCTAATTGCTTTAGCTAGTACTCCAGTACTATGTTGAATAGCATGACAAGAGTGGGTATCCTTGTCTTGGTCCTATTTTTACAAAAAAAGTTTTTAGTTTTTCATCAATGAGTGTGATGTTACCTGTGGGATTTTCATATATTATTTTCATTATATTGATGTAATTTCCTTCTATTCCTAGTTTGCCATTTTTAAATAGGATTGTCTTTTTATTATTGAGTTGTAAGAATTCTTTATATCTTCTGTATACAAGTCCTATATCAGGCATATGATTTGCAAGTATTTTCTCCTGTTTTATGGGGTTGTCCTTTCACTTTCTTTCTTTCTTTCTTTTTTTTTTTTTTTTTTTTTTGAGACAGAGTCTTGCTCTGTTGCCCAGGCTGGAGTGAACAGTGGTGCAATCGTGGCTCACTGCAACCTCTGCCTCCTGGGTTCAGACAATTCCCATGCCTCAGCCTCCCAAGTAGCTGGGACTACAGGTGCATACCACTATGACTGGCTAATTTTTGTATTTTTAGTAGAGATGGGGTTTCAGCATGTTGCCCAGGCTAGTCTCGAACTCCTGACCTCAAGTGATCCACCTGCCTCAGCCTCCCAAAGTGCTGGAATTGTCAGAGGCATGTGAACCACAGCAACTCCATAATGAATGGGTAAAATGAGGCTGAAACCTACTGGGCTGCATTCCCAGATTGTTAAGGCATTCTAAGTCACAGACTGAAATAGGAGGTTGGCATAAGATACAGGTCATAAAGACCTTGTTGATAAAACAGGTTGCAGTAAAGAAGCCGGTTAAAATCCACCAAAACAAAGATGGCAATGAGAGTGACCTCTGGTCATCCTCACTGCTACACTCCCACCAGCGCCATGACAGTTTACAAATGCCATGGCAACATCAGGAAGTTACCCTATATGGTCTAAAAAGGGGAGGCATGAATAATCCACCCCTTGTTTAGCATATCATCAAGAAATAACCATAAAAATGGGCAACCAGCAGCCCTCGGGGCTCCTCTGTCTATGGAGTAGCCATTCTTTTATTCCTTTACTTTCCTAATAAACTTGCTTTCACTTTACGCTATGGACCTGCCCTAAATTGTTTTTTGTGTGAGATCCAAGAACCCTCTCTTGGGGGTCTGGATCAGGACCCCTTTCCTGTAATAGAATTACGGGTGTGAGCCACCGTGCCCGGCCCCTTTTCACTTTCTTGATGGTGTCCTTTGAAGAACAAGTATTTTTATTATATTAATAATTAAATTATCTCCAGCTTTATTGAGGTATAACTGACAAATAAAAATTATATTTATTCAAGGTGTACAAAGTGATATGATCTATGTTTACACTATATAATGATTACCACAATCAGAGTAATTCATCGTTTGCCACACAGTCTTTCATGTATGTGAGATGAGGATACTTAAGATTGCTCTCTCAGCAAATTTCAGGTAAACAATATATTGTTATTAACTATAGTCACCATGCTGTATACTAAATCCCCAGAACTTATTCATTTTATAACTAGAAGTTTGTACCTTTTGATCAATATTTCCCTATTTCCTCTACCTCCTGGAAACTGTTCAACTCTGCCTATGTGAGTTTGACTTTCTTAGATTCCACATATAAATGGGATCCTTCAGCATTGGACAATTATTTTTAATTTTGATGAAGTACCATTTTTTTTCTTTTGTTTCTGGTGCTTTTGGTGTCACATCTAAGAAATCACTACTTAATCCAAGGTCCTAAAGATTTACTCCTATATTTTCTTCTAAGAGTATTGTAGTTTTAGTTTTTACACTTAGCTCTTTTTTGTTTGTTTTCGATGTAGTTGTTGTTTGTTTGTTTTTTTGAGACAAGGTCTCACTTTGTCACCCAGGCTGGAGTGCAGTGGCGTGATCTCTGCTCATTGCAACTTCAACTTCCCAGGGTCAAGTGATCCTCCCACCTCAGCCCCCCAAGTGGCTGGGACAACAGGTGTGCAGCAACACACCCTGCTAATTTTTGCACTTTTTTGTAGAGATGGGATTTCATCCTGTTGCCCAGGCTGGTCTCAAACTTATGGGCTGAAGCAATCCACCTGCCTTGGCTTCCCAAAGTGCTGGGATTACAGGCATGAGCCACCACGTTCAGCCTACACTTGGCTCTATAGTCCACTTTAATTTCTGTACATGGCATGAGGTAAGGGCCCAAATTCATTCTTTTGCATGTAGCTATCCAGTGGTTATCCATAGCTATCCATGGTATCCACCATTTGTTGAAAAGATTATTGCACCATTGACACCCTTGTTGAAAATTAGCAAACCATAGACACATGGGTTTGTGTCTGAACTTTTAATTCTATCTACCAGTGCTCCTCAATTTACAATGGGGTTATGTCCTGATAAAGGTATCATCAATTGAAAATACTGTAATCATACTGCATATCACTAGCCTGGGAAAATATGAAAACAAAATTTGAAGTACAGTTTTTACTGAATGCATTTCACTTTCACATCATTGTGAAGTCAAAAAATTTCAAGTCAAACCATCTTAAGTCAGAGACTGTATATGTCTATCCTTATGCCAATTAATATTTTACACCCCCCAAATACTTTTTTTTTTTTGAGACGGTGTCTCAATGTCATCCATACTGGAGTGCAGAGCAGCATGATCTCAGCTTCTTGCAATCTCTGCCACCCTGGCTCAAGTGGTCCTCCCACCTCAGCCTCCTGAATAGATGGGACCACAGGTGTGTACCACCACACCCAGCTACTTTTTTCTATTTTTGGTGGAGACAGGGTTTTGCCATGTTGCTCAAGCTGGTCTTGAACTCCTGAGTTCAAGTGATCCTCCCACTTCAGCCTCTCAAAGTATTAGGATTATAGCCATGAGCCACCACACTGGCTCCCAAATACTTTTTGGCCATATTTCAAGATGGCAATTTGGAGGGGCTGCACACTACAGGTAATTGCTCTGAAAAACTGTCATTTTATGGGGGAGATTTGCTTCTGTAGAGGAAATCTATATTAGTGAAGTAAACCCCAGATGCAAACAGGCTCTCTCTGAGGCCCCTCCTTATCTGCCTTATCCAGATCTAGGAAAGATTACCTCACAGGAAAAGGAGACTAAAAATCTGACACTTTTAAAGGTCTGACAAAAATGTTACCATGGGCTACCCTCTATTCTTTCTGAGGGCTGCTACCCTTGAGACTTCATCTACATACAAGATGTAGCCTTTGCTCCCCATGCTTTTCCTTTCCTCTCCCTCCCATAACCTGTCTTGCCACATTCTAAGCCTCTATTCTTTTATACTATATAAACTTCATCTGGCCCCCCTCCTCTGAGCCTCATATTTTGTATAGCTCCCATGTTTATGCACATTAATACATTTTTATGCCTTTTTTCCCTGTTAATCTGTCTATAGTCAGTTTATTTTATAGGGAAATTATAGAACTTTCAGAAGGATGGAGGGAAGAAAATTCCCTTTACCCCACAGCAGTAGACTGCTTAGGTTATTTTTGAATGACCTTTTCATTTATTCCCCGTTAGCTGAGTGACCTTTAGCATCGGTTTTCTCGTTTGTAAATTGAAAATATATTACCATCTTGTTGTGAGGACTGAACAAGAATATAGTAAAGCTCTTAGTTCAGTGCTTATCATATAATGCTCAATTTAAAAACTGGAAATATACTTTCCCTTGGTAATACTCCCTTTCCTTCCCACTAATCCTCTCCAGTGAAGACTTTTCGTCTACTTCTTTTTTCTTTTAGACGGAGTCTTGCTCTGTCACCAGGCTGGAGTGCAGTGGCACAATCTTGGCTCACTCCAATCTCCACCTCCCGGGTTCAAGAGATTCTCCTGCTTCAGCCTCCCGAGTAGCTGGGATTACAGGTGCCTGCCACCATGCCCAACTAATTTTTGTATTTTTAGTAGAGATGGGATTTCACCATATTGGCCAGGCTGGTCTCAAACTCCTGACCTCAGGTGATCCACCCGCCTCGGCCTCCCAAAGTGCTGGGATTACAGGCGTGAGCCACTGCACTCAGCCGACTCTTCATCTACTTCTAAATGTCTCATGCATAAGAACGGATTTCATGAAAACAGGCAGGCATATTCCTGAACTACCACCAGGACTCAACAACTTATCTGAAGAGTGTGATTTTCTCATATGACACTTGATTTTTCTTACCACTGTATGTTAAGATCGAGGGCACCCGCCTCCTTTTCCTAGTGACTGTAGCACCTGGCCTGGTCTTCTCCATCCTTTTCCTGCATCCACACTGATGAACAAATATGCTGTTCATCCTGTCCCTACTTTAAATTCTCCCCACATCCATTTTGCTATCCATCAGCAGGGAAACCCTTTAGGTTTATTTATTATTGAAACAATTACATCTCAAGATTTTAAATTCTGAAATTCTCTCCTCTAACTGGCCTCCCTACCATTGACTTATTCATAATGAATTTGGGATTAGATTCTGACGTCTCCATTTTCCTGGTCCATGGCCTCTGATCTGGCCCCATTTGCCTCTAAATAAGCGATTTCAGTCACCCATTTCAATGACACAATCTATTTCATTCTAAGATCCCATAGTCACTTCAATGCAAAAAACTCCAGAAACCAAAAAATCCTATCCACTGTCAACTTTATCAGCTTATCCGAAGCCAGTAAGCATTGCTGGGGAAAACCAAAAAGCCTTTCCAAGTTGATTCCTATGTTATTCTGTTTTAGTTCTTTGTTGAGCCCTCTCTGATGTTAATATTATCCTCACTTTATGCTGGTTATTTCTATTTTTGCCTGCAAATCAGTGAGGGTCTTCAACCTTTTGTGAATATATTCATATTCAACCTATTATGCATTCTGTTCCTTTATAACATCCATAAAGAATATTCTATTTGCTGCCCCACCTTTTCATTTTTATTCACTCCCTAAAATTATGACTTGTACTCATGCAGAAAAGAGTTAACATAGCAAGCCAGAGGTCTTTAGAAGAGACTGCTTGTAGGGCTGGCCCTTGGCTGGAGCCTGGGAACTTGACTTGTGAAAAGTCCTCTGCTTTTTGTTAACACTGTTTTGCCTGCTAGAACACTTAAATGCCTGCTTTCCTTCTGGGAGCCTGGAATTTTGTTATGCCTGGTCTTTGTGCTTGTATGACCTGCCCCTAATAAAAGTCCTTGCACTCTGATTCTGTAGTAGGTTTCTCTGGGCAGAAACTGCATAGCACATAGGAAGCCTGTGTATAGATTTCTCCAGACTCCATGTGATGTGTCTTTTCCCCTTGCTGATTCCATTGTATATCCTTTCTCTACAAAATCAACTGTAGCCTCTGAGTCTTGCAAGTCCTTCTGGTGTATCATTGAATGTGCATGTAGTTGTGGGACTTCTGAGAGTCCTTCCTTCCCACCCTCCATTCAAACTGATCTCAAAAGGTTGATGTATTCATTAAACCTTAGTAATCTTTCCCTACTCTGTAACATCTGTTGACAATACTTTTGCTTTCAAAAATCTTCTTCCTTGGCATTAAGATAGCCCTACTCTGGTTCTCCTTATCCTTCACTCATTCAGCATTTATTGAATGCCTATATATGCAAGGCATTGTGTTAGGTATGTATCAGCGAGTGAAACAGTCCTGGTGCAGCATATGTTCTAGTGAGAAGAAGATGAAAAGCAAATGGTACAAGCTGAGAAAAGTACCGTGTTATGAGTAAAAGGGGATATGCACTTCAGTAGGGTGGCCTGTGCGGAGGGCTTTAGACCAGGAAAGTCTGCTTGGCAAAGAACCGGAAGCAATGTATTATGGCAGAGAACGCCATGTGTAAATGCTCAGAAAAACCGCTTGACATCTTCTAGCAACTGAAAAGGAGCCTAGTGTGGCTGGAGCACCATGAGACAAAAGAGTGGAGATGAGACTGGAGGATAGCAAGGTCCAGATCAGTTAGAGAGCTTTGGAGGTCATGTTTAGAACTTTAAATTTTAAGAGCAATGGGAAGCCAAGTGACACAGATACCCTTTAAAAATATCATTCTTTTTCGGATTAGAGGTATAAAAAGGAGGAGAAAGCCTAGTTCAGAGATTACTGCAGTGGTGTAAGTGAAAGATAATGGTGACCTGGGTCTGAGTGACGGCTGAGAAGATGAAAGACGAAAGGGACTTTGATCTTCTTACCCCTTTGCTGATTACCTCAACTCCCACATCTTTAATTATCATCTCTGTGTATAAGACTCTAACCCTATGACCTTACCTGATGTGAGTCACTGTTTCACATTTCAAAGGAATAATGATTACATTTCAGAAATCTAAATAGTACTGGAGCCATAATGCTTCTGTTACTTACTATCAGTGTGATCTCGGACATGCTATTTCACTTCTCTGTGCCTCAGTTTCCTCATTTGTAAAATACAAATAGTAGGTTAATATAGTACCTACCTCGTAGGTTGTCTGTAAATGAGTTAACAGACAAAACAATTTGGAGTGAGTACTAGCCTCCATGTGTCCCAAGAGGAACTGCCTTCAACACCCAATCTAGCTCTTTCTCCTGACATACCCATTTTTATTAATGGCACTAGAGATTTCAAACCATGGTCACATTTGACTCCTTGCTCTCAATTCCCTTGCCACACTGCAAGTAGAAACCTAAAATTAGAGATTGCTACTAAGTATTGTTTTTACTTCCATTTGCATATAAGGTAAAAGTTACGGTTTAATTTGTTCATCAAAAAATATTAAAATTATATACCTGTTATGAGAGCCAAGCAGTTATACTAGGTTCCTATTAAATTCTAATCTTTTGATCTTCAGATGCAATTTCTGCCTTTTGATCTAAAAGGGACTATATTTGAAGTTTATCAAAAATCTATTGATTAAGAAATGAGAAATCCCTCTAAGTAATAAAAATGGAATTTCAAAAGATTGTTAGTAACCAAAACAAATAGGACCAATGAAAAATACCTACGCATACTTTACTATCTCAAAGTTACTGACCTTACCAGTTCAATCGCGTATATAAAAAGGGTTCAGGGGCAGGGATATCACAGCGGTAGCCTGAGGAAAACAGTGCAAACTATCCATCCCAAGGCTGACAGGAGTATTTATTAGTCAATCTTGCCTGTCTTCCAGAACCACATGTTTATGCTTTTTGAATGTTACTGAAATAGGTGGCATCTATTAATAGTGCATTTATTTAGGTTCTGAAATTGACTATCAAATACTAAATAACTGACTTCTGAAGTTGTTCCTTTTCATGGAAATTTAATTATAATTGGTTTTGGAGATTATTTTCCCTTCTGGGTCTATAGGGTTTAAATTCTGCAGACATCAAGGACTGATAGGGGATGAGGCAGCTACACAGGGAATCACAACATTAAGCTACAGATACCACAGACATAGGCCTTGCCCTTATTAACACAACGATGAGCAAAACATGCATAATACCAAAGAATTTATTGTAAATGTAGTGGCAAATACATTCAGAATAATCATCATTAAAAAGGAACTAGAAAATTATACATGTTTAAAGTATGTGCTTTTTTCCCACCACCTTTAAGTTAATGGCTAGTACCAACATTTTAAGTAATGAAATACTTAATGTGATGACCCATTTTCAGATAATTTCATGACTGTATCTTCATCTTAATTTTTAAAGCAGTTGACCATGAATTTCAGTTTCAGTTATTCTCTGTTTTTATCAATTCCGTAATGATCTGCAGAATCTTGTCATCTGAGTGGAAGGAAAAAAAAAAGCCACGAATAAATGCAACATTGTCTAATTTTCCAAGGTATGCACATGTAAATAAGAGGTATATGTCACTAAAAATTTTTACATTAGAATACAGAATTAACACCAGTAATAAAACTAGAGACACCTATAAAATATTTTTTGCCCTACATAGATTTTATTGCTGTAGGTTATGCCATACCTAGTTTGACAAAAGTTAACATTTTGAAAACAGATAACATTTGTATAGGCTAAACCCCAAAGAGATAATATGATGTGAAATGTTACTTCTTTATAAGGAATTATAAATTTTATTCTATAAAAATTCCTTGAAGAAAGTAAGTTTCTCAACTTTTTCACTTGGCTGCAATATACTGAAGGCTCTACTGACTCTTCAGTGTTCTTCAGAGTATGGCAGAATTTCCAAAGTATGAGCAAGGAAGAAAGAACTGTTACCAGTTTCTCCATGTTTAGTCCAAAGGAAACAAAAAATTCTAACAGGGAAGCGCTCTTGGAGAGGTGTCAATGCGGAAGTGACAGACCTCTCTACACAACAAAGGAATCAAATACCAATTAATTTGACAAACAGAGCAACAGAGGCTGCATTATTTGCTAAAGGGGTTTTGTTAACAACTGCTTCTACTTAATAGTTAACTCTGAAATTGTGACTTCCTAAGAACCTCACAACCACTCTTTAGGAAGTTACAATTATCAGGGCTGCAAAACTGAAATTCTACATTTACGTTAGATACTCAGAGAATGCTGTCGCTTTCAATAGTTGCAATGGTTACAGTGGCATTAGAAACAACAACAAAAAAGTGGGAGGGAGGGGAAAAAGAGAGGTCACTTGTTTGAAGTTGGAACAATGGCAGGTCTAGAAAGAACGTTTTTCTTTTTTATTTTTTAAGAGATGGAGTCTCACTCTCGCCTAGGCTGTAGTGCAGTGGTGTGATCACAGCTCACTGCAGCTCTGAACTCCTGGGCTCAAGCAATCTTCCCATCTCAGCCCTCTGAGTAGCTGGGATTACAGGCGCAAGCCACCATACCTGGCTCCAAGAACCATGATTTTTAAATTGAGGAAGAGAGAGTAAAAGAAAGTACAAGAGTAAGTTCAGTTACTGTTTTTCAAATGTTTGGCATTCTACCAACTTTTTGTTATAAATCCAAGAGAGAGCACTAACATACTTCTTCCTTCCTCCCAAGTCAAACGTATATACTACACCCAACTTGGTAAGTTCTGCTCTCTCTCTTATGGCAAAGGGAAACACTGATATCATTTCAAAAAATCATTTTGCTTAATTAAAAGCTGAGGTTCAACCTATACTTTATAAAATGTAATTCTTTCTAATGCCAAAGTTATAATGCACAAAGCTTCCTGAGAAAAGAGCCCACGTCTTAATATGTTAAGACTTGATCTGTTTCCAGCAGTATAGGAAAATTAATACATTTTAATGCTTATGCATTCATATTTAGTTATACAAATAAACACAGAGTATGAGGCTTCAGGGTAGTAGAACTAGATCAGTAGCTCCCCCAACTTGCCTGTGACTGTTGAGAATAAACTGGGGATACTTTGTTCAGTACAATCATACTGAAGTCACTGATCAATTCTTAACATTAAAAGGACAACCAAATTTAAGTGCTTCCTGGTGTGACGCAGTGGGGAGAATACAGCACCAACTAGAAAGTATTATTTTCCTCAAAACTTATTCTAATCATACCTCCAAATATAACTACCAGTTTATAGGAAATACATGAACATGTTAAAGCATGAGTATGTAACTAACCAAATCCTAAATGTGGGACATTCTACCAGAAAAACAACTCAGTTTATTAAAAATAATTAACTGCATTTAAAAATGGGATAGCCTTAGAGGGGAAATGTTACAGAATAAAATATTTAAAAAATAATATAGCCACAGGCCTCTCCCATAGAGATCAGTATGTCTGGGGTAGGTCTTTGGACCTTGTATTCTTTGCAACTGCCAGGATGATTTTGATGATTTGGCAAGTTTGAGAAACACTGCACTGGGCAAACTGCAAACTCAGATGTCCATTTCAGATTTCTCTCTTATTTTTTGATGTGGGGTCTTGCTCTGTCACCCAGACTGGAGTGCGGATACTCGCCTCAGCCTCCCAAGTAGCTGAGACAACAGGTACAAGCCACCAGGCCCGGCTAACTTTTTTTAATTGTTTGTAGAGATGGCATCTCCCTATGTTACCGAGGCTAGTCTTGAACTCCTGGCCTCAAGCGATCCTCCTGCCTCAGCCTTCCAAAGTGGTGGGATTACAGGCAGGTGTCACCATGCCCGGCTCATTTCAGATTTCTGTTGAAGGATAATGTGTTTATTTTATACAGAGAAATAGCTCTGCATTTGAAAGAAACACATGGTGGAAAAACCATGCTGAAATAAACCTAACAGAAAGTCCCTAATCATACACACACACACAAATACATATATAGGTATGTGTATATATACATATATTTCTTAGAGACAGAGTCTCTCTATGTTGTCTAGGCTGGACTTTAACTCCTGGGCTCAAGCAATCTTCCCACCTCAGCCTTCTGGGTAGCTAGGACTACAGGCATATGACACCATGTTTGGCTTATTATTTTTTTTTAAATAATAGCTATGTTACCAGTTTACTAAAATGCTAATAAGTAACAAAGTTTACTATGCTCAGTTTTATTAACCTTTTTTTCTATGAAATGGCTAGAAGTTTAGAAATGAAGTTTAAAAGAGACAGGAGTAAACTAAACCTTAAGAGGATAATTAGGCTGTGAATAATCACTAATTGAGTTTGATGGAATTCAGCATAAAGTAGATGGGATTTTTTACGACTTCAGTGTGCTTTAGTATACTCCAATGTTACAAAAAAAAATTTCTAGAATATTTCAGATTTTCTCTTACAAAGTTTCTTTTTTTCTTTTTTGAGATGGAGTTTCGCTCTTGTCGCCCAGGCTGGAGTGCAATCATGTGATCTTGGCGCTCACTGCAACCTACGCCTCTCAGGTTCAAGTGATTCTTGTGCCTCAGACTCCCGAGTAGCTGGGATTACAGGTGCCCGCCACCATGCCCAGCTAATTTTGTATTTTTAGTAGAGACAGGGTTTCACCATGTTGGCCAGGCTGGTCTCGAACTCCTGACCTCAGGTGATCTGCCTACCTTGGCCTCCCAGAAGTGCTGGGATTATGGGCGTGAGCCACCGTGCCTGGCCTCTTAGAAAGTTTTTCCACACATTAATACATAGGTATGTGTACACATACACATATGTGTATATGGTCTTTCACTTATAAGCAAACACTTACTTTCAAGGGACATCTTTGGATTTTCAAGCTTTTTTCTTAAAACTGAATCAATGAGAACTCTCAGCTGCTTGAAAATGACAGCTATCTTTACAGGGGCCTGTTAAGAGGAGTTGAAAAAATGGACAAAGTCAATCCAGGGCAGTGTGAATGTGTTTAAGTAAATCAAGGCAAGCCTATATTACAATCTGCCTTAGCACATCTTGCTTTTAATGGAAAACACAATGGGAAAAATACAAATTATTTCTGCTAGCTAGGCATGCAAACCTGTCAATTTCCTTATTAAATCTGGTAACTCTTCCCAAAATAAGGCAACTATTACTCCAATAATTGTTTTCTTCTCTATTTATATCAACTCTGTGGAAGTTAAGACTACAGTTTTGGGGAGGGAAATTTTTTTTTTTTGAGATGGAGTCTCTCTCTGTTGCCCAGGCTGGAGTGCAGTGGCGCAATCTTGCCTCACTGCAACCTTCGCCTCCCAGGTTCAAGCGATTCTCCTGCCTCAGCCTCCGGAGTAGCTGGGATTACAGGTGCCTGCCACCATGCCTGGCTAATTTTTTGTATTTTCAGTAGAGACAGGGTTTCACCATGTTGGTCAGGCTGGTCTCGAACTCCTGACCTCATGATCCACCTGCCTCGGCCTCCCAAAGTGCTGGGATTACAGGCATGAGCCATGGCACCCGGCTTTATTGAGATATAAAAATTACCATAAAAATTCACTCATTTTCACTAATTTCAATAGCTTTTAGTAAATTTATAGAATTGTGCAACCATCACAATCCAGTTATAAAACATTTCCACCACCCCAATTTCTTTGCACAAACTGCATATAATTGTAAAGCTGCACTTAAAATTCACCTCTCCAGTCCTAGACAAACAGCTATCATAGAATAACCTAACAATGTAATAGGTTTGCTTAGTTTAAGCTGGTCAATCTTGATGGGAGTACAGAGAAACAGATAAACTTATTGCCAGAAATAAGCATAGGTTGGTCTAATTTTTCCAGAGAAGAATTCAACAGTATGAATTATAAACTATAAATCTGTTTGGTCTTTTTTATTCCTTTTTATTCCACAATGTAGTGGAATGAGAATAAATTTGGGTATCAAATAGTCCTAGATTTGAATCTTGCTCTGTCAGTAACAATCCACGTAAATCCTGGGAAAATTATTTAATTTCTCACTGTGTTTGAGTGTCTCTATGTAAAAGAAACTATAGAAATTACCTAACAAGGTTGCTAGGATATTAATTTGGGAAAATCCACATAAAGTTAACTATTGAAGTACCCAACACATAGAAAGCTAGAATTGTTATTAATAATAAATAGAATTTGTAATAGCAATATAATTTGATTTCCAAATTTAACAGATTTAAAACCACAGAGGCAAGATAAAATAAGGAATTCTACTTAACTCATATTAAGAAGAAATTATGCAAACTCCAATAAAATTTAAAAAATGTACCTCAATGGTACTGGAAGTTGAAAATTTTTAATAATCAATAAAATCAGTTGTACTATGTACCTGAAAATAGATCCAGCCATCAATAGAAAGAAGACGTTCTCGGTGCTGAACTTCTATATCACCACCAAAAAGTAAAACTGGAAAAGGGGTTATTAGGGTAGTTTCTCTCAAATACACTCTGGCATACCTTATCTACATGGGAAAAAGGGGGGAAAATAACTTCAAAATATAAAAATAGAAGGAGGTCATTTATCTTTTTCAAGTAAGCATTTTTCTACAATTTGTTATTCTACATTTTAAGCTCAGAGTATTTGTAAAGCTACATTTTCATTTTCTTATGTGCATAATTTATCAATTTTATAATAATTACTATTACCACCTGTGCATTAATGCTATGAAAAGGCATTTTAAATATTATTGCTAAGGCTGAGTTATATACTTTGAACATAAAGGAAACTAGGTACAAGCAATTTTATATGCTAATGATATTAAATAATTAATGTTAAAATTATGATTTTCAGTTGCTGGTTTCTAAACCAACATTCAGCTATGGGCATCAATCAGTAATCTCTCGTTTTACATTTAAGTTTGATAAATGTTGAGAGTTATTCAAGCCAGTGCTTGAAATTACGGATCTTTGTTATTTTAAAGGTCAAGAAACAAAATGGAGGCACTTTTTGTAAAGGGAGAAGAAATATGTTTCAATTCTTTATGTTCCCTTTTCTTCTCATACTGCCTTAAAAAATGTGTGAATGAGACAGGTAACAAAAACCCAAAATATAAAGAGAAAATGCCATCTTAACCTTTACCATATGTTAAAAAATAAGAAAATGGAGTGGTCATGCAGCTCCAATTCAAAAGGTTGTTTTCATTGTAATCTATAAATATTTGCTATTAAATTATCTTAGGTGATACTTGACCGAAACTGTTGCAAATCATCCACAGTTCTACTACACCATCCAATATTCCCCTTATTTGGAAATAGCACATACAACCTGTCTTTTATTCCCTTCTGAGGCAGCACCTTTTAATGAAATACTAAGGGGATTGATACATTATTAACCAACATCAATTTGCTATTACTGTCTTTATTCCAAGTAGAAAAGATGATGGGCAGAGTAGAAACCTTACTATTTGTTTTTGAAGAGAAAATAAGCATTCTTTTGTTTGAGAAGCTATGTGCATCTTGATTTCAAATATTAACAAAAATGAATAGCTCAATTTGAGAACCAAATAAAATACCTGTTAGGGCATCCTAACTTGTTATGAATGACTTGCAGAATAATGCTCTGAATACTGGAATTTAGGAATGAGTACTTCACCTTCTCCTGGTATAAGAGCCATCCATGAGTTTGCAAATCTCGATTTACTGAGGATGGGTGTACTTGTGCTTTGCCTTGGGCCGTCTCCACAATGCAAGCCAATTTTTCTGTAACATCCACTGACTTTGTATAGATTATCTTCCCCACATTGTCATACAGTCCAGCCACCAGTACAGCTTTAAGAAGGGCAATTTCTTGGAATGAGAGGGTCTGTGAGGCTCTGTTTCCTTCCCAGCTGGTAGAAGTTGTGGAAGATGAAAATCCTGCTGCCTTAACCAACTTTATTAACTCCTGCTTTACATCCTAGATTGGTTTATGTTAAAAACACAAATAATCAAATTGATTAGAGGAATTTCCAAATAACATTGTAGTTTATATTACTGCTTCCTATAAAAATTGACAGGATGCTAATGATTATTTGGCTAACGATAGCCCAAATTACCTTAGGGAAAAAAAAAAGATACTGGAAAGTCAAGAATTAGAATCAGCTATTCTCCTCACCCAAAGACTTCAGGTGCCTCAAAACATAAGAATGTCTAAAATTTGAGAGCCAGAAAAATGTGTCTGAACACATTTTCATTCACTACATCTACTTCCATAGTAGCTCTCCTTTTTCTCTGGAGATTTTTACTCAATGAGGATGGTCAGCATTGAGAAAGAATTGACAGAAATCTTGATCCTAGATTGCAAGTACCTTCTTTATTTGTTTCTGGAAATCTCATCTTAATTTCTTAAAGAACTTTGAAAGAATTTATTAATGGCAACTTCATTTAATCTAAAATTGTTGCCTAAAATGTTTTTCTATGTTTAATATGTGCTGATCAGCAAAACTAGCACAGGAAGGGTGGGCATTTTTCAAAGTACACAGGATACAAGCAATTAAAAGGTGATGTTTACCTTTAGGATATCCTTTATGTTTTAAGTTTGGGGCTTAAGGGACTTTGATTCTAGGAGAGAAAAGACCAAACAGACAGCTGCCATAACACCACAGGGTTGGTGAAGACATCTAAAACTTTGTAGTCTCAGGGAGGTGAAGAAAAGGCTCACAGAAGAAGGGGTGGAAAGCAATTTGAAGATAAAGGAAAAGGGGCTAAATTGAAGAAATAGCCCCCTCTGGGCCAGCTGACTGGGATTTCTACATGTTCCCAGTCAGTTGGCCAGAGGGGGCTATTTCTTCAATTTAGCCCTTCATGTGCTTCGAGAAGGACAAAGTTCATTCCACTTAGAGAAGTCTCTGCTGTCATCCTAGCAGTTTTTTTTAATCACAAAAAAGCAGTGTGTCAAATATGGGAAAAAAACCTTTTTACTTTTTAAAATATGAGTATATAAAGGGGAATTATGTGAGAGATACATTATTTTCTGAATACTTTTATAGCATATCTGGGCCAAGTGAGGTGGCTCACACCTGTAATCCTAGCACTTTGGGAGACTGAGATGGGAGGATCGCTTGAGACCAGGAATTCAAAACCAGCCTGGCCAACACAGTGAGACCCCATCTATTTAAAAAAAAAACTTTTATAGCATATCGTATTAAACATCACTTCCTTTTAAATAAGTATCAATAAAAAAACAAAAAGACAGTATTTGTGGGGGAGCCCTGCTTTTCACATTCACCTGTCTTTACATTTTAACTACACTTCTACTCTCTCTCTTCCCAGAAATAAATCTACTCCTGAATGGCAACCTGAGTAATGGGCTAAACCATCTGGTTTCCGTTCCTAAGAACAGACTGATAAAGTTGATCACAACCAGCCACTAAGTATGATGCTTTGAATGCCTTTTCATAACTAGCCATCCCAGGCTGTAGCTAAATAGCTGGCCAATATTTAGGGACATATAATAGAATTTCCTGAAAAGGAATCAGAGCTCTTTGGAAACATGACTGATTCCAAGCCTGGAGCATAAAATACACTAGAGAAGTCTTCCGTACGAAAAGCAAGGAAGCCATCAAAGATTGCTAAGATTATATGAAAAGGACTCAGCAGCCAACCCAAAGGGGCTCTCACTTCCCAAAGAGGGGACAATTTGAGTATTAAAAAATTAACATCTGTAGAGAACTAAAACACATCAAATATATTTAAATCATTAAGTTCATAACAATTTTTTAAAAAAACAAGATTCACTGATTACTTGTGGAGATGCTTAGGAATCAACTCATTATGAAAACTGCTAGGTAGAAGGAAACAAGCATTTATCCTAATTTTCTTGTATAGACTGTACCTCAGGGTATTCAAATATTGATAAGGAAAAAGTAATTCTTCATGAAATAATTCTAGCTAACAAGTAGAATTATAATACCATCATTTGCAACCCTAATGAAACAATAGGTCCGAGTGTTATCAATGGCTGCTAAAAGCATTGCATGAAAAGCCAGTGGGAAATTTTGTAATGGATGAATCTAGCTGGCCCCATTGATATATCTTAATGTTACAAAAAGGGAGATGACTCTGAAAAAAAGAAAAAAGAAAAAAAAAAAAACAAAGATGAAGCTGAATTGGATTACTCTCTCAATATAACACCCATTTATAAGAAATACAGGACATAGAAGAATATGTTAAATAATACCACAAGGATACAATCAACCATATCCAGACTCTAATGAAACAATAGGTCTGAGTGTTATCAATGGCTGCTAACAGCATTACATGAAAAGCCAGTGGGGAATTTTGTAATGGATGAACCTAGCTGACCCCATTGATATATCTTAATGTTACAAAAAGGGAGATGACTCTGAAAAAAAGAAAAAAGAAAAAAAAAAAACAAAGATGAACCTGAATTGGATTAAACTCTCAATATACCACCCCTTTATAAGAAATACAGGACACAGAAGAATATGTTAAATAATACCGCAAGGATACAATCAGCCATATCCAGAATGCAGGAAACTCTACAGGACAATGTATCTGGTTTCTTCAAAAAATAAATGGCAAATAGGAAAAAACTGAGAAAGTGGTAACTATAGGTTAAGAGACTTTATTAAAAAACATATGAACCAAATTTAAAGTGTGGGCCTTGTTTGGATCATCCTTTGAACTAGCTGTAAAAAAAAAAAAAAAGCCAGTAATGAGGTAACTGAGGATACTTAAACACTGTCTGTATCTTTGATGGTATTAAGGAATTGAGTATTTTTAGGTGTGATAATGTTTTAAAAAAATCTGATACCTTGGATATGCTTCAAAATCTAGGGGGCAGATAGTAGAATAAAAGGAGTACAAGTAGATTGACCACAGGTTGGTAATTATGAAAGTGGGAAATGGGTGAAAGTTCATTATGTCCATATAATTTGATGTGTGTTTGAAATTTTTCGTAATTAAATAACCACATTTCAGAGTTGAGAAATGTAGATTCTCTCCTTTCAACTTTTTTTTTTTTTCCTTTTCTTTTTTTTGAGACGGAGTCTCGTTCTGTCACCCAGATTGGAGTGCAGTGGTGCGATCTTGGCTCATTGCAACCTCTGCCTCCCGGGTGCAAGCAATTCTCTGCCTCAGCCTCCCGAGTATTTGGGATTACAGGTGCCCGCCATCACACCTGGCTCATTTTTGTATTTTTAGTAGAGATGGGGTTTCACCATCTTGGCCAGGCTGGTCTTGAACTCCTGACCTCATGATCCACCCGCCTCGGCCTCCCAAAGTGCTAGATTACAGGCATGAGCCACTGCGCCCAGTCCTTGTGTTGTTTTTGTTTTTTTTTTTTTTTTGAGACGGAGTTTTGCTCTTGTTGCCCAGGCTGGAGTACAATGGCGTGATCTTGGCTCACCACAACCTCCATCTCCTCGGTTCAAGTGATTCTTGTGCCTCAGCCTCCCGAGTAGCTGGGATTACAGGCATGCGCCACCACACCTGGCTAATTTTGTATTTTTAGTAGAGACGGGGTTTCTCCATGTTGGTCAGGCTGGTCTCAAACTCCCAACCTCAGGTGATTTTTTTTTTTTTTTAATGAAAAACTGAGACTTCTAATTCCCAAGATAGTGTTTATGAAATTGTGTTGCATCTTTTTTCTTTTCTTTCTTTTTTAAAAGAGATAGGGTCTCACTCTGTACATAGTGGTACAATTGTAACTCACTGCAACCTTGAACTCCTGGGCTCAAGCAATCCTCCCACCTTGGTCTCCTGAGTAGCTGGGACTACAGGCGTGTGCTACCATGCCCATTTAATTTTTTTATTTTTGGTAGAGACGCAGTCTCACTATGTGCCCAGGCTGGTCTCAAACTCCTGGCCTGAAGCCATCTTACTGCTTCAGCCTCCCAAAGCACTGGGATTACAGGAATGAGCCAGTCTTTTTAATTATTTCTTGAACATATTATGATTATTAAATACTATTTTAAATCACTGTGTAATACGTACAAGTTACTTGCTGGAAGAAAGAAGTACAATCACAAATGTACTAATTCAACAAATGTTTACTAAGCCCTTACTATGTGACAAGTATTTTCCTAGGCATTCTTTTTTCCAGAATAACTTATTATAGTTACCCATGACTCTGAGTGAGAGATCCATATTAAGAATTACCTCTAGGGTTAACAGTGATGTTCTATTAAGAAAGTTCCTCCGGCAGTATGTGATTTCAGAACGATAACCTCCTTCTTGTCGTGCTTTCTTCCATCTAGATAAATAAAATGTCAATTAATGAATAAAGTTCACCATGTTCTCTTTCCAAACTCTTTTTCAGAGCTAGTAACCAAAGTAAGATTTAATTAAATTATAATTTTAAAAGGGGAGGGATCTTGCTTGTAGCAGCTACCAATTGTATATAAGAATATTATTAACAGATCTGTTTACAGCATTGACAGATATTTTCCATTTATGTTTAACAGTAAATTATTAAGTTACTTCAAATATGAGTTAATATACATATAATACCAAATATATTATTATTAAGTTTTAGGAAGGATTATAAAACACATGAATCTCTAACATAATTATACCTTGACAGATGAAATAACTAAAAATAAATTTAAACCTCAGAAGTACAATTTTAATAAGTCAAAGGTAATATATTTTAAAGTAAATAACCTCAGGTAATTGGCTTACTGATAACAGCCAGATTATGTTTTTACCCTAGATATGCATTGTAGATCGTCAGGTGGTCTGAATCCGCCATGGCCAAAGCTGATTTTGCAAGATCTGCTTCATCTTTTCGACCAATTGGTGTGGTAAAAGGAGACTTCTCTGTCATAACTGCAGCTAGTGTTGCCTATCCATAAATCATAAATGACAAAACAATTTATCATTAAAGAGCAATACAGTGAAAGTTAACTTATAAAAGAAAGCAAATCATAAAACAATCACACTTTAAGTTGCCTGTTTATTTTCAATATTTTATTATGTTTATTAGTATTATTATACTAATTAATGTTTAATATAAAATATTCTATAGCTAACTTATATTTTCATTTTAAACAGTTATTTTTTGTTTCATTTTAAGGAATTTCAAAAATAAATCCTTTTATAACCTTTCTGTGAGGTAAGGAGGCAATTATCACCACAATCAGAGAAAAAAATCTGAACATTTATATAAATGATTTACAGTCTGTCATACAGTTAGAGGCAATCTGGGAATCCTAACTCAGTTATCTTGGCCTCAAGACCACTGAATTTCCACTCTTAGTCTGCCGTGATCTTTAAAAATAATTTGGACTACATAACAATCCATTTGTTGTTGTAGGTTTTCAGATAAACTATCATGGAAGAGGTTATTTTTTGAACTTGGCAAAATTCCAGTGAATATCTATTTCAAATACCAAACAAAGAGAGACTATAGTAATAAGTCACATTTTCTTCATTCTGTTTTTATTTTTATTTTTGGGTTTTTTAGAGACAGAGTCTTGTTCTGTTGCCCAGGCTGGGGTGCAGTGGCCCAATCATAGCTCACTGCCCCCTCCTACTCCGGGGCTCTAGCAATCCTCCCACCTCAGCCTCCTGAATAGCTGGGTCTACAGGGGTGCACCACCATGCCCGGCCAATTTTTTAATCTTAATTTTTTTGCAGAATCAGGGTCTCACTATGTTGCCCAGGCTTCCATTCTGTATTTAAATAGCCTTTATTGGTAATCCCAGAAAAGGCCATAGCTTGATAAAGTTGTAAAGCTTTGTGCCCAGAGACTCAGACAGATTTGAATTTGTTAATTCTGACATAATTTGAGAAAAGAGAACTCTGCTAATTATTGGCTCAGAGAGAGAGGACAAAAAAGGAAAGAAAAAAAGTTTTTAATTTTACTTTTCAAAGCTGGTAGTGTTCAAAGCTTCCTAAGAATCATCCACTACATATTCCATTAAATATTTCAAGTGGGTTGAAAACAAAAGTTTAGACAAGCCAAAATCACTCACAAAATAGTACTTACAGAACACTTCAGTAATGGATGAACAGATTTTCAAGTATATAAATATAAAAAGTTAAATATTATATTAAAAAATTCTTATCCAACCTGGCCAACATGGTGAAACCCCATCTCTACTAAAAATACAAAAATTAGCCAGGTGTGGTGGCACGTGCCTGTAATCCCAGCTACTTGGGAGACTGAGGCATGAATTACTTGAACCCCGGAGGCAGAGGTTGCAGTGAGCCTAGATTGCACCATTGCTCCCCAGCCTGGGCAACAGTGCCAGACCCTGTCTCAAAAAAAAAAAAAAAAAAAAATTCAAGCATTCAGGCCCTCTCGGTTTTAATGTTCGTATAGACATTCTATTTAGTTAAAAAAATTTTTACTTAACAATTGTTTCCAAACTTGTAATTTCCTGGTCAAAGGATATTTAAAGTAAAGAAGCAGCAGCATTGTTTGACTTACCACTGGGTCAAGGCAGCCAAATATGGCACCAAAAATAAGCATCTTGCCAATCTTGACATTCACAGGTAAAGCTGCAAGGTGTTGGCCCAACGGAGTCAGTTTAGGCTCATTTAATTCACAAGCTCCAATTTTTCGGAGCAAATTCATTGCATTGCTGATCACTTGGAGCTGAGGAGGATCTAAGGCTTTGGAGAGGAAATCTTCAGGAGAACCAAGATTACATTTCTGCAGATTAAAAAAGCAATAAAATTGGTATGAAATCAAAGAATGAACACTACCCAATGAGATGTTAGTGGAACTAAATTTGACTTCAGTAAAATTTTGAGCAAAGAGGGTAAAATGTGAAAGTAGGGCTATCCTGTTATTTTTTTTATAATGGGGGTAGAGGAGTTGGGGGGAAGAGTGTATGAGTGTATGTGTGTGTTTGGGTGGGGAGGGAATAAGGATTAGATTTTCCAGTCCACATTTTTAGTTTCTTCATTCCTGATTTTGATAGGAGTCAAAAATCTAAGAACTGAAGGATATTATAGATCTTTCAGTCTAAGAAGACCTTTGTTTAAGTCAGGGTTTCTCAGTCTCAGTACTACTGATATTTTGGGCTGGATAATTCTTTGTTTTAGGGAGCTGCCCTGTACACTGTCAGATGTTTAGGAGTATCCCAGATCTCTACCTACTAGATACCATTTACCCTCCCTGTCCAATTATGACAACCAAAAATATCTCCTGACATTGCCCAATGTCCCCTGGTAGGCAACAGTGCCCCCAGTTGAGAACTACTAGTCTAGATTATGAGGCTGTATTTTAATCTATAAAGTGTAAGTGTCTGGCAAAATCAAAACACAGTGGATTTACTTATAATAAGATGGATAAGGGCATATATTAAAGAAGAGTAAAAAAGTTGAAAATCTAAAGCAATATAAGGTAAGTTTAGGTGTTCATTTTTTTTCTTTTCTAGAAAGGGGCGAAGGACAAAATCCATCCGAGTTCCCTTGAGATTACCATAATATGAAGGCATAATTCCTCCAAAGGTACACGTAAGATTTCAGGAACAGAATAATCCATAAAGCCTTCAAATCTGAAAAATAAAGTAATACTAAATACATATTATCAGAAATGTCACACAATACTGGTTTATGTGTTTTACATTTCCAGTGCTATGCCATACCTTTCTCTTGTGTACATTCGGAAACAGAAGCCATCTCTGACCCGCCCAGCTCTTCCCTGGCGCTGCAAAGCACTGGCTTTACTGACAAACGTCTCCACCAAAGAACTCATCTGACTGCTTTCATGGTACCTAAAGAAATGTTTTAGGAGAGAATATGTAGATAATTGACTTAAGTCAAAATTGGAAAAAGCTGGATTTGACTCTTACAACTAAGTTAAACACAGGCTTAAAAAATCCATTATTGTGGACCAATAGTTCTCAAATTATGCTTCATATTTAAATAATTTAGTAAACATTGCATACTAAATATACTACAAATTAAAAGTCTGGCAAAAGAAAAAAATTATTTAACTTATCCTTTCTCATACTAATCTGATCACAGAATCTTTTTTAAATTTAGTAGAATACCTATTAATTATGTGACGATAATTTTTGAAATATTTTGAGAAGTGTTACTGTGAACATTACAATTCAACATACCTTTCACGATACAGTTAAACCCTGAAAACATTTTCTCTAGAGGTACAATTCAAAGAATCAAGAATCTACTTTTTATTGAATGGTGGTACTCTCTTGCAAATATTGCTATGGTTTCCTAAAACAGGGGTAGTGTATCTAGATTATAGTAAATTACTAAAGGTGGTCTGTCCTATTTATTCAATATAAACATTATTTATACAGTAGTAATCTTTTTGTTGAAAATTCAGTTACAGTTACCTATTAGGTTCCAGTTACTGAACTAGGCACTTTCAGTTATGAAATTTTCATTTTGGCTGGGCGAGGTGGCTCACGCCTGTAATCCCAGCACTTTGGAAGGCCGAGGCAGGCAGATTGCCTGAGGTCAGGAGTTCGAGACCAGCCTGGCCAACATAGTGAAACCCTGTCTCTACTAAAAATACAAAAACATTAGCCGAGTGTGGTGGCATGTGCCTGTAATCCCAGCTACTCAGAAGGCTGAGGCAGGGGAACTGCTTGAACCAGGGAGGTGGAGGCTGCAGTGAGACTGTGCCACTGCACTCTAGCCTGGGTATCACAGCAAGACTCCGTCTCAAAAATAAAATAAAAGAAATTTTCATTTTACCCATTTACAAATGAAGAAACTGATTAGAGAGGTTATATGTTACATTACTTGCTCAAGAGATTTAAATTCAGCTCTTACTCCAAAAGCCATGTTTCTTTTTTAAATAATCACAAAGAATGCTTTTTGTTAAACAATTTATTTTACAAATAAAATATCTATAAAAATTTATGTTCTGAAAATTTTTCTCAGCACTTTTCTAAAAGTAGCAGTATACTGGTATTACTTATGGGAAAACCCATGAAATGAAATTCTGACATTTACTCTCAGATATTTTAAAGTTTCCTATAGTTTCTCTAAGGCTTTTGCTTTGGACAGAACTAGGACATTTAGGATTTTCCCTAAATAATTTTAGGATTTCTCCCAAGAATTCAAGAGCCCCAACCTCTTTCCAGGTTAAAAATGTTTTGATTTGGGAAATTTAAACTTACTTATTTTCTTTTGTTCTTCCAGTATCAATTACAAATACAACATCAGGAATAGTGATACCCGTCTCTGCAATATTGGTTGCTAAAACAATCTGAAAATAAACAAAAAGCTTAAAACATTTAGACTACTTTCATGAATGTATCATTATTTAAATTTCTTTAGTTTGAGCTGATGAAATTTAAAAACTGAATTTCAATTTCAGTCACAAAAATTTACAATCTATTTGCTATTACTGTGTAATTTTAATTTACTCTAGTTTTGTCAGCTTAGCTTACTAATTAGACTAAATCTAAAATACAGATTTTTATTCCAACAAAAATACCACTCCCCTAATTCTAGTCAATCTCTTAAAAATGATATAAGTAGGGCTGGGTGCGGTGGCTCACGCCTGTAATCCCAGCACTTTGGGAGGCCGAGGCGGGAGGATCATCTGTGGTCAAGAGTTTGAGACCAGCCTGACCAACATGGCAAAATCCTGTCTCTACTAAAAATACAAAAATTAGCCAGGCTTTGTGGCAGGTGCCTGTAATCCCAGCTACTCAGGAGGCTGAGGCAGCAGAATCGCTTGAACCCAGGAGGCGGAGGTTGCAGTGAGCCGAGATTGTGCCACTGCACTCCAGCCTGGGCAACAAGGCTGGAGTGTTGTTTTGAAACTCGGTCTCAAAACAAAAAAACATAAGTAGAATGGGGAACTGGGTAGAGAATGGAGACAGCTTAGCACAACCCTTCACTATTATTAGGAAAAAAAAATCACATTAATGAGAACTAGGTTGTTGTCCTGGCTCTGTTACTTATTAGCTTTGTGACCTACCCAATGGTTTATGTACAATAAAAATCATCAGAGAAGATCTGCCTAGAGAACAACAAGAATACTCCCAGGATTTAAATATCCAATCTCCTTTGTGATGCCTTCTTGGGAAAAAGTTGTGACTTTTTTTCCTCAACAGGCAACATCCATACTATGTTTTTCAACTAGCACTCCCTCAATGAAGTCTTCTCCCTTAAATAGCACATAATGTAAATATTCAAATGCTTGAATTGTAACATTGGGTTCACTTCTGATGATGGCAAGGTGCAGAACACTTGGAGTTGGCAATGCGCTATAAGGCACTTAATGTTAACAACTGTCTTTGATGATAAAAAGTTATACGGCCATCATAAAATACTCTCAGGTGGATCACATATAAATTTGCTGTACTAAATTTTACCTTCCTGACTCCTGGAGGGGGAAGTGTGAATGCTGCAGCTTGATCTTGGGTTGAAAGAATAGAATGCAGAGCTATCACTTTATATCTGAAAGTTAAAATCATAGTTCTTAGCAAGAGTTTCTCTTTAGAAGACACTGCAAAGAATAACAAAATTTATTTGCATATAGCAAGCAACTTTAAGATTTTTTACTATGAAAAAATTTAAACATACACAAGTGTTTACAGAATTGTACAATGAAACCTCATATACATGCATCACAAAGAATATAAACAAATTATGCGAATAGGATTAAATTTTTTTAATGTTCTTTCTAATGTTGAAGTGGTTTATATGGTTTACTACAGTAGTAATAAACTCTATCAAAACATATAGTAAACAGCTGATTAAATATATATGGATGATAAACTGCAGCTTGGTTGGAGTTTTGCACGATTTAGCGGGTTGGCAGGAGTCACCATCTTACTTTTTAACCACAGGATTCCCTCTGCTTAATCTTAAGAAGATGAAGGCTGGCCAAGTGCGGTGGCTCAGGCCTGTAATCCCAGCACTTTGGGAGGCTGAGATGGGCAGATCATCTAAGGTCAGGAGTTTGAGACCGGCCTGGTCAACATGGTAAAACCCCATCTCTACTAAAAATATAAAAATTAGCTGGGCGTGGTGGCATGCGGCTGTAGTCCCAGCTACTTGGGGAGGTTGAGGCAGGAGAATCACTTGAACCCGGAGGCAGAGGTTGCAGTAAGCTGAGATTGCGCTATCGCACTCCAGCCTGGCCGACAGAGCAAGACTCTGCCTCAAAAAAAAAAAAAAAAAAAGATGAAGGCTACAGGCAGTGGCTCACGCCTGTAATCCTGGCACTTTGGTAGGCCATGGTGAGAAGTTCCCTTTAGCCCAAGAGTTTGAGGCCAGCCTGGGCAACAGGGGGAGACCTTGTCTCTATGAAAAAAATTTTTTAAATTAGCTGGGCGTAGTGGTGCACAACTTGTGGTCCCAGCTGCTCAGGAGGCTGAGGTGGGAGGATTGTTTGAGCCCAGGAGTTTGAGGCTAAAGGTGCAATCGTGCCACTACACTCCATCCTGGGCAACAGAGAGAGAATCTGTCTCAAAAATAAAATAAAATGGAATAAATGCAGAATATAGTACCTAAAAATTTTTAGTAGATAACATGTTATAATGGAAGTGTTTAAAGAAAAAAATCTTACTTCCCCATAGGTAATTTTAACCCATGGTGAAAAGACTTTGAAAACTCTGATCAAGGGTTTTAATGTACCAAATATTTTCCTATTTTAAAACTACCAGGAATATAATGAAGATGAGTAGTTACCGTTCAGAATAAAATCTTCTATCATTTGATAGAAGATCATACAACTGCTGAATATGAGCAAGTCCTGGTAAAAAGATCAATACTGCTCCTTCAATATTTCTGAATTGGGGACTTTTATCTGAAATTTTTAAAAAGATACAATATTCAAAATAAGAAGATAAGGAACAGCATATAAAATATTAATAAAACATCTCCAGCTAGTAGAAATGTTTTATCAAATCAAATGGAGACCCATTAGAAATAGAAATATACCTAAGTATGCAAGAAGTTCCAAAATGAGATCCAGGTTGATTTTATGAGGATTCATGTATAGAATAGCATGCTGAGTGCGGCTGCTGTACTTTTGGTAAAATGGATTTAAATCAGCATGTGCTCCAGTCTGAACTGGGATGTATTCCTAAAAGAAATCCAACCAGAGGGAGGTGAATAAAAATATTAAGTATTTTTGTAAGACAAAGAAGGAAAAAAGGCGGTATTTGCATTCATTCAAATCTATATTTTTCTCATTGTCACCATTACTATTTTGTTAAAATACAGGAAGCGTATACTTTTTAATAGTGGTGAGAGTATCAGAAAATATCATCTCTGTCCTATAATTTAATGTCATCCAGCCCTTAGGTATAGCAAAACCTTTTTATCTTGGCATATACATACTAAAAGAATTGTAGAAAAACATACTGTAATCATGTATGCATCATTCTGTGGCAACTAAAAAGCAGCCAGGCCAAGAGAGGTCATAACGTTAGTAAGTAGTTTGTACCTGGCTCATTCCTTCTACATTCTACTTTGGCTCCTGGATTCCAATCATCTCTTTTGAAATAACTATATTCTAAAGTCTTTCTTTAGTTTGTAATTTTTACCTCTGGGGTTTTAGGGCAAGATTTTAATTTTTGCTTTAAAAATTTAATTTTTGTCTATCTGCTTAATTAAAATATAAAGATAACTTTGTTTTCATCAAATTGGAAACATGCATGAAATATCATGGCTATGACAAAAATGCTGGATCTAGTACTACTGGCTAAAATGCAGGATAACATTGTTTTTGTGATATTTCTGAAAACATGTCATTGAGACTAACTTCCCAGGAAGAACTATGCCCTAGACAGCTTCACTATGTATGTATGTATGTATGTATGTATGTATGTATGTATGTATGTATGTGTGTGTGTCTGTCTGTCTATCTATCTATCTATCACTATCTACCTATCACCATCTTGCCTCTGCCCTGCTCCTGCCAGGACAGAGGCTAAGAAAACCAATGGCAAGGATCTAGATTTGGGACTTGCCCTATCCTGAGCACCTATGGTGTTGAGAGAAGTAGAGAAAAATCACTACTAATGTACTCCTCAATAACTGATCACTGTTATAAAAAGAAGTTGCTTCTAATTTGTATGGTCCTTGATTTTGTATGCGTACCTAAGATGGCCCAGAATAGTCTAAGAGGACAATCAAAGTATCACAAATCAAAGACTACAGTCTATGAAATAAAGATTAAAGAAATGACCTTTAAAATTTGTTCATTCTCAGATCTGTTCCTCATCTATCAAATTATACTCAAATTCACTGTGTTAACCACATGATTTTGAAACTCTTGTGGCAGGTTAGGCCCTGGATATCATTATCTGATATCTTTCAAAATATTTTCTTTTTACCTGATATTTTTTTATTCCCCCTGCTTTGCTTGTAACATTAATGGTTACTTCTTCTTCCTCTTCCAGAAATTTCTGACAATATTCTGAGTCTTTTTCCAGTACAAAGCCTGTTTCTTCTATTATATCTTCAAGATGAAAAACCTGCATAGAATAAGGCATATAAATGGGTGAATTCAAATTCGTTTCAGTAAATATCATTTTAAAGAGAACAGGGGACACCACCTTTTGAATGTCACCAAATGTTAATTTAGAATATTATGAAAAAAAATTTTTAGTATTATTTGGGAATGAAGACTTGGTTGACATAGAGGGATTGCCTCTAAAGTCTCAGGACAAATTACATTATGAGATATATTTATATATACACATATAATGTGAAACAGTTAAGAATAGATTGTATCAGCTGAACTGAAAAGGTAAGAATCAAGAATGGAATATGTAGAAAGGAAGCTTCAAAGACAACCCTAAATTTGAGGGGTGGGTGAAAAAGGAGTTCCTTATTGCCAGGTAGCCACTCTTTTTATTTTTTTTTCCCATAGCCATCAGATGACCAGGGAAGGGCAGCAACTCTTAATCTGAATATAATGATTTTCACGTGAAAATAGGTTTATGTTCTTTAGCCCTCACTGCTGTCTTGAGTCAATACCCTCCTTTCTCTCCTATCCAGCCTCAGGCAAGGCAGTAACAGTCATCTGATTCTTAAGGCTGTGTCCAGCTCCTCTGCTGACTCACTGTACCTAGGAATAGTTCTGGCCTCTGACTACAAGTGCCCATCTTCTAGGGAAAGAACCTGGTGGGAATGCAGTTTCTGCTTATACACACATTATAAAGAAAACTTACCTCAACAGGATAACTTCTTCCTGAAATTCTGAGAATGGGGCAGTGTGTGAAATATGTAGAAAATTTTTCGCTGTCCACAGTGGCACTCATTAGAATCAAGTGTAGATCAGAACGTTTCTGTAAAATTTCCTTCAAGATAATTAGTAGGAAGTCTGACTGGACACTTCTTTCATGAACCTAGTTTTAAAAAGGGAATAAAAAAGTTCATCATATATTGTATAAATTCTAGTAAGAGGCTTGAACAATCAGACACCCAGATTTACTAAAAGTTATTCAATATCTAAGTACAGTCAGTACATGTGCGGGGAGGGAGAAGCTGTAAGTTTTAAATAAGACAGATCTTCAGAACTGAAAATAAAGTCATTCTCTAAAATTGGAAGTCACTGAAAATCATATAGTGAACTAGATTAGCCATGACAGCATGACTCTACCCTAGGAGACGGTTTGCAAATCAGATCAGATGTAGCTGATAAGGCTGGGTGCAACCCTAAGTTTGAGGGGTGCATGAAAAAGGAGTTCCTTATTGCCAGTAGCTCATACTTGTAATCCTAGCACTTTAGGAGGCCGACGCGGGCGGATAACCTGACATCGGGAGTTTGAGACCAGCCTGGCCAACATGACGAAACCCTGTCTCTACTAAAAATACAAAAATTAGCCGGGTATGGTGGTGTGCACCTGTAATCCCAGCTACCCGGGAGGCTGAGGCAGGAGAATCACTTGAACCGAGGAGACAGAGTTTGCAGTGAGCCAAGATCACACCACTGCATTCCAGCCTGGGCGACAGAGTAAGACTCTATCTCAAAAAAAAAAAAAAAAAAAAAAGATGTAAGGTATATCCCAAATTTCACTTAGAAGCAAGAGTGACTCCTAAATCTCTGCCACTAATATAAAACTATACTGTCACCATTACAAGACAGATGGTTTATCTACTAGGTAGAAAAAGAGGCATTAACTAGCAGGAATCCGACAGAATCTCTATCACTGTCAGAAAAAAGGGTTTTATGCTCTTCCAACACATGCATCTTAGGGAAGAGCACGGATGAGGTATACTGTCAGAACTTTAGTATCTGTGGACTGTATGAGTCTGTCTTCCAACTTTCTGTACTGTGACTTATTTCTACTCTATTTTATAACAGATTTAAGGTAGCACAAAAGGATAAAGTGTATCAAGATAACAAAACAGGTTTTATCATTCATTTGTTTGGAAGGGAGGCAGTAGGGGTTAAGTGTTCAGACTCTGAAATCAATTGCTAGGGTCCAATTCTTGGCCACTTACAGTGTGACTTAGGAAAAGTCATTTAAATATTCTGGGTCTATTTCTTCTATAAAAGGAGAATACAAATAATGCAAATTTCACAGAGTTGTGACAATCAAATGAGATAATGCAAAGCCCTTAGAACAAAGCCCAACAATAAGTACTCAGCATTGTGCTAGATGCTGGAGTTTAAAAAGCAACCAAGAGAGTTCTCTTCCTTTGAGTTTTCAGTGCAGTAAGAAGATACTGTATAGGATGGTTTGAAATTATATTTGAAGCATAGCTAATCCAGATGGTCAAGAAGGCTACTAAGACAAATGCCACTGATGCTGAGGACTGAGGAATGAGTATGAAAAGAAAAAGAGAAGGAAGAAACGGGATGAAAAAAGGAGAAAAAAGCCGTCATGTCAAGGTACACAGTGTGTATGAATTCATGGTAGAAAGAAGGATCATACTAACTTTCAGAAACCGGAGAAACAAAAACAATGACTTGAGCATGGGATGGGGAATGGGTCAGAAATAAAGCTGGTAAGATACTCAATAAACTGCCCTGTAAGGCCTTGTCAGCTGTGTTAAGGAGTTGTGATTTTATCCCAATGAGTCAGGAAGAGCAGTGATTAATGCATTTTAAAGCAGAGGAATCATGTGGTCTGAGTTTTATTTTAAAAAGGATAATCCTGGCTACAATGTGGAAAATGTGGTGGAGGAGAGCAAAATAAAGCAGGAAGTTTAATTCATTAGAGACTTTTGTAGTAGTTAAAGAAATAATCGTGGCCTCTCCAAGGGTAACGCCAGTGAATACGGAGAAAAGTAAATGTACTTGAGAAAGGCAAAATAAAAGGACTATATGACTGGATTCAGGGGATGTGGGAGAAAGAAGGAAAAATCTTAAAGACACTTTTACTTTGGTGGTTTGACCAGGTGACTGGGGATCATTCAGAGACTGAGAAGAGATGAGAAGGGGCAAGTTATAAAAGATGAACAGGGAGGAAAGATGTTGAGTAGTGGAACTGCTGAGTTTGGAGTTCTGGAGACGGTATCTAGACGGTAGCTAGATATTTAAGTCTGATGCTCAGAAAGGAAATCTAATGGATGGCATAGATCTGGAAAATTTCATAAAATAGATAGGAATTTATACAAATAAGGATTTTTTGTTTGTTATTTTGAGACAGGCTCTCGCTCTGTTGACCAGGCTGGAGTGCAGTGGCGCTACCACAGCTCACTGCAGCCTTGACCTCCCAGGCTCAAGCAATCCTCCACCTCAGCCTTGCAAGCAGATGGGACTATAGGTGAGTAGATAGGACTACAGGGAAAAGCCATTAAACCTAGCTAATGTGTGGGGTTTTTTGTTTTGTTTTGTTTTGTTTTGCTGTTTTTGTTTTTTTTTTTTGGAGAGAGGGGGTCTCCCTTATATTGTCCAGGCTGGTCTCAAACTCCTGGGCTCAAGTGATCCTCCCCCCTTCAGCCTGCCAAATTGCTGGCATTATAGGTGCAAGCCACTGCTCCTGGCCAGATTTTTTTTTTAAAGGAAAAAAATAAGGATAGAACATAAAATAGAGCAAATAAAAATGCATACTATGAAGTATACTTGGTATAGATGGGCAGAAAATTTGGCTGGAAGCACACTAGCAGCCATCAAGAAAACCTACTCAATTCACACACTGACTACAAACTAAAATCACACAATTCCTAATAGTAAGGCCAGAAGGAGCATTATCCTGACTGTCTTCATAAAGAGGGTCCTGTATAATGTCATGGACTTTGTCCTGACATCTCTTACAATAAATACTTAACATGACGATGAATTTCACTTCTAGGCTTTTTTTACTTGCTGTAGTGTCTAAGAGGTTGATGGCATCACAGTGGAGCTCAATTCAGTTAACTGTGTCTACAAATGGCTAATACAAAACCATGAAAGAACACAACTTCCTGAAGTTGGTCTGGTTTTTAGAGTTCATCCTGATCTATATTTACCAAGCAATTTTCTGGTAATAATTTGGAGTTCAACAGAACTTATTAACTGCTACAGATGTTTCAACTTACCTAACAGTAAGAATTTCTCACTATAAATATACTGTAGCTTAATTTAAGAATGGTAATAAGAAAAAAAAATTAGCATTTTGGTTCATGTTGACCCTTGATGATACTGATTAAATCTAGGTCTTGGTCATACAAAGCCACAATGTGACACCTTACCCTTACTCCCTTCCCGCAGGAGCCCATGGGCCAGATAAAAAAGCAGCCATTCAGCCTCTTTCTCTTTGATATCTTAGTGATAAGAGTGAAACCATGCCTATAAACTTTATAAAATTAATCAAGGAAGAAAAACAAACGTAAACCAAGCTTGCAGCACATTCAGCATTCATCATTAGGTCTGCTTGTTCTCTGACCTGCTTCTTCATAGTAGTTCACTGCCTATTGTCCTAGAATCACACAGACCCTAGATTATCGTTCCCCTTAACTACTCTATAGATAACTTGAACATTATGAAATGCTACATTTTCCATTTGAGAAATTCCTTCAGGTCCTATGTGCCAGTGAAACTACTGACTCAAAGCTGGTCTGAAGGACCCCACTGATGCCAGCTGGTATGAAGGACCCCACAAAGACCTGACTCCCCAAACAGTGCAGTTTCTACAGCCTGATGATTTTTATACATGTATATATATGTATACACACACACACACATGCTATATGTATATACACACACACACACACACGCTATATATAACCCTTTGAATAGCAATATATATATGTACACACACACACACACGCTATATATATACACACACACAAATATATATCCCCTTGAATAGAAAAGCATATAGCAAATATTATATAGTATTTATGAAACCAACTAACAGGAGATACATTTGTTACAAGAAATTATTATATATAAGGTATATAATAATTTAGTAAGCATAAAGAAAATGTTATCTAGTATTAGGAGTAACATCTTTTTAATACAAAAATATTTCAAATTTTTGAATACAACTATAGAATCCACTCACCTCATCTACAATAACATGAGACACATTACTTAGAAGACCATCTTCTTGAAGTTTCCTTAGCAAAACCCCTGTTGTACAATAGAGTAACCTGGTAGATTCACAAGCTCGAGATTCCATCCGGATCTGATATCCACACAAGGAATTCTAAAGGGAGAACATAAGGCCTTGATTAGATTCTCATGAGTAATATGGGAAACAAGCTTTAAAAAGTGAAGCAGAGGTGCTGATCTTGCTGTTAAATGGAGCATTGTAAGTAATCTAGTACAATTTATTATATTAGTAATTATTAGTTTATTAACAAATATTAGCAAATCTATTTAGTGCAATTTATTATTAAAAGCATTTTCCCATGGTCTTCAACTATATAAAGCTATAAAATATATTTCATATTTTGGCAAATTTGAACAGAAAAACTTTTTTTTTTTTTTTTTGAGACGGAGTTTCATTCTTATTGCCCAGGCTGGAGTGCAGTGGTGCAATCTCAGCTCACTGCAACTTCCACCTCTTGGGTTCAAGCGATTCTCTTGTCTCAGCCTCCCACATAGCTGGGATTACAAGGGCATGCCACTACACCCAGCTAATTTTTGTATTTTTAGTAGAGATGAGGTTTCACCATGTTGGCCAGGCTGGCCTCGAACTCCTGACCTCAGGTGATCCCCCCGCCTCAGCCTCCCAAAGTGCTAGGATTATAGGCGTGAGCCACCACACCCAGCCCCAAAATTTTTGTTCTTTTCAAGATGTTGAGAAAAAAACTGTTCACTTTCTTTAAATACCATTAATATGATTATTAAAACATTAATAAATGTTGAATTAATTTCTTCCTAAATAATCATGGAGCAAAATATTGAGGTACTCAGGAATGGAATTTTAAGCAGCTTCTATAATTTGGTCTACTTTTCTATCAAGATCTCATAAAATTTGCCACCATTAAAAAGCAGCTAGTATCATACTAGGAGTGCCTAGCGGAATTTTAATGTAACATTCCCCATCACATTTTCTTTCTTACTCCTTCAGTCATTCCGTTGTCTTATTTGTGTATATGTCTGTCATTCTCTAACAGCAGAAACCGTGCCTTTTTTTTCCTCCTCTATTCCATGACAGAAACCCAGACAATTTGCTAAATAGAAAACTTTTAATGAAGGGGTACCCAGTTTAGAGATAAAAATATAATATGCCATCTCCAGAAAGAACAATTCAAAGTATAAATAATCAGAATTACATGAACTTGCAATTTGTCATATTTGGTTCTAACTAGTTTAATTAATTAAACTAATTCCTATACTTTGCCGTCACTCTGGTTAAGGTTTGGCCAGTTTTGCATATACTTGCATGGCAAAATGCATGACAATAGATATTTAAGTATTTTTCTCATTTTTTTTTTAAATATGGGGTTGGAAAATACTAACATTTTAATTTATACTGTTTTTCCCTTCTGCTCACTGAAAAGAATTAATGAAAATCATTCAGGAATATATTCCACAGAAAAGGTTTGCAAAAACTTGAGATATATTTTAGTAGAATTTGAGTTTGTCCACATTCTTTGGCTGTTCAATTTAGTGTGTAACATATTTGAATATTCAATTATTATAGTTAATATATTTTTTCTTTTATATGAGAATTTTAATGACAGAACTCTACTGATAATCCTTCTCATAGGACAGTGGCATACTATCACATCTATCAAAGAAAATGTGAAAAGTGCCTGAAATGTGCTACTGATCAACCAATAGCAGTGAAAACTCACATATGGTACACATTCCATTTGGATCACAAAAGCAAAGGTGAGTAATGTCACCATCATTCACTGAGGTGGAGTTGAATGACAGCTTACCCTTCCTCCAGGTCCATTTTCACAGCCCAATTCATCACATACTCTGTTGGCTAAACTAACTGCTGAGATTCTTCGGGGTTGGGTACAGACAATGTTACATTTACTTGCTTCCCACTCATTTAGAAGCAAATCTTCCAATAGAAAATGTGGTACCTGAGTACTTTTACCACTCCCTGTTTCACCTGCCACAACCACTACCCGATGCCTTTTAAGAGTTTCAACAATTGAGTCCCGATGTTTAAATACAGGTAGCTGTTGTCTTTCCTTTAGAAGTTTCTGATACTTAGGTGTGCTTTGCAACTTTCTAAAGAGGTTTCTAACAGGTTCCAAATCTTCCACATTTGCTGATTCCAAGGACAGTGCAGAAAAATCCTCATCCGAAACTAAATTTTCCCAAGATTCCTCGGGATCTTCAGAGTTTTCTCTCTTATTTTCAGAATGCTGTTGTTGCTGCTGTTGCTGCTGTTTCAGTTTATTCAGAAGTTTGGCAATAAAAAGATCACGTGGTTTATTGGTTTCCATTTTATTTAATTCTTCCCTTTTCTTTTCTGCATCACTCCACTCCAGCCAAACATCTCGGTAAGTGGGAGGAAGTAACTGATGAACTGACTAAAGGAAAAACAGAGGTATGTTATTTTCACTAACTATTCAATATGGAAATTCAATAGATTAGCACTTAAAAGGATAGCTATATTCATCTTAAAATATAATTTGACTCAAATTATTATTACTTTAATATATGTATGTGTATGATGCAAATTCAATTGATTAGCACTTGATAGCTATATTCATCTTAAAATATAATTTGACTCAAATTATTATTACTTTAATATATGTATGTGTATGATGCAAATTCAAAAACAGCACATCATATTCAGGCTTCTTGACTGACTAGCTGTGTAACCTTGGGCAATTCACTTAATCTCTATGTGTCTCAGCTTCTGCATTTTTAAAATGGAGCTAGTAATTGTACCTCCCTTATAGGCATATTCTGAGGTTAAGATATGTGAGGTGCTTATTCTCGGAATATGTTGAACTACTGAACAAATGTCTATTACTTATTCCTGCAGTGGCACTATATAAAATGTTAATGAACCACAAAGCAGTTCTTTTGAGATTCTGGCAGTTGTATAATGTTACAGGTTAAAGTATTTTAAATTAACTATACTGGATAGAATCTAAGTTATCTCAATTCTGTGCTATAAAGAATCCACAATTCTCTCTCTGACATTGATAGCCATTTTTATCAAGCAAATAGTTCATAGTGCCTTATTTTGCAAAATAAGGGAAATAAAGACATTAAGAACTTTTACTGGCAGAAATAGGAAAAGAACTACTGTCCAGAGTTCCACTTAATCAGTGTCTAAAATTTTCAATGGTTCTAATTTCCTACGAAGAAAGAAACACATTTACTGTAAAAAGGAAACACTGACAATCCAAAATTTTAAAAAAGAGCATTATGTTCTCTTAAAGAGCTTCCTTCAGTAGCACTTTATTTTAATCTTTCCTGAAACTGGAAGTGTATTGTTAATATAACCTAAAATTGAAAAATGGAAGCAATGTCTACATAATTTTTTTAAGTTGAGCGAGACAATATAACATTAAAGGAAAACAAACTTAAAAAATTTTCAGCCTGGGAAATATAGTGAGACCCTGTCTCTATACAACTTTTTTAAAAAAAATTAGCTGGATGTGGTGGCACATGCCTGTAGTCCCAGCTATTCGGGAGGCTGAGGCAGGAGGATCACTTGAGGCTTCAGTGAGCTATGACTCTGCCACCACACTCCAGCCTGGGCAACATAACAAGATGCTGTCTCAAAACAAAAATTCTCCTTAATTCAACCACACTAACAACTGTTTTTAGCATAGCTAAATTAGCATAGCTCCAAAAGTCGGATCATCATACTCTCTCTTTCAGACTTCTGGCCTAAGAGGAACGAAAGATCAAACTATGTTTAGGGTTGAAAGGAAGCCAAATTAGGAATAATGAGAAAGGATTAATCAGAAGAAACAGTCAATAAAGAGAAAATTGAACCATAATTAAATACTGCCTTCCACATACAGATATAGTTAGGCCTAAAAAGTCTTACCTGCCCTTTAACTAAACGGTAAAGGGCTAAAGTAGCTCCCAGGTGCTGAGCTTGCATGCCATCTTCTGTTAAGATTGTAGGGCATACTACCAGGACATCATCTTCAGACTTGATTACCCTAACCCTACAAAGAAGCAAACGCATTTTAAAAAAATAAAGTTGACAAAGTCAGATAAAAAAAACTCAGAATTCCATTAACATTAAACTCAAGTTTGTTAATTATTTAAATATTTCCATGGAAGGCATTATTAGATAATGATAATCTATCAGACAATAAACCTGAGATGTAGAATTGAGAGCTTCCTAAATGTCTGCTTACCTCACAGGGAACAAAAAGATTTCCACCTTAAATTTTTCTAAAGTTCATTCAGTTAATTAAAAACAACAACAACAAAAAACATACCTACATTTCCAGTATCTACCTACTGGAACTTTTTCAAAGGAAGGATTTGGACTCTTGGGAAGATTCTTCCTGACCCAATCAATCAGAAATTGTTTGGGAGATTTTCCAGTCCAACTTCGAGCAGTATAGTCAAAATTTCTTACATCATGAGGTTCTTTCTTTTTATCTAAAATGGTAAACAAAGATTGGTTCTTTAAAAATGGTCAAGCATTCTCTTTTCAGTGATCAAAGTCCTCTCTTGCTTTGGAGAACAGCACTTTTAGAAGATAATACTTGAGGCCAGGTGCAGTGGCTCATGCCTGTAATCCCAGCACTTTGGGAGGCCGAGGCGGGTAGATCACGAAGTCAGGAGATCGAGACCATCCTGGCTAACACAGTGAAACCTCGTCTCTACTAAAAGTACAAAAAAATTATTCGGCGTGGTGGCGGGCGCCTGTAGTCCCAGCTACTCGGGAGGCTGAGGCAGGAGAATGACGTGAACCTGGGTGGCAGAGCTTGCAGTGAGCCAAGATTGCACCACTGCACTACAGCCTGGGTGACAGAGCGACACTCCGTCTCAAAAAAAAAAAAAAAGAACAGGTGAAGAAAGGGCAAATAGAAAAGCTTGATTTTCTTCTATGTGACATAAGGAAATCCTCTTAATGGATAGAACCCGGGAAAATTCTCAATCTTTAAAAATAATTATCTTGAGGAACTTATGTATTCTTGTAAAATATGACACTATGCATGTGATGAACTTAGGATACTACAAATTGCAACATTTGGAAGGCTACTCTGTAGTTAAACCATTAAGAAAATAGAAATCAGATGTCATTTCTAGGTTTATCAGCTGTCTGCCACCGGCACCAGCACTACCCTCAACAGCTTCCTGTTACAGATAAAGTCCAAATTCCTTACTATTCTTTGCCTATTTGTTGCCACTCTTCCCTCTTGCTTATTATGCTATAACCACAATGGCCATCAGTCAATTCTTCAATGCTCTAAGTATGCCTGTCTCAGAACAGCAGACATAGCCACATGTGGTTAAATGTAAATTATTCAGTTTCTTAGTTACATTTCAAATGCTTCTTACTCATATTTGGCTAGCAGCTATGACACTGGATAGTACAGATATAGAACATTTCCATCATTGAAAATTCTGTTGAATAGTGCTGCTTTCTTTTTTACCTTAGATATTCCAATGTACCCTCTCCTTCTTGGAAGGACTGTTCCACCAACTTGTCACCAGGCTAACACCTAAACATCTGTCAAATCTCAGAGTAAATGTCATTACAGCAAGGTCTTCCCAATCCAAATTAGACCCCTTTGTTATCTATATTAGAAGCTACTTCCTTTGATAGTACACATCATAATTTGTAATTACGTATTGTATATATTTGAAGCTTACCTTTTCTACTGTACACTTGGAAAAGGCAGAGACTAGGTTATTTTGTTCATTACTGAACACACAATAAATACTACTGAGGCCAGGCATGGTGGGTCACACCGGTAATCCCAACACTCTGGGAGCCGAGGTGGGTGGATCACCTGAGGTCAGGAGTTCAAGACCAGCCTGGCCAACGTGGTGAAACCCCGTCTCTACTAAAAATACAAAAATTAGCCGGGCATGCAGGCATGCACCTGTAATCCCGGCTACTTGGGAGACTGAAGCAGGAGAATCGCTTGAACCTGGGAGGCTGAGGTTGCAGTGAGCCAAGATCGTGCCACTGTTCTCCAGCCTGGGTGACAGAGTGAAGGTCTGTCTCAAAAAAAATCCCCCACAAAAACAATAAATACTACTGAAAGAATGAATAATTTAAAAAACTGACAATTTAGTGTGGGACTAAACTAACTATAATGCAATCTGATAAATACTATACTTGCTATATCAATAATTAACTCAGAATTTTTTTTTAAAAAAACAATTAACTAAAAAACTTCTACAGTTTTTAGAAGACCATCCAGTCTTGTCTTCTAAAAACTATAATGTGTGGCCAGATGCGGTGGCTCATGCCTGTAATCCCAGCACTTTGGGAGGCCAAGGAGGGCAGATCACCCGAAGTCAGGAGTTTGAGACCAGCATGGCCAACATGGCAAAACCCCATCTCTACTAAAAATACAAAAATTAGCCAGGCGTGGTGGCACACGCCTGTAATCCCAGCTACTGGGGAGCCTGAGGCAGGAGAATTGCTTGAATCCAGGAGGTGGAGGTTGCAGTGAACCGAGATTGTGCTACTGCACTCCAGCCTGAGCTGGAAAAAAAGAAAAAAAAAAAAAAAAGAAAGAAAGAAAAAGGCTGGGCACAGTGGCTCACGCCTGTAATCCCCAGAGGCCAAGGTGGGCAGATCACCTGAGGTCAGGACTTCAAGACTAGCCTGGTCAACATGGCGAAACCCCATCTCTACTAAAAATACAAAAACTAGCCGGGCATGGGGGTGCATGCCTGTAATCCCAGCTACTTGGGAGGCTGAGGCAGGAGGATCACTTGAACCCGGGAGATGGAGGTTGCAGTGAGCTGAGATAATGCCATTGCACTCCAGCCTGGGCAACAAGAGTGAAACTCCATCTCAAAAACAAAAAACAACAACAAAAAAGCTATAATGCAAATTATAGTATTATGATAAATACTATAAATATTATCTGACAAATACTATGCTTGATGGTCTTCTAAAACCTATAATGCAATGTGATAAATACTATATGTTATACTATTTACTATTAGTAAATAGTATACTATTAAACTATAGTACATAATACTATACTATTTACTATATACTATTATTTTAAAAAAATAACTAAAACACTTCCATAGTTTTTAGAAGACCATTCAGTCTGGTCTTCTAAAAACTATAATGCAAATTATAGTATTATGATTAACACTAAAATATTATTTGATCCTATAGTGAATGGTCTTCTCAAAACTAAAATGCAATCTGATAAATACTGTACTTGCTATATCAATAATTAACTCAAAAATTTTTTAAAAAAATAATTAACTTGGGAGCACAAAGAAGTACATGATTACTTGTCTGGTGGTATGGAAGGAGTTAGGGAGGGCTTAGGGAAGAGGAGCTGTTTGCATTAAGCCTTGAGCTGGGAACAGGTTGGCCAAGTAGGGGGTAGCAAGATGAGCGAAGTAATGAAACCATAAAACAGCCAACGTTTTCAAGAGTAAGGTGGCTGGAGTAATAAGCCAATGAAATAAGGTAGAAAGGTAGATTGTGGCAGAATGCAAAAGATCCAGAATGCCATGCTAAAAGATTTGGACTTGTTACTGATGTCAGTAGGCTCACAGCCATTAAAGGTGGCAGGAAACTCACATTTAGATCTGTATTATAGAAAGATAACTCTGGCAGCAGTCTGGAGATGAATCAGAGAGAGATGAGACTGAGGCAAGATATTTATTTGTAATTACAAAATGCTGTACATGTGTAATCATAATTGTTAATACTTTTTCAAGACAGCTTATAAAGTGTAACTTCACTGCCATCTTACGTACTTTGCCAGAATGCAAAGTAACGAATTTTACCATTATATATTTCTTGACATTTTATTATTTACAAATTACACCCTGACCATCTTCCCTTAATTTTACCTTTCTCTTCTTCAGTAGCAGCTGCAGATTTTTCAAATAAATTAAAATTCAATGCACTTTCTCCTTCTGTGGCTACAGGAGGCTTTTTCCTTTCATTTTGTTGATGTGAAATCTTCATGGCTGGGTTAAATACTGGATGGTCTTCTAAAGTTTCCATTTCTACCAAGAAAAAAATATAATGTTTAGTTTCATGGTTTTAAAAAAATTGTTATTTTTTATTTATTTACTTTTTTGGTATTTATACACCAAGAGTTTCATGGTTTTCATGCCTTATTTTTTAAAATGATTAAAAAAAACTGCATTCCTTCTTTTTCCTTGTAGCCAATTATTTAATAATTCCTGTTAGGAATCTGTGCAGGAATCAGAGGCAATTTATTAATTTTCACAACATATACAAAAATTTTAAAATAAATTATTTAATAGGTGCAATAAGCCTGGAAAAACAAACATCTTCATTAAAATAAATACTCATGGAATTGTATTCACCTTTCTCTCTTGAATGACCACGATATTTTATGGTATAAAAATCATAGGTTGGCAAACTATGTCTTGTAGGCCAAATCAAGTCCACTGGCTGTTTCTGTATGGCTTGCAAGCTAGAATGGTATTTACATTTTCAAGTAGTTATAAGAACATTTGGTGACATGATACAATTATCTGAAATTTACAGTATCCATAAATAAAGTCTGATTAGAACATAGCCATTCATTTTTGTATGGTCTATGGCTGCTTTTGTGCTGTAACAGCAAATTTGAATAGTTGTAACAGAGGCTGTATGGCCCATGAAGTCCACAGTATTTACTACTTATTATTTTAAAAGTTTGCTAATCCCATGTATAAACTGTTAGAAAAGGGTAGACATATTAAAAGGAAGCATCATCCATCCCAGGAAGGCCAACAAATAGAAGACAATTACATTTATACATCTAAGTATTTGAAAGTGTTTACCTCTTTGAAATTTCCTTATTTTTTCCTGAGCCTCTTTTTGGCCTTGCTTGTTTTTTTCTAGTTTAAAGGTAGCTGCTTGTTCTTTTGCATCCAGCAGTTTTGCTGCAAGATGTAAGTACCTTTCATTCTGTTCCAAATAAAACAATGAGGAGGGGGAAAAAAAAAGAAGAGCAAGATTAGTTTATCTATGGTCAATAAACTGTATCAAAATCTGTGATATTTTTACCTTATCCTTTGATCCAGCAAATCTACTTTTAGGAATTTTTCATAGAGAAATAAAACAAATGCACAGATTTGCAGGTGCATAGATGTTTGGTGAGGCACTGACTGTAAAAGAAAAACTGGAAATCATATATGACACATCTCTACAGAGAAGACTATTCAGTCATTAGAAAATAAAATAAGGTTAGCAAAAGAAAGAGGGTGACCCACATGGAGAAACTTCCTTGACATGTTAGTAAACCAAAGCAAACTGCAGAATAAAAAGTAGAGCTCATTTCTATAAAAACTGTTTCAGCCAGGTGTGGTGGCTCACGCCTATAATCCCAGCACTTTGGGAGGCCAAGGTGGGCAGATCACCTGAGGTCAGGAGTTCGAGACCAGCCTGGCCAACATGGTAAAACCCCGTCTCTACCAAAAATACAAAAATTAGCTGGGTGTGGGGGTGGATGCCTATAATCCCAGCTACCCAGAAGGCTGAGGCAGGAGAATCACTGGAACCTGGGAGGCAGAGGCTGCAGTGAGCTGAGATCGTACCACTGCACTCCAGCCTGGGTGACAAAGCAAGACTCTGTCTCAAAAAAAAATTGTTTCATAAGTATGTGTATTTAAAGGATTATTCATGCAGTAATAATAATACTCATCTGAAAGTTAACTTCACATATCTCTTATCTTATGGAAGACAGGAAAAAAATGGCTTTTGAGGAAAACGGATGTCATAACCCTCAAGGACATGACTTGACTCCTGAGCAAAAACTAGGAAGAGTTTAAAGTTAAACTCAAATTACTGTTTTTCTCCCCCTTAGGTTAATAAGTGACAGCAGATTAGAAGCATAAAACTATGGACTGCAGAAGGAAACACAACTGTTAAAAGAAGGAAAAAGAGACAATTAAGCAAGCATATCTAGCCGAATTTTGGTACCATTTTGTGTAAAGACAAATATCAATACAGTGTAACAGACAGGAGGGTTAGCTACCACCTCAAATTCACCCAAATAATACTTATCCTTTCCATCTTTCCTGTACTTGGCAATGATACCACCATCCCTCCACTTATGCACCTCTTGCCATCTTTGGCACATTTTTCCCCCATAAAATTTGTCATCTTAACCATTTTTAAGTGTACAGTTCAGTGGTATTAAATACATTCATAATGTTGTACAACCAGCACCACCATCCATTTCCAGAACGCTTTTTATCTGGCAAACATGAAACTCTATTCCCATTAAGCATAACTACCCATTCTCCCATCCCCCACTAGCCCCTGGCAACCACCATTCTACTTTGTCTCTATGAATTTGACTTAGGAACCTCATATAAGTGAAATCATATGGTATCTGTCTTTTTGTGATTGGCATATTTCACTTAGCATAATGTCGGTCGAGGTCCATCCGTGTTGTAGCATGTACCAGAACTTCCTTCTTTTTTAAGGCTGAATACTATTCAGTTTGATGTGCATGCCACATTTTACCTATTCATTCATCTTATTGGTAGGTACTGGATTGCTTCCACGTTTTAGCTATTGTGAATAATGCTGCTATGAACACAGTGTACAAATATCTCCTCCAAGACTCTGCTTTCAATTCTTTTGAGTATATACCCAGAAATGGAATTACTGGATCATATGGTAATTCAATTTTTAATTTTTTGAGGAACTACCAAACTGTTTTCCACAGTGGCTGCACCATTTTACATTCCCACCAACAGTACACAGGGTTCCAATTTCTCTACATCCCTGTCAACATTTATTATTTCCAGTTTTTTTTGACAGCTGACATCCTAACGGGTGTGAAATGGTATGCCATTGTGGTTTTGATTTGCATTTCCCTAATGATTAGTAATGTTGAGCATTTCTTCATACACTTACTGGTGATTTGTGTATCTTCTCTGAAGAAATCTTCCTTAGCCTTTATATTCCGTAAATCACCAATTTCTACTGATTCTTGCTTTACAAATGTCTCTCTTCCTTTCCAATTACCGATATGAACCTTTATTATCTCACACCTGAGCAAGTGCAATAGCTACCATAATGGCCTCCCTACCCTTTCCAAATTGCTCTAAACATCACTCAATATTCCAAACCACCTCGAATGCTACTAAGCTTGACCTAAAAATTCTTGTCAGTTACCTGCCCCTAAATCTGTAGTGGCTCTTTACTGTCAAGGAAAAGTGTCAAAATCACCTTCTGGACATCAAAATCTTCCAGTCTCAGGTGAACTCACCTGTTTACTCCTATCTACCAGTACTCATCTATACATCTTATCTCTATATATGCTCATCCATTTTTTACTACTGAAAGACTCCTTGTACAATTCCACAGCTGTACCCTTGTTCACACTATTTCACACATGTGGACCATCTTCCCATCTTTCTTTGCCTGTCTGAACTCTGTGCATCCTTTAGGTCCCATCTCTTTGAAGTCTTGACTTAATGCTCCAATCAGAAGAGACCTCTTCTTTCTCCAAATCTCAAAGTAGACTTATACTGCCCTAAATATTTTACTTATATTAGTTTAATACAGAAACATGGTTTAAAAAAACTTGGATATACAGAAGAATATAAAAAAGAATTCTCCATCCCACCCTACCACCCTGGTCCTAATCACCAGTAACAGCTTCTTGTGTCTCTTTCCAGATGTTTTCTTTGCTTATGTAAAAAAGCAAATACGTAGCTATATATATTCTTTTACACAAATGAATTCATCAGATTACACATGCTGTTCTACAACTTCTACCATTTGCTTGTTGACAGACATATGGGCTGTTTGCAGTGTTTGCCTAATATAAATAAAGCTGCTATGAACATTTGTGTACAAGTCTTTGTGAACAAATGTTTTAATTTTTCTTAATACCTAGAAATAAAATTGTTGGGTCACATGACAAGTATTTGTTTAACTTTTATGAGAAAGGACCAGTTTTCCTAAGTGGCTGTACCATTTTACATTTCCATTAGCTTTACACTCCCATTAGCAATATGAGTATTCCAGTTGTTCCACATTCCTCCCAACATTTAGTATTACTGATCCTTTTAGTTTTAGCCATTCTGATGGATATATAGTGTATCTCATTTAAGTTTTCATTTTCATTTCTCTAATTTAATCTACTTTTGTGAGGTGTCTATTTTTAAAGGTTCTTTATATAATTATGTATAGAAGTCCTTTGTCAGATATATGTATTACAGTATTTCCCATACCTTGCTTTTTTGACTTAGTATATTTTCTGCCTTATATTTCTATCTTACCATATGATGTCTATGTTTTTCTCTCTAGACCGTGAACTTCTGTAAAGGAACGTGCCTTATCTTTTTTTATTACCTAAAGAATTTAGCATACTCCTTACTCATAAAAATCATTTTAAAATATTTGATGATTATCTCTTTAAATATGAGAAATGTTAATTAACATCTTTTGAGCAGTTAACTTTCTGCTAAGTTTTTGCCTAAGTGTTATTTTATTTAATCTTCACATCAACCCCTTGGAGGTACATTTCCAATTTACAAATGAGCAAACTAAGGCTCAGAAAAGGAAATATATCTTGCTTAAGAGCATCCAGTTAGAAGCCTAACACAAATTTCTACTCACAGGGTCAAATTTTTCCTCCTCTTCTAAACTTTTAGAATTCTCATTCTTTTCTTCTTCATTTTGTTGTTCAGCATATCGTAAAATCCACTCTTTCATATTTACTTCCATATTTTTTTCTTCCTTTTTTGGCTAGAAAGAGAAAACAAATATCTGAAAAACCAAAGTTAGAAAAAGGTGTCAAAACTATCTTGTCACTGCTTTTACAATTTCCTCACACTCAAAAGCAGCAGACATATAAGCTGTTATTCCTTATTGCTCAGTGAAGGACAAATAAATTGACCTTAACATTAAGAAATTTACAATTGCAAAATCCAAAGAATATGTTTACATAAAGCGGTAAAAAAGAATGAAAGGAGAACTGTTAAAAACTAGTGTTGGCTGGGTGCGGTGGCTCACGCTTGTAATCCCAGCACTTCGGGAGGCCAAAGCGGGCGGATCACAAGGTCAGGAGATAGAGACTATCCTGGCTAACACGGTGAAACCCCATCTCTACTAAAAATACAAAAAAATTAGCCATGCGTGGTGGAGGGTGCCTGTAGTCCCAGCTACTCGGGAGGCTGAGGCAGGAGAATGGCGTGAAGCCAGGAGGCGGAGCTTGCAGTGAGCCGAGTGAGTGCAGTGCCATTCACTCCAGCCTGGGCAACAGAGCAAGACTCTGTCTCAAAAAAACAACAACAAAAAAACTAGTGTTATTCCTTAAAAACAGTGGTTTTATGAGGATTATTTTTTCGTAGACGTTTTACAATATGCAGAGTATTTAAGTGTAATGCCCTAATGAATTACAGTCCCATTATTCACACTCATCTGTAATTTTCTTCCACAGACTCTGGGCTTGGTCATGTGACTTACTTCAGTCAATGGGACATTAGCAAGAATAATAAAGCAGGAGTTTGATAAGAATTTGTACATTTTGGCTTATCATCTTAAAATATTCTTGGAAGCCAGATGCAATAAGAAGTCCAGCCACCCTAAGACCACTATATGTGAGGAAACCCAAGCTAGTCATGTGGAAAAAACATGTAAACAGAGGGATGCCTGGCTAGTCTCCAGCTTAGTCATGGGAGTGAAGAAGCCACTTTGGATGTTCCAGCCTTGGAAGATACTTCCTGGAACCGAAGAAACACCTTGCTGAGCCCAGCACAGACTGCAGAATCATGAGAAATAATAGTTGGTTTAAGCCACTACATTTTGGAGTGGTTTGTTATATAACTAAAACAAGCAATGATAGAAAAGTCTAGCAAACCAATTAGTTATTTGTAAGAAGTAAAAATGTTATAGAAACCTAATATTTATACTCTTTGAACTGTTACATGTGCTCCATTCTGATTTTATACAACTTTAAATGCTTAATTCTCAAATTACCTTACTCTTAGGGTCCTCTTCATATGTTTTTGTTTTAGGTTGCAATGGAGGTGAAATAGTGGCTTGTATTTGAGGAGACTGAAATTTAGGCCTACTTTTAGGTTGCTGCTCTTCAAATTCCTGACTGAATCCTTCAGGAAGTGCATCTTAAAATAAAAGAAACTATGCTGAAAATAAACAGGCATATGATACATAAAACACACAAATATTTGTTAAGCATTTGTAAACCTTGCCTAGACTTAGAGCACCTAATTTTCTTCTATTCCCTCATCTCCTAAGAATAGAAATCTTAAGATGAACCTGGTTTTATCCGTCAACCTAGAAGTGAACGTACTCATCAGATGATAGCTAGCCCTCTTGTATTTGGCCATTATTTCACCCTCAATGTTAGGCTCCTAAATTGTCATAAGATCTTAATCCTTCCCACTCTTTGGCTTTCTGTCACAGCATGTGGTAGTATCCTTAGTCACCACAAGCCATTTGCACTCCAGATTCTTGCCAAAGATTACAATCATGATCCTCTGCTTAATAAAATACTATATATTCAAGGACAGTCCTAATTTCTAAATGAAAAGCCAGGAGACATAGCTTACTGAGAGGCAAACCTTGTATTAAGGACATAGCAAAATAACAATCAACAACTGAACACAAAACATAATATTTTCTTGCATAGGCCACAATCTCTAAGGAAAATATCCTGAAAAGAACAGAAGGTAAGAACACTTTAAAAGTAAATAATTATGACAGTGAAAAAATATGAGTATGAGCCAAAAGGTTGATACAAATACCAAAACTACTTCAAAAGGTTTAGAAACTGAAAGAATTTAATGATATTGTTTACCATCTGAAAGGTTTAAACAGAGCCAATCCAAGGCAGAATGAAGGTCACCTCCATATAAGAGTGTATTGGTCATGGCATCTTCAATGTCCTTTGTCTTAAATGAAAATGCTTGTAAAGCCATGTATAAATCCTATGACAAGCAAATATAAAAAAAGTCACATTTGTCAAAGTTCCCTTCCTGTGTTACTAATTATCCCATTCATTTTAAACCAGAAACTTTGACACAAATTATAATTTCAAAACTATCTTTTTTTTCCCAGTTAAAAATGAAATGTGTTTACTGAATTAAGAATTTGGAAACCAGAGATCTTTAAAAAAGAGAACCAGGAGAAATTATCCATATTCTCACTATCCAAAGATACTAAATGTAGTACATTTTTTTCAGTCATTTTTCCATAATTTTGTAAAAAGAGATTTCACTTAACATTATAACATAAGCACCTTCCCAAGTTAGTAGAAACTCTGCACCATCACTTTGAATAGTTACATAATATTCCACTGGGTGGACATATCCTGATTTAATTTTATATTTTTCTATGGCTGAACACTTAGGACATATTTTTTTTTTATTACAAGCTGTGCTTCAGTGAACATCTTTATAGATAAAGATAAAGCATTTTAACATACTTTCTAAAGCATAATCATTATGGTTAGGCAGAGCTGGGTTCAAATCCAGACCCTGTTTACTAGTAACCTTAGGGTATAATTTATGGCATCTTTGCAAGCCTCAATTCTTTCACTTGAAAAAATGGGGCCAAATACATTTACTTCATAGGACTGTTGTGTCAGAGAAAATGTAAACAAAGTGCCCAGCACAGAATCTAACATAGTAGGTGCTCAATAATATAATTCTGGGGATATACCTTAATTTTCATATCACCATTTTAATGTGTGCACTTGTACCTTCTTGATTTAAGGTGTGCACAATTCTTTCTCTATTCTTAGAGATGGAAATGATCTACATAAAATCTCAATGGAAGTTGTAAAGCCATTTTTATCTCACATGAGGAGCTGTCTAAAAATGCTTCACTAAAACTAAGGAACTTTAAAAAGTTTGCAAAATACCTGCAATTTTTTGGCAGTAAGTCTTCCAGAAATCATTCCTTTGTCATTATTTTGCTTTTTATGCTCATTGATCACTCCAATAATTCTTTGCTCTAGTTTGTTATTAATTACCACCTGTTGAGGCCAAAAAGGTCATATCATTTAGAAGCTAAATTATTAAAAAATTAAAAGCCAATCATACAGTTTTCTATATTCCTGCCAACCAAGCCCAAAATTTCAGCTAAAATCAGATACAGTAATTATCATTTTTTGGACTACCACCCATTTGACCACATTCCTATCATTTCTTTAAGAAAAAATGTGATATGAAAAAAGCAACAAGATAACACATGGCAAGAAAAAGCCTCTTGAGGGCAATGTCACGAGACATTGTCCTTGGACCACCCTTGGGTTGCTGTCACAAAGATTCCTAAGTTCTATCCCAAACATACTGAATCAGAATTCTTGGAGGGATTTAATGTAAACCACTGCAAGCACACAACCTAAAAGAATGAACACTATACTAAAAACGGGTATAACAAGTAAAACTGAAAACTAAATATGTCGTAATAAGCTACACAAATTCTTTTGGCTTCTAGACTTTGATTCCTACTTTTTCCTACTAGCCATTTTATTTTCTGTTCTTTTGTTATTTTTGACCTAAGAGTACACAAGCATCTACTTACAAAAATATCTTCCCTTTGTTACTTTTTAACTAAATGCCTACTATAAACTAAGCACAAAAATATAATTCAGAAATTCACAGTCTAGCCCAGAAAATATATATAAAGAGACAAATTATAACCCAGCATGGCAATTCTCAAAAAAGATATATCAAGTAATAGTAGAACCACCAAGAAAATCAACTTGGCGGTTGATAAAGGACTTCATAGAGGTCACAGAGGTGACAAATAAAAAGGGGAAATAAGGGCACTCTACGCAGAGAGTACATGGGTAAAAGCTAGAAGTTGTAAAATCACGGATTTAGAAGAACAAATGAGATATTCATGAGATGTCCCATGAACTAAAATATTAAGTAGAGATCAGAGTAGCAGAGAGGAGGGTGAAACGGTATTCTAAGACAGACCTGAAAAAATGTATATGCCATGCTTAAGAAGTTTAGATCTTAACCAGGCCTTCCTTCATTTCTTACTGTCTCTCAACATATGTGTATGATTTACTTATTTTTAGTAGAGATTAGCTCTTAGAGTACTATTTACAAAAATTTAAAACACCCCATCATTTTCTTACATTTAAGGATACATCTTTTTTGGGGGAAAAAAGGGGGAAACATTTCTTGAAATGACTCAAAACCTTTGTTACTTACTTTCAAAATAGATTTATCCAGATTTGCAGGACCACTAGAATCATTTGTAGAATTAAAACTATAAATTTTTGGACCTGTAAATACAAATAGACAAGGCAATTTAATGATTAATATCTATTACATTATTTTAATTTTCCTCTAAAGAATGCTAAATATTAGGCCGGGCGCGGTGGCTCACGCCTGTAATCCCAGCACTTTGGGAGGCCGAGGCGGGTGGATCATGAGGTCAGGAGATCGAGACCATCCTGGCTAACAAGGTGAAACCCCGTCTCTACTAAAAATACAAAAAATTAGCCGGGCGCGGTGGCGGGCGCCTGTAGTCCCAGCTACTCGGGAGGCTGAGGCAGGAGAATGGCGTGAACCCGGGAAGCGGAGCTTGCAGTGAGCCGAGATTGCGCCACTGCAGTCCGCAGTCCGGCCTGGGCGACAGAGCGAGACTCCGTCTCAAAAAAAAAAAAAAAAAAAAAAAGAATGCTAAATATTAAATATTTGATTTCAGCTTTTTTCCCCAATACTTCACCAAATAACTCAATCTAGTAGCTAGCAATATCCTCTCTAAATTTTCAACATTTTACCAATTAGCATTACTCCATGTTAACCAGTTTCTCATAAAATGCAAATGCCTACATATCTTTTAGGTTAAATCTATCTTTATCCTCATATCTTTTAGTCAGATGCTTTTCTCCTGGCACTTAGCTGAGGCAAAACTTCTAAGATATGATTGTTGGCAGAGTAGATGGACAATTTTAAAGAGAAAGCACTCTTTCTTGAAGGTGGTATGCTAAGTGAAAAGGGAGGTGGGAGTTCCTATCATCTTTTCTCCTTGAACTCAAGTCCAGGGTTGCTATAGTTTCCTAGGGCTGCCATAACAAATTACCACAAACTTGATGGCTGAATACAGCAGAAATTTATTCTCTCACAATTCTGGAAGCTAGAACTCCAAAATCATGGTGTGAGCAGGACCATGCTCTCTCTGAAGGCTCTAGGTAAGAATCGTTCCTTCCCCCTTCCAGCTTCTGGTGGCAGCATAACACCAGTCTCTGCCTCCTCATTCACACGGCCTTCTTCCCTTTCTCTGTGTCCAAATGTCCCTCTCCTTTCTCTTGACATTCATTATTGGATTTAGGAATCACCCTAAATCTAGTATAATTTCATCTCAAGATCCACAGATCTGTAGAGCTTATTTCCAAACAAGGTCACATTCTGAGGTTCCAGGTGGACATGAATATTTGGGGGGACACTACTCACTCAACCCACTACAGTTGCCAAGTCTGTTCCAGTGAACAGAAACGCTGTCTAGTCTCAGTCCTTTAACAATGAGTAACCAGGAAACAACACACATTATTTTCAAACTTTTGGTCTCATGACCCCTTACTCTCTTAAAAATTACTGAGGATCCAAATAGTTTTTGTTTATGTGGGTTATGTCTATTGATACTTAGTATATTATAAATTAAAAGGGAAATTTTAAAACATTCATTCACCAAAAATAATAAATCTGGCCAGGCGCAGTGGCTCATGCCTGTAATCCCAGCACTTTGGGAGGCTGAGGTAGGAGGATCTCTTGAGCCCAGGAGTTTGAGAGCAGTCTGGGCAATATAGTGAGACTTTGCCTCTACAAAAATTATCCAGCTGTGGTAGCACATGTCTGAAGTCCCAGGTACTCAAGAGGCTGAGGCAGGAAAACTGCTTGAACCCAGGAGTTCAAGGCTGCAGTAGTAGCTACAGTGAGCTGTGACTGCAACACTGCACTCCAGCCTGGGCAACAGAGTGAGACCCTGTCTCTAATAATAATAATAATAGGCCAGGTGTGGTGGCTCATGCCTGTAATCCCAGCACTTGGGACGCGGAGGCGGGCAGATCACATGAGGTCAGGAGTTTGAGACCAGCCTGGCCAATATGGCAAAACCCCATTTCTAGTAAAAATACAAAAATTAGCTGGGCCTGGTGATGCATGCCTGTAATCCCAGCTACTTGGGAAGCTGAGGCAGGAGAACTGCTTTAACCCAGGAGGCAGAGGTTGCAGTGAGCCGAGACTGCACCACTGCACTCTGGCCTGGGAGACAGAGCGAGACTCTGTCTCAAAAAAACAAAAGGACCTCAACAAAATAATAAAAATAAACCTGTTCCATTAATATAAATGATGCTTAAGATGAAATGTGACTATATTTTTCAAGACAAAAAATAATATCCGTTTTTGCAAATCTCTTTAATATCTGGTATCTTAGTCTGCTCAGACTGCCACAACAAAATACCACAGACTGCTGGATGGCTTCACCATCAGAAATTTATTTCTCATAGTTCTGGAGGTTGGGAAGTCCAAGATTAGGGTACCAGCAAGGGAGGTTTCATTCTGAGGCCTCTTCTCTTGGCATGTAGGTGGCCATCATCTTGCTATATGTTCACATGGCTTTTTTCTCTGTGCTTACTCAGAGAAACTGAGCTCTCTTGGGTATCTCATTTTATAAGGACACTAATCCTGTTGGATCAGGGCCCCATCCCTGTGATCTCATTTAACCTTATGTACTTCCTTAGAGCCCTTATCTCCAAATATAGCCACACTGGGGGTAAGGGTCTCAACATACTAATTTTTTGAGGACACAAACATTCAGTTCGTAACATCTAGCTTCTGCATTCAATCTGCCGTAACATTACACATCATGTAGCCAACTGGACAACCTCACTGCATAATCATGAGAAAATGAGCGTGAAAAATGGCAAAAACATCTCAGAATTATTATGAAAAGTTTTCACTTCATGGAGCCCTTGGCAAACAAGTCTCAGGTTCCTTAGGACCTCCTGAGCACACTTTGAGAAACACTGCTGTATAAGAATGATCCCAGGCCAGGCGTGGTGGCTCACGCCTGTAATCCCAACACTTTGGGAGGCCAAGGCAGGTGGATCACCTGAGGTCAGGAGTTCAAGACCAGCCTGACCAACATGGAGAAACCCCATCTCTACTAAAAATACAAAATTAGCCAGGCGTGGTGGTGCATGCCTGTAATCCCAGCTACTCGGGAGGCTGAGGCAGGAGAATCGCTTGAACTCAGAAGGCGGAGGTTGCAGTGAGCCGAGATTTCGCCATTGCACTCCAGCCTGGGCAACAAGAGTGAAACTCCATCTCAAAAAAAAAAAAAAAAAAAAAAACAAGAATGATTCCAGAATCATAAATCTAGTTGCATGGTTTTTATACACCTTAAAATAAGAAGTATTTTTTCTACTTTGAGACATTTAAACATTAAATGTTCTTATGATTTTAAAGTCAAAGACTTTGCTCTCTGCTGGGTTACATTAGGTTCTTCATTTTAAGATGGTAGCTAATATAATTAGATATTTTAAAAGAACAAAAGTTTTTGAGAATAACTACTTGAAATTAACTTGTACATCTGGGCAGTCTGAAAGAGAAACATTTGTGGTTCTCTGTCAATTACTGCTATGCTATAGTTATATCGGAGGTACCCAAAGCTACATGGCATATGTAAAAAGATAATAACAAGTCTGGTATAGTATTGTTAGTTTCCTTATCGTCTAGTCTCAAACTTTACCTTAATTCTAGTAATCTCTCCTATAAATTCATGTCAATGGTCATAAAGGAGAGTATATATTTAGTAGTCTTTAACTATTTCTGGGGAGTCTTATCAATTATAGTAAGCTTGTGCACAAATTTAGCATGCAGTTTTAGAGGTCCCCAAACACATCAAGAGGCCCCAGCTATAACCCTTTTAAAAAGTTACAGATAGATGAGCAGTACATTACCAAGACTACATGGAGAAACAGTTCAAAGTTCATATGCTACTGACAAGAGTAAGACTGTAAATTCCTTTAAAAATGCCAGCCGGGGCAACATGGTGAAACCCCATCTCTACAAAAAATACAAAATATTAGCTAGGTGTGGTGGCTTGTGCCTGTAATCCCAGCTACTTGGGAGGCTGAGATGGGAGGATTGCTTGAGCCTGGGAGGCAGAGATTGTAGTGAGCCACTGGGCGACAGAGTGACCCTATCAAAAAAAAAAAAAAAAAAAACTGGTTGGTTTTTAATTTACCCAGTTGAAAAGATTAAAGTAAAATTCTCATTTGTCTCCTCCAAACATTTCACCTAAGAGTTTCAACTGTATCACTTCCTTGAAGTTGGCTTATACTGCAAACTTCCAGAGGGTAAACAAAAGAGCTGAGTTTCTGAAAAATGATCAGAGAAATCAAGGAATCCTGCTCAACATTCACTGGGCCACGTTCACTTTTGCCAAGTAAAGTGCATAAGATTTATGACAGCTACTTTCCTTATTGCCTGGAGACTTTTACAATTTTTGGTTTTGTGTTTAAGATGGTGGAAGTTACTGGAAATCTGACTGGAAGTAAGGATGTTAGTATGCAATATCTCCAAGGCAAAGTATTATGAATTCCAAATTTATAAATGAAAGGTCATGGAACGATGCAACATATATAGCTGGCTCTCAAAAATATTTATTACATTAAAGTTGAAGCACAGACAAACTGATTTCCTCAAAATGACTCAGCTAATTAAAAAAAAAAAATCAACCAGAATCAGTTTCTTATTGCCCAATAATCTTTTCTTTTGCTACATATTCTTTTTATACTGTATTTTAAAGGAAAAAGCAATGCTAATGACCCACTATGACTAAGACATTGACTTTGAGTTGTTAGCACTCTGATTCCCTTCTGATCGACAGTGTGTACATCTGCAGAATGGTTAATCAGGCAAGGGACCCAAACAGGGACTCTGGTGGTAAACAGACCCAGTGCCTGTCCTCATGGAGCTTATATTCTGGAACAGTAATATAATTAGTAAGCAACTAATACTCAGATGAGTAATAAAGGGGAAGTGCAGAGTGCCAAGAAAATAGATGAGGGTGAATTGATGTAGTCTGAGCAATTAAGGCCTGTGAGGAAGTACACACTGCCAGGGCCGCCTGACTAATTATTTTGAAATGTAAACCAGCTAAAGTTTCTCCTCTACTTAATACCAACACCGGCCCCCACTTCCCATTGAACTTGCTCTGGCTCCTTCCCAGACTTCCAGCCACATTTTAACTTTTTCTTTCTTCGCTCCAGCCACACAGCACTATCTTCTTACAACATGTCAAACTTGTTTCCACCTTAGGGTTTTTAGGCTTGTTTTTCCCTCTGCCACAAATACTCTGCAGATCATCTCAGTTTAAATGTTTTCTAAGGGAAGCTATTCCTATTTCAAACCAAAATAGACCCTCCATTCTCCATTTAATGTTTACCAAGTCACTATTTTCTGTTCCTCATAGCACTTTTTCTATTTTAGTGACCCTAAAAAAAAATTTATAATGGCTTTCATAAATTTATGACATCCATTCCCAATTCTTATTCCCCTCTTAAAATTTTAAGCCTCAACTAGGTTCAAGGATTTTCAGAAACACAAGCCTCTTGGTTGGAAGAGAAAACTTAAATTACTGAACCTCTTATTTTGGTCTCAGTCATAACATGATAAAGCAGCTTAATTATACTTAGGCTAAGGAAGTGGCACTTCTAAAGCACAGGAATGGAAAGAAGAAAGAAAAGAAAAGAAAGGCAAAGAGAAGGACAGTAAAAGAAAGATGGGGAAAGGTCTTGCTATTTCTAGAACACTCCAGGCTTGCATCTCAAGGCCTTTCTGTTCCCTCTCCCCAGGAGACTCTTTACCCAGTCATCTGTGTAACTACTTTACCTGCCTCCTTTGCTTGCTCAAATGTCACTTTTTTTTTTTTTTTTTTTTTTGAGACCGAGTCTTGCTGTCACCCAGGCTGGAGTGCAGTGGCACAATCTCAGCTCACTGCAAGCTCCGCCTCCCGGGTTCACGCCATTCTCCTGCCTCAGCCTCTCCGAGTAGCTGGGACTACAGGCGCTCGCCACTATGCCCAGCTAATTTTTTATATTTTTAGTAGAGACGGGGTTTCACCGTGGTCTCAATCTCCTGACCTCGTGATCCGCCTGCCTCGGCCTCCCAAAGTGCTGGGATTACAAGCGTGAGCCACTGCGCCTAGCCACCTTCTTATATGATGCCTTCCTTCCCTGACCATCCTATTTAATACTGAACCTCTCCCCACCCTCCTCCCTATTCGGCCTCTTCAGAAATTCTTTCATGAGCAAATGAAATTAAAAAAAAAACAAGACTGGTATTACTTGTTGTGCAAGCCATTTGGTGATTCTGAACCTCTACGATAGAGGACAATTTTGACCAGCTGTGCCGTCAAATTGGAAAGATAAGGAGGGACGGAAGTAGAGTAGAACCATTACATCTACATTAGGAACTACACAGAGTTGAGCATTTTTCCACTTTTTTCTCCAAAATAGGTTTATTGTACGTTATACTATATATTAAAAGCACCCTAAAATAAACCCAAAAGTTATGTGCAAATTTAGTAGATAACCTCTAGTTTTTTTCTCTTGATTTCTTGGTCTTAATAATTCCTTTGAACTTTCCTTACCAGTTATCCAAGTAATTTTCTTCATGACAATATGCACAGCACTAGAGTAGATACTGGGGAAATGTTAACACATATCCATAAAACTGTTCCTACCTCCTGTAATTTTGTTGGATATATAAAACATATAATTCTTTACATATCATAAGGCAAGAACTAACTATCAAAAAGAATGATTTAAACAACTATGATACGTCAGTTGTGAATAGCAGGAAGAATTCAAAAGGAAGTTGTTATCTGAAATGGGTATTTTAAGGTTTTGGTAGATGATGTTAGGGACAGATTGCACTCCATGAAGAAAAACATGGCAAGAATAAATACGAGGAAGGAGAAAGCTAAGAGCTCCATTTGGAGAAATGAAAACACACCAGACTTGCTATAGTTGAATAGAGGAATTATTAAAAGGTTAGAAAGAGGGTTTTAGAAGCTAGCTAAATGATTTGGATTTTATTGCAAAGTCAGTGAGGATGCCATGGAAGAAAATAGGAAGTGTTACGACCAAAGCAGCATTTCTGGAAGATCAGTCTGATGTTGATATGCAAGACCAACTGGAGGAAGCAAAATGAGCACAGCTGTGGAGCCCTATTAAAAGACTTCGTTGCTACTCCAGGAATTCACAGGTACCAAGACTAGGATGTGAACTACACAAATGCAAAGTGAAATATGGAAAAACAGAAACAAGGAAGTCGAAGAAAAAGTTAGTTTGGGGAAAGAAGAGTGGTTTAGTACTAGCCCTGTTAAATTTGAGATGCTTGCAAAAAATAGGGTCAGAGAATCCAGCAAAATGTATAAATTGCCAACTTGAGCTTGGAAGAGAGGCCATCTACAAAGGAAAAGATAGAAGTAATGGAAATAGATGAACACTCCTAGAAGGGCTTTAGGAGTGAACTATACTGTCAAGGATTGACACCTTGAGAAAGGGTCACAGTTTGGGGCTGGAGGAAAGGGAATTCAAAGAATACAACAAATGACTATCGGTTCAAATTCAGAGGAATGTCAGTAAAAGACAAAGGAAAAGTAAAAAAGAGGCTGATCCACAGAATAAAACTGCCATAGTTGTCAGGGAGAAATTCTATGTATTTGTAATTACAAGTATGCTAACTCTGTAGCTAACACTACAATAAATCGCAGGGCAAAGAACTGTTTCCACCTTCTAGGTAAAGGTCTGGTACCTGCCTACTTTTTCAGTCTCATCTCATTTCATCCTTTGGCGATGCTTTATGTTCTGTGAATTCCTCAAGAGCCCCAAGCTCTTTCCTGACTCAAACTTTTTACACATGATGTTCATTACGCCCGCCTGGAATACTAATTTCTGCCATGCTTCACAGAGTTAACTCCTTTTTCATTCTCCTCATCTCAGCTTAACTGTTACATTTCCAGACACCATCCATGATACCTGCTCATCCCGAGAAAAATTAGATTACCCTGTTAAACTGTCTTCCCTGGCTTTTCTTTGTGGCACTTATCTATTATAAGGCTATAAATATGTCTGTGTGCGTTACCTATTAGTTAATACCTATCTCTGACATTAGACTGGCAAGCTCCATGAGGTGATGTCTCTTTTTGCTCATCACATTCCTCACATCTTATCAGACACATACTAAATATTTGCATATATACACATAAATGCTCAGCAAATATTTCTTGAATACTCCAATAAGTACAAGCAAACAACCCGAGAAGAACACAACAGAATGTAATTGTTCATCTTTTGAGCTCAACCGTAATATGTGGCCTGCTCATCTGCAGCAGGAATCGGCCATCTATAAGTTGAGTTGTCAAATCAATTTGTACAGTAAGCAAAACTGCATGGCGGCAGAAACGAGGGCAGACAATTTTACAATAGATTACACGTAACCAGTGTGTAACCAGTGTGTAAGTCCTGTAATTTTTATTAAGTATTGATTTTTCCAGAACGCATGGAGACACTAGATTGTTGCTGAAAATGATATGAAAAACTGACAGAAAATGGGGCTGGCTGGCACCAGGAGGTCAGGAACTCCACTCAGTACTCGTCTTTGCGTTAGCCTAGCTAGCTGAGATGGTGCTCAGGATGAATTCCTGCTGAAACAGGAGCTAATGCAATTATTTTGTTTTTAGAAGGGGGAGAAGTGTGAGTTAAAAGAGAAATGCCAGGCTGCAACAGGGCTACTGTCAGAATTTTGGAGGCCCAAAGAGCTTAGACTTTTTTAATCTAAAACAAGGCCACCCCATGGGGAGGTAGCAGCTCGAGTGTTGGGAAATAGAAATGTTGGGCCCGAAGCTCCTCCCGGGTTCTAAGGCCCTTTCCTCAGGACAAGCAGCAAGGTCTCAGGGCAGACAGCCAGGGGCTGGGGGACCTCTCGTACCTTGCTTGACACGGGGCTCCCTGGAGCCGGCAGCGGCAGCGGCAGCGGTGGCCGGCCTGGACACTGGCTTCTTGCTTTGGGCCTCCCCGGCAATTCCAGCCTCGGCAGATTTGGCTCTGGAAGCAGACACGGCGGCCCGGACCACCGCGGCCGCTGGAGCCTTGTGTTTCTTGTTCTTGCCGCCCATGTTGCAGCTGTGGCAGAAGATCCTTCGCGGCCCAGGCCCCGACGGTACCACTGCACAGCCGAGAGCTCTTCACATTCCCCGGCTCCGGGGCTGCCACCCTGCGCTTCGATCCGGGCTTCTCGGGCCGGGGCGACCGCTGCCTCGCAATTGGTCGAATTCAGCAGGCTCCGCCTCCTTGAGTCGCCAGCTGCCTGCCACACGCCAGGCGCCACGCGCCGCCCTCGCTCTTTATCCACTGAGCAGCTTATCCACTTTAGGTCGGAAAGGAAAGGAAAGAAAAGCAGGAAAAAAAAAAAAAGTCAGGGGAACATTTTTGTCGGCTGCGCGACTCGACTACTTTTGTCTCCTGCGGGCCACTGTTGAGCCTTCACGAGACGTCACTGTCTTCGGTCGCGGGGCATCGTGGGTAGGAGGGAGATTTGCTCTCACTGCTCCCAAAAATGGCGGACGCATTCGGAGATGAGCTGTTCAGCGTGTTCGAGGGCGACTCGACCACTGCGGCGGGAACCAAAAAAGACAAGGAAAAGGACAAGGGGAAATGGAAGGGGCCTCCAGGGTCTGCAGACAAGGCAGGGTAAGGAAGAAGTTCCAGTTGTTGCTTTTATTTTTTTTCTCGGTGGGGAGGAAGAAAACACTACTCTCTTAGGAAGAGCACGAGAAAGTGAAGTGTACATTGAGTGGCGTTGGAAGTGAAGGGGTTCCAGAAAAAAGTTGGAGAGGGTGGAAGAATGTTGGTTCGTGGAAGGGGGGTCTTGGCGTTTCCTGGTGTCTGCAGGCAGCGTGATCTTCTGCTTCAATTCCCTTACGTCGATGTTACTGATTCTGTCCCCATCTTCGCGGTTGTCTCCTGCATCAGCACAACACCTGGCACATAGTCGTTAATAAACAAAACGAATGATTAGTTGAGTAAAAGGTGAAAAGGTTTAGAAAAAATGATATGAATTGATTTGGAGGGGAAAGGGCAGATAATAACATGAGAAGGGAGAGACATTTAATCTCCAAGATGTAGTAGTTTTCTCTTCCGTAAAATGGAGATAATAGTGCCTACCACTGGTGGATATGAGGATTCAATGAGATACACGTGTAAAGTGCCTAACAGTGGTTAGCTAGCTATCACTAATAAATGGTAGCTATCGTGAGTTTATTGAGAAAAAATTTAAAAATTACTGGACCCTACCCATATGTTTAGACTGGTGCATACAGCCACCAGAAAGTGTACAGATCTGTTTATAGTAGAACAAGGAAAAGCTATTACTTGTATTAAATAAAGTAAGATGATTAATTAACAATCAACAAAATATACTCTTGGCATTGTGGGGCCAGATACCCAATAGATGCTTGAAATTAAATTAGACATGATTTTGCTCTCAAGGAATTTTCGGTGTAGGGAAAGAGAACAGGTACCCATTAAAGAGTTACAGTATAGGTGAGGAGGTCGTTAACTTAAAATGAATGATATATACAATTAAGTGTTATAAAAGTTCAAGAAAGGGAGATCCTATTTCTGACTTTCAGGAAGGCTTATTTATATACAAGAGAATATTCTGAGTTAAGGAAATTGTGTTGTTAATGGTGCCAAGTTTGTTTGTTTTTAGGAGCATAAATTGAGCAAGAGGAACTGTTTCATTTAGGGACTACAAGAGATAAGACTGGGAATATACATTGATTTGAGAACATGAGGGGCCTTGAATATCAAGCAGAGGAGTTTTGATTTCATTTTTAAAACCCTGTTGAACAAGGTGATTGGATAAGTAGAATGATAGTTTAGGAAAATTAATTTGGCAGTGGTTGGCAGAGTACTATAATAGTATAGGGAAAGAAGATAGACAGTGAGAAAGTAAATTAGGAAATTATGTTAGTTATCTGGTTGTAAAGATGAAAAGAACCTCAACTCAGGCAGTGGCAGAGGAATGGAAAGGTACGAACATGTTAAGGAAAAAATGGACAGGCCTTCATTAATTAAGGAAAACAAGGGAAAGGAAGTCAAAAGAGATGTTTAATTTGCATGTCAGGGTGAAAAAAACAGGGACGTTCAGAGGTTTTGATATAGTGATAACATTAATTTGGCTTGAGACAATGTGAAGGGATGCTAGTATGTCTGTAGGAAAATGTCCACTGGGTAGTTTTAATAGGGTTTTGGAGAGAGACCAGGACTGGAGGTATATATTTGAATATCATTTGAATTGGTCTCCTTGAGATAGAGATCTCTGTGGGGAAGTAAGTGACACAACACAGAACTTCTGGAGAGGGTACATAAGCCTAAATAAGAGATTAGAGGGATAAGAGAAAATTCTATCAGGAGTGCGAAATGAGTGGAACAAAGTGGAAAAATAGTCTACTCGCATTAAGTTGGATTGGGAGAGTTTGGGGAAGCTTTTCAGAGAAAATAAGAAAGGAGGACCAATTATTTTTATTTCTTTCAAGACAGGAAGTAATAGTTGCTAGAGTGTTTGAATGGGCAACTATGATATTATGAAGACAATACATGTATAATTTACCATGTTAGTATATACTTTACCTCAAATTTGCTAGGATAAAATGAGTTTTATTTGCAGGTTAGTTGGGGTAAGCTGTTTGACAGCCTTCCAAAGTGAAAAGAGGAAATAAAAATCTAATTTACATTTCATTATATTAGGAAATGAATATTAGAGAAAGGAAATAAGAAAACACAGGAGAACGTTAGTAGCTTAAAGGGTTTTGTTTACTACCAACACTTCTAGCAAGGTCTTCTAGATATTTTTAAGAAAAAAATCCTGGCCGGGCGTGGTGGCTCACGCCTCTAATCCCACTTTGGGAGGCGGAGGCTGGCAGATCACCTGAGGTCAAGAGTTCGAGACCAGCTTCACCAACATGGCGAAACCCCATCTCTACTAAAAATACAAAATTTAGCCATGCCTGGTGGCAGGCGCCTGTAATCCCAGCTAGTTGGGAGGCTGAGACAAGAGAATGGCTTGAACCTGGGAGGTGGAGGTTGCAGTGAGCCGAGACTGTGCCACTGCACTCCAGCCTGGGCGACAGAGCTTGACTCCATCTCAAAAAAAAAAAGAGAAAAAATCCTATTTGCCTGATTGCAGTGGCCATACTAACATTATGCATAGTGTGATTCTCATCTGATCTGTGTAACATAGGAGGGCAAATCATGGAACTTCAGAGGAACTTGCCCTTTATTTAGTATTCTAGATCAAGTGGATGCTTTTTAAAAAAATAGTTTCTTTACCTTTTAGAGATGGGGTCTCATTTTCTCACCCAGGCTGGAGTGCACTGGTGCTTAGCAGCTTATGGTAACCTCGAACTCCTGGCCTCAAGCATTCCTCCCACCTCAGCCTCCTGAATAGCTAGAAGTACAGGTACACACCACCATATCGGGCTAATTTTAAAAATGTTTTGTAGAGACGGGTGTCTCATAGTATGTTGCCCAGGCTGGTTTCAAACTCCTGGCCTCAAGCAGTCCTCCCACCTTGGCCTCTGAAAGTGTTGGGATTCCAGATGTGAGCCACTGTGCACAGCCAGTGAGTACTTTTTAAAAAAACTTTATGAGAATTGTCAAACTATGTATTTTATATATAAAACAGTATGAAGAGCTTCATGTACTCATAACTCAGCTTCACCAATATCAAGTCATGATCAGTCTATTCCTACATCTTTTTTTTTTAATCAAATGCAAGTTGTTTTTTCTCCCTAAATATTTCAGTATTTATGTCATCCAACAAAACTAACAATAATTCCTTAATATCGTTAAATACTGAATCTGCAGTGAGATGTCCCCAGTTGTCTCGGATGTTTTTTGATCATTGGTAGTTGAATCAGGATTCAAACAAAACCCTACACTGTTTTTATTGTTATGTCCCTTAAGTATTTTATGCTACAACAGCCTCCCTCTTTTTTCTTTCTGCCATTGATTTCTATTTTGGAGGGATGAGTGAAGGGAGAAACCAGGTCATCTATTCTGTGGAGTTTCCCACATCCTGGATTTGCTTTCTTAAACTGCCATTTAACTTGCTCCTGTATCCTCAAGTATCTTCTGTAAACTGTCCTCATCCCTAGAGCTGCATTTTGTGACATAATAGCCACTATCCTCACGTAGCTGTTGAGCACTTAAAATATGACTTGTCAGAATTGAGATGTTCGGTGAGTGTAAAATTCACACCAGAATTGGAAACGTTAATATGAAAATTGTAAAATATCTCCTTAATTTTAATTTGGTTATAATTGAAATGATAGTATTTTGCATATATTGGGTTCAATGAAAGATATTAAAATTTATTTCAACAGTTTCTTTTTACCTTTTTAAATGTGGTTATTAGAAAATTTTAAATTACATATGCAGCTTGTAGCTTGTATATGTATGTATATATACTGGACTGCTCTGATCTAGTGGCTTGATTAGATTCAGGTTCAGTTTACTTCCTATTTCATTACATCATAATGTCTGAATATTCTACTGTTCTAAGATTGACAAGTTGGCGAAAATAGTATCACCCTGATTCCTCATCAACCTTTCACATGACGGCTTTAGCACCTAGTGATAATTGCCCAGGTCCATTACTTCACTAGTACTTGCACAGTGGCGATTTTCTGTTTTTATCATTTCTCTCTGCATTTATTACCTGGAATCCACCTATTAAAAAAGGCATTGTCTCATCAGCTGTTTGTTTACCTTGAAATACAGTTCATAAAGAAAAGGCAGGATAAATGCTTGATCCTTTAACAATTTTTAAGGAAATGAGTTGTGCCCTAAGGAAGTTTCAATGGTGACCAACATGGGTGTATGATTATGTTTCGTTTCTGGGTAAATGAGTGGATTTTTATATATTTACTCCTTTGCACTTATTTCTTCTTCTTTTTTTTTTTAATCTTATTGGGGTATAACTGAAGTGCAGTAAACCACCACAATCAAGATAAACATTTCCATCACCCTCAGGAGTTTTTTTGTGCCCCTTTTTAATACATCCCTGTCGCCACCTATCTAGAACTTATATTTTCTAAAATTTTATTTAAATACATTATGTATTCCTTTTACATGGCTTCTTTTACTCAACATAGTGCTTCTGAGATTCAGTCATGTGGTGTATATCAATAGTTTGTTTTTCTGGCTGAATAGTATTCTGTTTTATGCATATACCATATTTGTTTATACCTCCATCTGTTACTGGACATTTGAGTTGTTTCTGTTACGTTTTCTGAAACTTGGATTTCCAATCTTTTGAACAGTGAGTGCTCTTGAGGTTGGCTGTTGTGTCTTTTTGACAAGACATCATAAGTCTTTGATAGCTTATGTGTTTTTTGGATTTTCTGGACTCACTATACACTTTCAGTGCTAAACTTGGAATCAGCCACATCTCTAAGGAGTCTCTAATTTCTTATAGTGAGAAATGTTATTTTGTGCTTAGGGTGCACAATGCTACTGGATTTCATTGCTTTTAGGTTTTTACAGTACAAAGAACTAGGGAATCTTTGTTTTTATAAAAAATAGAATTCATACTGACATTTCCAGTACAATTAACATCACAGGGTTTTTATTTAACTTTTTGGATTTTTATAAATGTATCATTTCTCGGTTTTGTTGAAAATCCTCATTCCTAGGCCAGGCACATGGCTCATTTCTGTAATCCCAGCACTTTCGGAGGCTGAGGCAGGTGGATTGCCTGAGCCCAGGAGTTCGGGACCAGCTTGGGCAACGTGGTGAAACCCTGTCTCTACAAAAAAAAAAAAAAAAATTAGCTGGGTCTTGTGGCATGCACCTGTAGTCCCTCCTAGTCAGGAGGCTGAGGTTGGAGGATTGCTTTAGCTCTGGGAGGTTGAGGCTGCAGGGAGCTGTGATCATGACACTGCACTCTAGCCTAGGTAACAGAAAGAGACATGTCTCAAAAAAAAGAAAAGAAAATCCTCATTCCTGCTGACAATTACATAATTAAACTTTTTCTTATATATACTTACAATAGTTTAAAAATAATTTTGCAATTAATAAGATATTGAATGCAATTGTGGTTCTTTTTGCCCTCAATATATTGTGGTAACAGTGAAAATACTCTGTAGTAGTTCTTTTCTCTAAATGTTTATGCCACTAATTTGATATTTATTGTGTTCATTTGTTTCAGTGTATTTACAGTTTTTAAGAATTGCTAAAAATTTAATTTTTAAGAAATTATGTAAAAGATTTTGTAGTTCCAAAATCAAAAGTTTAAAACAGTACATTCTTGCTTCCATCCTTGCCCCTTCTTCCATTTCCTCCCTCCCCTTTAGTTTTTGCTTTGTCTCTTTTCTTTTTGAAAATATCAAATTGTGCGTACATGTGTCTATCAGATGTCTCCATTTCTCACTTCTTGTGCAAAAGGTAGCATTAAAAACTGTTCATCTTTTTTTACTTGATATTTTGACCAAGAGATCATCGTATATCAATATGTAGAGAGCTGTTTTTTTTTTTTAACAACTGCATAGTTGCAGTCCTTCAATCAATGTTCTCTGAATGAACATGGTACTATTTTCAGTCTTTTGCTGTTACAAATGATGCAACAATGTCTGTTTTGTAGAAGTCTGTTTCTTGTTGTTGTTGTTTGCCATTTTATCTTTGGAATAGATTCCTAGAAGCGAATTACTAGGTCAAAGAGTAACTAAGTAGGCATTTTTGCTAGATGTAGCCAAATTCCTCTCCACAGGAGATGTACCATTTTGTGTTTTCAACAGTGTGGTAGCAATGACAGTCCCCCAGTGATGTTCATGTCCCAATCCCTAGAACGTTTGAAATTGTTAGGTTACTTGGCAAAGGAGAAAGTTGCAGATGGAGTTCATGCTGCTAATCAGTTGACCTTGAGGTGGAGAGAGAATTCTGGATCATCCAGTTGGGACCGAAGTAATAACAAGGGTTTATAAAAGTGAAAGAAGGAAGCTGAAGGGAGAGAACCAGAAAGACAGCAACATTAGAAGGGCTCTGGCTGACTTTAAAGGTGGAGGAACAGGGTCATAAGCCGGAAAATGTGGGTGATCTCTAGAAGTGGAAGTGGCAAGGAAATGGATTTTCCCCCAGAGCCTTCAGGTAGGAACACAGCCCTGCCAACACAGCACCCTAGTTTTGGTCTTGTAAGACCTATATTGCACTTCTTTCTTTCTGAACTATAAAACAGTAAATTTGTCCTATTTTAAGCCAACCATCGCCAACCTTTTTAGCACCAGGGGCTGGTTTCATGGAAGACAGTTTTTCCACAGACCAGCAGTAGGGGGATGGTTTTGGGATGAAACTCTTCCACCTTAGATCCTTAGGCATTAGATTCTCATAAGGAGTGCACAACCTAAATTCTTCACATGTACAATTCACAATAGGGTTTGTGCTCCCATGAGAATCTAATGCTGCTGCTGATCTGACTGGAGGCAGAGCTCAGGTGATAATGTTCACTCACTCGCTGCTCACTTCCTGCTATGCAGCCTGGTTTCCTAACAGGCCATGAACTGCCCAGGGGTTGGGGGCCCATTTTAAGCCACTGGGTTTGTGGTAATCTGTTACAGCAGCAATAGAAAGTTGATACAAACAGTAATGTGTGAGAGTACTTTATGGCCTTTTTCACAGTGTATTGAACTTGGATTTTTGTCAGTGAGATAGATGAGAAATTGTATTTCAATTCGTGTTAATTTATATTTCTTTTCATCTTTAAAAAAATTGATAGTTGGTCCTTCTTAATTTTTGGACCTCTTTATAGACTAGGGATATTATTTCTCTAACATAAATTGCAAATATTTTCCCCAATGTTTTGTCATTCAGAAAAATTTTAATAAAGTCACGTTTGTCGTTCTTGTTGCTCTTGGATTTTTTGTCATGTTTTCTTCAAATCCTTGTATGGTTTTATTTGTTACATGTGCATCTGATCCGTTTTAAACCAGTGATTTTCATTGTGTTAAACAGATTGCCCAGATAGTCTAAAATCATTTTGACAAATATTTGTAGTTATTATTATTATATATATTTTTCGAGACAGACAACAACAACAACAAAAACCCATATTCCATTGCGGCATAGAGCAATAGTTAATCCACTGGAGATTACTATCAGGTTAACTTCTTTGTAGCTCTCAGAATAGAACTATTTCTGAGTATATGTGTACTTCATACAAATCTCCATCAACTAAGAAGGTGGTTGTTCTACACTAGCATTTTAAAAATAGTCTGTATTTATACTTATGTATAATTGTACAGTGAAGTATAAGACTGTGGAGCTGGGGGCAGTGGCTCATGCCTGTAGTCCCAGCTAGTAGGGAGGCTGGGGCCACCCTGGATGATACAGCTGGGACCCAACTTGAAAAAAAAAAAAAAAAACCTGTGGAACGCTCACATCATTGTTTTATACCCCGGCAGAAATCAAATAAACACAGTTAGAAGTTACAACGGAAATGTTACTACTGACTCCACAGAAATAAAAACAACCATCAGAAACTATTATGAACACCTCTACACACACAAACTAGAAAACCTACAAGAGGTGGATAAATTCTTGGACACATACACCCTCCCAAGACTGAGCCAGGAAGAAATTGATTCCCTAAACAGACCAGTAGCAAGCTCCAAAATTAAATCAGTAATAAATAGCCTACCCACCAAAAAAAGCCCAGGACCTGATGGATTCACAGCAGAATTCTACCAGATATACAAAGAAATGTTGGTAGCATTCCTACAGATATTATTCATAAAAATTGAGGAGGAAAGACTCCTCCCCAACTTATTATGTGAGGCCAGCATCATCTTGATATCAAAAATGGGCAGAGACACAACGACAAAAAACTTCAGGCCACTATCCTTGATGAACATCAATGCAAAAATCCTCAGCAGAATACTTGCAAACCAAATCCAGCAGCACATCAAAAAGCTAATCCACCATGACCAAGTAGGCTTCATCCCCAGGATGCAAGGTTGGTTCAACATGCAAATATCAACAAATGTGAGTCATCACATGAACAGAACTAAAGACAAAAAACCACATGATTATTTCAATACATGCAGAAAAGGCCTTCGATAAAATTCAACACCCCTCCATGTTAAAAACTCTCAGTAACCTAGGTATTGAAGGAACACACCTCAATATAATAGAGCCATCTATGACAAACCCACAACCAACATTATACTGAAAAAGTGAAAGCTGGAAGCATTCCCCTTGAAAACTGGCACAAGGCAAGGCTGCCCTCTCTCACCACTTCTATTCAACATAGTATTGGAAGTCCTAGCCAGAGCAGTTAGGCAAAAGAAAGAAAGAAAGGGCATCCAAATAGGAAGAGAGGAAGTCAAACTGTTTGCAGACAACATAATTCTATATGTAGGAAACCCCATAGTCTGGGCCCAAACACTCCAGCTGACAAACAACTTCAGCAAAGCTGCTGGATACAAAAATTAGTGTACAAAAAAGGCTAGCATTCTTATACACCAACAGTAGCCAGACTGAGAGCCAGATAAGAGAAGCAATCTCATTCACAATTGCCACACACCTCCCCCCTCCCACACACACACACCCTAGAAATACAGCTAACCAGGGAGGTGAAAGATATATGCAATGAGAATTACAAAATACTGTTCAAAGAAATCAGAGAAGACACAAACAAATGGAAAAACACCCCATGCTCATGAATAGGAAGAATCAGTATCATCAAAATGGCTATAGTGCCCAAAGCAATGTACAGATTCAATGCTATTCCTATCAAACTACCAATGACATTCTTCACAGAACTAGAAAAAACTACTTTAAAATTTATATGGAACCAAAAATAGCCAAGGCAGTCCTAAGCAAAAAGAACAAAGCTGGAGAGGCATCACATTACCCTACTTCAAACTATACTACAAGGCTACAGTAACCAAACAGCATGATACTGGTACAAAAACAGGCACATTGAACAATGGAACAGAGTAGAGAGCTAGAAATAAGGCCGCACATCTACAACCATCTGATCTTTGACAAAACTAACAAAACGAAGCAGTGGGGAAAAGACTCGCTATTCAATAAATGCTGCTGGGATAACTGGCTAGCCATATGCAGAAAATTGAAGGTGGACCCCTTCTTTACACCATGTAGAAAAATCAACTCAAGGTGGATTAAAGACAAATGTAAAACCCAAAACTACAAAATCCCTGAAAGACAACTAGGCAGTATCATCCTGGACCTAGGAATGGGCAAAGATTTGATGACAAGGACACCGAAAGCCATTGCAACAAAAGCAAAAATTGACAAATGGGATCTAATTAAACTTAAGAGCTTCCATACAGCAAAAGAAACTATCAACAGAGTAAACAGACAACCCACAGAATGGGAGAAAATTTTTGCAAACTATGCATTTGACAAAGGTCTAATATGCAGCATTTATAAGGAACTTAAATTTACAGGAGAAAAACAACCTTATTAAAAGGTGGACAAAGGACATGAACAGACATTTCTCAAAAGAAGACATACATGGGGCCAGAAAGCATATAAAAAAAGCTCAGTATCACTGATCATTAGAGAATTGCAAATCAAAACCACAAATGAGATACCATCTAACACCAGTCAGAATGGCTATTACTAAAAACTAAAAAAATAGCAGATGCTGTCAAGGTTGCAGAGAAAAGGGATCACTTATAACTGTTGGTGGGAGTGTAAATCAGTTCAACCGTTGTGGAAGGCAATATGGCAATTCATCAAAGAGCTAAAAACAGATATACCATTAGACCCAGCAATCCCATTACTGGGTATATACCCACAGGAATATAAAGCATTCTACCATAAAGACACATGCATGTGGATGTTCATTGCAGCACTATTCACAATAGCAAAGACATGGAATCAACCCAAATGCCCATCAATGACAGATTGGATAAAGAAAATGTGGTACGTATACACCATGAAATATTATGCAGCCGTGAAAAAGAATGAGATCATGTCTTTTGCAGGAACATGGATGGAGCTGGAGGCTATCATCCTTAGCAAACTAATGCAGGAACAGAAAACCAAATACCGCATGTTCTCGCTTATAAATGGGAGCTAAAAGATAACTTATGAACACAGAGAAGGAAACAACAGACACTGGGGTCTACTTGGAGGGAGGGTGGAAGGAGGGAGAGGAGCAGAAAAGATAACTGTTGGGCACTGGCCTTAATATCTAGATGATGAAATAATATGTACAACAAACCCCCATGACGTGTTTACCTGCGTAGCAAACCTTCACATGTACCCCAAACCTAAAATAAAAGTTTAAAAAGACCAAATACTTCTGCTTGGCACATGTTCTTCTCTAGGCGAGATACAATGGTTGTACACAACAGTCACTGCTTAACTTTTATTACAAGTAGTACTAAATGTCATTTCAGGTAGTGTGAGTACTTAAAAAAACTTCTTATTTGACATAATTTCAGACTTAGAGAAAATATATAAGAATGGCACCAAAATTCTTGTACATCTTCACTCAAATATTCTAAATTTTAACACTTTACCACGTTTACTTTATCCTCCCTTCCTCTTTCTTCCCATAATGCATATGTATATGTGTATGTTTGTGGATACATAATTTTTTCTGAACTGTTTAGAGTAAGTTGCAGATATGTTGCCCATTTACCTCTAGATTTCTAAGTTGCTTAGTCTGTATTTTCTGAAAATGAGAGCATTCTTTTATGTAACCACAGTTTATAGTTATCAAAATTAGGAAATTATATATTGATACAGTACTGTTACCTAATCAGACTTATCCAGATTTTGCCAATTGCTTTAATGTCCTTTATAAGAAAATAATTCTATATAGGATTAAGTGATTTGGTTGTCATGTCTTTTTTGTCTCATGTAATATGTACTAGTCTTTGAATTTCATGACCATTTTAGAATGTGTTGCTAGGTGTTGCCAAATTCCTCTATAGGTTAGAGATTGATTTTTATCCTCTGTAATTACAGGCTAGTTATCCCAGTTTGGGTTTGTTGGCCAATAAGTTATAATTAGATGTTGGCCAAATTTGTTGTTTGGGCTTAATGGCCAATTTGGTGCTCTTTCTTGTGCTATGTATAGAGCATGCTACCCTTATGAACTAAGAAGAATAACATTCTCAGATGGTTTCAATAAATTAAAACCTTATCCTTAAAAAGTAAGCTGGTTATCTACAACACTTCATTTCCAGCCTTTCTGGATAACTCAGATGTTTGTGTGCAAGTTCCACATGTGACGTACATACCAAGCTATGAGAGAAATAAATAATTAGAGTCCTAAAAGTCTGACATGCAATATTAAAGAATAATGTAGCACTTCTGACCAGAAGTGTTCTACCATGAATTTCAGTTTCTCAAAGGTTTGGGAACTTTCATGTTTCTTTGTTTTATAGACTTTAACCAGCTCCTAATAGAATGTTTTAAATATAGTGGCTTAGTTGTTGCTTACTCAGAGATAGAATAATAGAATGTTACACCTAGAAAGGATCTCAGTTATTGTCCAAATGTCTTGTTTTACTGAGGCCCAAGGATATTGATGACCTGTCCAGAAGAGGTTCACATAAGTAGTCAGCAACAAAAATGGGACTAGAATGAATAGCTTTTTCGCAAAATTGGGAGTGACAGAATTTACAAATTTTAGGTTTTGCTAGGTATCAGAGAATGGACTTCATTATGGAAAGGTTGTTCAAGCATATGGATCAGTATTGTTTTACCCTTTATTAAAAAGTCTTTTTTTTTTTTTTTTGAGAGGGAGTCTTGCTCTGTCGCCCAGGCTGGAGTACAGTGGCACGATCTCAGCTCACTGCAGGCTCCACCTCCCGGGTTCACACCATTCTACCTCAGCCTCCCGAGTACCTGGGACTACAGGTGCTCACCACCACACCCGGCTAATTTTTTGTATTTTTAGTAGAGACGACGGGGTTTCACCGTGTTAGCCAGGATGGTCTCAATCTCCTGACCTCGTGATCTGCCCGCCTTGGCCTCCCAAAGTACTGGGATTACAGGCATGAGTCACCCTGCCCAGCCTAAAAATTGTTTAAATAAAACATAAAGAAAAGTGTGCAGATTATGGGATGGATTTTTAGAGTGTGTGGAACACATCCACGCAGCCACCATTCTGTGCAAAAAAATAGAATATTACAACCCCTCTGTGTCCCTTAGAAAAAATAACTGTCCTGATAACAACATGTGTTAGTTTTTTTGTTTGGGACTGTTATGTAAGTGGAATCATACAAAATATATTTTTATGTTTGGCTTTGGCTCAACATCGTTTGCACAATTCATGACTAAATGGAATAGCAGTTCTGAGTGTGACTGTTTTGTTACGGGATCAGAGGGGCAAAGTCACAATTTTCCGAAAAGTCTATTAAAATACCCTGTCCTTTTTTAGTTACATATCTGTGTAAGGCTAGATTTTTCTTCATATGCTTTGACCAAAACAACATGTCATAGCAAGTTGAATACAGAAACAGGTGAATCCTGCTGTTTCTGTTAAGCCAGACATGAGAGATTTGGAAAAATATAAAAACTATGCCATTCTCGTTAAAATTTTTTTAGAAAATAGTTATTTTTTACCAAAAATGTTACTCATGTTAATATGTAGTGGTTTGACTGTTGCCATTTTAAAGTGAATTAATAAGTATTTAAAAAAATTTTAATCTTAATATCTAATATTGCAAATATCAATAGATACAACCACATAAAATTCATTAGAGTTTCTTATAACTTTTAAGACTGAGAAAGGATTCTGAAACCAAAAAGTTTGAGCCACTGACCTGATATCTGATTTACAATTCTGTCATAAGTAATGGTGTTGAGCTCCTTTTCATGTGCTTGTTGCCCATTTGAATATCCTCTTTTCTAAAGTGCCCACTAAGTCCTTTGCTCATTTTTTTAATTGGGTTATCTTTTAAAAATTGATTTATAATCCTCACCCCTAATTTTCTGTCCTGGTTAAGAAGTCCGGAAGATCATTTTCTCATTTTATCTTCTAGATTCTTTGTTATTTTTGCCTTTTCACACATCTAAAATTCACATGGAATTGATTTTTGTGTATGATGAGGTAAAGGTCAGATTGAATTCCCCTATGGATATTCAGTGTACCAAACATCTATTTTTTTTTTTTTTTTTTTTTTCCTGAGACAGTCTTGCTTTGTCTCCTAGGCTGGAGTGCAGTGGCGTGATCTCAGCTTACTGCAGCATCTGCCTCCTGGGTTCAAGCAGTTCACCTGTCCCAGCCTCTCGAGTAGCTGGGACTACAGGCATGCGCCATCATACCCAGCTCATTTTTGTATTTTTAGTAGAGATGGGATTTTGCCATGCTGTCCAGGCTGGTCTCTAACTCCCGACCTCAAGTGATCATCCACCTCGGCCTCCCAAAGTGCTTGGATTACGGGTATGAGCCACCGTGCCCGGCTCCAAACGTCATTTATTGTCACTACTTTTGACCAGCAAATCTAATCACAAAAAATTTTCTTCCAAATAGTAGTATCATGCCTTTAGAGAAAGCATTAAATGTTTGTTAAAGGTAACTCATGTTAATGTCTAATGATGTTTTAATTTACAGTTTTAAAGAAAATATATTTAATAGTTATGTTAATGTGAATTTTAAGATAATTTTAAACCGTCAAAGAAAAATGAAATACAAATGCAGTAAAGTATTCAGTTTTACTAGTTATAAAGTTAAGGTATTCCGGGCTTCAGCCAGTTGTTGTTTGTAACATTCATCTATTTAAAACATGACTTTCTGTTAATGGTATAGAGCAGTATTTTATGATGTTGCCCTTAAAGTAAAAGTGGATACTGCAGAATTCATTCCAAACTATTTACTTTTCAGGAAACGTTTTGATGGTAAATTACAATCAGAATCAACTAATAATGGAAAAAATAAGAGAGATGTAGATTTCGAAGGTACAGATGAACCCATTTTTGGAAAGAAGCCCAGGATAGAAGAGTCAATAACTGAAGACTTAAGGTAATATTTCCAAAGTCCTAAATGTTAGTAACTCATAATTCAGGTGGTTACATGAGGTTTTAAAAATTGTCTCCATGTTGCTACTTAGATATATGCCCGTATTAGAGAAATGAAGATATTCTTTCTATTTTTACACAGGCATGTAAATGTAGAACACTTACCTAAGTTTGGGGAGTTGGAAAGCAATATGGAAAATACTCATCTTTTAATACTTTAGAATCCAGTTTTGAGAAAAAAGTCTTAAAACCTGATTAAAAAAAATACGTTTTCTTTATTTGTAATGCCTCAGGAGGAGGATAACTGGAAGAGTGGAATAAAAGGAAAAAATAAAGCTAACTCAGTGGAAGGAATAAGTGGGAAGGAACATTAGAGCGAATTAGATTTTCATTGTTGCATGTGGAGTAGAGTGGCTGTGCATCTCAAGACTCCTGCTATGGGTATCTGTGGCTGGAATCGCTGGTATTTATCTGATTTTGGAAGCTGGAGCTTTCTAAAAGTTGATGCCAGTACCCTTGGTTGACCTGTTTTGTATTGTGGTAATGATCTTTACAACTTTGCTCCTCCCTTCTAATGTTCCATATTTGAACTTGGCACTACCATGAAGAGTTTACAATTTCTGTGATTTTTTTTTAAAACCAGTTAACTTTTGTTACAGTTAGTAAAATTATCTCCTATAAATGGTGATAGATGTGTCACTGGAATATTTAAGATGCACCATTTTCCCAGGCTACTATAATAAGTTACAAAATAATATTTGTAGTTTAAAGTCATTGTTACTTGTTTGTAACTTTTGAGTTTGTCCAAAGTAATATTATTGACTTAAATCTCAGAAGTACGATAAGTAAGATAATAATCTAGCACAGAAATACATCTATTTTTCTTCAGTTTATCCAGTTTTGCCTTTTCAGAGTCTTAACAGAGGACCTAGATAGCATAATGTAGGATTTTGATGAGAATAAGGAACTTTTTTTTTTTGAGACATTGTCTCACTCTGTCACCCAGGCTGGAGTGCAGTGGTGTGATCACAGCTCACTGCCATCTCAGCCTCCCCAGGGTCAGGTGATTCTCCTGCCTCAATGTCTTGAGTAGCTGGGACTACAGGCGCGTGCCACCACGTATGCTAATTTTTGAGTTTTTTTGTAGTGAGTTTCTGCCGTATTGCCCAAGCTGGTCTTGAACTCCTGGGCTCAAGTGATCCACCCACTTCAGCCTCCCAAAGTGTTGGGATTACAGGTGTGAGCCACTGTGCCTGGCCAGGAACACTTCTATAAATAATAGCAACAAATGAATTGGGCTAGTTTACTTTATACTTTCTATTGTGTAATGGTTTATAACCAGCTTATGTTTTGAAGTGGTGACAGTGCTTGGTAGAGGCACTTTTTATTCAAAATAGTTATTGGAACTAAGCTGACATAATTATTTGAATAATCACTCGGCAGTCTGTTCTGTATCTGTAATAAAAGATGTTAACTGGTCATTTTTAATTTTCAGCATATATTTGCATAATGTGAAAACATTTCTATGTATTCTTAATAGCCAAAGTTTTTCCTATTTGGAATACTGATGATTGGACAGTGTCATTTTCCTTAACAGTGCAATGTGAGGCTTATTATCAAATTATAGAAAAGTAATTTGTTTTTGTGTAACTTTAAACAATTCTTTTTAAGTTTGGCAGACCTGATGCCCAGAGTCAAGGTACAATCAGTTGAAACTGTTGAAGGGTGTACACATGAGGTAAGCACAAACAGCATACAGAAGGTTAGTGTTACAAATGGGATTTTTCTTTGGACTATCTAGTATGATGATCAGCAAACAGTTTAGCCATGAGGACCTTGGAAACAATAAATAGTTTCCATGGGGTACCTAGTGGAAGAGTTGGGGCTTTGTAATTAAACTTGGGTTCAGATCCTCCCCCAGCATTTTTCTTAACTATAATCTTGGGTAAATTTCTTATTTTAACTTTTTTTTTTTTTTTTTTTTTTTTTTTTTTTTTTTTTTTTAAGGCAGAGGTTCGCTGTTGTCGACCAGGCTGGAGTGCAATGGCGCAATCTCGGCTTACTGCAACCTCCGCCTCCCGGGTTCAAGCAATTCTCCTGCCTCAGCCTCCTGGGTAGCTGGGATTACAGGCGTGCGCCACCATGCCCGGCTAATTTTTGTATTTTTAGTAGAGATGGGGTTTCACTATGTTGGCCAGGCTGGTCTCAAACTCCTGACCTCGTGATCCACCTGCCTCAGCCTACCAAAGTGCTGGGATTACAGGCATGAGCCACTGCGCCGGGCCAATCTTGGGTAAATTTCTTAACCTCTTTGTTTATTTAAAAACATTGTTTTTTTGTAGTTTTTAAATTTGCAATAAAGGGATCTACCTTGTGGTGTGGTTGTGAGGATTATAGAAGTAAATTAGGTAAAGTACCTAGCACAGAGTAGGTGTTTAGAGCATTCATACTCCTAAAGTTAAGTAACAGTGCTATTTTTGAAGGTTACATGCTATTTCATGTCTTGCTCCAATGACTGATAAATTGCAGTTTCTTTGTTCTGCCACAAGATGGTGGTCAGAGATAGCTTGTATCCATTTAGAAGTGAGAATTTATACACATTAGGGACATGATGGAACTATAACACTATTTCCTTCTCAAAATTTTTTATTATAAACATTATAGCAAGTTATTTTTAGAGGTAATTGGAGAATCTCATTAAAAGTCTGTTGAATAAGCAGAGTAATCCAAATTAACAAAAAGACTTTCAATGTAGGTTTAGAACCTTATCTTTTTTTTTTTTAACTTCAGATTCAGGAGGTGGTACATATGCAAGTTTGATTTTTTCAGGAGGTGGTACATATATGCAAGTGTTGTTTTTTTGGGGGGGTTTTTTTTTGTTTTTTTTTTTTTTAAGAGTCTCACTATGTCATCCAGGCTGGAGTGCAGTGATGTGATCTCGGCTCACTGCAACCTCCACGTCCCAGGCTCAAGCAATCCTTCTGTCTCAGCCTCCCAAGCAGCTGGGATTACAGGTGCGTGCCACCACGCTTGGCTAATTTTTTTTTTTTAATTTTTTTTTTTATTTTTAGTAGAGACTGGGTTTCACCATGTTGGTCAGGCTGGTCTCAAACTCCTGACTTCAAGTGATCCAGCCATCTTGGCCTCCCAAAGTGCTGGGATTACAGGCATGAGGCACTGTGCCTAGCCATGTGCAGGTTTGTTACATGGGTATATCGTGTAATGCTGAGGTTTGGGCTTCAGTTGAACCCGTCACCCAAATAGTGAACATACTACCCAGTAGGTATTAAATAGTTTTTCAACCCTTTCCCACTTCACTTCCTGCTGTTGGAGTCCTCAGTGTCTGTTGTTCTTATCTTTATGTCCATGTGTACCCTATGTTTAGCTCTCACTAAACGTAGTGAGAATATGCGGTATTTGATTTTCTGTTTCTGCGTTAAATCAGGATGATGGCCTCCAGCTGCATCCATGTTACTGCAAAGGACATGATTTCTAGAAATTTATCTTTTAAAATATTTTTCTACTGAAAGTCTCTTATGTTTCTTTAGAGGTAGTACATAGTGTCTGACAGGTGTGATGTCCATTTGATTATTCAAGATATGTTAGACCCTATTCAGTTATCTGGGCTTATAAAAGATGGAAAAACATAAACATGGCTGGGCACAGTGGCTCACGTCTATAATCCCAGCACTTTGGGAGGGCGAGGCAGGCGGATTGCCTGAGGTCAGGAGTTTGAGACCAGTCTGGCCAGCATGGTGAAACCCCGTCTCTACTAAAAATACAAAAAAAATTAACCAGGCATGGTGGCATGTGCCTGTAATCCCAGCTACTCAGGAGGCTGAGGCAGGGGAATTGCTTGAACCAGGGAGGTGGAGGTTGCAGTGAGCTGAGATCACGCCACTGTACTCCAGCCTGGGTGACAGAGTGAGACTCTGTCTCAAAAAAAGAAAAAAGAAAAGAAAAAAGAAATACAAACTCTATTCTCAGGAGGTCAAAAGCCCCTTCTGTGCTCCATGATTATCTTCAAGCCCACCTTTCTGTCACTTCTTCCCACTTTCTCAGCAGGGTGACTTTTCCTCTTCACAGGCTTGAGGATATCAAGTTGAAATGTCCTCTGATTATAACCTCCATCACCAAGGCTATTTGTACGTGTCACATTCCCCTTCCAGACTAAGGATGGTTGTTCTGCCAGTATTCTTGGTTGTGTCTTATCCTATCTCCACAAAGACTTTATTTATTTATTTTTAATTATTATACTTTAAGTTCTGGGGTACATGTGCAGAACATGCAGTTTTGTTACATGGGTATACACCTGCCATGGTGGTTTGCTGCACCCATCATCCTGTCAGCCTTCATTAGGTATTTCTCCTAATGCTATCCCTCCCCTAGCCCCCCACCTCTCTACAGGCCCCGGTTTGTGATGTTCCCTGCCCTGTGTCCATGTGTTCTCATTGTTCAACTCCCACTTACGAGTGAGAACATGGCAGTGTTTGGTTTTGTGTTGTTGTGATAGTTTGCTGAGAATGAGTTTCCAGCTTCATCCATATCCCTGCAAAGGACATGAACTCATCAACTTTTATGGCTGCATAGTATTCCATGGTGTATATGTGCCACATTTTCTTTATCCAGTCTATCACTGATGGACATTTGGGTTGGTTCCAAGTCTTTGCTATTGTGAATAGTGCTGCAATGAATATACGTATGCATGTGTCTTTGTAGTAGAAAGATTTATAATCCTTTGGGTATATACCCAGTAATGGGATCCTGGGTCAAATGGTATTTCTAGTTGTAGATCCTTGAGGAATCGCCACACTGCACAAAGACTTTATTAATTTCCTTTTCCCTTAACTATTTCTAGAGTCTCTTTTTTTCTAATTGCCATTCCCTGTCAGCATATGAGCATTCAAAAGTTTCTCTTTCTGTTCTATGTTGTTTTCTACCCACTGTGTTGTTATTCTTCTGTTTTGTAGTAGTTTCGACTTTAAAAAGTACACAGTTTCCTCAGGGAGATAAACATCAGCTTTCAATTATTACCCTTAGACAAATGCGAGTAGATGTAATTTCTGAGTGTTGAAACTAGCTTTTTGCCTTGTTCTTAAAGACAGTTATTTGATTTACAGTGTCTGAGACAGCTAAAGTTCATCACTCTAGTTCATCAGTTTTATTTTCCAAACCATCATTCATTATGGAATGCTAAATACATCAGTTCTCAAATAGTTGGTGAGGTTTTTTTTTCTTTTTTACTTTGTTGTCAGGTTGCACTTCCTGCAGAAGAGGATTATTTACCACTTAAACCACGAGTTGGAAAAGCTGCTAAGGTCTGTACTTTGGGTAATACAGTTTATATAGTTTCGTGAGACTCTCTTTTTCTTAAAATTCTTATTTCAAATGAGATTTTTATATTTCCCACAACATGTATATGTATGTATCAAGAACAAGCCAACTAAAGACAAATATAATGAGAACTGAATCAGTTAACAACTATGCTGGAAACCAGCCATTACATGATGAGATTTTAAAATATTAAAATTATGATTCTCAACCTTTTAAAAGAATGTAATGAAAGTTATCAACCTTTCTCCAGAAAAAAATACATGTGTACTAGTTTTTGCCTATAGTTTTAGGGTTTTAACAGGCTTCTAATGAAACCGGAACTCTGTGCTTTTTTTAGACGGATTTGGAAGGCCTGATAGACCTTAAAAGGCCAAGAAATTTTTAAGGTTTAATTTTCCAAGTAATTTTCTTAAATAAAAAAGGCGGTATGGTAGAGTATGCATGAACTCTTAAAGTCTAATAGATGTAATATTCTGCCTCTACGGAGTGAACTTTACTGAGAGACTTTTAGAGCCTCAGAGTTCCTACCTATGAAAGGAAATAATATCTATGATAGGGGTTGTTGTGAAAATTAGTAATAATATATGGAAAATGTGTTACACAGTGCCTGGCCACAGAGCTTGTTTTTGGTAAATGGTAATGATTATTTTATTATTAATATAATAGACACCAACATAATGTGATGATTGAAAGATTAGAGAGCAGAATTAGCTTCTATGTTGTTTGGGCAAAAATGTAGTGTACTCTTCCTTATTTTCACTAATGTGTAGTATATTTTCTAAATAAAATCATAAAGGAATACTCCCAGAATGCTTTGGGGGGTAGCCTGCTTGTGTTTTGATTTTAAGTATGCTCTGATACAACTAGATGTTTTTATGCAGATATTAATGTTTTGTTTTTATAGGAATACCCGTTCATTCTTGATGCTTTTCAAAGAGAGGCCATTCAGTGTGTTGACAATAATCAGTCTGTTCTAGTATCTGCACATACCTCAGCGGGAAAAACAGTATGCGCCGAGTGAGTAGCTTCCTTTTTAAAGTCACTTTGTTTCTTATTTCACTCTTTAAAAGTTTCTTTTTTGCTGTTTGATTTCTGCTAGTGAAGATGGTTTTACTTGTCCCTTTTGAACAATTTCTTTTTCATGTCTTATTGAACCTCTAATACAATGTTTACTTGAAGTAATAAAAGAGGACATTCTTTTCTTGTTCCTCATATTAGGAGAAAAACACTCAGGCTTTCATCGTTAAGCATGATATTACCTGTTGGTTTTTCACAGATGCTTTTTATTTATCAGTTTGAGGAACTTCTGTTCTTGGTTTGCAGAGATTTTGTTTGCATATGTATTTATGTCTATGGGTATAAAATATTTAGATACTGGATTTTGTCAAGTGCTTTTTTTGCATCTATTGACATGATTTTTTTTTTTCTTCTGCGCAGTCATGGCTCACTGCAGCCTTGACCTCTGGGCTCAGGCGATCCTCCTGCCTCAGCCTTCCTAGTAGATGGGACTAAAAGCGTGCACCATCACACCTGGCTAATTTTTTTTTTCTTTTTTTTTTAGAGGCAACACAGAGTCTCAAACTTAAATAGGCTGGTCTCAAACTCCTGGGCTCAAGCAATCGTCCCACCTTGGACTCCCAAATTTCTGGGATTACAGGCATGAGCTACCATGCCTGGCCATGTTTTTGATATGTTTCTTAAATAATTTGACACGTCTGATAAGTTATGTTTGATCTTGTTTTCTGTACAGCATCATTTCCCTTCTATCTGAAGAAATGCCTTTAGCAGTTTATTGTAGTGCAGTTCTACTGATGAGAAAATCTTAACTTTTGTATGTCTGAAAATCTTTTACTTTTTTTTGAAAGGTATTTTCCTTTGGTATGGAATTGTAATTTTCTTTTAAGACTGCCTTTTGACTTGCATAGTTTATGACAAGAAATCCTAGTATACCTTTGATACTCTGTACATAATGTGTCTTTTTTCCTCTGGCTGCTTTTAAGATTGATTTTTATCATTGATTTTAAGCAGTTTGTTTTTTATGTACCTTGGTGTTGTTTTTGCATTTTTTTCTTGTCTTTGGGTTTGTTTTTGCAGTCCTCAGGGCTCTTGTTCCAGGACTCTTTTGGGCCGCTTAAAGTTGTCTCACAACTCACTGATACTATATTCATTTTTTTTCTTTTGAGTTTCATTTGTGGGTCATTTCTAATGCAATGTCTTTAAATTTATTAATCTTTGCTTCTGAATTTTCTAATCTGCTGTTAATCTCATTGAGTGCTACTTTTTTATTGGTTGGTTTGTTTTTGAGGCAGGGTCTTGCTCTGTCGCCCAGGTTGGAGTGCAGTGGCACAAACAGAGCTCATTTGCATTCTCAAACTTGTGGGCTCAAGCAGTCCAACTCAGCGTCCCTAGTAGCTGGGACCACAGGCATGTGCCACCATGACTGGCTAAGTTTTTGATTATTTGTGGAGATGAAATCTCGCTATGTTGCCTACACTGGTCTCAAACTCCTGGGCTCAAGTGATTCTCCTGCCTTGCTCTCCCAAAGTGCTGGGCTTATAGGCATGAACTGAATGCATTTTTAATCTCAGATATTATCTTTTCTTTGCTAGATGTTCAATTTATTTTTGTTTTCCTCCGTGTCTCTTAACTTTTTTTAGCTTCCTTTTTTTCGTAATGTTTTTTTCTATTTCTAGTTTATAGAAATCCTAACTGCTTGAACAGATAGGGTACAGTTACAAAAACGTTAAATGTCCTTGTTACTACTTCGTTTATCTGATTACTTCCTGGTCTCTTTGATGGATTGACTTTCCTGCTTCTTTGATTTTTTTTTTAGTCACTGACTTCTTGATTATAATGTGACTGAGATAGTTTTTTTTTTTCCCATGTTTCTTATACTTGAGTTTGTAGGGTTTCTTAGATGTGTGGATTTATTATAGTTTTCATTATATTTGGGGAAATTTCAGACATTTTTTACTGCAAATATTGCCCTTCCTTTATTTCTTTGAGGACTCAAGTTATACTTACAGCAGGCCCCTTTAAGTTGTTCACAGCCCACTGAAGCTGTGTTTATTTATTATAATTTTATTTTTGGTGTTTATTCTGTTTCATTTTGGATAGTTTCTGTTGCTGTGACTTCAGGTTTATTCACTTTTTTTTTATTGCAGTGTCTTAATCTGCTTTTAATACTAGCCAGTGTGTTTTTTTAATCTCAGACACTCAGTTTCCATCTCTAAAATTTTGATTTCGTCAGTGTTTTCCGTATTTTTACTTAACGTGCTGTTTAATTTTCCTCAGCTTTCTTGAGCATATAGAGTACTGTTATAGTAACTTTTAATATCCCTGTTTACTAATTCTGTCATCTGTCTCATTTTTGGATCTGATTTTATTGATTAAAAAAAAATTTTCATTACAGACTGTGTTTTCCTGCACCTTGACATACCTGATACTTTTTTATTGCATGCCAAAACATTGTGAATTTTACCTTGTTCGGTGCTGAATACTTTTGCATTTTTGTACATATTTGTGAGATTTGTTCTGAGGTATAGTTAAGTTACTTGGAAAAAATATCCTTTTGAGGCTTACTTTTATGACTTTTTTAGGCACGACCAGAGTAGCATTTAGTCTAGGGCTGATTTTCCCCACTACTTAGTCAGTATTCCATGCAGTATCTTGTGAATTCTGAGGTTTTCCACTGTAGCTGGTGGGAAACCACATTTCTGCCAGTCGTGTATAAGATTTGGTAATTTTTATCTCTTCTCCTCTTGGTTGGTTTTTCCCTGGCCTCATAATTTCCTAAGACTTATTCACGGATCATTACTACCTGAAGACTTGCAGATGCTCAGCAGATTTTCAGAACCTTCTCTTTGCAGTTGTCTCCTCTGGTATTCTGCCCTGCAAACTCCAGCTGCCCTGGCCTTCACAGACTACGATCTTGGTCTGTTCAACTTAGGGAAACTTCCAGGGTTTACCTTGGTTGCCCATCTTAGAACTGCAGTTTGGAAAATCTAGGCAGTAATTTTGGATTACCTACTTTGTTTTCTCTCTCTTGGGGCGTACTGTTCTTATATCCAGTGTATGAAACCACTGTTTCATATATTTTGTGCTATTTATCATTGTTTCAGGTGGGTGGGTAAAGCCAGTTTCTGTTACTCCATCTTGGTGTAAGTGGATGTTTTCTGTATTATTTTTAATGTACATTATGTATTACTACAATAGTGCACGTATTTTGGTAGGTTCCTGTTCTTCTAAAATATATTTAATAACTAAGATTGTGTAGTCTTGCTACTCAAAGTATAGTCCTTGATACTACCTGGGAACTTGTTAGGCAGAATCTCTAGCCCCACCCTATAACTGCTGATTGAGAATCTACATTTTAACAAGATCACCAGGTGATGAATACTAATGTTTGATGGAACTGGGCCATTCTAAAAGTGGATGGATGGTGCTCATTAATGTGGATGGCGTTTTGCAATCTGTTGTAGATTGACTCTTTTGATTTAACTTTTACAATTTATAACATATTTCTCTATGACCTTTCCAGTTGAGTAGCTGAATTAGGTACTCTTAACAGGGGATACCTAAAGAGTAAAGAAGACTGTAGAGAAAAGAAACAGATAAAAAAAATGGCACCAGTCATCCTGTTCATCAGCCATTTTACCTTGGCATGGTGGTTGTCTTAGTCTGTTTTCTGTTGCTGTATTCTGCTTTAACAGAATACCACAGACTGGGTAATTTATAAAGAAAGGAAGTTTATTTGGCTCATGGTTCTGGAAGCTGAGAAAACCAAGAACATGGCACAGGCCTCTGGCGAGAGTCATCCCATGGCAAGAAAGGGAGAGGAAATTGGGCCTAACTTGTCCTTTTAACTGGGGCCCACCCCCTTGATAATTCCCTCCCAAGATAATGTAATTAGTATATTCATGAAGATGGAGCTTTCATGACCTCATCACCTCTTAAAGGCCCTACTTCCAAATACCATTACTTTGGCAATTAAATTTCTACATACATTTCGTAGGGGTCATCTAAATCATAGTAGTGATCAAAATAATTCATGAATCCTGGAATATTTTTTTCCTTAACAGGTTATCTTATCTATTATTAGTTCCTTCCAGACCTTGGCTTATCTGGTCATTGTGTTATTAATTCCTAATTCCGTCATCTGTCTCATTTTCAGATTTGTTTTTATTGATTTTTTTCCCTTGTCATTATAGGTTATATTTTCCTGCTTCTTTGCATACCTTTTATTGATACTAAAACATTGTGAATTTTACCTTGTTGGGTGCTGAATAATTTTGTATTCCTGGTCAGGGCTTATCTGGTCACTGTATTCATTCCTTCCAGACCTTGGCTTAGCTGTGTAAGTCTCAGTTTTTCTCTTCGTTGAGTTAGAGGAGTGAAGTTTGTATCTTATATTGTCATCTCAGCAGTATCAGCCAGTTGCAGAATAGTCTTTATCTCTTTCTCAGCCTTAAACACATTATGGTTCTCTATCACCCTAGTTATGTTCAGTGGAATTTCTTAAGAGTCCACTCCTGTTCAGAAGATGCTTAATTCACAAACCAGTTTCCTCCTAAGGCACAGGTATAGAAGAAGAGATTTGACTACTCTTAGTTCAATTATTTTTTTCACTATTTAATTGTGGTATGTTTGGTGCTTTATGCATTTAAAGCCAGCATATGTATAATAATTTGATTTTTGGCCATTAGTGTAACCTTGCTTTCATTTTTCCTACAAGAGGAGAGATTTTTCTGTAGAGGAAGTTTTCATATAGATATGCTGAAACCTGCTCTAAAACTTGGGCTAGGAAGTCGTAAAGGGAATTTAAGAAATTCACCAGGATTGTAGATACTAGAAAACCTGATGAGGTTGGCTGTGGAAAACAGTCTGGCAATTCTTCAAAAAGTTATAATGTAGAATTGTCATATGACCCAGCAATTCTACTCCTAGATTTGTTATAATGTAGAATTTGTTATAATGTAGAATGTTATAATGTAGAATGTAATGTGTTTGTTATAATGTTAGAATTATCATATGACCCAGCATTTCTACTCCTAGATTTGTACCCCCAAAGAATTGATAACAGGTACCTAAACAAATCTTCACAGCAGCGCTATTCACAATAGCCAAAAGGTAGAAACAATCCAGATGTCCATCAGTGGATGATGAATGGATAAATAAGTTGTAGTATATCCAGACAGTGGAATATTACTCTGCCATAAAAAGGAATAAAGTGCTGATACATGCTTGAAAACATTATGCGTACTAAAAGAAGTTGGAGTCAAAAGATTGCTTTATGATTCCATTTATGTGAAATATCCAGAATAGGTAAATCCATAGAGAAAGACAGCATATTGGTGAGGGACAGGGACTAGTGAGAGGAGGGGAGTAAAGAATAACTGCTTAGTGAGTACAGAGTTTTTTGGGAGGTGATGAAAATACTAGAATTAGATGGAGGTACTGGTTGCCTAACGTTATGAATGTACTAAATGCCACTGAAATATACACTTTAAAATGGTTAATTTTATGTTATGTGAATTTCACTTCAGTAAAAAGTAAACCTGATGAAGTACCTAATTGTATATGCACACCAGATGTTGCACACCAGATCTCACATATTTTCCCTAGTGATAAAGGACTTTAGGTAAACTCCTACTTCACCTGTTAACTATAGCAGGGTGCAACATTTTATTTATAAACCTGGTACTAGGACTAACGTGTTGGTATCAGGTTGTTTATATATGTAAAACAAATACTTTTTCTGACACTGCTGATTTTTTAAGTCTATGTGAATAGCTTTATTATATAATTTACTTACCATTAAATTTATCTATCATAAATATGTATTTGAGTGAGTTTTAGTAAATCGGTACAATTGTGCAACCCTTACCAGTTTTAGAAGACTTCCATCTATTTAGTTCTCTTATGTGTGTTTACATTCAAACCCATTCCTATCTCTAGCCACAGGCAAACACTGATCATCTTTTGGCCATTATAATACTGATGTAAACATTCATGTGCAAGTCTTTAAGTGGACCTATGTTTTCGTTTCTCTTAGCTAAGGTAGATACCTAGGAATGTGATTGCTGTATTTTATGGCAAATATGTATTTAACTGTTGAGGAGACTGCTGAACTATTTTTTAATGTGGCTGTACCATTTTATATTCCTACCAGTAATGTATGAGGGTGCCAGTTTCTCTGCATCCTTCCCTGCTCTTGGTATTGTCTTTTTTTATTATACCCATTTCAGTGATGTCCCAAAGTAGTTTTAATATGCATTTCTGTGATGACTAAGGGTGTTAAGCATCATTTCATGTTTATCATTTCTTTATATATCTTTGAATTGTTTATTTCAGTCTTGCTGATGTTTTAAATTGGGTTGTTGGTCTTAATTGCGTTGTAAGAAGTCTTTATTAGCATACAAGTTTTTTTAAAAAGCAGATGTGATTTATAAATATGTTTTTCATTCTGTGGCTTGTCTCAATTTCCTTTTGTAGAGAAAGCATTTTAATTTAAATGTTTAATTTCTTAATATTTTATAGATTGTTCATGCAATTGGTATACCTAAGAATTACCTAATTGTGATTTTGCCTATCCCAAAATCACAAGTATTTTCTTCTTCGTTTTCCTCTTGCAATTTCATAGTATTAGTTCTTCCATTTAGATCTGTGATTCTTCTCAAGTTAGTTTTTCTGTAAGATGTGAGGAAAGGGTCTAAATTTAGCTTTTTGTATTTGGATATCCAGTTGTTCCAATTCAAAGTACTATCTTTTCCCATTGAATTGAATTCCCGTAAATTACTCGTAAATTGTGTAGGATCGTTTCTGGACTTTGTTATATCTTTACACTAGTACACTATTTTGATTACTGTGGGGTTATAATAAGTATTGATACTAGGTAATGAGAATCTTCTAACTTCATTATTTTTAAAAACTGGGCACTTCCAGGTCTTTTGTATTTCCAATAGTATTTTAAGATTGGCTTGTGAATTTCCAACCAGAAAGCCCATTTTAATTTTGATAGGGATTTTGTTGAACTTAAAAATTAATTTGGAGAAAATTGTCATTGTAACAATATTGACTCAATCGATGAAAATGATGTATTTCTCCATTATTTAGGTCAACTTTAATTTCTGTTAGCAACACTTTGCAATTTTCAGTGTATAGGTCTTATACGTGTTTTCTTAAACCTATTCCTAAGTATTTCTGTTTATGCTATTGTGAATCACATTTTTTCTTAAGGTCATATTTGGATTGCTAATAGCTTGTATATTGAAATACAGTTGATTTTTATATACTGGTATTTTATCCAGCAACCTCATCATGTTTCCTTAAGTTTTATTAACTTTTTTGTACATTCCATAAGACTTTCTATATAGATGATAACATTGCCTGTGAAAAAAGATGGTTTTACTTCCTTTTCAATATGTGTGTCTTATTGCATTGTCAATATCTAGTACAACGTTGGATAGTACTGAGAGTGGACATCCTTGCCTTATTTCTGATATGAGGAAGAAAGCATTCAGTCTTTCAACATTAAGTATGACGTTAGCTGTTTTTTGCTGGTTGCTCTTTATGAGAATGAAGTTGTTTCTTTCTGTTCTTAGTAGGGAATAAATGAAAATAAACAAAAAAATTGAGAATTTTTATCAAGATATGTTGTATTTTGTGAAATGATTTTTCCATCTATTGAGGAAATCGTAGTATTAGCTTTTTATTCTCTTAGTGTACTATATTAAATTTTCTGATTTTAAACCAACCTTGTATTCCTGGAATAAATCTGGTTGTTTATGGCAGATGATCATTTGTGTATGTTACTGATTTCAGTTTGCCAGTACAGTTGTCACTCATTTTCCAGGGAGGATTGGGTCCCAGACCCCCTCATATAGCAGAATCCACAGATGCTCAAATTTCTGCAGTAGGCCCTGTGGAACCTTCAGATGTGAACAGTTGTCTCTCCGTATCCATGGGTTCCTCATCTTGCAAATACGATAGTGTATTTTCAATCCTCAGAACCTGCGTGTGTAGAGAGCTGACTCTGGTTTATTCTAGACTTTTGTGTCATCATGAGGAATAATGGTATGTGATTTTCTTATAAAGTCTTTGGCATTGGTGTCGGAGTAATACTGGAGACTTAAAGTAAGCTGGTAGTGTTGCCTCCTGGTCTGTTTTCCATAAGACTTTGTGTATTTGGCATACTTCTTAAATGTTTGATAGAATTTACTAGTGAAGCCATTTAAGCCTAGGCATTTCTTTGTGGGAAGATTTTTAATTCCTAATTTAATTTCCTGTTTTTTAAAGCCAATTTTGGTAAACCGTGTCTATCTAGAAATTTCTTTTTTTCTTTTATGAGACAGGGTCTTGCTGTCAACCGGGTTGGAATGCAATGGCATAATCATGGCTCACTGCAGCCTTGACTTCCCAGGCTCAACTGATGCTCCCACCTCAGCCACCTTAGTAACTGGGAGTACAGACGTGCGCTACCACACCCAGCTAATTTTTATATTTTATTTATTTATTTATTTTTAATTTATTTTTTGTAGCGACAGGGTCTGTGTTGCCCAGACTGGTCTTGAACTTCTGGGCTCAAGCAGTCCTCCTGCCTCAGCCTCCCAAAGTGCTGGGATTACAGGTGTGAGCCACTGTGCCTGGCGTAGAAATTTCCTGAGGTTTTAGATAATTCTTTATGTTTAATGTAAGTGTTTATATAAAACTATAAAATTTCACTCAGTACTGCTTAAAATGCATCCTGTAAACTGATATTACTGTGTTTCATTTTCATTTAATCCACTTTTTCATTTCTCTTTTGGTTCCCTTGTATGTTGTTTACTTTTCAAACGTGATTTTCCATATACTTAGCCATTTGTTATTTCTAACTTAATTTGTGATTAGAGAAGATACTTCGTGAAATTTCAGTAGTTTAATTTAATGATTGATATGGTTGGATTTATATTTGCCTTTTGTTGTTCGTTTTGGGGGTCTTTTGGTATATTTCTCATGTTTTTTTTTTGATCCTTATTTTTCCTCCATTGCCTTCTATTTTGTTTAACAAATATCTTTTAGTGTACCATTTTAATTTCTCTTGACTTTTTAGCTTTCTTTGAGTTAGTTTTTAGTGGTTATTTTGGGGCTTACAGTATGCATGTTTAACTAAATCACAGTCACAATTTATGGAAAATATTGAAAACTTGCCCTAGTATTTTCTTCTCATTTTTGTACTATTTAATACTGTCATATATTTCAACTACATATGCTATAAATCTAATAATACAGTATCTGTAATACAGTATAATCATTGCTTTAAATTGTGTTTTCTAAAAATATTAAGTGATAAAAATTTTATATATACCTTTACATACATAGTCTTAATTGTTCTGTTTTATGGTATTGCTTCCTTTTAGTTTGAAAGGTTTTTAATAAATATTTCTTACAGAGTAGTTTTATTTTGCTTTCATTTTTGAAGGACGGTGTCACTGGATATAGAGTTCCTGGTTGACCGATTTTTTTTCCCCTTCAACTCCAGATACATCATTCTACTGATATCATTTCATTCTACTCCATTGTTTCTGATGAGAAGTCAGCCTTAATTATGTTGTTCTCTTATGTATTGAGTTTTTCTGTTGTGGTTTTTCAAAGACTCTCTTTGCCTTTGTCATTTAGCAGTTTAACTATGATGTTTCTAGGTATGGTTCTTTTTTGCTTTTTCATGCTGTGTTAATTGAGCTTCTTGGATCTCTAATGTCTTTTAAACAAATGAAGTTTTTTATTGTTTTTTTTTTCCTACCTCTTTCTTATTTTGGAATTTCCTTTGAGATACTTGAGGATGTCTTGCAGATACCTGAGTGTCTCTTATTTTTCTATTTATTTTTCTCTTTAGATTTGATAATTTCTCTCAATTTATCTTCATGTTCATTGATAACAGTCATCACAAATCTGCTTATGGGCCCATCTAGAGAATTTTTTCTTTTGATTGTTAATCTGTAGACTTTCTTTTTCTTTTTTTTTTTTTTTTTTTTTTGAGACACAGTCTCACTCTGTCACCCAGGCTGGAGTACAATGACGTGATGTTGGCTCACTGCAGCCTCCACCTCCTGGATTCAAGCAGTTCTCCTTCTTCAGCCTGCCAAGTAGCTGGGATTACAAATGTACACCACCATACCTGACTAATTTTTGTATTTTTAGTAGAGACAGGGTTTCCCCATTTTGGCCAAGGCTGGTCTCGAACTCTTGGCGTCATGTGATCCACCCACCTCAGCCTCCCTAAATGCTAGGATTATAGGTGTGAGCCACTGCGCCCGGCCTAATCTGTAGACTTTCCATTTGATTATGTTGTTAATAGTTTTGGTTCCTTTTTGAGACAGTCAGTTTCTTGTGACTGCTTCTTTTTTCCTACATATGGTCATACTTTCCTGTTTGTTTTTATATCTTGCAATTTTTTTCTTGAAAAGTTTAGATAATGTATGTAGCATTTCTGTATTTTCTTTTTGTGTATGTTTCTTGTAATTCATATTTGATGTTTGGACAACTTCTGATTTTTTAAAAATTGCTTATTTCACTGGCTGGGATGAATGTTATTTTTATTTCCCCAAATACATTATAATAAGCCTATTCTGGGCAGGAGCTGAATCTTAAATAAGGAGGATCTACTACAATGTTAAGTTTAATGCTATCTGTCTATATTTAAAGAAAAACAAAACTGCTCTATTGTGTTCTGTTAATAGCTATGAAAGAAATTTTCCATAATCAGAACCTACCATAATTTTCAGAGGACTGACTTGTTAACTGTTACATGTGGGAAAAGAATACATATAGATTAACTTATTTGTGAAACTTGAGGAGGAAACACTTCATTTTCCAGGGGCTATAAGCACTTGATCATCTGTATATGTGTGAACTCACAGACAGAGGCTCTGAATTTTGGAAGCCCGTCTTAGAACCAAAGGTGTTTTCCTTGCAAGAAATAGGTAACTGTTAGTAATCTATTGCTATTAGTGACTAAGTTGCATTAACTCTGAGTGACCGGAGTTAAAATGATTTTAGATCACTCTATTTCATATTTATTATAATTATTAGTATAATAGATATGGTGTTACTGTTCTTCAGAGTCCATTCAAGATAAATAATTAGGGAAAATTTGGACACAATTTAAATATTAACAGAATTTTTAAAGTCATAATTTAAAGGAAAAGTTGTATGATTATTTGTTTTCACATTTGTAGGTATGCCATTGCATTGGCCTTAAGGGAAAAGCAGCGTGTAATATTTACCAGCCCAATTAAGGCTCTGAGTAACCAAAAATACCGTGAAATGTATGAAGAATTTCAAGATGTTGGTTTGATGACTGGTGATGTTACTATTAATCCTACGGCATCTTGTCTTGTTATGACCACAGAGGTAATTCATGTAGTGCCTCATCTGACTTTTCGTTTTTAATTAAATTAATGTGACTATTCAGTTAGAACCTGGGAAGTTTTATTGGTTGCTCTACTTAGGTAAAGTATAGTACTTTATTTTCTGATTAGACTTAGGCAAAATGGATAACATTTATCTTAAAGTGTTCTGATAATATTACATTTCTAAATTACCATACTTTATTATTTGTCTCAGATACATTTTTTTCTTCAGGTATTTTTAAAGTTTATTTCTGTCAGTGACATGAAAATATTTTACTGGTTTTATGTACATAGTTTTAAGCATTTGAATATATAGTAATAGTGACTCTTCATTTCATGTGACTTTGCCGTCTTCTATATCTGAGTGTTGATACAAGTAGATGAGTAACTGATTTTTATTTATTTATTTATTTTTTGAGATGGAGTCTCGTTCTGTCTCGCAGGCTGGAGTGCAGTGGTGCAACCTCTGCTCACTGCAAGCTCCGCCTCCTGGGTTCACGCCATTCTCCTGCCTCAGCCTCCTGAATAGCTGGGACTACAGGCGCCCGCCACCATGCCCAGCTAATTTTTTGTATTTTTAGTAGAGACGGGGTTTCACCGTGTTAGCCAGTATGGTCTCTATCTCCTGACCTCATGATCTGCCTGCCTCAGCCTCCCAAAGTGCTGGGATTACACATGTGAGCCAACCGCACCCAGCCAAGTAACTGATTTTTTAGAGTGCAGTATTATGTTTACCTTCTTCCCATAATTGCAGTTAAGTTTTGCATATACTTAGAATATCTTAAGTTTTGGACATGATTAGTTACCTTTACTAAGTATTTTTGTACATACTTTAATTATATCTTTGCATTTAACCCCAAGGATATGGTATAATGGTGAGCATAAATTAGCTTCTGATTTGGAGAACCAGCCAAAAGCATTGCTCACTTTTCATTTTGTCGCCTCATGGAAGTTTATTTTCCATTTTCAAAACTTTCTTTCATCTGTGGAAGGTTTTCATTAACTCCAAAAATTAGGGTAACAGTTGCCAGGAAGTATCCATGTTGCAAGAAAACGAGGCAGAAAAAATGGGCAAACAGTCAGGGATGATCCAGTGTTTTGAATAGAGGATAATTTAAGTTGTACTTATATTTTAGAAAGTATGAATCTTGGGACGGTGCTGTGTATAGAAGGAAGTTGCATCATGTTCTAGACATATGGAGAGTAGGGGTGATAATTCTCTCTGTGGATTGTATCTGATTAGTAACTGTTTAGAAGCCATTTACTTTGCTTTTTATGAGAAAAGGAATATACAATATAATATACAACAATGTAATATTGAATATTACTTTTGTTAATATTTGTTAAATAGTAAGTTCTGTAACCCCTTAAAATTATTTTAATATTTCCATTTAATAAAGAATATCCAAAATTCCTTGTTGGAAAAAACAACTTTTCTCTAACTATTAGCTGTTATGTCAGAATCCAACTAAATACATTTTTTACTTTTTTCTTTAGATTTTGAGAAGTATGCTTTACAGAGGTTCCGAAGTTATGAGAGAAGTTGCTTGGGTTATATTTGATGAAATTCATTATATGAGAGATTCAGGTATATTCAGTGTTGAAATGTATATCATGTATTTCCCTTCAGAATGACATTAGGAATTTTGAGCAAGTTATTGTTAAACTTTGCTTCTAGTTTTTGTGTGGCTAGGGTTCTAATAAACTGTTGTTTCTTTATTTTTATTTACCTATTTATTTTTGAAACAGAGTTTCACTCTGTTGCCTAGGTTGAAGTGCATGATCCTAGGTAGGATCCTAGGTAGGATCATGGTTCGCTGCAGCCTTGATCTCCATCTCAGTCCCCCAAGTAGCTGGAACTACAGACGTGTACCACCATGTCTGGCTAATTTTTATTTATTTTATTAGTAGAGATGGCGTCTCACAACGTTGAGCAGGCAGGTCTTGAACTCCTGGACTCAAGTGATCCTCCCACCTTGGCCTCCCAAAGTGCTGGGATTACAGGCGTGAACCGCACCCAGCCTTGCTTCTTTAAATAGTGGACAACATGATATTATTTTTCCATTAAGATTTCATTCAAGTACAGCTCTTTAATAGTAACTTTTGCTGGGTGAGAAATGCAAATTCAAATAAAGCAAAAGAAATTAAAAGATGGCGTGCTTCTAATAGCTCACCAGTAGAACTAATGTTACAGAATTTCTAAAACTTCTAGCTTGCAAAGTTAACTTTCCTGATTTTTATTTAGTTCAGTAACTATGAAATATGTGTTTATGGTAAAAACAAAAAGTGAGGATTATGAAATAAAAATGAACAAAAAGAAAAACTTACAAATGCCCCTTACTTAGGCTGTTACGCTCTCGTAATGAAAAAGTAAGTATGCTTGGAATTTGTAGGGTGCTGGCAGGGCTAACGTTAACAAACACATTGAAAAGTTAAATGTTTAATATGTACACGCTTAAAATAAGATTTAGTTTTTATTTAAACTAGCTCACTAAATCAGCCTGTATTTATGGAGAAAGCAATAGAATTTAAGAAATCATTTACCCTTTGAATATTTCACCCTTTCCAAATTTATAAAATTAAGCTCTTAACAGAGTTGTTTTGGTTTTAGAATCAGAAATCCTTTGTTGATTTGTCTATTTTAGGAGGGAAGCTGTCAAACTTTTTCCGTTTTAATAAAAAATGACTTACGGTTTTATCTTTCATCAAGTCTTTCTTTCATCTCCAGAGGATCACAAGGATAATTTGGGTGAACGATGCCGTCTGGAATAGGAATAGTATCTTCTAAATGTGTTGCTATAACTTTCTACAAGTTAGTAACCATTACTTTTCAATGTGCAGTAGAAATACTGTTCCGCTGCCTTGTCATTGAGGCTCTTGTTAGGTTGTTTGGAAAGATTAACCCTGGAATTGCTCTTTGTAGGCTATTTCAGAGTACATTGTATTTATAGTGGTTTAGTCTACTAATTTTCTACTGGATAGATTAATGGTGAGAAATAGTTTTCAGTAAGGTTCTGTGGCTTAAAATATTCTTGAGTAAAGTCTGCATTTCTAACTATAAAGCTTCAGAGAATATAATTTTAGATATTATCACAGAGTGACACTGTAGTCCAACTATAGTCCAAAGTATATATTTATTTTTTTCAGAACGTGGTGTAGTATGGGAAGAAACTATTATTTTGCTTCCTGATAACGTCCACTATGTCTTTCTTTCGGCTACTATTCCAAATGCCCGACAGTTTGCTGAATGGATTTGCCATTTACATAAACAGGTATTTTTTCCTCCTTTTTTGATGTCTTCAATATTCAAAATGTTACAGATTAGTCTTGCTTTACTCTCCCTTTGCTTTTCTCCTGATGTTGTCCAGAATAATAAAAAAAACATTTTAATGGTAAACTGCTTCTCAAATCAAGCAGCTTATCAAAATCAACTGACTGACTTTTTAGAAATGTTGATTTCTGAGCCCCATCTCAAACCCACTATATCTAAATCTCAGGTAATAGTGCCTTGGGAACTCCAATTTTAAAAATTCCCCAAGTTGATCTGATGATCTGCCAGGTTTAGAAACTACTGCATTTACTCAAATAGTTATCCATGAGTACACAGAATTTCCCCTAATGCCTTGGTGCCAGGAAAAGCTGGGCATCTCTGGAGCATTTGATTTGATTTTTCTCATGTAAACACAGACTTTTTACTGACTTTCTGTTATTGCCTTTCTAGTCTGACTTTAGCGTCTGTATATGCTTGTAATAGGCATTTGTTTATGTATACTGAATTTATTCTTGCTTTTATTTTTCTGCCCTTAATTTTCCTTTACACTGATGTTCTCATGAACTTATCTGTTTATAAGCTCCCTGATCGTGTTTTTATGGCATTCTCCCATATTGCTTCTGTAGGATAGAAAAATCCAATGGATCTTGGGGAGAAGCTAGATCAAGTGCTGCTTTATACTAAGGTTTTGAAAAGCCTGGGTGGGGCAGAAAAGTTCCATTTTACTTCATGGATCCTTTGTATCACCGTATACCTCCTCTATAGAAAAATAAGCATCTTTCCGTAATTACAGCATTCCAGGGCTAGGTAATGGGTAGTTGATGCTCAGGTCATGTATTTAGCCCTGGTTAGGGAATTGGTAAGTTGGGAAGATGGTAGTATAATTTCATAGACCTAATTTTTCTACGTTTTTCTCTTGCCTGGGTTTTAGTGAATTTTTTGAAGTGTTTTCTTTTTGAAATGTTGAATTCATTACTTGATTTTCTTAAGATCTTTTAGGTTGGACTAAGATACAGTTTTATTTTGAGGAAATAAAATTTTGTATGTTTAATTCTTTCTTTTTACAGCCTTGTCATGTTATTTACACAGATTATCGGCCCACTCCATTGCAACACTACATTTTTCCAGCAGGGGGAGATGGCCTGCATCTTGTGGTTGATGAAAATGTAAGAGAGTAATTGTCCTTTTTAAATCTATAATGTCATACTTTATTATTAATATCTTGTTGTTGTTGTTTTTAAATTTTGAATTAGAGAAGAATGGAAAAGATACATTTGTTTGTCTTAGTTTTAATCAATCGATCTTGATTTTTTTGTGTGTTTTTATTTCAAACATTATGTTTGAGACTTGTGTTTTTCTTATGCATGAATCAGATTTCCCTCCTTTCCCAGTATTTAAAAATACCTAGAGAATAGGGGTTCTGGACATGTTTCAGATATCTTATGTTTTGCTTTTCTTCATTTTTTATTCCTTCTTTTTCACCTTTTAATACCTCTTACCACAGATCATGTTTGGACTATTTTAGTGGCTTTCATTATTATACTAAATTATTTTTATTTGGGGAAGCCTTATGTATGAAAAATGTTTGAATTATGATTAAGTATTAGTGAAGTTACACAGAAAAAATTTGTGATTCCAGGGTGACTTCAGAGAAGATAATTTTAATACTGCAATGCAAGTGCTTCGAGATGCAGGTGATTTGGCCAAAGGAGACCAGAAAGGGCGGAAAGGAGGAACAAAAGGTAATTTGGAACTTTGCTTTGAGAGAATTTTACATGTAAATTGTATATTCAGATTACTCTGATATTTTTTGTCTTAGTTTTTTTTTCTCAAGCTATGTAAAGGTCTAGACGATATGTGATAAAATTGGATAAATATTTATCTTTTTTGTATGACATTAAGTATAATTTACATACTATAAAATTCACTCATCTAAGTATACAATTCAGTAGTCTTTAGTATATTTACAGAATTGTGCAGCCATCACCACTGTCTAGTTCCAAAATATTTTCATGAACCCAAAAAGAAACCCTGTACACATTAACAGTTATTCTCCCTTTTCCCCCAACCTTTCCCTTCTCATCCCGCAGACTTAGTTAATCATTAGCCTGTTTTCGATCTCTGTGGCTTTCCCTTGTCTGTGCATTTCATGTTTGGAGCAACTGGCTTCTTTCACTTAATGTAATGTTTTCAAGGTTCGTTACTTTTAATTTTTTTTTTTTTTTTTTTTGAGACAGTGTCTCGCTCTGTCACCCAGGCTGGAGTACACTGGTGCTGTCTTGGCTCATTGCAACTTTCTGCCTCCTGGGTTCAAGTGATTCTCCTGCCTCAGCCTCCCAAGTAGCTGGGATTATAGGCACCTGCCACCATGCCTGGATAATTTTTGTATTTTTAGTAGAGACGGGGTTTCACTGTGTTGGCTAGGCAGATCTCAAACTCCTGACCTGAAGTGATATGCCCATCGTGGCCTCCCAAGTGATGGGATTACAGGTGTGAGCCACTGTGCCCGGCTATTTTGTTCATTTTATGCTATATGTACTCATTCCTTTTCATGGTTAAATAACATTCCATTGTATGGATATACCACATTTTGTTTCTCCATTCATCATTGGATGGACTTTTGGGTTTTTCTGGTTTTTGACTGTTAGGAATGCTGTTGTAAACATTGATGCATGTACTATTTAATACAAGTTTTTGTGTGAATAGGTGTTTTCCTCTGGATATGTACCTAGGAGTGGAATTGCTGCACCATGTGGAAAGTCTATGTTTCACCTTTTGAGAAACTGCCAAAGTATTTTCCAAAGTGGCTATACCATTTTACATTTCCTTCCAGGAATGTGTGAGGGTTCCATTTTCTCTATATCCTTTGTATCACCGTACTCCTCCTCCATAGAAACAGAGGCATCTTTCTGTAATTACAGCATCCCTGGGCTAGGTAATGGGTAAATGAAACAGATTATGTATTTTGCCCTGATTTCCCATTTGGAAAGATGGTGGTATAATTTGATGGATCTAATTTTTTCACATATAATTTTTCCACGATACTTAGTATTGTATGTCTGATTATAGTCATCCTATTGAATGTGAAGTGGTATCTTAATGTGGTTTCAGTTTACATTTCCCTGGTGGCTAATGATGTTGAACATTTTTTCATGTGCTTATTGGCCATTTGCATATTCTTTCTCTATTTTAAAAGTATGTTTTTTTATTGTTGTTGTTGAATTATGATAGTTCTTTACATATTCTGGATACTAGACCCTTATCAGATAGATGATTTGCAAATATCTCCCCCCATTCTGTTTGAGGTTGTCTTTTTACTTTATTGATGGTATCCATGAAATCACAAAAGTTTTTCACTTTGATGAAGTCCAGTTCATGCATTTTTTTCCTTATGTTGTTTATGCTTTTGTTGTCATATCTAAGAATGCTTTGTCTAACCCACGGTCAGGAAGATTTATTCCTATATTTTCTCTTAAAAGTTTTATAGTTTTAGCTTTTAAATTTAGATCTGTGATCTATTTTGAGTTAATTTTGGTGTGTTGTTTACTGTTTTTGCAGGACCATCAAATGTTTTCAAAATTGTGAAGATGATTATGGAAAGAAATTTCCAACCTGTGATTATTTTCAGTTTTAGTAAGAAAGATTGTGAAGCCTATGCACTTCAAATGACCAAATTAGATTTCAACACAGGTACTACATCATTTCAGTATCATTTTAATGTTATGTGAAAATGAGCGTAAAATATATTTCTAGTAATATTTTTATCTGTTACATATTACTAGGATATGCCATTCACCTTACAGTTACAGCAGTACTCAGCACATTTGTAAAAGCTTTAAAGGCCTTTGACTTATACTTTCTTCCCTTTCTTCTCCTTTTATTGAAAGATATGAGTACATTGTTCTATTTAAAATTTGGAGAACCCTATGAAAAATATTAGAATCATGCCTTCTTATACTTTGTTACCGTAAACTCCTCAGTTATTGTGGCTCTCTATTTGACCACTTAAGGGTAGGTCTCATAGCTTGGTTAGACCACCTTCTATATAGAAAATACCATGCTTCATTCTCACTGAAGTCTAAACCAGTAAGACCTGCCCTTTGCTTAACTATTTTGTAATTCTCAATCAAAGTGATATAACTTCTAGCAAATCGGTAAATTATTCCTATACATTAATTGCAAAAGTAATTCACTTGAAGTCACACAGTTAAGACAGTAGCACAACCTGGCTGTCTTAGTCCATTTTGTGTTGCTGTGACAGAATAGCTGAGACTAGTGCATTTTCACGCTGCTGATAAAGACATACCCAAGACTGGGCAATTTACAAAGAAAATAGGTTTAATGGACTCACAGTTCCACGTGGCTGGGGATGCCTCACAATCATGGTGGAAGGCAAGGAGGAGCAAGTCACATCTTACTTGGGTGGCAGCAGGCAAAGAGAGGGAGCTTGTGCAGGAAAACTCCCATTTTCAAAACCATCAGATCTCATGAGACTTAGTCACTGTCACGAGAGCAGCACAGGAAAGAGACACCCGCATGATTCAGTCATCTACTGGGTCCCTCCCACAACACATGGGAATCATGGGAACTACAAGATGAGTTTTGGGTGGGGACACAGAGCCAAACCATATCACTAGGTAATTTATGAAAGGCAGAAATTTATTTCTTATAGTTTGAGAGGCTGGAAATCCAATTTGAGGGACCCAGCACATCTAGTGAGGGCCTTTTTTGTCGTGGAATCCCACGGCTGAAGACAGTAGGGCAGGAGAGCATGCAAGAGAGAGGGTGGGAGAAGGGGGCTGAACTCATCTTTTTATCAGGAACGCATACCAGTGATAACTAACCCACTCCTCTGATAAAGGCATTAATCCATTCATGAGGACCCTGTCTCTTAAAGGCCCTACCTCTCAACACTGTTTCATTGTGGATTAAGGGGTCAGCACATTAACTTTAGGGGGACACATTCAAACCAAACCACTGGCCAAGAATTGCAGTGTGCTGAATACCAACCCGATTATCTTTCAACTCTGCCTTTTGCACATGTAATCCAGTACAGTGAAAAGTAAATAATATCTTAAGCCATCCAAATTTAAATTTCAGTTGTATTGTTTTCTTTATCAAGGCAGGTTTTGTTTTTTTATCTGTGCATTTTAAAGCTAATTCCTACTTTTCCATGAGTAAAAGTAACAAATGACAGATAGCTGACATAGCCTTCTAAAGCCACTAATAGTTTGTGTTTTTTTAAAGACTGAATTGTTCTGCCCATAAATGTTTTCTCTTACCTACAAGTGCCGAATAAACTTAAAGTTGCAGGGTTGCATACTGATTAACAAATATTTATTCAGTTTAACAAATGCTTAATACATATTATTTGATAGACACTGTACAAGAAGGCAGTGCAATGGTTAAGAAAGAGCATGGGCTTTGGAATTGTTTTTCTCACAGTTAATAGTGGTGCTAATTATTAAAAACTAAGTTTCACTTTACTTAGTAGTAAAATGTAGATAATAATAGTTCCTGTGTCCTGTAATTGTTAGACTTAAATGTTGTATGTAAAGCACCAGATGTGGTTATTGTTACTATTTTTGTAAGATAGTACTTTTTTCATGAATTAAGTCTACTAGATATGTTTTGAAAGGCAGAGAATTATATTGATTATGTGGTAATTTTTATCTACTTTCTGCTTGACCATCTTAAATGCCACCTCTTTACTTTTGCTCTTTAAAGACTCTTTTTTTTTTTTTTTTTCTGAGATGGGGTCTCACTCTGTTGCCAGGACTGGAGTGTAGTGGTGCGATCATGGCTCACTGCAGCCTCAGCCTCCTGGGCTCAGGTAGTCCTCCTGTCTCAGCCTCCCAGGTAGCTGGGACTACAGGTGCACGCCGCAATGCCTGGCTAATTTTTTTGTATTTTTTGTAGAGACAGGGCTTCGCCATGTTGCCCATGCTGTTCTCAAACTTCTGGCCTCAAGCCAGCCACCTGCCTCAGCCTCCCTAAGTGCTAGGATTACAAGCTTGGGACACCACGCCTGGCCTTTAGATTCTTATTCTTTGTAATGTGTGAAGTTTGGTATCACTAACTCATTTTGATATTTCTGTACCCTTGAATTTTCTCCTAGATGAAGAAAAGAAGATGGTTGAAGAAGTATTCAGTAATGCAATTGATTGCTTATCCGATGAAGATAAAAAACTCCCTCAGGTGAGTTTTCAGTATCAGTAGATAAAAGTGTAGATAATAATAGATTGCATATATTCACTTTACATTGCTTGGTTTTATTACTCTATTGCACTTTTCACACACTGTAGCATATGGGTTGTGATATGCCCTTAATGATACTTTGACTTTTACTTTAAACTTCAAAAAGGCAATAGGAAGAAAGATTTGCTGCCTGAAGGAACTTTTCTCTGAGAGCTAGTATGGTGTGAAAATTACTGCTAGTGTTCTCAGTATTACAGAATTTTTAATGCTAGTTTTAAGTCATTAACTTTTTTAATCCAGAAGGCTACCACATAAAATAAAAGAGAACACTTACTGAAAATCATGTGTTTAGTGAGGAATTTAACATACCTACTTTGCCTTAATCCAGTGTATTTTTGCTTTGACTGTTGAAACAGCCTGGGAATTCCAAAATATGCTGATGCTTTTGTGCCACTTCCAGAGATTCTGATTTAATTGATCTGATGTACATTCTGGACATCAGAATCTTTTAAAGGCCCCCCAGGTGATTCTGCTGTGCATCCAGAGCTGAGAAATAGTGCTTTAGACTGGTATGAAAGTTTTGTTGAGTGGAAAGAAACATTGGGAGATCATCATACTCTCCTTTACAGATGAATGCCTTGATTTGTAAGGGATTTTCCATAAGACTGTGATAACATGTTTCTTGCTATTTGAAAAGGGTATTTAATGTATAAACTTTTTTGTAGTTTTTCTTCCTGGCTGAATTATTAGTATCTAAGGGCTGAGCCATGTTTTTATACATCTTTGTTATAGCGCACTTCTAGTAGTAAGTATTTAATGGCGTTTGATAGATTGTTGAAAGAATTCTTCAATAATTGGTTTATTTTTAGATTAAGTACATATTCATGTTAAATATGTGTTACAGTGATTTATTTTTTGGGGGTTTGAGTTGCCAGTATCTTTTAAGTTTATTTTCTACAGGCAAAAACTCTGCCCCTATAATGTGTAATTGTTTTTTGAGGAGATGAAGTGATGCTGGAAAATTTAAGACAGCAAAGCATTTGTAAAGTATACTTACTATATGCCTTTCCTATGAGCTTGGCCAGAATTATATTGAATTTAATAATCCGTGAGAATATAGGTTTGAGTTTTGCTTTTATTCTGGAAAGATTTTATTAAGTTTCTTTAAAGAGAAAGCATTCTTTACTGTTTTTCTTAATTTAGTTTAACATTTTAAAAATCCTTTTCTCACATCATTATAAAATCAGTGTTATTCCAAAATCACAGGTAGAACATGTACTTCCTCTTTTGAAGAGGGGAATTGGTATTCACCATGGTGGTTTACTTCCTATTTTGAAAGAAACTATAGAAATTCTCTTTTCTGAAGGATTGATAAAGGTATGGTTTTATTTTTATTTTTTATGCCCCCATATCATGTTGTATGAAGAGTTTGAAAATGAGAGAACATTGTTTATAGGCAATATGTGTGTTTTTAACAAGGCTTAATGAAATGACTTAAATAATGAACTTAATTTTTATATATGATGTTATACTTAAATAAATCTTGAAGTGTAGGTAAAAAAAAAACATTTGTTTCCTTTCTTCAAGAATGTAGTGGTGGCAGGGTACAGTGGCTCACACCTGTAATCCCAGCACTTTGGTAGGCTGAGGTAGGTGGATTACCTGAGGTCGGGAGTTCGAGACCAGCCTGACCAACATGGAGAAACCCCATCTCTGCTAAAAATACAAAATTAGCCAGTCGTGGTGGCAAGCACCTGCAGTCCCAGCTACTAGGGAAGCTGAGGCAGGAGAATCACTTGAACCCAGGAGGTGGAGGTTGCAGTGAGCGGAGATCACACCATTGTACTCCAGCCTGGACAACAAGAGCAAAACTCTCAAAAACAAGAACAAAACCAAAGAATGTAGTGGTAACACTATTGGATACCACAGAATGTTGCAGAAGGTGTATTTAATTACTAAACCCGGGGTTGTAAACTTCTTTCTGCATACAGAATAAAAGGATTAGTTTAGAGAAGACAAGGAAATTGCTGGTTAGACTTAGGAAAGAGAGTTTTTTTAATATTCTAATTTAAACCAAAGAGCATCTGATTTACTTTTTTTAAATGATATTGATATTTATACCAAGAAATGGGATATTAAAAATGGGAAACAACATCAAAATGTAATCATAAGTCTATATATGACTCATACTTTTTTTTTTTTTTTTGAGGCAGAATCTTGCTCTGTCACCCAGGTTGGAGTGCAGTAGCACCTCTGCCTCCTGGGTTCAAGCAGTTCTCCTGCCTCAGCCTCCCAAGTAGCTGGGACTACAGGAGCATACCACCATCCCCAACTAATTTTTTTTTCTTGTTTTTTGTTTTTGTTTTTGTTTTTGTTTTGTTTTGTTTTGTTTTGTTTTTGTTTTTGTTTTTTTGTAGAGATGGGGTTTCACCATGTTGGCCAGGCTGGTCTTGAACTCCTGACCTTAAGTGATCCTCCCACCTCAGCCTCCCAAAGTGCTGGGATTATAGGTTACCATGCCCAGCCTCATACATTATGTTTAAAAATTATTAGAATTTTAAAAATCAAATGTGAGATTTATCATGAGAACCTCAGCACTAAGTAAAATATTTAAGATAAATTTACTTATCTTGAAGAACATATTTGAAGTCACTTAGATAATGAATTTTATACTTACTTAGATCCTGGTATGTCCCTTCTAGATTGTATATTTTGCTGAGCCCTACTTTTTAAGGATCTTTTAAAAAATACACAAGCAGTACTTGTTGGGTGTAAAATTCAAATAGAGCAGTTGTATGTAAAGTAAAAAAATGAAAGATCATCCCATCACTTGCCAGAAATATCTACTAGTATACATACAAATAATGCATTAGTCATTTTGTAAACAACAAAAAAAGTCATTATACTACCCCTATTATATAATTTCATCATATGTCAGATTCTTTTTCATTCTTTTTAATGAATGAATAGTATGCTATTGAGATGATGAACTAAAATATTTTTACTTCTTTCCTAGAGAATTTAGTACTTCAGTGACTTTACTTATACATATATCCTTTTGTACCTAAACCACTATTTTTGTTGGTCTTAGAAGTGAATTACAGAGTCAGTGATTCTAGTCTTCCTTGAGAGATCTTCTAATACTGAAGTGGTCCTCAAAATCACTGTGTCATCAGTTGCAAAGGCCAGGAAATGTGTTCGTGTTTAGAAAAATATTCTATGACCTAAAACTTTGTTCGTAAGACCAGTGTGTATTCTCTCTAGTTGGCACTGTTAGAATTTAAGAAAGTCTGTTTTCCCTTAATTACCAAACTTCTGGGCTACGAGAGACATTAAATGTTAATTAATAATTTTATATATAAAATACGAAATAGGTTTGAGAACATATTGTTTGTTATTTTTGTAGGATCTCATTAACTAATTTTAAAGATTAATAATGCATTTACTTAAAAATTATAAAACCAGATTTTCAGCTTAAAATACATGTTTAATTATAGAATTACTTATTTACTTAGGCCTTATTTGCCACGGAGACCTTTGCTATGGGAATTAACATGCCAGCTAGAACTGTTTTATTTACAAATGCCCGCAAATTTGATGGGAAGGATTTCCGATGGGTAAGTAAAGCAATTCATATATCAAAATAATTTTTGTCTTTGTTATACTATAGATAACTGGCTTACATAGTCTTTGAGATTTTAAGTCCCACCTACTTAAGAACTTGAACCTGAGCTAATACAGTTTCATCAAGGTTAAACCTTGGCTTTTGGCCATTTGTGGTGGCTTAGGCTTATAATCACAGCACTTTGGGAGGCCAAGGTGGGAGGATGATTTAAGGCCAGGAGTTTGAGACCAGCCTGGGCAACATAGCGAGACCCCATCTCTACAAAAAATGCAAAAATCACCTGGGAGTGGTGATGTGCACCTGTAGTCGCAGCTACTTGAGAGGCTGAGGTGGAAGAATCACTTGAGCCCAGGAGGTCAAGGCTCCAGTGAGCTGTGATTGCACCACTGTACTCGAGCCTTGAGGACAGAGTGAGACCCTGTCTCTGAATAAATTAATTAATTGAACAAACCTCCGTTCCCTTAAATTTTTATCCTAACTCCTTCACTCCTACCTCTCCTTCAAAAAAAAAGAGATTCCTTTAAGTGAAGGAGTTTGATGATAGGAGGTTAAGTGTGCAAGTGGTTTATGAATGCTTTAAATCATTTTAAATATGTCTAGAGTTTTCATTTCTTAAAGTTTAAGGTATTAAAGCACCACTACAGTGGCTGTACTTGCATCTATTTTGCCCTTCAGATTTAAAAAAGAAGTTCTAACAGGTTTGCACACATGTCCAAGGCAGAAGCAAAGAGAGAAAGTTGGGAGCATAGGTGAAACAATGAACTGGGGTAAAAAGCAAATCCTTAATCCCAAGGCAAGTACTCCATTTAGTAAACAATTACCAAACTTAAAATATGAATTTAGAACTCTGTAGGTGACTGGGATGCTGAAGTAGAAACAGAGCAAAAAGACAATCCAGACTCGTTTCTCTTGACAGATATACAATAAAATGTTATGCTGTAAACACTCTTGAGAAGTATGTTCAGGGATATAGCATAAGAAAGGAAGTCATTTGGGGGTCAGGGAATGCTTCATTGAAAGGCAGTCCTTAAAATAAGTAACAGCAGATGAGAATTTGCTAAGCAGACAGTAGAATATTGGCGGGGGTGAAAGGAAAGTGATGGAACAAAGATTTCTAGTTTGAATTCACATAGCCTGGCTTTGGGGAAAATAGTCCTTTATTTAACCTTTTTTCTTTGAAATTGGTGATTCTCTCTGCTTGGAGAAGTTTCTGAAAGGAATTACAAATCATCAAAATGCTGAAAAGTACCCTCGCTGAAACTGTAAATAAAGGCGAAACATTTTTCATGATGTGTTTTATTTTAAAATGTTGGATGCTCTACAAAAGAGGAATACGAGTATGGTGAGGCAGTGACATTTCTGGGCCAGAACTTCTTGGGTCAGGAGGGCCTGGCCAAGGCTGCCCCTGGGAAAAGCTGAGTAGAGCTGCTGAGTGGGAGCCAAACCCTCTGTGCTAGCAGGGACTCTGCAGTCTGGCTAAGGCTGGGCCCTAGCCCCTTCCTACCCAATAAAGGCAGCTGTGGAGAGAGGGAATTTGGGTTCCAGCCTGGTTTGTGGTGGGGGGAAGGTACCATGACAGATTTGAGGATGATTTCTAGTGGACAGCAGTCAACCAACCGCACCCACCTCCCACAGGGACTCCCTCTAGCCTGAGACTCATCGGGGTCCAGACTGGAAGGCTAATGCCATGAGAGGAAGCAGGCACAGGGTGGATTGGGCGAGGGAAGCTCTGAGAAGGTCAGTGCCCAGCCACCCAGGGTTCAGAGACATTTCACACAATATGATTAAGTTTCAGGGAGAGATGCGTAGAAGCTCAAGAGAAGGAGAGAGTTAAGCAGCCTGGGACCCTCCCTCACAAAGCAACCCTTTCCTTCCTGCTTCCTTGTGGAGGACAGTGGGTGTGCATGATGGGTGTGTATGATGGATGTGCAGTGATCACTCCCAGGCTCTCTATACTATGCCAGATGCCAGATAGCACCTTCATGCCACTGTAGAAGAGGGAGCACTGGAGCCTGATGGAAAAGGGCTATGGGCCATATCAAAGGATTGAACCAGGGCTGACAATGGAATCCTAATGGTGAACCCCCTGCCCTCTGCTTTGGCCCTCAAGGGTCCCATTCCCCAGGTAGCAGCAGTGAGACTCCCTTTAACCCCTCCACTGTTAAGAAGGAGGCACCTGGGGGATGGAATGGACATCCAAGGGGGAAAGGGAGGTAATAGTGGGCTCTGCAAAGAAGGCATTGAGGGTGGTAGGCTGGTGGGCCAGGGACCCTCTCATAGTCAGAGATAGGCTGGACCCTGGGGCAACCCTGCCACCAGCATGGCCACACCATCTAGAAGGGTTAAGGTCCATGCTGTTGCCCTACCACCAGAGCTCTTGGCGAATCCTGGGGCCAGGAGATGTCTTTGTGGGGGCACCATGGAGAAAGAAATGTCTTGGCTGGGAGGTAGGGGACTGTTTGGATCTAGCCAGGGGCTACGAGTCCAGTCAAGGCATAAGCTTTGTGTTTACCTGGGCCTCCCACTGGAGCATAATCTTAAGGATCAAGATGCCTTGGAATGTAGAGAGTCAGGGAAGAAGGCTCTGTGGAGGAATGGGGGGTAGTTCTAGAATTAACTGTCCCAAAGGGTCCTGAGGCTATAGAACACTCTTCAGCCAGCACTGCTGCCCCGACTTGTTCTGGGGAAGAGTCAAAGGGTTAGGGAGACAGTGAAGGCCAGGTTCTGTCCTTTCTCCAACTCATACCAGAGCAGTTTCCCACCAAAATGAGTGTCAGTGCCAGACCAGATGCCTCATTCAGGGAGTCACAGACAGCCCCCTGTGCCACCTCTACTCTTGTCACATATGGCCCAGGCCCATGGCAAGGAGTGGGGCTGCTGAAGGCACAGAGAAGGAAGTGGGACCAGACATTCTTCACCTTTTGCTTGCTGTATAGACCTATTTCCAGAGAGGGTAACAGTCCTAGATGGTACAGCAATGAATGGCCAGGCTGAGATCATGCTGTGTCTGTACCAAGCCAGGTGGGTCAGCCATTGTACTGTTGGCTGGTAATGCAAGTTTGAGTTTCTGCAGCTCACGCTCTTGCATGTGACTCAGCTTGGAGCCTGTCAAGTGGCTTTAACACGTGGACTGGGCATATTTGGTGCTCTGGCAGTGTGAGGAGGCACATTTGAGGAGGTTTTGGGAGATGAACTGGTGCAGATTCTTCGTGGATGAAGAGGCTGCCGTGTTTACCACCCACAAGTGTCTCAGGGCCTGCAGTGTAGTCATATGAGCTCCAGGGTCCGCTGTCAGCAGGCAGTCAGTGAAATCCTTAGCCAGGTTGGACATACTGGGTAGCCAGGGCTCATTCGAGTAACTATACTTGTCTCTGAGGCATGATTGTTGTCCCCAAAGGGCATAGTGCTACTCAGCAGGATGTAGACGATGATGCCTGGGACCCACACGTGCACTGAATGGTGTAGTACTTGCAGGCCAAAACCTCTGGGGCACGGTATGCTGGTGTGCCATAGGTGGTCTTCATCAGGCCGTTGTAGTTGTTGCTGTTCTTGCAGGCACTGACCAGATTGAAGTCAGTGATGATGATCTTGGAGTCAGTGCCTGGATGGTGGTAGAGCAGATTGTGAGGCTTGAGGTCTTGGTTTGTGATGCCCAGTGCATGCAGATACTGGATGCCATCTAGCACCATCTGCAGCATTCACATGGCGTCATGCTCAGTGAAGGAACCCTTGGTGATGATGTGGTTGAACAGCTCTATGCTAGCAGGGATCAGTTGTATCAACATGTATACATGCTCCTGCATCCTAAACACCTCCACCGGCTGGACAATGTTGGCATGACGCACCTGGTGCAGCACGCACAGCTCTGACTCCCACACCTCCTACCCCTCCTGGTACTTGATCTCAATTATCTTGGTGTATGCTGCCAAGTGGCTCAGTGCTCCATGCATACCACTTGGCAGAATCTCCTTTGCCAATTGGGGTCTTCATGTCATACTTAACTGTCATATATGGGTTGAACTTGGCCCTGTATTTAGCCACCCTGGCTGTGTGATCACAAGGGAGGCTCTTCGTGGCCGGTACTGGGGACACTGCATATTGACTGGCTGCTGGAAACCTGCCTGCCTCTATGATGAAGTGCTTATACATACCACTCTGAGTGCCACTGAACAGCTGCACCTTCTTGACCAGATCCAGCTAGACATCGTTGGATGGCTAGGGAAGGACCTTGCTTTTCCCTCAGCCCATCATGGACATAAAGGCATCTTCTCCAGTGAGGCTGGTGGGATCTGCTCTGTAGGCAGTGTTCCATCTATACCTCATACAGGCAGTGGGCTTTCAGCATCTCAGCAGCTCTGCTAACCATGTCTGAGCTAGGACTGCCACCACCATCCTCAGGCATCAGCATTGTGACCTATAGTGGTTTTTAACTCTTTTTGAGTTACAGTTTTTTTAAAAGAATCTGGACCCTTTCCACAGAAGAGTACACATGCACTTACAGAAAAAACTTTGTCCAGTGTTGAAGTGGTTCAGTGGTGCCCTGAAAGCCTGTATACAGGTGGCTTACTAACCTTCTTCTATCAGGTTGTTCCTGGTGACAGATGGACTCAACCAAACTCCAAGCATACATACCAAGAAAATAGGAGAGAATTTTGTTTTTTCCAAAAGCATGAATTATAGTCATCTCATTTTGCAGATTCAGAAAGTTAATTATGATCAAGTCAGAATTGATACTTGGTTGAGTTTGAGTCATTGCATTCTTAGATTTTGCTGTTTTCGCTGGGCGTGGTGGCTCATGCCTGTAATCCCAGCACTTTGGGAGGCTGAGGCGGGCAGATCACAAGGTCGGGAGATCAAGATTTTGCTGTTTTCCAGAATATCCAGCTCAAAGGTATTTTTTACTGCCAGTGAATTAGCCAATATTTCCCAGAAGCTGTCATATATTTGTAAGCATAATTAACAGTAATTGGCTTATGTGGAAAGCCAAAATTTTTAAAAGCCTAAATTTTAGGCTTTAAATTTAGATTAAAAGCATAAATTTTCGATCCAAAATGATAATAAGTCTAAAATTTAGTTTTGTTATGTCAGTGTGATGTCGGTTTGAAACATTATTCTCACATGTTTTGCATTTTTGTGCTTTGACTTTAACTCTTCTCAAACTTCATGTTGTTTTTAATCATGTTTCCTTTCTTAGGGTTTATAACTTGTTATAAATTTTATAAAAAGAGAAATTTTAAGAATATGTTTTTTACCAGTTTTTTTCCTAAACTCTGAATTTTAACTATGTTCATTCAGATTTCTTCTGGTGAATACATTCAGATGTCTGGTCGTGCTGGAAGGAGAGGAATGGATGATAGAGGAATTGTAATTCTTATGGTAGATGAAAAGATGAGCCCAACAATTGGAAAACAATTACTTAAGGTAACTACATTAAGATTGTGTACCTTTACCAAGAATTCCAGAAATATACTTCAGGAGCCATTTCAGAATTGGTTGTGTCAGTCAGACACCTAAGTGAAATGAGTTAATATACTGAAACTATCTGGGCTTGGGAAGATGGAAGGGTGTGATTACTCAAAATACTAACATCTTGTATCCTACTTCACCTAATAGGTGGAGAGCAACTCATGTAATGGATAGGGTGTGAAGATCTCCAGAGAGGGCAGAAATGTTTACTTTGTCCTCCAAATTTAAGAAATCTCTTTATTTGACCCATCCACTGCACAAGTTGTTCTTTACCTGGTAGAACAGGAAGTTCTGTTCTACTGATAATCAAGTGTTTTGGGCAGGCAATGAGCTTCCTCTACCTTTGCAAGCGCAGATAGCTTAATAGGTTAATTCAGCAATCTGCGTTTACACTTTACCCTATTGATTATAAATATCCCAATCAAAAAGGACACATTTTAAGCTTTATTGCAGATTAGACTTTTATTTTGCTTGCTTAGTATTTGTGCTTCGGATGGTCTAGGATTTTGTTTTGAAGAGCTTCTCAAGGAAGATTGGCCTGGTTGCCTTTTTTCTTCTTATCCATATAGAGAAAAGTGTTAATAAGATAGGAAACTTTAATTAAAAACACAAAATTAATTGCCAGCTTATTAGCTACTTAAAAGTAGCTACTTCAAAACATGTTAAGACACACTTAGGTCAGTATCTATGAAACAGATTGTGTGTCTAACTTTTTAGACTTGGGAACTTTGTGGAGAATTTGAGATATAGTCATAATGAAGCTTGGTATGTTGAAGCAAAATTGATGAAGGTGTGTATATCTTTATATGTCTTTACATGAGTGAAGACAAAGCTTGTCTGTACATATTCATAATAATCGTATTGTGTCTTATTTTCAACTTTAGAGATTAACACTTGGAAACCTCTTTAGTGCTTCATGAAAGGAAAATTAAACAAGGCTGAAAATTTGTATTTTTATTCTTTTCTCTAATTGTGCCAGATATAGCACATGCTATTTTTCTTTCCTTGTACTGTGTGTGTGGAAAGAACAGAATCGGATTGCCAGATTATAGGAGGTAATATTTTAATGACAGCATCTGGTTCCTTTAGTGCAGAGTTTTCATTCCATTTACTTGACGTTTCTGGATTTGTTACTTTGTAAGTGTAAAGTTCTATCACCTTTCATTGCATTTTTAAAATTAACTTTTCTAATAGACTTATTGAGCTATAATTCACATACCATACAAGTCACTCATTTCCATGGTTTTTAATATATTCATAGAGTTTTGTCACCATCACCACAATCAATTTTAGAATATTTTCATCAATCCAAAAAGAAACCCCTGTACCTATTAACAGTCACTCTTCTTTCTTCACAAGACCACCCCTACCTCAAGCCCTAGACAACAACTAATTTGCTTTCTGTCTCTATGGATTTGTCTGTTGTGGACATTTCATATAAACAGACTCGTATAATGTGTACCCTTTTGTATCTGGCTTTTTTTCACTTAGCCTAATGTTTTCAAGTTTTATGCATGTTGTAACATCTATGAGTACTTCATTCCTTTTCATTGCTGAATAATATTTCATTGTATGGGTATGCCAAACTTGATCTGTTCATCAGTGGATGGACATTTGGATTGTTTCCATGTTTTGGCTGTTGTGAGTAATGCTGCTATGAACTTTTTTTTTTTTTTACAAGTCTTTACTTGAATATGTGTTTTCTTTTCTCCTGACTGTGTACCTAGGAATGGAATTGCAGGGTCATAGAGTAAATCTATGTGTAACCTTTTGAGGAACTGCCAGACTGTTTTCTTTAGTAGTTGCACCGTTTTACATTCCCACAAGCATTATATGAGGCTTCTAATTTCTTTACATTCTAGCCAGCACTTGTTAGCTGCCCTTTTGGTTAATAGCCATCCTTGGGGTATGAAGGAGAACATTTCACTTTGAATATTATACAGTTTGACTGATTGAAAGGAGTACCTGTTTTTGTGTCTGCATTTCTAGGCATATTTCTTTTATCAAGACTGGCATACAACCTTTTTCCTCTAGGTTTTTTTCCAGGTGGTTTTACTATCATTAAGGAATTTATAAGTAACTTATTCAGTATTTGTAACAACTAATACTTATTGAATATTCAATATGTTCCAAATGTTAATTACAATAATTATGTTATTATCTCCATTTTATAAATGGCATGCAGAGGTTAAAAAATTTGTCCAGAGCTATGTTGTTGTTAAATGGCAAATCCTGCTTTTGAACTCAGGCAGTCTGATTTCAGAGTTTATGCTTCTAACTACTATATGGTACTGCTTCTCAGTACCTCTTGCAAATAGATTTTTCAACTATTAGTTTAAACACTATTTGACATGAGACAACAGTTTGTTCTTTGATGTACTTAAAGTAGATAGGCTAAAAAATAGTCATGTCAGGTATATTTTCTTATAGGCAAAAATAATTGATCATTCTTAAGTAATTTCAGAACTTTAATAGAAATACTGAGTACTTAAAGTCATTTTCTCAAAAATTAAAATACGTAGCTTCTTCATAGTCACCTTATATGTAGAAATAGTAGGTTTACTTTATACATTAGTATAATTCAAGTCTATTTGTCATATTTAATTATTTTTCCTATTGGTGTTAGAAACATGGCAAAATACATGTGTTTGTTGCTGGTTGGAGCTTTCAAAATCTCAGTACATTCATACACACACACATATTTATATATTTGAGCATGTAAATAATTTAATGATTGTGAATTTGAAATATTTTAATAATTTTTTTCCTTCATTTTTATGGCTTGAGTAATTTTTTAACTTGGTCACTGCAAGTGATTCTCCTGCCTCAGCCTCCCAAGTAGCTGGGATTATAGGCACCTGCCGCCACACCCAGCTAATTTTTGTATTTTTTTTAGTAGAAACGGGGTTTCACCATGTTGGCCAGCCTGGTCTCGAACTCCTGACCTCAGGTGATCTGCCTGCCTCGGCCCCCCAGAGTGCTGGGATTACAGGCGTGAGCCACTGCATCCAGCCCTTTTTTTTTTTTTTAATAGAGACAGGGTCTCCCTTTGTTGCCCAGGCTGATCTCGATCTTCTGGGCTCAAGGGATCCTCCTGTCGCAGCCTCCCAAGGTGCTAGGATTACGGGCGTGAGCCACCATACCCAGCCTTGTTGTTGTTGTTTGTTTGTTTGTTTTTGTTTTTGTTTTTGGAGACAAGGTCTTGCTCTGTTGCCCAGGCCGGAGTGCAGTGGTGCAGTCTCGGCTCACTGCAACCTTGACCTCCAGGGCTCAAGCGACCCTCCCACCTTAGCCTCCCAAGTAGCTGGGACTACAGGCATGCACCACCACGTCTGGCTAATTTTTTTTTTTTTTTTTTTTTTGTATTTTTTGTAGAGACAAGGTTTTGCCATGTTGCTAAGGCTTGTTTTGAACTCCAGGCTCAAGTGATCTGCCCACCTTGGCCTCCCAGAGTGCTGGGATTACAGGCATGAACCATCGCGCTGGCTGGCTTGGCGAATTTTTAAAGGAGCAATAGAGAAACCTTTTCAACTTTTCCAGTCCTGCTATTGTTGAAGTATCTGCTATTAGCTTAAACAGAATTTGACATAAGGCAGCAGTTTTTTTGTTTTTTTTGTTTGTTTGTTTTTTGTTTTGAGACAGTTTCTCGCTCTGTCACCCAGGCTGGAGTGCAGTGGTGTGATCTTGGCTCACTGCGACCTCCGCCTCCTGGGTTCAAGTGATTCTCCTACCTCAGCCTCCCAAGTAGCTGAGATTACAGGCATGTGCCGCCATGCCCAGCTAATTTTTGTATTTTTAGTAGAGATGGGATTTCGCCATGTTAGCCAGGCTGGTCTTGAACTCCTGACCTCAGGTGATCCACCCACCTTGGCCTCCCAAAGTGCTAGTATTTCAGGCATGAGCCACCACGCCCAGCCAAGACAGCAGTTCTTTTGATACATTTTTGATTACTTGATATGAGCTATAAAAAAAAATCAGTTTTCATAATGTGTGTTCAAATGAAAAGTTGAGTAAATGAGAAAGTGTGTATTATTAAACAGCCTTTCAGAAAGACTGGTGAATGCATCTTTTATTTGTTAGCGGTTAGGTATTATATTTTTCCAGTATAACTAGAAGAAATACATGCTCCAATATAGTGCCCATATTTTCCAAAGAATGTAAAAATATCACAGTACTTTGAGTAAATGTTATTATTGGTTTTATCAAAATAAAACCATTTCTATAATTTCTGAAATTACTAAATAAACATACTAGTTACTTAGAGTACATAAAGTGCTCATTTCAATAGTGTGATACTTCTAGTCAGTGGTGTGTTCTTTTCAACAATGAATCAAATTTTCCTGAATTGAAGGAAAAATAATTTTGACCTTACTGGTTATTTAAATTATTTGTAAATTTAAGAAGCACATACCTATTCTATTAAAGTTAGTTCTGTAACTGTACATAAGATAACAATGTACAGGCCTTTTTTGAAGAAGTGGGAAGACTCACATTTATTTATTTCCTCATCTTCCACGTTTATGGTTCATAATGCAAAAATATTTAGCCTGTTAATTTTTAGAACTACTTGCCTAAATGAACCATATATTCTAAAATGTAAGAGATCATTATATTAGTATTTATAAAATATTACAAAAGCTTTTCTAGAAAATTGGTATGTTTGGCTCTCTCAATCTTAGTATCTTTTCAGTAAGCAAATTGGCAAAAAGGAATTCTTCGAAGTTTTCCTGGAATCCTTCAAAGTTTACATAATGTCTTTATCATTGGTTACCTGTCTTGTTTCAGTTAAATTTTAGGTGATCCTCTTATTAGGCTGTCTCTTGATACATTGTTTTAGTTAACTGATGAAATTAAATATGTAAAAAGAGTACTTGATCAACACTTAAAGAGTTCTTATATTTTTAGTAATATGAGGGATGTATTGGATTGATAGGTATATAAAATAAGTTCCAATATGACTTGCCCTCCATGAAGACTTTAAGCCTAGATACTCCTAGATTTTAGCTCCTATTTGTTTAGTCTTGGCAGTTCCCTGCACCTCTCTAAGCCTCTGTTTCTTGTTTAAAATGGAGACAGAAAACTGTTATGAATGTTGTGAATTGAAGATTTAGTATTTATTTAGTACAGTGAGTGGCATATGCTAAGCCCTCAGTAAATGGTGATCATTTCTAAACTTAAGGAATATATCTACATTCATGCATAGAAAGCGAACAGGAAGCAATATATGGCCCAGTGCTAGAATATAAGTTCTGATAATTCTAGTTCAGGGAAATTTGAGATGATTCTGGACTAGATGGTTGTGGTCTAAGGCTTTATGGAGGAATGTAGGTGGGGCAAGCTCCAAAGGAATGGAATCAGAGTGGGGGTTACGTTTTAATTTTCATGGCTAAAAAGAAAGAATGATACTTTAGGAAACAGGAGAGGCTTTAGCATCGAGAATTAACATGTATTTGGATTTCTTAGTTTTGCTAAGACAGAGGATTTGTGTGGATACTTATAGATGAGAGACATAAGCTTATTAACTTGATTGCTAAATTGGGTGTTCAGTTCTGAGCCTCAGTATTTCCCATTTTTACCCTTTTCTTTAGAAAACAATAGAGTTTACAACATGTCCAGTACACTTCTGTGTGGTGTGTGTTTGAGAAATAAAAGTTTCTTAACACACTTCTGCTATGATGTATTATGTTATTTTCCATTCTATTTCGTTGGGGGAAAATAAAATGAAATTTGGTATAAACTATGAAACTGAGTTCAGTACCTACAGGGACTTTAAGTAATCATATATTATTGCTGAGTAGGGTAGTATGTCACAGCGAAAGCATGTTTAGGAAGATTCATCTGGCAGCGGCAAGTCAAACTGGAAAGGACATTGAAACAAGAACAGTTACGATGGTAGTTATAGTAATCTAGGTGTTAGGATGGTAGTTGTCATAATCTAGGTATGATTTGATGAACCTTTGGACTAGAGTGGTGGCAGTGGTAAAGAAACAAAAGGACTAATCTAAGACAAATTGAGTAAATAGTCTGCAATAATTGATTAAAAAGGGAGAGAGAACGCAGAATAAACAAACTCCTAAGCTGGAATTTAAATGAGTAACTCATTAACCATCAATATATGTGAAAGAGAAAGTTGGTCAGAAATGAGGAAGAGCAAGAGAGAGAAATTTCATTTTAGATAGTATAGTGATGTTATTTATCATCCAAATTGGGATACTGTCAGAGTGAAAGAGGGGACTATTAGTCATTACACTGGTACAGCAGGTGTAAGTTGGAACTATGCTGGGCTTACTTGGGTAGAATGTCAAAAAGCCATGTTGAGTTTCAGGTGACTGAGAATTTACATGGGTGTTTGTACAGCAGTTGGGAATATAGAAGCGGAGCATGGGGTTAGAAATAAACATTTCTTATATTGAAACCCGAGATTTCTTGGTGGACATAATCATAGAAGAAAAAATAACAGGAAAGTCTGCAAACAATGTGTTTGCAAAATTATAAAGTAGATGAAGTTCTTTAATCTCTCTTTTCTCCAAGAATCTAGTTTTCCTACTAACTTCACCACTCCTTTTGGCCCTATTTTTAAGGAAAGTGGGTAAAGATCAAGGTTTTAGGGACTTACTAACTATCCTCCTAAAGTACGTGGCTCTTGAGTTTTCAGGAACTAAGAAATATCCTTACTTGAGACACAGATGAGAAGTCTCCCCTTTTTCTGCATAAAATCCTGACTGCATACATTTAAAATTCTGGATTTCATAAGGTTGTCCTGTGGACTTCAATTTAAGAACCCAGGAGTACTCTAAGAGTATTTGTGTATTTTGCTATGCCATTTAGAAATATGTGGCCTACATAGTGATACTGCACTTCTAAATGTTTCTACATGTATCGTCCGAGAATTTGGTCATTCTCTTATTTAAATAACTACACAACCATTTTCATACTTCTGAAGCATTTTTATTAAAATATACTTCTGAAGGCCCGGGCGCGGTGGCTCATGCCTGTAATCCCAGCATTTTGGGAGACTGAGGTGGGCGGAGAGGTCAAGAGATCGAGACTATCCTGGCTAACACAGTGAAATCCCGTCTCTACTAAAAATACAAAAAATTAGCTGGGCCTGGTGGCACGCTCCTGTAGTCCCAGCTACTTGGGAGGCTGAGGCAGGAGAATTGCTTGAACCCGGGAGGCAGAGGTTGCAGTGAGCTGAGATCACGCCATTGCACTCCAGCCTGGGCTACACAGCGAGACCCCATCTAAAAAAAAAAAAAAAAACTTCTGAAGAGACACTGCTGAAAGAGAAGTTTATGTGTGAAGGAACTATTTTGGGTATAAACCTTGTGAGTTTAGGTTGCATTATTCTACAATAAAATTCTACAGTATAACTTATTTTACAATAAAATATTTTATACTGTCTAGTCATTAGTCTAGCTCTTGAGTAACAGCCACAGTTAGGAAGACAAAAAGGAATTAAAGTGTAGATAAAGAATAGTCTGCCTATAATCCCATCATTTTGGGAGGCTGAAGTTGGAGGATTGAGCCAACCCAGGAGTTCAAGACCAGTCTGGGTAATACAATGAGACCTCTATCTCTACAAAATAATAAAAAATTAGCCGGGGATGGTGGCACATGCTTGTAATCACGGCTGCTCAGGAGGCTAAGACTGGAGGGTTGCTCGAGCCCAAGATTTCAAGGCTGCAGTGAGCAGCCTTGCAGTGGGGGACCACAAAGAGCAATCCTGTCATATGCTTAGAGGGCAGAGAGCTACACATTTGGCAAACAGTATTTTAAATACTTTCATACTGATTTTTTTTTCCCTTCACTTTCCCAAAGACCTGTGGTTTTATTTTATATTGGTTAACTAAAGGGTAGAACTAATACATTTCTGTAGTATTTCTTAATGTAGACTGTTATTGAGCATTATAGTAGGTTAAAGGTACTTGTGTAAATTTATTTGGAAAACTACAAAATTGACATTTTTTTTCTCTCTTAGGGCTCCGCTGATCCTCTAAATAGTGCTTTCCATTTGACCTACAACATGGTTTTGAACTTACTACGTGTAGAAGAAATTAATCCTGAGTACATGTTGGAAAAATCCTTCTACCAGTTTCAGCATTATAGAGCAATTCCAGGAGTAGTAGAGAGTAAGTATAAAATACCATAACAGAGCTTAGTGTAGCTAGGAGACTGACTAGCAAAATGTCTGCATTATTGGCTGCTTTGGCTTTTGTTTTTGTAAGGTAAATTTTGGTTCATACGTAATGGACTGCACAACTGTAGTCTGGTCATTGTAACTGAATAGAACATTTCAAAATGAAGGAAAGAAAACCCTGGCAGGAAACTTTTCTATAGTTGGCTCAAATTTAGTATAATTCTTGTCTTGTGCATATATGTCATATAACTCATGGTCCTGAATAATGAAATAACACACAAAGCCTAGTATATTAAAACTTGACCTGTAAAAAGCACATGCGGCTGGGCGCAGTGGCTCATGCCTGTAATCCTAGCACTTTGGGAGGCCGAGACGGGTGGATCACGAGGTCAAGAGATCGAGACCATCCTGGCAAACATGGTGAAACCCCATCTCTACTAAAAATACAAAAAATGAGCTGGGCATGGTGGTGGGCTTCTGTAGTCCCAGCTACTTGGGAGGCTGAGGCAGGAGAATCACTTGAACACGGGAGGTGGAGGTTGCAGTGAGCCAAGATTGCACCACTGCACTCCAGCGTGGTGACAAAGGGAGACTCCGACTCAAAAAAAAAAAAAAAGCAGCACATGCCTATTAGCCTTGTCCTTTCACCATTTCTCATTATAAAAGAGTGCCCTGGCATAAGCCTGTGAATGTTTAGGGAAATATAATGCTTTAACTTGGATTAGAGTTTAGCTTTTTGGAATTTTCAGTTCTTAATATTAAGGTAATGCTTACTAAAGCACAAAAAGTAAATGTCCTGTGGTAATTATGTTCAAGTGGAATTGTACATTGATTCTTACCTTAGAGGGTAGTGTGACTGATGGTCATAAGAGCTGATTAAAAGCTAAAATGGAGGCAACGATTTAAAGTACTGGTTTTCATTTGAATGTGAAAAAGAATAAACCACTGGTTTGGATAAATCTTATAAAAATATTGTGCGTAGTCATCGTAAAAAGGAGAAAGAAAATGTGACAAAAGATAGAGGAAAGTTAAAATCATTTGTAATCTCACACAGAAATAGCTACCCAACCACTGTTAACACTTTGGAGTTTTTCTATTTTGTTTCACGAATAAGTTTGCTTTTTAAAGGCAAAATTTAGATGTGGAGTTTTTGTAATAATGATACTGGTAATGATAATGCTTATAATTAATATCATTTGTTAAATATTTACCTTACGCCTAGCCTTTTATTAAATGCTTTGTATTTAGTAGCTCATTGATTCTGACTTTTGAAGTTTTAATTTCAGCCAGGTGTGGTGGCTCACACCTGTAATCCTAGCACTTTGCGAGGCCCAGGGGGGCAGATACTTGAGGTCAGGAGTTCGAGGCCAGCCTGGCCAGCATGATGAAACCCCATCTCTACTAAAAATACAAAAAAATTAGCCGGGCATGGTGGTGGGCACCTGTAATCCCAGCTACTTGGGAGGCTGAGGCAGGAGAGTTGCTGGAACCCGGGAGCAGAGGTTGCAGTGAGCCGAGATTGTACCACTGCACTTCAGCCTGGGTGACAGAGCGAGACTCCATCTCAAAAAAAGAACAAAAAGTTTTAATTTCAAGAAAGCATGATTTTTAATGACTGAATAATGTTTCAATTTTATAACTATCATGATTTATTTAACAGGACAAATTGGAGATTCCTTTCTATCATGAGTATATAGGACAATTCCACTCTTATTTTACTTTATTTTAGATGGGGTCTTGCTCTGTCGCCTAGGCTGGAGTGCAGTGGTACGATCACAACTCAGTGCAGGCTCAGTTGATCCTCCCAGCTCAGCTGGACTATAGGCATGTGCCGCCATGCCTGGCTAATTTTTGTATTTTCTGTAGATACAGGGTTTCACCATTAATAAAGTGATGAGAATAAATGTAACCTCTCTAATTGAAAAAAAAAATCGAAGATGACTGACAGTTTCTTAAAATGTGAGCTGGATGATCTCAACACTCACCTTTAGTAAATTTCCATAAGCAGATTTTTGAATTTTTTTTAAAAACCTTATAACATGACCAATGTATAATTTCAAATCATATTACATTTTATTAATTTCTTGTAAAAGTTATTAATAATGCCCCTCGTTTGGCTGATAAACTGGTCTTAGCAAAGAGATAGAAAAGTATGATTCTAGTCTCAGAGAAGTGTATTTTTAAAAGAGCTATAAATCCCTTTCTCCCACCAAAAATTGTATTAATAATAAATTTTATTTTATTTTATTAAAAATAAAAATAATAAAGATGAACAAGGTTTAAATACACTTTGGATTTGAGTGTGAATTAAGGAGGTGTTAAAATCAGATTAGTACTTAATATTAATTTTACCTTATGGAAATTTCAGATGCTGTCATTGAAACAGGTGTAAGATTACAAGCTAGTTTAATACTTAAAAAAGGAAATTAAAGTATTCCTCCTAAGCAGTTAGCACAGTCATGCATGAGTAGGATAATTATACATACACACACAGCTAGCAGTTAGACTGTTTTGGAGACTGAATAACCAAGTGAAACAGAAGTGTGTATTGGTGCACCTACCTTTGTTTTGTTTCTTTTTCTTTTTACATTCTGATAAGCAGTAAATTACTTTTTAAAAGCATCCCTGGTACAGTGGAGGATAGAGGGAAAACTCCCAAATATTATCCCATTTTTTTAAAGCCTGTTTTCTGACTTCTGGCTGGACCCAGAGATTGTTCAGTATGACTTAGAGCAGGATTCTACTGCTCACTCAATGAACTTAAACATTCCACCATTTCTCTGATAAATTAAAAAGAAAACCTTTTACCTGAGGAATGGGAGCCCCTTTCAATTTTCAGGCCGAGAAAGTCATTTAAAATATAACCGAAGTCAAGTCTCAAGTCTCCTACCCTTGGAACTAAATAATTACCTTTTGAAGCCACTGTATAGCCAGTCACTAACCCGTGTTATTTCTTTTTACCAATGAGAATTCCTGACAGCTTTTGTAATCTAGCCGCTCTTCTAATTCATCCCTTTTTCTTTTCTTTTTTCTTTTTTTTTTTTTCTTTTTTTGAGACGGAGTTTCATCATTCCTATTGCCCAGGCAATGGCAACAATGGCACGATCTCGGCTCACCCCAACCTCCACCTCCCAGGTTCAAGTGATTCTCCTGCCTCAGCCTCTCAAGTAGCTGGGATTACAGGCATGCACCACCACGCCCAGCTAATTTTGTATTTTTAGTAGAGACGGGGTTTCTCCATGTTGGTCAAGCTGGTCTCAAACTCCCAACCTCAGGTGATCCACCCACCTTGACCTCCCAAAGTGCTGGGATTATAGGCATGAGCCACTGTGCCTGGCCCTGATTATCCCTTTTTCTTTAGAAATTGGAGCCCCTCTTTTGTCTCTAGAGCACTTCCTGAACTTAGAAGTATATCTCTGGCTGCAGTCCTCAGCCTTGGCCCACATAAACTGTTAATCTTGCCTCGGTTTCTTCCATTTAGGTAGACATTTCCATCTCATGTCCTCTGTCTTCACAGTCCCCAGCTTTTGTGTTTTGTTTTTTCAATGTGGTTCTGACTTACCTTTTAAAAGGATTGTGAGTAACATGATCTTTGCTCACTGGCATTGCCTCTGAATACTTGTATCTACTTGGAATTTAATTATCCCTGCATTTCTCTACCTCTGGTTTTAAAGGGGCAGGCTCTGTTTTTCTAACTTCCTGAAACCAGTAAGTAAAAATACTGTCAAAAGTATAACATACTTTTTAATGGAAGAGGTAGGAATTTGAGTGATGAAAGAGAAATAAGGGAATTGAAACACCTCTAGTACAGTTTGCAGAGCTGAGTGTTAATGATCAAACAGACCATGTAGTGTGAGAGAATACATCCTGAATGGAGTTCATTCCTATTTTCAGTCATTACTTGCAGGAGTATACTTCTTTTGTTGCAGATACTACTAGAGCCTTTTCAAGGCACTGGTATTATTTTTACCACCTTAAATATAACAAAATTAAAATGTGGGCTATTGTCTTTGGAAGTGTAGAATTGGTAGAATGTTTTATTCATTGTAACAAATAGATGGCTCACATACATGAGATGTTTTTCATTTTGATTTATCTAATCAACAGTACATTTTTCAGTGAGCCATAAGAGTAGAGGTCCTTGGATTTTACTCTACCCTTACTGAAATGAAAAATGCATACTTAATCTTAGTCTTTTTATTTAGTTTCATTAATAATGCCAGTGGTAATAGGAAGAGCTGTGCAGTTAAATGAGGGTTTGAATCAAGGCTACCTGAGCCTCAGTTTGTTTATGAAGTTGGGATAATATCCAGTACATTCAAGTTCTAAGAATTAAATGAGATAATCTATGTTAAATGCTCAGTAAGTGCTTGTTGCAAAAATGATAGTATTGCCATAGAGCAGTAAAGCAATCTGTGCTTTTACTTGTAAAATTTGCTTAGTTCTGAGCATGGCAGTTCATTTCCTAGTCACTCCCAGGCTTATCTATTGTATACACTGTTATACACTATATTATATACTATAAATATGTTTTTGCAACCACCATCTCTCATCTTCCTCGAGAGGAAGAAATTGGTTGCAAGCTGTCTTAAGAGTTTGTGGGCATATTTTACATGCTATCTTCTGAAATTCTGAGGCTTTCCTATGGCAATGACCCATGAGGCCTTCTCATTTGCACTGCAGTTAAACTAGCTTCTTATACTAAAGTTCCTCAACTGTCTGATTGGGGTGGAAGAGGTACTATCCTTAAATTAAGTTAATTTGCTTCATAGTGGCAGTCTCACAAACAAGTTGCCTCATTAATTTATGTATTTGTTTTCTAATTTGTTACATGTATATTATCAATTTTGAAAGACATAAAACCAGTTTTTTTTTAACATGAGAAAAGATTAGAGAAACTGATTTTTGTTTGTTTAATATGGAGAAAAAAGACTGTACCTAAAGTTAATAATTTTCTGGAGTGGTATGTAGCTGTAGTTAGAGTCCTGGACTCTAACTACAAAATAAATGTGACTTCTTAAAATGTCTTTCAGACTTTTGACTCACTAGTTAAATAGTCTGAGCACTGAAGTGATTTGGAGTGATATAAAAAAGAAAATCTTCCTGGATGCTTCCCTGTTATCCCCCATAGATATTTCCTTATATCATTTTCTTAAATTCCTCTGGTCTGTGCTGCCTTTAGTGCTCCCCTGATTCCTACAAATAGAATGTTATATGTAATTCTGGGCGGGGCAGCAGGATCATCATTTCAGTGTGCAGTCTCCATTTTCGTGTAACTCTTAATGACTTTAGTCTGTCAAATATTCTTTTATAGGGTTTAATTTTTTTTCCTGATAATGTTTACTGCCATAATGCGTGTTGTTACGGATGGTATTCTAGTCTTTAATGACTGAAATACAGCTCCTGTAAGCAGTGATGCAGTTCATTTAAAAATAACCAGGATGATGCAGTATGCCCAAGGTAGTACAAAAGACTAGAACTTAGAGCTCTAGGAACAGTCTGTGAAAAGGTTGATGATGATAATAAACATAATAACAATACAGTAGCAATATCCTTTCTGTTTACCATGAGCTATACTGTTAGCTAAGTATATTCTGTGTCTTTCATCAGTCCCTAGGAAAGCTTTGTGGGGATACGTGCACTATTGTTATCCTCATTTTGCAGATTAAGAAACTGAAGCACACTGGTTACATAGAGCAGTTTGATAAAGATCAGTGGAGTAGAATTGTGAGTCCAGAAGTAAACCTGTACATCTGTTGTCAATTGATTTTTCAACAAGTAGTGCTGAAACAAAAGGATTGCAACATGCGTAATAAAGTTGCACCCTTACCTCACGCCATATACAAAAAGTAACTCAGATAAAGAGCTAAAAATTTAAAACTCAGGAAAAAACATAGGTGTGAATTTACGTAATTTTGGATTTGGCAGTGATTTCTTAGCTGTGACACCAAAAGCATGAACAACAGAAGAAAAAAAGAAATTGGATTTTACCAAAATTTAAAACTGTAATGTGTGTGTGTGTGTGTGTGTGTGTGTGTGTGTGTGTGTGTGTGTGTGTGTTTGTCTATGGTTTTTGGCTTATAATTTTTATACCCTTTGTTATATATAGTCTTGTTAAAACGTTGGGGCACTTTAGGCCTTAGAAATAGGCCTTAGAAATTAGATTTTTTTTAACCTAGTTTTGTTTATTTATTTATTTAAGGCAGGGTTGTTTATTTTTATTTTTATTTTTATTTCTTTTTTTTTTTGGTCTTTTTGTCTTAGATCTGTTCATAATAAATTTTTTTTGACTTACTTTGTCTTATTATAGGTCATAAGACCACCATTTTAAAGGGGATTCTGTATTATGTCTTGGAGGAAGAAATGTTATATAGAGAGACCCAAAAATTTTAAATAAATGGGCTTTCTTGGGTTTTTTTACTCCATTAGTATTAGATTATGTATTTTTTTGTTTAATTATATATAGTTGTGAATTATGTCCATCTAATTAAAAGTCACTATAAAATGTCCAGGGAGGACAGGATTTGGGGAACTTTTGGATAGCTAAATATGAAGAGACTTATAGGAAGGAAACAAAAATTTATTTGTTGAGGAAGATGGTGCACTCCATCTCTGTGTGGACAAAAGCTCTTGTGTTTAGGACCTTTTTAGACTTTGTCTTATATTTTTTTTATCTATTTTTAAAAATATTTTTGTAATAAACTGATAAATGTGTTTTTTTGAGTTTTGTGAGCTACTCACACACACACAAATAATCAGACATAAAGAGGAAGTTGTAAAAATTTCAATTTGTTAAATTTTTTGGAGGCCCTAACTGGTGACTAGTGTCTAAACTTAGGACTTGTGACTAGTGTCTAAAATTTTGGAGACCTTAACCTGTGACTAGTGGGGGTAGGGGTGGGGGCAGTCTTGGGGACTGAACTCTCAACCTGTGAGACCTGATGCTGTCTCCAGGTGGATAATGTCAAAATTAAATTAGAGGACACCCAGCTGGCATCCACTGCTTGGTGTGTGGGGAAGAAAAACCCTCACATATTGAGTCACAGAAGGCTTCTTCTGTGTTAGTTACTGTTATGTAACATAAAAAATACAAAAAATGCCAGGCATGGTGGCTCATGCCTGCCAGAACTTTGGGAGACTGAGGTGAGTGGATCACTTGAGGCCAGGAGTTCAAGACCAGCCTGGCCAACATGGCGAAACCCTGTCTCTACTAAAAATACAAAATTTAGCCACATGTGGTGGCGCACACCTGTAATTCCAGTTACTCAGAAGGCTGAGGCAGGGAATTGGATGAACCCAGGAGGCAGAGGTTGCAGTGAGCCAAGATTGTGCCACTGAACTCTAACCTGGGCAACGGAGCAAGACTGTCTCAAAAAACATTTATATATATATATATATATATAAACAATTTTTTTTTTTTTGGAGGCAGGGTCTCACTCTGTTGCCCAGACTGGAGTGCACTGGCAAAATCATAGCTCACTGTAGCCTCAACCTCCTGGGCTCAAGGAATCCTCCAACCTCAGCCTCCCAAGTAGCTAGGACCACAGGTGTGTACCATCACACCAACCTAATTTTTTATTTTTGTAGAGATGGAATCTCACTGTCTCTCCCAGGCTGGTCTTGAACTCCTGAGCTGAAGGTATCCTGCTCCTGCCTCAGCCTCCCAAGAGTGTTGGGATTATGGGTGTGAGCCACTGTGCCTAGCCAAAAAAACACTTGTGTTTCTTAAAACACAGTACCTCAAAAGAACAACTTTGTTTCCTTCTTTACCTGATAGAATGGTCCTAAGACCAGGGCTACAACTACAAATGCTAAAAAGAGATAATTCCTAAACAGAAAACTGCAACTATATATTTAACCCTTTTATCAAAATTCCTAAGAGCCATATAGGATGAATTGTACCTTCATCCCATCTGACAAAATAGACCGAAAACCAATACAACTATTTGCCTAATTATCAGGGAACCTGCCCCAATATTTACATAGGTTCTTTTCTATTTTCCTTAAGCGTTGGCCAGCTTGAGAAATAAAGGGACAGAGTACAAAAGAGAGAAATTTTAAAGCCGGGCGTCCAGGGGAGACATCACATGTCGGTAGGTTCCGTGATGCCCCACAAGCCACAAAAACCAGCAAGTTTTTATTAGGGAGTTTCAAAAAGGGAGGGAGTGTGTGAATAGGTGTGGGTCACAGACATCAAGTACTTTACAAGGTAATAGAATATCACAAGGCAAGTGGAGGCAGGGCGAGATCACAGGACCGCAGGACCAGGGCGAAATTAAAATTGCTAATGAAGTTTCGGGCACCACTGTCATTGATAACATCTTATCAGGAGACAGGGTTTTGAGATCAACCGGTCTGACCAAAATTTATTAGGCAGGAATTTCCTCTACCTAATAAGCATGGGAGCGCTATGGGAGACTGGGGTCTATTTCACCCCGGCAGTCTCGAACATAAGAGACAGGTACGCCCCAGGGGGGACAGTTCAGAGACCTACTCCTAGGTGTGCATTCTCTTTCTCAGGGATGTTCCATGCTGAGAAAAGGAATTCATCGATATTTCTCCCATTTGCTTTTGAAAGAAGAGAAATATGGCTCTGTTCTGCCCGGCTCACTGGCGGTCAGAGTTTAAGGTTATCTCTCTTATTCCCTGAACAATTGCTCTTATCCTGTTCTTTTTTCAAGGTGCCCACATTTCATGTTGCTCAAACACACATGTTGTACAATTTGTGCAGTTAATGCAACTATTACAGGGTCCTGAGGCGATATACATCCTCCTCAGCTGACAGGATTAAGAGATTAAAGTAAAGACAGGCATAGGAAATCACAAGGGTATTGATTGGGGAAGTGATAAGTGTCCATGAAATCTTTACAATTTATGTTTAGAGATTGCAGTAAAGACAGGCATAAGAAATTACAAAAGTATTAATTTGGGGAACTAATAAATGTCCATGAAATCTTCACAATCTACGTTCTTCTGCCACAGCTTCAGCTGGTCCCTCCGTTTGGGGTCCCTGTCTTCCCGCAACATCTCTCCCTTTCTTGTTATATAAATGTGCCATGGCGATGAAGCCTTGTTCGTTCTCTCGATTTTGACACAGGATTCCTTGACTGGTCTGGCACACTAAAAACAAGCCGATTAAACAGAGAAACATAGTTCCAAAATTTACTATAGTGGAGCCCCCAGTAGACTTAATCCAAGTCGTGGAGTTTAATCCATAAAGATTTTCTGCCACCTGATCTAACGCCTCAGCTCTAGGCACAATGGATAAGTGAGCTTGAGGGGCTTCAAAAATTTGTTGCTTTAATTTAGTTATGTCCAATGATAAATTATCTTCCCTACCTAGAAGATGTCCTTTGACCATTTCCCATGAATGATCAGTCATATAGGAATATGGGGTGATGCAGAAATCCAAAGTATTCCAATCGCACTGCATTTGCATGCGACGTTCAAGACTCATTACCCGATCTCCAAGCCAAATAACAGACTGTCTTAAATCATTGATTTGCCAATTTTTGATCGATGCCTTGTTGAGAATTCCACATTTGGGTGGAATTGGCTTACCAATCATTAACAAAATGAGCCGTTTGAATGGATTGGTGTAATGCCATTCCAGCAGTGGTGGCCATTGCAGTGACTGTAATGAGGCCCATGATAACAGCGATTAAAGTGAAAACAAATCTCTTAGATCTTTTTAGAATTTGCTGTAGCACTTCATTAATGAAATGGCACTAGTTCTATACCTGTATAACCTTATCACATCTAAATAGAATACAATGTGGAGGACATAGTGCTAGGCTACTCTTGCTGCCTAAAATCTAGACCAACATTGTGGCCAATTCTGATGTCCCTTCCATAGATTTTTTTTAAAAAGAAGGGAGGGTATTTAAAAACTATAGATTTTATAGGTCGGGTGTGGTGGCTCACGCCTGTAATTCTAGCACTTTGGGAGGCCAAGGCAGGTGGATCACTTGAGGTCAGGAGTTCAAAACCAGCCTGGCCAACATGGTGAAACCCCCGTCTCTACTAAAAATACAAGAATTAGCTGGGCATGGTGTGGCACGCCTATAATCTCAGCTACTCAGGAGGCTGAGGCAGGAGAATCACTTAAACCTGTGAGGCTGAGGTTGCAGTGAGCCAAGACTGTCTCAAAAAAAACAAGCTAAAGGCCGGGCTTGGTGGCTCATGTCTGTAATCCCAGCACTTTGGGAGGCCGAGGCGGGTGGATCATGAGGTCAGGAGATCGAGACCATCCTGGCTAACATGGTGAAACCCGTCCCTACTAAAAATACAAAAATTAGCTGGGCATGGTAGCGGGCGCCTGTAGTCCCAGCTACTCGGGAGGCTGAAGCAGGAGAGTGGTGTGAACCCGGGAGGCAGATCTTGCAGTGAGCCGAGATCACGCCACTGCACTCTAGCCTGGGCGACAGAGCGAGACTCCGTCTCTAAAAAAAAAGAAGAAAAAAGGCTATGGATTTTAAAAACGGAATTACACATTTTAAAAATCCAATATTAGTTAATACCTCTAAAGAAGCTCAAAACAGTTATATCCTAGTTCAATTATACCAAATGCCTAAAAATATGAAACTATATATTTGCCAAGATGACTCCTACTTTTAAAACCAGGCAAGATCAAATAAAAGCCTGCAAACCTGCATGGCCTCACCCTAAGAGATATATTCATATCATTTAATGGTAGACTGATCTAATTAATGACTAAATACAAGTCTAATAATATGCCAATATCTTTGAAATTATATATCCTGTTAATATGAGTTCCATATTAACAAAAAACCAGGGTGTGGCCTGTGATTTATTGGTTGGTTTTTGTCCATGGTTCCTGGTTTATAACTCCCATAGCCTTTGTTAGTCTTTTGTTATAATGTTGGGTCAGAAGCAGGTCCCAGAAGATAGATTCTCTCTCTGACCTTCTGCTGCCTTCCTTTCACCTGCTGCTTTTTCTCCCCAAGGCAGGAATCATCTCCAGCTTTTCTGTTTTAGAGACTGACCTAAAAAAATTCTCTGACCTACCTTGTCTGATTTTAGGTCACAAGGCACTCATTTGAAAAGAGATCCTGAGTCATACCTTGGAGGAAGAAATGCTATACGGAAAGGTGCAAAAAAAAAAAAAATCATAATGGGCAGATCTTGCTGGGTTTTCCCACTCAGTCTATTAGTAATAGATTGTAACCAACCACATTTCTTTGCAGTTGTCAGTCATGTCTATCCAATAAAGCCTCCATAAAAGGCACAAGAGGACAGGGTTTGGGGAGCTTTTGGATAGATGAACACATAGAGACTTACAGGAAGGTGGAAGGTAAACAAAAACCGCAACTACACTTGCACCAACCTAATAGAAAAAATCCTATGTCTTGGGTATAATTTAAATAAGATGTATAACCTTTTAATTTTGTACATGTGTTCTATTTACAGAGGTAAAGAATTCAGAAGAACAGTATAATAAAATAGTAATTCCCAATGAAGAAAGTGTGGTTATCTATTATAAGATTAGACAGCAGCTTGCCAAATTGGGTAAAGAAATTGAAGAATATATTCACAAACCAAAATACTGCTTACCTTTTCTACAACCAGGTCGTTTGGTAAAGGTATGTCATTGTTTCTTCATAAAATACTTGAATAATTCAATATTTAAACATATTTTTGTTAAAGATTCTAATTTATTTTTTATTCTGATAAAATGCTTCCTGCTACAATAGTTGATCTATATTAATCATATTATTTTACCTGTTTCACATGGCACTAACTTAGGGGCTTATGCAAAGGCCTTTTAATCACCACTGGTTTTTGTTTTGGGGACTATAAATTGAAGTAGATAGTTTTGGAATTAACATATAAAATATTTCTAGTTATGAAATGCTAACTATAACTGTTCATATAACTATTCATATAACTATATGAAAAATAAGGCAATTTTAAGTTCTGGATGAATTCATTAGATATAAATGATTTATATCCTTGGAACATTCTGTCATTTTCAGCATTCATTTGCCAACTGAGAGATTCCTGTTATTGCTGTCCTAGGGGCAATTTCTAAAATGAAATTTGGCATTGATTTTTTTCCTGCAGGGTTGATATCTTGTTTCTTAAATTTAGCAGTGCTCTTTCAAAGATATTTTATCAGAAAATTCAGAAAGCTTTATTAGTCTAGAATGTAGGTGTGAAAGGCTGAAATTGCCTTGTAGATATACATTTGATTCTTGCTTACTTGCTTTTCTTTCTTTTTAGGTAAAGAATGAAGGAGATGACTTTGGCTGGGGAGTAGTGGTGAATTTCTCAAAAAAGTCAAATGTTAAGGTAAACTATTATCTTTAAATTAGAATTGTATATCAATTTTTAGTGAAATGTTTTTTAAGGCTTATGAAATCGGTCTAAGAAGAAATAATATTACCTGAAGAGAAGCAGTAATAAATTCTGCCATGAGGAATTAATTTTTGGAATACACCCGGCTAATTTTTGTATTTTTAGTAGAGATGGGGTTTTGCCATGTTGGCCAAGCTGGTCTTGAACTCCTAACCTCAGGTGATCCACCTGCCTCGGCCTCCCAAAGTGCTGGGATTACAGGTGTGAGCCACCGCACCAAGCCAGTCCTTTATATTTTCTGTGTATCACCTCAACCATGAGAAAACTATTAAATGGTGGTGGTGCTTTCCTTCCACTCCCCAAATCTCCCTGACACACACACACACACACACACACACACACACACACACTCAGAGAGACACATGCATTGTTTTCATGTAGCTGTGATCTTCCTTGCAGGAGATGAGGTTAACTGGACAGAGTAGTCTTTATTTAAGCCTCTCTGACAGCTATTAAATTCTCTTTTTATGTGGAGTTGGAAGTGTGACATTGAGTGCTAAATACAGTGGTTTCATGGACATTTACGTAACCCAAGATGGAAAAGCTAGCATGCCTTTGCCAGTTTACTCATTCCATAACTTGTTTGTAAGAGAATTTTGCTAAGGCAGAATATTTTTACCTATACTGAAGTGCTGTAGATTCCTTTCACCTTAGGTTTTACATTTTTTGTTTATTTTTTTTCTTTTTCTTTTGAGACGGAGTCTCGCTCTGTCGCCCAGGCTGGAGTACAGTGGCACGATCTCGGCTCACTGCAATCTCCGCCTCCCGGTTTCATGCCATTCTCCTGCCTCAGCCTCCTGAGCAGCTGGGACTGTAGGTGCCTGCCACCAAGCCCAGCTAATTTTTTTTTTTTGTATTTTTAGTAGAGACGGGTTTCACCGTGTTAGGCAGGATGGTCTCGAACTCCTGACCTTGTGATCTGCCCGCCTCGGCCTCCCAAAGTGCTGGGATTACAGACATGAGCCACCACGCCCGGCCTGTTTCTTTTTTTAAACAGTTCTATGGAGATGATACACACTCTACAATTTTCCCGGTTAGGGTGTATGACTCAGTGACATTTAGTATATTTGCAGATATGTGCAACCATCACCACAGTCAATTGTAGAACATTTTCATCATCTCAAAAAGAAACATATGTCATTCACCTGTCCTTCCATATCCCCCAGAAATAGAGAAAATTTCTTTCTGTTCCTGGTGTGTTGAGTGTTTTTCTCATGAAAGATAAATATTATGTCAAATATTTCTTATGTGCCTATTGAGGTGATCATGTGATTTTTGCTTTTTATTCTATTTTGTATTCTGATATGATATATTACATTAACTGGTTTTCAGATGTTAACATGACTGGATTTCTGAGATAAATCCCAGTTTGTCATGATATATTATTTTCTTTATGTATCGGGATTCAGTTGGTAGTATGTTTTTGAGGATTTTTTATGCCGTATTCATAGGAAATACTGAGGATTTTTCATGCCAGTATTCATAGGAGATGTTGGTTTGTTGTTTTCTTGGTGACATCTTTGTTTGGGTTTGGTATTAGGGTAATGCAGGCCTCATAGAATGAGTTAGGAAGTGTTCCCCTTTTCTTCCATTTTTTGGAAGAGGTTTTGAAGAACTGGTATTAAATATTTTTTCCCAATATCTTCATCACATTCAAAACTTCTTAAATATTTGGTAGAACTTGGCAATGAGGCCACTTCGGCCTGTGCTCTTCTTTATGGGTACTTTACTAAGAGATTACTAAGTCAATTTCTACTTGGTATGGCATGTTCTTCAGATTGTCTGTAATTTATTGATATACAGTTATTCGTAGTATTATTTTATAATCCTTTTTATTTTTGTATGGTCATTAGTAGTGTCTCTTTCATATCTGACCTAGTAGTTTAAATCTTTCTTCTGGGTAAAGTTTGTCAATTTTGTTAATCTTCTCAATGAGCTTTTGGTTTTACTGATTTTTTTTCCCTCTATTTTTCTGTCTCTATTTCATTAGGTTATGCCCCATCTTTTTAATTTTCTTTCTTCTGGCTACAGGTTCAGTTTACTGTTCTTTTTTCAACGTGTTAAGGTAGAAGATTAGGTTATTAACTTGAGATACCTCTTCTTTTTAAATAGAGCTTTTACAATTATAGAGGTTTTACAATTATAAATTTCCCTCTACAGACGCTTTAGCTGTATTCCATAAATTTTAGTATATTTTATCATTTTCATTAATCTCAAAGTATTTTCTAATTTCCCTTTTGATTTCTTCTTTAACCCATTGGTTATTTAGGAGAGTGTTAATGTTCACATACTTGTTAATTTCCCAAATTTTTGTCTTTATTATTTCTAATTTTGTTTTTGTCGAGAATGTACTTGGAATTCTTTCAGTAGTTTTGAATTGTTCTAAGTTTGCTTAATGGCCTGACATGGTCTGTCCTGCAGAATGTTCTATGTGCAGTTGAGAAAAATGTGTATTCTGCTGCTTTAAGGTGGGATGTTTTATAGATGTCCTTTAGGTCTAGTTGGTTTAGAACTTCAGGTCTTAGACTTCTTTCTTTGCAGACCATTCTGTCTGGTTGGTCTATCTATTATTGAAAGTGGAGTATTGAAGTCTCGTAACTATTGTTGTTGTATTATCTATTTTTCCCTTCATTTCTATCAGTTTTTGCTTCATGTGTTTTCAAGCTCTGTTAAAATGTATTTTGTTTTGTATCAGCATAGCTATTTGAGCTTTCTTTTGATTATTCTTTGCATAATATTTTTTCCCATTTTTAAATTTTCAGTCTTGTTTATATCAGTAAATTTAAAGTGTGTCTCCTGTACACAGCATACACAGCAGTTGGATTTTGTTTTTTTTAATCCAATCTGAAAATCTATTCCTTTTTTGGATTGCTTAATCTGTTCACATTGAGTTTTATTACTGATATAGTTGGATTTGCAGCTGCCATTTTAATTTTTGTTTTCTGTGTCTTGTGTCTTTGTTTTCTCTTCTTTTACTGCTTCCTTTTGTATCATGTGAATTTTTTCTAATGTGGCATTTTAATTTTTTAAAGATTTCATATATATACACATGTATGTATGTATGTGTACATGTATATATATGTATATTTATATAGCGAGAGAGAGAGATTTTCTTAGTGTTTGCTGGGGCTTTCCATATACGTATTATTAGAATAAGCTTTAGGTTTACACTGACTGAATTCCAGTGTGATATAGAGGTGTTATTTCTGTATAGCTCTATTCTATTTTCTCTCTTTTTATGGTTATACATATTACATCTATAAATGTTACAAATCCAGCAATACATTATTATGATTAATACTTTATGTACTTTTTATTGCTTTTTGAAAATTTTTTATTACTTTTTGAAAATCATTTATGGTTTTTTTTTGTTTTTTTGTTTTTTGAGATGAAGTCTCACTCTGTCGCCCAGGCAGCCTGGAGTGCAGTGACACAATCTCAGCTCAGGGCAACCTCCGCCTCCCAGGTTCAAGTGATTCTCCTGCCTCAGCCTCCCAAGTAGCTGGGATTACAGGCTCACGCCACCACACCCAGCTAATTTTTTGTATTTTTAGTAGAGACAGTGTTTCACCATGTTGGCCAGACTGATGTCAAACTCCTAACCTCAGGTAATCCAGCTGCCTCAGCCTCCCAAAGTGCTGGGATTATAGGCGTGAGCCACCATGCCTGGCCACTTTTTATTACTTTTAAAGCTTATAGAAGAAAGGAAAGCCAGTGTGTATATATAGCTTTTGTTATATTAACCTTCTTATTTATCATTTTTGGTTCTATTTGTTCCTGTGGATTCATGTTACTACCTGGAGTTACTGCCTTAACCTTAAACAGTTTTGCTCCCACCTACTTCCATTATGTTGTTACTGCCAAGATACTATATTTTGGTATGTTACAGGCTCAATAATATAATGTATACATATTGTTTTATACAACTGCTTTTTAAATCATTGAAGAGAAAAAGACATTTATTTCTATCTTTTATAATTATATAATTACCTTTACCAGTGTTCTTTATTTTATTATGTAGTTTAAAATAAATGTCTAGTATTACTTGATTTTAGCCTGCAGAACTTCTTTTTGTGTTTCTTGTAAGGTGGATCTGCCAGAAACAGATTTTCTCAGTTTTTAGTCTATCTGAAAATGTCTTTATTTTGCCTTCATTTTTGAAAGGTAACTTTGCTGGATATAGGATTCTTGGTTAACAGTTGTTTGTTTTTTTCTTTGAATATGTCAACTCATTGCTTTCTGGCCTCCATTGTTTCTGCTGAGAAGTTTTTGCTGTTAGTCTTGTTGAAGTTCCCTTGTAAGAGATTAATCTTTTTTTCTCTTGCTGCTTTAAGATTTTCTCTTTTTGATTTGGCTTTCCACATTTTTATTATGATAAATGTATCTGCATAGAAAGTGACCAAACTTCTTTGCCTTTATCCTACTTGTACTTTATTGAATTTTATGGCTATGTAGATGAATTTTTTTTTCCAGTAAATTTTGAGAAGTTTTCAGCCACTATTTCTGTTTTTGTTTTGTCATTTTTAGAGACAGGGTCTCACTCTGTTACCTAGGTTAGAGTGCAGTGGTGCAATCATGGCTTACTGCAGCCTCAAACTCCTGAGCTCAAGCAATCCTTCCACCTCAGCCTCCTGAGTAGCTGGGACTACAGGTGTGCACCACCATGCCTGGCTAACTTTAAACAATTTTTGTAGAGACCAGGTCTCATTACATTGCCCAGGCTGGTTTCAAACTTCTAGGCTCAAGCAATCCTCCCGCCTTGGTCTCTCAAAGTCCTGGGATTACATTTGTGAACCACTGTGCCCAGGCCATTATTTCTTTGAATATTTTTCTACTTCTTTTTCTAAACCTCTCCCCTGGAACTTCCATTATGGGTATGTTGCACTTAATGGTGTCCTATATTTCTCTGAGGCTTGGTTCATTTTTATTTGTTTGTTCTTGCTCTGTTCTTGGGATTGCATAATCTCCATCAATAGTCTATCTTCAGATTCACTGTTGATATTATCTGCTAGTTCAGATCTACTGTTGGGCTCCTCTAGTAATTTTCCTCACTTCGGTAAATAGACTTTGAAACTCTAAAATTTGCTTTTGGTTTCTTTTTGTACTTTCTGTTTCTTCATCGATATGTTCTGTTTGATACAACATTGTTATTGTACCTTTTACTTCATTAATTGTGATTTCCCTTGATTCTTTGAATATATTTATAGTGGCAACTTTTAAGTCTCTTTAGCCTAACATCTGGTCACTATTACAGGCAAATTCTGTTGCCTACATTTTTCCCTGTTCTATGGGTCATAACTTTCCTGTTTCTTTGCATGTCTCTTTTTTGATAATATATTGTAGTAACTCTAGGTATTCCCCTCCCTGCCTCCACCTCTTGCAGGCCACTGTTGTTATTTCCTTGTTTATTTGTTTAGTGTCGGGCTGGATTATTTGATTGTAAGTCTCTGTCCTGTCTACCTCTTACCCCCTATAGTATGTAGCCTTTTAGTTTGTTTCTGGGGTAGAGTTGGGGGTCACAGCCTTGGTTATGCCCACAGTCACCCTGAGATGACAATGGTTTGGACAGGGGTCTCTGTGACTTTACCTTTCTCTGGGCATACCCAGGAGCTCTGTTAGCAGGAGGGCTCCTCCCACTATCATTTTTAAAACCAGGTTCTCTTCTGCAAACTATCTGCTGTACAATTTAGCCTATATCTCCAATGAATACAGATCTACCAGTTGCATTTCACCACAACCTCTGCTGTTTCTGAAAGTTATCTTAGTCTTGAATTTCCTCAGGCTCTGTTACAAATAAAATCTGGTCCTTTGGGAAGATATTAAGAGTTGTCTGTTTTAAGGCATATTTCTTCACCCAGGCAAAGTCTCTGAGTCAAAATTCTAAAGCTGGGGGTGGGGAGAATGCACACTTTTCTCTGAGTAACATCACTGCTTTAGAAGCAGGGGCATAGGTGGAGGGTTGGGGTGTAGCCTCAGGTATTTTCATCTTGCCTCTCCCAACATGGACCCATTGCCTTATAAACCAGGGGAAGGGCTGTTGGGGCCCTTTTTCTCAGGAGCACCACACCAAGATAGAGCCTCTGGCCAACCAGTAGAGGCTAGGTGAACGAAGGGGAGCCTCTACCTTTCAGCCTTACTTGCAGAGGACTTAGCAGCAGCAACAGGTAGGTGGGAGGAGAATGAGAAATGTTGACATCCTGCCCCTCCTAAAAGCCCTTTCCAAGCAAGAGCTGCAGGGATACTGAGCCCTTCTGTATTTTTGGCTTCACCAGTCTGGAGTTTCTGTTTCAGTGAAGTGGGAAGAGTGAGGAAGGGAGTGATCTTTTTTCAGATATCAAAGACTTTACTGAATTTTAGATTTTTTTTTGGACTAGATCTTTCTTTATTTGATATATTCTCTTAGGACTGTTTCCAGAAAATTTAAATGATTGGTTTTTCATAATTTTCTTCAGTTGCTGGGGAGCAGGCTTGTGGATCACATGGTAGTCAGTCAAAGGTTCAGGAGAGAAAAATTATAGCTAACATAGTTACAAGTACGCATACACACACAAAAGACATATTTTTAAAAAATTACTTGCCTCTTTTGATCCTAAATTCATTTCTGTGACTGCCTAACTATAAAGGTAGAATCAGTTGATGAGAGTTCTTTTAGGCAAAGATAGAATGAGGACTAGAGAGGAACACATTCATTTTTTTCTGTTTCTATTGATGGTGAAACTAATTTTTCCATTGCACTACCTGAATTTGTTCACTAAAAATGTGAAGTACATTTTTATTAATTTTGGGATCTAGGTCAGAATACAAATCCAAAGATTTTTGTGGCCAATAGAGCTTGCCAGAGGCAGAGGGAGTATCCAAACCGACGAAGAAAACTGTTAGAAGCATTTTAAATAAATAAAAATGTAATTGTAATTGTCAATGTTATTTTAAATTGCTTGTTTCTTTGCATTCTACAAGCTCGGGATTACCAAATTATGTTTTAATTAGGTAATTTCAGTTTATAGCAAGAAATTAGCCACACTTTAAAAGGAATAAAGAGAAGCTAGGAAAAAGAAGTTCAGTTATACTGTTAGGAAGTAAAAATTAGGACTTAAAAACAAAAATCTAAATTAAGATAATAGAACACTTAACTAGTTTTTTTATCTGAAAGTGGACATTGATCCATCTTTACAGAGTGCAAAACTAGAGTAAGTTAGCTGAGAAAAAATTTATAATCTTAGGAAATACTTTTAACAGCAAAATTTTCATTTAATGTTACAATTTAGAAGGCTTCCTATTGTGTTTCCATAGTAACACTTGAGAATATTTCCATAATGCTATAAGTTGGTTTTAGTAGCTCTGCAAAAATAGATGATTATGTATGATATACTTGAGTTATAATAGTCACTTCTGTGATTGTTATATCTTACAGAGAATATTAAATTTATTAATCTACAAAATTGGAACCAAATCCAACAACAGAGTTATCTAGAAACATTAAAGATTGCTCATACGCCTGTGGGGTTTTTTTGTCCAGATACTCACATCTTCCTAACACCTTGGAGCTAATTCATCTATCACATTGTGTTATGCATCTTATTCAGAGGGTTTTTTTCCTCCTCTGTAAAGCTAATGTGATAATCCTTGAGTCTTCTTATAATCATTGACTCCTTAGGAAGACTTGATAGTTGATCATAGCTATTTGTTTAGCTCATTGTTTGTAAAACTCATTTCATAATGACTGAACATAATCTTTGCAGATAAAAATAATCTAATCAAACTATCTTCATTTTTGCTTTGTGTTTAAACTAAGGAATGTTTTGCAGCTTCCTTTAAAATAACCACATTTTGAACTAATGTATGATGAGAAAAAGTTTTTCTTTCGTATTGGAAAAATAGAGTGTATGCTTTCTTTGAGGAAATTTGAACTCAATGATTTAAAACAATTGTGATTTCTTTTTTCTTCAGCATTTGGAAATATGTTTTATTCTTGTTAAACAGTTGGTAGTTTATTGCAGAAATAGATTGTAGAAATGGATTCGTTGTCATTTATTGACAGATTTTCACTTTTTTAATAGGAACTGTCCTGGGTGGAGTCCACATAGTCAAGTCTTTGCTGTATAACTTTCCTTTTGTATATTTTATGCAAAACAGATTATTTAAATATTTTATTTAAAAATGCGGCATTCTGTACTGAAAAAATATCTTCTGTTATTGCTTCAAAGATGCTACTCAAACATACATTATCATAGTGCAGAAGTTGTGAGATCTTAGTAGTTGTTAGATCTTCAGAATTATAGTTTTATTACAGAATATTAAAGACTAAAAGACAATAAAAATTGGAACCACATTATAGAAATGCTAGCATAATAAGCAATAAAATAATCTATTCTCAATCTATTATGTTAGAGTGATTTGAAGATGCAAATTAATTTTCTGACACTGAAAATTTTAGTTTCTTAACATTATTAGAAACATTCTGTGACACACTTGACAGTGCTTGTACTATTAAATTAGAATTTATAAATATAAAGTTATTTCTGTGTTTTCTCATCCAATGGAACATGTTGAATCCAGAGAGACAGTTTTCATTTCATAAAATAAGTATGTATTACACAGTTTGTGTCAGTCATAATGCTAAATGCTGAGAAAATAGTTCCTATACAGATGGAACTTAAAATTTATGGGCCAGTTTCTTAAGAATGAATGAACATCTTCTGTTTTGTTTTTTAGCCTAACTCTGGTGAACTGGATCCTTTGTATGTAGTAGAAGTACTTCTGCGCTGTAGCAAAGAGAGCTTGAAAAATTCAGCTACAGAAGCTGCAAAACCAGCTAAACCTGATGAGAAAGGAGAGATGCAGGTTTGTACATAACTTTCTGTCTTCTGATTTCAGATATTCTGTAACTTATTTGTCATCACCAAAGTTCTCCAATGTGATGGTAATGAACATACTATCATGATTTCTAAATTAGAAGTTTTCAAGGTATTTTAAGGTATATTAGTAAAGCTATCTAACGTATCAGTAGGATAATTAATGAGATTTGTTTTTATTTTTCTTTTATCAAATTACAACAAGATAAATCGTGACAAAGTGAAAGAAAAAGTATTCAGTCATTGAAATTTTACATGAAGCTGGATTTTGCCAGGGCCATAAAGATTTTTCATTATCCTTGCTTGTGACTGAGTGATTTTACAGTTTGAATCCATTCATGCTGTTTATTTCCCATTCCCATGGAAATAGAGGCAGTCCTGATTTAGGATTTTTAGACTTTACAGTAGTGCAAAAGTAATACATTAATGAGATATTTAACATTTATTACAAAATAGGGTTTGTGTTAGATGATTTTGCCCAAATGTAAGCCAGTGTAAGTGTTCTTAGCACATTTAAGGTAAACTACACCAAGTTATGTTTGGTACATTAGGTGTTCATGTATTAAATACATTTTTGACCTAACGATATTTTCTACTTACAACTAGTTTATCAGAACATAACCCAATTTTAAGGAGGAGGCTCTGTAATGACTGAAGCATTATTTTAACAATGAAAAATTTCTACCCAAGTTTCCTTAGTTAAAATCATTTAATTTACATGTGCTTCTAATTGAATGTAAAATATGGCGTATTGGATAGGTCTTTTACAAAATGTCATTGTAATGATATTTGTTATTATAAGCATGGTTTGTAGAAAGTAAAATCTGCCACTGTAGTATCATAGACTGCTTCTTTGGATCAATAAATTATTATGGGTTTTGGAGTTGGCAGTATTTTTAAAAAGACAATTCACTGTAACATTTTTAAATGACGATTTAAATGTTTATTTATAATTCTGAATATTACCTAAACTTTGGTCTCCTTTTCTTAGTATTCTAATTTGTTCACCTCTAGAATTCCACCACCAAGTGAAACTTGTGTGATTTTTATTTTTTTCTAACATTTATTTTACTGATTGACTGCCTAACTATAAATAAGGCTAAAACTCCCACAGTTAGGCATATACTCTTTGTCCCCAAAGGGCCTTTAGGAGTTGTTGCAAGTTGGAATAGCAAATATGTGCCACACATCTCAACATTCTCCCTTTCTCATGGCAGACATTGATAGTAAGTCATAGCACTCTTACACTGAAAGCTCAGATTCTTCCAAGAAAATTATATAGGCAGTCATGAAACCAAGGCAAACTGAGGGCCTTTCCTCTGCTCCTGTAGCATTTTTTGTTATGTTTATTTCAGTCTACGCTGCTAAGGAAATTGGCAAGGGGTGGGGGGTTGTTAACATGAATTTTACAGATACTCTGTGACTTTAAGGGGATGCAGCTTAATAAGGAAGCATTTTGTGCTTCAAAACTGCTCAGGGTGGGTAATTAGTAAAGCTTTATAAAGGAAGTAGTGAGATTTTAACAAACTTGTAGGAACATGAGTACCTTTACAGACAAGAATTATATTCCTAGCAAGGGAAGCCATATGTACAGAGCATGAAACCCCCTCTTTAGAAAGAACTTCACATTTTTCTGTTCCTTGTGGTTAATGACAAAAGGCATGAAACAATGTACAGAGAGAGGGACTATAGGTTAAGAAACCATATTATATATATTTACATATAATTATATATGTTTTATAAATATATTGTTTGCCTTGTAGATTATCTTGAATAGAAATCCTAGACAGAGAAATAGTTATGTGGGCAGTTTATAAGGAAATATTAGCTCTCAACTTCATTGATTGTGTAGCATTATTCAGGGTAGGTTAAAAGCAGGCTTCCATTGCATAAGGTAAGTAGGATTTCCATAATCATCCTTGCCCTGTCTGACTTTGAGTGGATATGATGCCAAATTTAGCTTTTTATCAGCGTTTATAGAAGACTACTTTCTTTTTTCTTTTTTTTTGAGATGGAGTCTCGCTCTGTCACCAGGCTGGAGTACAGTGGCACAATCTTGGCTCACTACCACCTCTGCCTCCTGGGTCCAAGTGATTCTCCTGCCTCAACCTCCCGAGTAGCTGGGACTACAGGTGTTCGCCGCCGTGCCCGGCTAATTTTTGTATTTTTACTAGAGACTGGGTTTCACCATGTTGGCCAGGATGGTCTTGATCTCCTGACCTCATGATATGCCTGTCTCAGCCTCCCAAAGTGCTGGGATTACGTGCATGAGCCACCGCACCTGGCCTTGAAGACTACTTTCTGAAGTGACTTTTCCTTGTATCTATAATATTCTTGAACTTACTTTTCTAAAAAAGGCTTAGAGTGTGTGTGTGTCTGTGTGTAGAGGGCAAGAGCACTCCAGCTCTGAATTACATTGATTAACAGAGGTGAACAGTTTAGTGTGTTCTAAAGATCACTTGCAGTTTTGACACTGTTGCTTTGCCAGCTCCCATGTGTCTGACCATTTCCCCTTATCATGGCCACGTCATGATAGTTAAATGAGACTCAGCGTCAGGGAGTGAAGATAAGGGAGTTCTGTTTTGTTTTTCTAGACCAGGAACTAGGTGGAATCATTCCTCATTAGATAAAAACATCTATAAAAGGACATGGAATAGAAGATTACAGATTAGAACTGTACACTTATAAAAATTTGAGGATTAAGATACCAGTACTTGTCATGGAATAATATTTGCTGTTTTGGCAGGTTTCAAGTTTACCTTGAAGATGTTCTATGGAAATCAGATTTTTTGAGGGGGTCAACTTTGAACGTATTTTAAATTGCTGATTTAAACCCTTTGTCTATTAAGTCAAATTTCTTGGCTTCCTCAGGATATTTTCTATTAATTACTATTTTTCTCTGTGTATAGGTCATACTTTATTAATTTCTTTACATGTCTCATAATTTTTCATTGAAAATTGGACATTTTAAATAATGTAGTGAGATGGATTAGGGATCCTTCCTTTAGAGTGCACCTAGCTTAGACCTAAAAAATAAATAAACAAGGCTGGGTATAGTGGCTCATGCTTATAATCCCAGCACTTTGGGAGACTGAGGTGGGAGGATTGCTTGAGCCCAGGAGTTCAAGACCAGCCTGGGGCAACATAGTGAAACCCTGTCTGTACAAAAATAAATAAATAACAATTAGCCAGGCATGGTGGCATGTGCGTGTAGTCCCTGCTGTTTTGGAGGCTGAAGTGGGAGGATCGTTTGAGCCCAGGAGGTTAGGGCTGCAGTGAGCCGTGACCATGCCACTGCACTCCAGCCTGAGCAACAGAGCAAGACCCTCTCTCAAAAAAATCAATCTCTTTGTCTAAAAAAACATAGTAGAGTTGAGCTTGTTTTATTCCCTATAAAAACTAAAAATAACATCTTCACATATGTCCCTAAATTATTTTTCAAAAACTCAGACATACACCAAACAGATATACTGGCACATAAGCCTCAAATAAGGAGGAACAGAGGACTAAAACTCTGACTGCTGTTCTTTGTTCTAAATTTCTTCCTGAGGGGCCTAAAAGAGCCAGAATGAACATTTTTTTCTACTGATCCCAAATTTTTAGACAAAACTTCTCCTTAACCAATTACAAATCAAAAATCTTTAAATCCACCTATAACCTGTGGGCCCCTGATTTGAGATGTCCTGCCTTTTTAAATCAAACCAGTATATAACCTCCATATATTGATTTATAACTGCTGTAACTTCTGCCTTCCTGCCCTTAGAAACCCTTAACCTGTAAGCCATCTGGAAGGTCAGGACTTAAATATTAACTACCTAATCCTCCTTGCTTGGCACCCTACAAATAAACACCTTCCTTTCTCCCACTACAAACCTCAGTGTAGATATCTGGTCTTACTGCAGCAGGCAAGCGGGCCCCAGTTTGGTTCTCTAACAGTAGCAACTCTGTAAATCGGAATTTTCCTGCACCCCCAGAGTTTATTCTTGTTATTTGTTGTCACTGGTTTGTGTTGTCATTTCTGAATTATTTTAAGTCTATATTTTTTAATTGTGTGTGGCCACCAAGGTCTCTGCTTGGTTAGTTTAATGGTCAGCTCATAATTGTGCAGAGACTTCCTTAAATGCCTGCAATCATTAAGTTCTCCTGTCTGGCCAGGCATGGTGGCTCATGCCATAATCCCAGCACTTTGAGGGGCTGACGTGGGTAGATGACTTGAGGTCAGGAGTTCGAGACCAGCCTGGCCAACGTGGCCAAAACCCATCTGTACTAAAAATACAAAAATTAGCTGGCATGATGGTGTGCGCTGGTAGCTTCAGCTATTCGAGAGGCTGAGGCAGGAGACTTACTTGAACCCAGGAGGTAGAGGTTGCAGTGAGCCAAGATTGTGTCACTTCACTTCAGCCTGGGTGACAGAGAAGGGCTCTGTCTAAAAAAAAAAAAAAAAAAAAAAATTCCCCAGTCTTTACTTAGAGGCTTTGTATGCATATTGCAGCAAGCCATCAACCCTCAGCTAGGCAGTTAACAACATTACCTTAGCCGCTTCCTGGATGTACAGTTTCATGGTCAGACAGAAGTGAGAGCTTAGAGTCTTTTCAGGTCTTTCTTGACTATGCACACAGCCCTGTACATGGCCTTCTAGATTTCCAGAAATGTGTGGGAGCTTTTCTAATTCCCCATGAATGTCTTACTCCCCAGCCTTTCCTTTTAAGCTTTCTGGTTAACCTGTTGTTTCTCCCAGCTGTCATTCACAACCTCAGGCAGCCATGGTGTTAAGCAGTTGCTTCTTACTATTTTTGACAAACACAGCCAGGAAAAAGGTTTGCACTGGTAAGCTCTCAGTCAGGTCAAATAAAAAACAGCCTTGTGAATGGAGTCTTCCGGGGAACCACCAGACTGCAATAATGACAATTCTATGGAAATAGGCCTTCAAAGAGGTTCCAGCCCTATTCTCTCCCCTCCAGTGGCTGCCATACTGGTTTTCAGTGGGATTTGCTCTTTGATTTTCAGGCTATTAGGAAGCTAAGGAGTGGGAGATGGAGTAGGATAAGTTAAATTTGCCACAAAGCTTGTTATTCTTACCAAAAGTCAGCATTTTTCTTGAATATATGCTCCCTGGATTCCTGCAAGCCTTTGGTTAATTTCCAGAATTTTGAAGAAGTTGATTTTGACAAGTTTTCTCAGTGTTGGCATTGCTTTTATGGAGAAAAGGATTTTTGGAGGTCCTTACTCCACCATTTTCACTGACACAAATCCAGTTTTTTAATTGCAAATTAATCAATAGCACATTGGTTAAAATAACTGTGTGTGCCATGACTTGATTAAAATTCAGTTGGTTCAAAAAACAACTTGCTTGTTGAATGAAAAATTCAAAAACCATATTTTGTTTCAGGTGATAGTCTTGATTTGAAGAAATTATATAGCTTGAAATGTATTTAGAATGTATTGACTTAAAACTTGCTTCTTATATTGTCTACCACATTTGCTTATTTAGGGGAAAATTAAAAAGATTTAAAAGGTCTAAGGATAAAAATACTTCCTGTTATTGGTATTCTAGCAAGTTTCCACTGATTGCTCACATGGTTATTTGGACTTACAAAGACCAGTGCTGCATCATGTTGAACCTGAATTCTGAGTTATATCATGAAGGTAATTAGGTTTAGAAAATTGAATAAACTGCCATATGCAAATATTATGATGTTTTTAAATATCTGAAATTTGATATTTATAATTTCATGACAACTATTCATTCAATTTTTAAACATTTAACTTCTTGTTTATAAAATGTCATGTTTCTAGTTAGGGAACTCTTAGGATTTCCCTTTTCTGTGCTTTAGGAGGCATTTATAGAATGGCCTTTGTAATCTGTTTCCTGTCATTAAAGTGTTAGTTGACCATTTCTTGGATGGAGTTTATTATGGAAAGCAGCCTTTGAAATAGGACAGTTTTTGTCTTCTTTCTGAATCTCGTCTTCACAAAATAGTGTTACTCTGTTTTGAAGGAAATTCACAGATACCTGTGCATATTGAATTCGACTACAGGTATATAAAAATACTCTTTCTAAAGCCAAGTGAATTATTTTTAATTTTTCTACCTTTTTAGATGTAGTTAAGTGCATACAAATTGTGCATCTTTCACTCTGGATGTCGGCTATGTGGTATTGATAATTTTTCATGTCCTGAGTCTTCTCTGTCCAAACAGTGCATCAACTGCTGGTTCACAAATTGGTGGCCCAAGACCCAATGCAGCTTACAGAATGTTGTTTCTAAAATGAATTAGACCAGCAGTCCCCAGTCTTTTTGGCACAAGAAACTGGTTTTGTGGAAGATAGTTTTTCCATGGACCAGTGTGGAGCAGGGGTGGTTTGGGGATGAAACTGTCCCACCTCAGGTCATCAGACCTTAGATTCTCATAACGACCAGGCGACCTAGATCCCTTGCATGTGCCATGTTTGCACTGGTATGAGAATCTAATGCTGCTGCTGATCTGACAAGAGGGGGAGTTCAGGCAGTAATGCTCTCTCCCCCACCACTCTTGCTGCATGGCCTGGTTCTTAACAGGCCACAGACTGGTACCATCCCGGGGCTTGGGGACCCCTGAATTAGCCAGTTTGGAAGTAAAAATAAAAATGATAGTAAAGGGCCGGGCGTGGTGGCTCACACCTGTAATCCCAGCATTTTGGGAGGCAAAGGCGGGCAGATCACCTGAGGTCAGGAGTTTAAGACCAGCCTGTCTAACATGGTGTAACCCCATCTCTACTAAAAATACAGAAATTAGCCAGGCATGGTGGCAGGTGCCTGTAGTCCCAGCTACTCGGGAGGCTGAGGCAGTTGAATCACTTGAACCCAGGAGGCGGAGATTGCAGTGAACCGAGATCGCACCGCTGCACTCCAGCCTGGGTGGCAGAGCAAGAATCCATCTCAAAAAAAAAAAAGATAGTAAAGGATTTATAACCATATGAAAATAAAATAATCCATGCATCCAGAGAGAGATATATAAAATATAAAGGAAATGGCTGGCCGTGGTGGCTCACGCCTTTAATCCCAGCACTGTGGGAGGCTGAGATGGGTGGATCACTTGAGGTCAGGAGTTCGAGACCAGCCTGATCAACATGGCGAAACCCCGTCTCTACTAAAAATATAAAAATTAGTTGGGCATGGTGGCACACGCCTATAATCCCAGCTACTCAGGAGGCTGAGGCAGAAAAATTGCTTGAACCCGGGAGGTAGAGATTTCAGTGAGCCGAGATCATGCCATTGCACTCCAGCCTGGGCGACAGAGCAAGACTCTGTCTCAAAAAATAAAATAAATAAAATAAAATAAAAGTTAGAAAAGTCACCATTAGGCAACTACCACAAATAGTAATTTACTATGGCAAGAATCATCCGTGGATGCTGAAACTGGCAAACTGAAAGTTTAATGAAGAAAGGATATTTACAAAGTCTCTAAAGGCTCTCCCTACAAATTTCTTAATTGTAGAGAGTAAAATAGTAAATAATACTATAATAAAGAATCCTGCAGATAGCACCTTAATTGAATGATCAAAGTGATCAACATTATCTCTAATAATGTTGACTAGTGGACTGAGTAGAACAGAACATGACTTCCACCAAAAATGGATAATCTGAATCTTATGATTCCTCATAACTAGAGAAACCCAAACTGAGACTCATTTTATAAAATAACCTATATTCTTTTTAAAAAATCAAGGTCTTGAGAGACACAGAAAACTGGGGAACTGTTCCAGATTAAAGAAGAAAGAAATGTGACATCAATGCATGATCCTAGTTTGGTTCCATGGAGTAGTGGTGGGGAAGGTACAGTGGTATAAAAGACATTATTGTGAAAGAGGACGAAATCTTAATATGGACTACAGATTAGATGATATCATTGTCTCGACATTAGATTTTCCTCTTTTAATACTTGTACTTTATGTGTGTAGAAAGAGAACGATGAAGCAAATAGGCAAAATATAACTAATTAGTGAATTGAAATAAGGGTATGTGGGATTTATTTCATTCTTACAAGTTTTCTGTAAACTTGGAATTCTGTGAAAATGTCAGTACCATGAAAGAGCAAGAAAGGTGGGGTATATTTTTAGATTAAAGAAGACTAAGGAGACATGACCACTAAATCCAGTTTATGATCCTTGGCTGGACCCTGAATCCAAAAGTATGATGGTAATAGTAATGTATAAAGGTCATTAGTGGGTCAGTGGGGAAATCTGAATAGGGATTGTATATGATATTTCCTTAGATCTTACAACATTATAGCTTTGCAGGAGAATGTGCTTGTTCTTAACATATACATGTATTTGCTGGTCAAGTGAAGTGATGTCTGCAAGTTAATTTCAAATGATTAAAAAAGGAAGAGGAGGAAGAGGCAGGCAGGAAGAAAGAAAAAACACCCCACCCCAAAAACTTTAACTAGAAAGAAAAAAACTGCTGTTAATGGTTTGACAAACTAAACCTTTTTTGGCAAGTTTGGCAAATTATCGAACCTTTCTACCTGTACTAGAAAATCTAGAAAGGTTAGATAATTTGTGCAAGGTCACACAACTAGCTGAAGACTGAGTTCAATCACTGTACCGTTTTTGTTCAGTAAAGCACTGTGAATGTATTTGCTATCAGCAAGCCAGTGAAAATTGTGTTTTCATCAGTGATCAGTGTAAAAGTAGCCATGGAAGACAGATTTGGACCTGTGGAAACATTAACTTTGCCTCAGTTTATAGAGGCTCTCTGGATTCAAGAGCAGTTGAAAGGAAGCAAAATTTGATGTCGATAATGTGCCATTTTGACAAGAGAAAACATGGAAGAAAGTTTGCAGATAGGTGTTCTTCAAGATTATGTCTAATGGAATATGCTGCTTTCTGTCTTTGAAATACTTCTTCATTTCTGCCCATCCAGAACTTACATGAATCTTTCTTGACTTCCTAAACCTGTTAACAAGAGTCTTTCATTCTTAGTACTATAGTACCTTTATGTATTAATATTTTTGAACTGCCAAATATCTGAGACCATAAAAATGAGTAAAGTGTGCATTCTGTATTGAGGGGAGCTCTTATTTTTATGTACCATTTATTTACCTGTTATTTAGAAGTTTGAACTGGTTTTTATTTTTTAAATACAGTCTCTAATAAGAAAAGCTTCAGTGTGGGAGAATGCTTCACGGTGATTATTATGTACTTCTTATACCTGTTACATACCATAAATGCAACTTCCTCTTTAGGGATCCAAGTTTAGGAAATAGTAGAATATGAACATGTGCAAATTTAACTGTAATACTGTATAACTTTTTGGTCATAGGTTGTCCCAGTTTTGGTGCATCTCCTGTCTGCTATCAGCAGTGTTAGGCTTTACATTCCTAAAGACCTTCGGCCGGTGGACAATAGACAGAGTGTTTTAAAATCAATACAGGTATGTGTTAATTTCATAAGTTAAGTATAAATTTTATGTAAATACAGGTAGTGTTTATAAAGAGGCAACTGAAATGCTTTTAAATATATTGCTTTCTTTCAGAATACCTATAAATACTACCAATAGTGACAATTATTTTTCATAAAAATAAAGGCAGCAGACCTTCATGTGGATTTGTACTCTCTTTGAATCTACCAACAAAGTGAGTTAGTAAAGGAGGACTCACAAGGAAAACCATTCTGCTTTATTCATTATGAGTGAAAGCTATAGACTGTATTACAAGTTTTATGTATAAAATCATGTACTGACAGGACATTTAACCATTTTTTAATATAGTTAATAAATACATGAAATTGTTTTATTTTCAATAGGGAAAATTGAGATTTTGTAGTAAATTTAATTTCCTAGTAGAAAAAAGGTGCAGTGGTTCATGCCTGTAATCCCAGCTCTCTGGGATGCCACAGCACAAAGGATCACCAGAGGCCAGGAATTTGAAACCAGCCTGGGCAACATAGTGAGACCCCCATCTCTACAAAAAATGTAAAACTAATTTAAAAAGAAATTAGTAGGACTCAGTGGTATGCATCTATAATCCCAGTTACTCAGGAGGCCAAGGCAGGAGGTTCACTTGATCCCAGGAGTTCCAGGCTCTACAGTAAGCTGTGATCACATCACTGCACTCTAGCATGTGCAACAGAGTGAGAACTTGTCTCTTTTAAGAAAAAAAAAAAAAAACAAGGAAGTGATTTTAACGAAGTTATTTAGTTAGTTAATAGTTTGAAGAGCATTTACTGTGCAGTGAAGGCTCTGTACTAAAATCTGAGAAAGCAAAGATAAGTAGGATGCTTTCAGAGTAGAGTAGGAATTTTTAAGCTGTGTTCCAATGGTGGGCTTCCTGAAATGAGTGATTCTCTGACAGTTTTACAAAATTTTTATGTAGATGTGGATATCTTTTCCAAAACAATCACTCCTAGAAGGTTTTTATCACTATTGGTCTGGTAGTAAATAAATATCTTATAAGTTCATTGAAATTGTTTTTTCTGATATTTTCAGAATAGCACAGTTTTGAGCAGAAATACACATTAATCATTATTAACTTAGCATTAAGTAATGCCATTATTTTGAAAAAACTAATTGTTTTGTACTTCTGGGTTAGGTCAGTTGTCATTTTGCTAAAGTGAAAATTGAAATTAATTTTTCTTTGTCTATTGGCAAATGTCAGGCTTGTCTGTATTTGTCTTAAACATCCCTGTGCTGTATCTGGTGTTGATATATTTCAGCTTTCACATTAATTTCATGATAATCTGAGTCTCAGTTTTGCAACATGTTTTAAACAAAGTTAGACTATTTTTTTCTTGGTTCTTCATAGTCGTTTACATCATTCACCACATAGTGAGAAGCCACAGGAGGAAGAATTGGGGAAATTAGCCTGCCAACAGGACCCTTCACATAATAAATAAAGATTTCCCTTTAGCTACATTAATTATACTTTTTAAACTTCAGAACCGCAATTTTAGTGTTTTCTCTGTTCTGGAACCTCACACCAGTGACTCAGTTTCTTTATATATAAAACTTGGCCAGGCTCGTGTAGGATTTTTGTGCTGACACTAGCCTGCTTTGATTAGGGCAGACATATATCCTGAAACTGTACCATATGCACTTACCAGAGATATCAGTCTTTTGAAAGAGCTTGCCTTATTTGCTCATTTAGGACATAATGTGCAAATGTCTTTGAACCCTTTACATTTGTTTGTCACTCTTAATGTGTTTCTCCTCCCCAATTCCCAGTTCCTAACTAGCCAAATCCTACCTTATCTTTAAGGCTTATCCAAGACCCTGAAAGTTTCTCAGTAGGATACCAGCCTACAGTGAGCTGTTTCTTCTCTGTATGAATATGTCTATTGCATTTAACCATTAATCATGTTTTTCTTTAAGCTAAAGGTCTCAGGACCTTTTATTTTTTATTTTTTTATTTTTTTGAGACGGAGTCTTGCTCTGTCGCTCAAGCCAGAGTGCAGTGGCGCAATCTCGGCTCACCGCAAGCTCCACCTCCCGGGTTCACGCCATTCTCTTGCCTCAGCCTCCCTAGTAGCTGGGACTACAGGCGCCCACCACCACGCCTGGCTAATTTTTTGTATTTTTAGTAGAGACGGGGTTTCACCGTGTTAGCCAGGATGGTCTCGATCTCCTGACCTTGTGATCCGCCCACCTCGGCCTCCCAAAGTGCTGGGATTACAGGCGTGAGCCACCGCGCCTGGCCCTCAGGACTTTTTAAAAAGTCTATACTTTACAAGTCAGTAGTGCCCTCCCTAGGCATCAACACCAAGGAAATAATCTGAAAACAGTTTAAACATAGATGCTCAATACAAGATTACTTTTGATGGCAAGAAGTTACAACAATGTAAATATACAATAATGAATTTAGCAATAAGTTGTGCCACGTTCAGGACTATGATCAAATTGTGACTTGTAGATTTATTAACAAATCATAATACATCTGTAAATCATAGTATAGCGTTGAAAAAGAGTTTTCAAAAATAAATGCAATGGAAAAATGCCCTATAATTTAAATTGGCAAAAGACAAAATTATATATGTAGTATACTTTTTATGTCCATGTGCATAGAAAAAAAGGGAAACACTGATTTGGTTTGGTCTTACTAATTTTGACTATAAGATGAAAATGAATTTTACATATTTTTTTCAGGAAGTTCAGAAACGTTTTCCTGACGGCATCCCCTTATTAGACCCTATTGATGATATGGGCATTCAAGATCAAGGGCTGAAAAAAGTCATTCAGAAAGTAGAAGCTTTTGAGCATCGAATGTATTCTCATCCACTTCACAATGATCCAAATTTGGAAACTGTGTATACGCTTTGTGAAAAAAAAGCACAGGTATGGCAGAAATTTGGTTTTTATAGTAGAATTCTATATGTTTCACTGAATAAATATGTGTTTGTCATTTTCTTATCCTGTTGGTTTAATTGGCTAAAACAGGAAAATGTGAGCTATCTTTTAAATAAACTGTCAGCTCTGAACCTGTCAGCTCTCATCAGCAAGACAAGATAAAGTTCATTTTGCTATAGTTTGATATTTCACATAGGATGTTCTGTTTTTTCTTCTTTTTTAAATTTGAGATATAATTTACACAGCATAGCATTCACCCTTTTAAAATGTCCAACTCACTGGTTTTTAGTGTATTCACAGATACTTGCAACCATCACCACTATGTAACTTCAGAACATTCTTCTCACCCTCTGAAGGAACTTTATACCCATTAGCAGCCACTCTCTGTTTCTCCCATCCTCCAGCCCTTGGCAATCACAAATCTTTCTATCTGTATGGTTTTGCCTATTCTGGATATTTCTTATAAATAGAATCATGTAATATATGATGTTTGTGTCTGCTGTCTTTCAGTTAGCATGTCTTCAGGGTTTATGCCTGTCATAGCATAAATCAGTACTTCATTCCTTTTAAGGCCAAATCTTGTGTGTGTGCGTGCGTCCGTGCATGCGTGTGTGTGTGTGAGACAGAGTCCTGCTCCGTCACCCAGGCTTCAGTCCAGTGGCATGATTATGGCTCACTGCAACCTCTGCCTCCCGGGTTCAAGTGATTCTTCTGCCTCAGCCTCCCTAGTAGCTGGGATTACAGGCACGCACCACCATGCCCAGCTAATTTTTGTATTTTTATTAGAGACGGGGTTTCGCCATGTTGGCCAGGCTGGTCTTGAACTCCTGACCTCATATTATCCACTTGCCTCAGCCTCCCAAAGTGCCGGGATTACAGGCATGAGCCACCGCACCTGGCCTGGCTAAATTATATTTTGTTATGTGGATATGCCATATTTTGTTTACCCATTCATCAGTTGATGGACAGGACATTTGTTTTTTTCTAACTTTTTGGCTCTGATGAATAATGCTGCTGTGAACATTTGTATACAAGTTTTTGTATGGATGTTTTGAGTTCTCTTGAGTGGAATTAGGTAGGATTGATGGATCATATGGTAACTCTATATTTACCTTTATTCTCAGAAACTACCAGACTGTTTCCAAAATGGCTACACCACTTTATGTTCTCACTAGCAATTTGCAAGATAACTGCTTTCTCTACATCTTCGCCAGCATGTGTTATTGTCTGTGGTTTTTGCTGTAGCCATCTTAATAGCGTCAAATGTTAGTAGTTCAGCTTTTTAGCATAATTAGCTGTAATATCTAACCAGTAAAACCATTATTATAAGCATTCTGTATAGCAAATTTAGAAAAAGCTTTTTGACGTGAACACAATCCTTTCCACTACCTACTTTTTTTCAACTGGAATGTATTATACTATACAAATCTCCTTTCCTCCATGAAACTTACAACTCCTTGCTGTTGTACTTTTTCAACTTTTATCACATACCACTTTTATCAATACATTTGTCTTTGTGTCTCACAAACTAGATTTTAAGCTCCTTAGAGTCAGATGTTTCATTTTAACTTTACATTTTCTCATAATGGTCTGTCTTTATAAAGTAAATGCCCAGTGTTTATTGGATAAATACATGAGTAGAAACTCCTTTAATAGAGTAATGTGTTCAGTTCATAGTTTTAAAGCACTCTCCCTTCTAGCTTTTTGTGAACTTACATCATATGGTGCTGTAGCATATACACAATACTGGCTGCATGCTCAGTGAACACATCTATGCTCTGACCCACCTTCAAGTGCTGCTAGGCAGGAAGCTTGCCAGGTACTTCTCAAGATGAGGAAACTGGGACACAACAAACTTTCATTACTTACACAGATATCCAGTTGTGATTCTCACCTGTTCATCTCTTAACCAGGACCATTGCAGCAGCTCTCTCCCTGCTGTCAGTCCCTCCATGGCCACCAGGGTCGGCCTTATGTTTTCACAACACAAGAACAGGTAGACTTGAGCGTGATTGAATGATTGGAAAGCATCCTTGGAGGTGGTTTGAAGGCATTATCTGAGCTGCTCAAATATACTGAAAAAGACCTTGTCTGGCTGAAGGGACTGGCTAAATAAAGTTGTTATGGAGACTCTGCAATAACATGTAAGAAAGCTCATGCATAAGCATAACATGAAAAAAGGATCTGAAATTGAAGTGGACTATGATTACTATTTAGCAAAAATATAAAATACACCAGAAAAGACTGAAAGGAAAACTTTAAGTGGTTGTGTTACAGCAATAAGATTATAGTGGTCTTTTTTTTTTCTTTTCCTGCCCCCTCCCCATCATTGTCTATAATGTGCTTATATGTATATAAGCACATGATATATAAATATAAGCACATTATATGTGTGTGTGTGTGTGTGTATGTGTATGTATGTGTGTGTGTGTGTGTGTGTATATATATAATTTCTTTTTTTTTTAATGGAAGAAAAATACAGCCTGGGCACAGTGGCTTACTCCTGTAATCCCAACACTTTGGGAGGCCAAGGCGGGAAGATCACTTGAAGCCCAGAAGTTTGAGACCACCCTGGACAAGATGATGAGACCCCCATCACTGCAAAAAAATTTTAAAAATTAGCCAGGCATGGTAGCATGCACCTGTCATCCCAGGTACTCAGGAGGCTGAGGTAGGAAGGTCACTTAAGCCAAGGAGGTTGAGGCTACAGTGAGCCATGGTTGCACGACTGTACTCCAGCCTGGGTGACAGAGTGAGACCCTATCTCTTTAAAAAAAAACAAAAACAAAAAAAAAGTGTACATGTGCAGTCCAGACATTTTTTTTCCCAATATTTTTGATCCACAGTTGGTTCAATCCATGGATGTGGAACCCACGGATATGTAGGGCCAACTGTATATCTGTGTTCTTTTATAAATATGTTGGGAAAGATCTTGTACAGCATTGTCTGGTGTCAGCCACATTTAAATTTTTTAGTAGCCACATTTTAAAAAAGAAAGAAAAAACCAGTGGCATTAACTTCAGTAATATTTTTATTTAACCCATTATATCTAAAATATTTCACGTATTTTTATATTCAAAATACAAACATTACTCAAGAAAAAATGTCTTAAATATTGGACTCTCTTCTACCTTCTAAGCTTTATAAGCCTCACAGTTATTAGCACGATGCTTTGCTCTGCTCACATAGGCATCCTCAGTCACTTCAGTCAAAGAAACCCTAAAAAACAATGGTTTGTTCCTTTTACTCTGGTAGGCCTGATAAGTCATGCTAGGTAGCATAGCATTCATTGTCTAGCTTGGAAAGCATTGCTTCCTATGACATGGCATTGTGACTACACATCTGTTCATAGAAATATAAATAATCACTAAGAGCTTGCATCTAGGGTCTGATACCCTGGGTTTGAACCCCATCTTTATCACTCAGTAGCCCTGTTCACAGCAATATAAATAATTGAAAAGAGCTTGGATTCTAGGGTCTGCTAGCCTGGCTTTGAACTCCATCTTTATCACTCAGTAGCTCTGTATTCTTGACCAATTTACTTAGTAATCTCTCCGTGCCTCAGTTTTCTCATCTGTAAAATGCAGATTTAATATTAGTTCCCTACCTTTTAGGATTGCTATAAGAATGAAATAATGTAAAGCACTAGAAATAGAGGACATTGGTAGTCTCTGAATAAATATCAGTTGCTGATCACCTTCATAATTTTTCCTCCTTAGTAGAAGTTTAATAAACAGTCTAAAAAATTCCATTATCTTCGGATTTCAACTTATCAAAACTTTTCTGTCGGTGTTTTTCTGAACCACCACTTCAGGATACCATTGTTTTTTGTTCTTGTACTACTGTATGCTTGTCATAGTCAGAAAATATGTAATATTTACTGATTAACTAAATTTTAAAACTTATCTACTCTAAAGGATGACATCAAGGTGATACATTTTCATTTTAAGGTTTCATTTATGTTTTGAATAAAGGCCTATTCTCTTTGCTAAAACCATTTCCAGCCTAGGCAAATTCGTGATTTAACTTAAGGGCAAAGAGAAGGAATAGTTTTCAGGACATCATGGGGGAAATATAGATAGTCAAGAGAAAAGATTTCTGTACCCTCATTTTTCTTTCCCTGTTCTCTAAGCTACCCCCTGATGCCCTAAGGATGAAAAGCTAGAGCTGCTGGGATTGGTACTTTTGGACCGTGATTAATTGTCTAGTGAATCCTGTCTTGGGAGAGCCTATCCTAAATTCACCACTGACTTTTTCTACTCTTACAGCCTACCTTGTCTAGCTCACAATATCCAGCTCACTCTCCTCCTTCTAGCCTTCCTCCTTACCTCTCTCCATTTAAGCAAGAGCTGTGCTCTGTTCTCTTTTTTTTTTTTCTTTTTTTTTTTTAAGACGGAATCTCGCTTTCTTGCCAGGCTGGAGTGCAGTGGCATCATCACGGCTCAGTGCAACCTCTACCTCCCGGGTTAAAGCAATTCTCCTGCCTCAGCCTCCTGAGTAGCTGGGACTACAGGCATGCGCCCGCCACCATGCCCAGCTGATTTTTTGTATGTGTGTTTTTAGTACAGACGGAGTTTCACCATGTTGGCCAGGAACCTCGTGATCCACCCACCTCAGCCTCCCAAAGTGCTGGGATTACAGGTGTGAGCCATTGCGCCCGGCCTCTGTTCTCTGTCTCAAGCTTTTTACACTTTCTAACATCTGCTTGCTCTGCCTCAAATTTTTCAAATGGACATTTTGTATTTTCCATGTACTTAATATTTTAGGTAGTATTTAATAACTTTACAGATACATCATTACTCTTGTGTAATGTTCCGGGAATGTATCTAAGAAGCTCCAGTTTCCCCAGTCTCCCCAGCACTGAAGCTTTAACCCAGAAGTATACTGTAAGATGTTCTTTAAAAATATTTTTTGTTTGATTTCATGAATAAATCTCCTTGTACATTGTTCACTTTATTATTGAACTTTCTTTATACTTTCATGTGCTTTAGATTGCAATAGATATTAAATCTGCAAAGCGAGAACTGAAGAAAGCAAGAACAGTCCTACAAATGGATGAACTCAAATGTCGCAAACGTGTTTTAAGAAGGTTGGGATTTGCTACTTCTTCTGATGTAATAGAGATGAAAGGACGAGTGGCTTGTGAGATAAGCAGGTAAAATCTGGTTATTGTTCTAGAAAGTTCATTTTTTTTTTCATTTTTAATTTTAATTTTTGTTTATTTTTTTTGAGATGGAGTCTCACTGTTGCCCAGGCTGGAGTGCACTGGCGCAATCTCAGCTCACTGCAACTCCGCCTCGCAGTTTTAAGTGATTTTAAAAATAACCATTATCTTTAGGAAAAAAGAGCTTTCTTAAAAATATAAAGTTTGTACAATATCTTCCACACTAAATACAGTTTTGAACCATGAAATTGAGAAATTAGAAAAATCTTAGATCTCAGTAATTAACACAAGCGCTCCTAGCATTTGTATGTATTTCCTTTGACTTTTTTTAATGCCTTGTGGGATTTTTACATAATCTTAGCTTATATATAATTTTGTATACTTTTTAAAAATTATTAACATTTTCCCACCTTGAAACTTAGCCTAGTAACCATTATCTTGTTACGTGCATAGCAAATTGTAATGAGATTTTGGGCTAATAATAGGATTTTACAACAGAACTTATTATAAGCCACAGATTAAAACTGGTTATATTATTTTCTGTTTCAGTAATCTTTTGTCACAAATGACCTCAAAACTAAATTATTTACAACATCAACAGTGACTTTATCCTCTTATTGTTTTTATGGGTCAGAAATTCAGGAAGAGCTCATTTGGATGGTTCTGGCTCTGTCCCCCAGGATTGCCGTCAGACAGGTGGTTAAGCTGAAACAGTAGGAGTCCGGAGCGGCTGGGGAATGTTAGGACCTCTCTCTCTCTGTTAGAGCTTCTCCATGTGGTCTCTCCATGTGGGCTGGTTTGGGCTTCTTCACAGTATGGCAGCAGCCTCAGGATGCTTACATGGTAGCTGAAGGCTCCAGTGTGAGTCTTCTAGCTGGCTAAGGTTGCCTTTTCTGACCTAGCTTTACCTTTTGTAACCTAGCTTTGTTATCATACACCATCATTTCCACCACATTCTCTTGATTACAGGTGAGTCATAAACCCTCCTGGATTCAAGTGGGGGATAATTAGATTCCAACTCTTGATGGGGAAGTGGCTATTGTTCAGTATGGCTTTCTGTGATAATTGGATTGTTCTGTGTCTACACTGTTCAGTATAGTAGCCACTATTTAGCATTTGATGTGTGCTTAGACAAAGGAACTGAATTTTATAATTTATATCATTTTAATTGAAATTGAAATTTCCACGTATGCACATGGCAGTCTTTATAGATCAGTGCAATTCTAGAAGAATGTGGTATAGGAGATGCTGTTGTGGCCATCTTTAGAAAATACAATTTATGATACTGTTCTAAAAAATGTGTTCGTTATTTCCCACCACGAGGAATGTCTCCTGCCTTAGGAGCCAGCTTGCCTCTGTCCTCCTTAACTGGAAAGTCATAAACTGGTAGCTCAAGCAATATCCAGTCTGAAGATATATCTTGTTTTGTCCATATAGTGATGATCATAATTCTCAGTGAATATATAAAAGACACTTTTGAAACAGTTTTTTATGTACTCAGCATGGCCAGGATGGACAGGACTAGAGAATTACAGGCCTTGTAAATGATTTCAGACTTTCTTGGTAAAAATGTAATTATATCGTTCATCTGTCCAGATGTTACAGACTCAGATGTCTTCATAGAACCAGGAGACTGTGGTGAACAGGACAACTCTTAGCCACCAAAAGGGGGCAGTGACTACCCAGCCCTAGTTAGTTGTTATCACAGGATAATGTGCTATTGGATTTTAATTAATAACATATCCAGGATTAAATCTAAACTGCAGTACTGGTCTACTGATTTATATGCTAATGTTATTGGGATTATTTCCTTCTAATAATTACCTGTTTTACAATTAATATAGAAATTAATTTCCTTTAGATATCTACAACTAGATTTTGTGTTGAAAGAATGGAAATTGATTTTATTCCAAGATACATTTTTCATTTATAGTAATAACAATATTATATCAAAGTTTGTTAACTTTCCCCCAAATTTGCAAAAACTGGGGCATCATCCTAGACTCCTTCTCTCACCCATTTTGCCTTTTTAAACATTGCCACTGGCTAATGTGTATCCCTCATTATTTTTGGCCTCAATTACTGCAGTTGCCCTCCTGATTATTCGTTGCCTCCCTTCTTGAGTTTTCAAAACCCAAAGCACAAATCTGGTATGTCGTTCCTCTTTCCTTCTTGAGATGGGATTTTGCTCTGTTGCCCAGGCTGGGGTGCAGTGGTGCAATCTCGGCTCACCGCAGCCTCAACTTGCCAGGCTCAAGTGATCTTCCTGCCTCAGTCTCCCAAGAACCTGGGACTGTAAGTGTGTGCCATCAAGCCTGGCTAATTTCTTTTTTAAGTTTCTGTAGAGATAGGGTCTTGCTATGTTGCCCAGGCTGGTCTTGAACTCCTGTAATTAAGCAGTCCGCCCACCTTACCACCCAAATTGCTGGGATTACAGGTGTGAGCCACTTCACCCAGCACCCAGCCCCTTTGTGCCATTCTATTTGGTAAAAGTCCCTCAGTGATTCCTTATTGCTTTTAGAATAGATTCCATAATTTAGTATATTGTTACTCTCCCTCTCCAGCAGTCTGTTGCCACACCCCACACATGCTTTTCCTTTTGCTTCATATGACCTTTCACCCCCACCCCATATCCTGCGATTCTTGCATATTTTTGCAAAGAACTTCGAAACTTGCTCTGAACTTCTTCAATCTGGTTTTAGGCTCCTCACCTTTTTTTCCTCATAACACTTGTATAAATCAATTATTAGAGCACTCTGTTAAACCACTGTTCTGTGATTATCACCTTACTTGTCTGCCCCCAATGTTAGACTGTAGCTTCTTGAAATAGTCTTTCCTCGTTTGTATTGTTGCACTCTTTGCTTGACTTAACTCTTAAGCTTAACACTAGAGACCCAAATTTAGTTTTTGACTTTTATTTATAAATATTTTAACTGTTAGTAAAGATTATAATAGTTCATGGCTTTATTCTTTTTTAAAGACTTTGCAAAAAATAAAGGCAAAGTTTACTTTTTTAATAATACAGTACAGTTATTGTATGGGTCAATTGAACCCTGATTATAGAAGTCTAGAAACATCATCTTTGTAGTGTTTCTTTTTTAGCTTGAATTGAACACAGTTGCAAATTCAGAATTTTTCATTTTCCACCCAAGAAGAAAAATAAGTGAAGATATTTTGCAGTTATTACTCAAATCAGAAGATAAACACAAAGGGACAAAAAGCACTGTAGTCAAAGTGATAATGGTGAGATTGATTATATAAGCAAAGTCTCAGACCCTAAGTAAATTCTCAGACATAATAACTAGTGCATGAACAATATTTTTATTTATTTATTTATTTATTTATTTATTTATTTATTTATTTATTTATTTTGAGACAAGGTCTAGCTCTGTCACCCAGGCTGGAATGCAGTGGCAAGATCATGGCTCAGTGCAGTCTTGACCTCCTGGGCTTAAGTGATCCTCCCACCTCAGCCTCCTGAGTAGCTGGGACTACAGGCGTGTGCCACCACGCTCAGCTTATTTTTGTATTGCTTTGTAGAGACAGGGTTTTGCCATGTTGCTAGGCTAGTCTTGAACTCCTGGGCTCAAGAGATCTACCTGTTTCAGCTTCCCAAATGAGCCAGGAGCCACTGTGCTCTGCTGAACAATATATTTCTAGGGATATATATATATATGAGATTATTATTCATGTAATCATTCAACAGAAAGGGCCTAGTTATGTAACGTCTATGATAAGAACCTGGACCATCTCATTTTGCTAAAAGGACTTGTAATAATAGTCTTTCATCTTTTATTATTTGTGCACCAAAGTTTCCTTATATGGTCCACAAGTGGTCAAATACACAGTTGTGTATATAAGGAAATTGGAAAGAGATGATGAAGAAATTTTTTAAAACCTGTTGAATTGATCATTCTAATCTTTGTAATAATAAATATATTGTCCTTATAAGTCTGTATATGAAAATGTTTCACAATTATGGAGCAAAGAAGATGACCTTCCTCTCAACAAAATCAAGTTGTCAGTTTAAAAAACTGTATTTTGATGATGCAAAAGAGGAATCAAAAGTAATAAGCTAGAACTTAAAAGAGATGTAAATCTGGACTTGTACATTTTGACAGTGCAAGTGCAAGAAGAAACAGACGTAGTGATGAGCTAGTACCTACCTGTTAGAGATGTACTTGAAATCTAGAATTGTATTTCCTAGATGGATATTTTTCAGATTTGTGGATGACAATTGGTGAGCAGCAGTTTGTTGCATTTAAAGGCTCTTGCCCATCTTGGTTATATACACTTTCAGCCTTTGGAAAATATGAATTAAAATGTGAGTCTTCTGGCCAGGTGTAGTGTCTCACACCTGTAATCCCAGCATTTGGGGAGACCGAGGTGGGAGGACTACTTGAGCTCAGGAGTTCTAGACCAGCCTGGACAACATAGCAAGACCCCATCTCTACTATAATATAAAAACTTTAAAAAATTAAAACATAAAAATAAAAAAATGTGGTTCTTCTTATGAGTACATTCTAATTAAGATTTCTAGTAAAATTGTTTTTCATTATCTTTATTCTACAGATTATTTGTAAAATAACTGAAAAATAATTAAAAGAGTCCTTTGGCCCTAGAAAATAAATGACAGTGATGATTTTTCCTAGCATACTAAAGGTTAAGAAATTGTTCTTATTTCACGAATGTGTGCATTTTGATATTTGGAATCTTTATGTGAAATCCCCATTTTACATTGATTATATAATATATTGGTAATTATTAAAGATCTACTATGTCCTTAAATAAATCATTGTCATTCCTCATTGATTACTCCTTAAGGTCAAATAATATATTTTATTAAAAACTACACGTTAAGGGCATATGTGTGTGCATGTGTGTCTTTATATTCTGACATTTTATTCTTTTGTTTTGCCATTGTAGTGCTGATGAGCTCCTTCTAACTGAGATGATGTTTAATGGCCTTTTCAATGACCTTTCTGCAGAACAGGCAACAGCATTATTAAGCTGCTTTGTGTTTCAAGAGAATGTAAGTTAATTGATTCAGCACATCTTATTTATTAATTCACACATCATGTAGTTAATAGTGTTATGGCTATATTATCAAATATTACTAATATTTACATATTATAAGGTAATGTTAATTGGAAATCACAGCAACTTTAACACAAATGTACTAAGAAAATTAAATGATTAAATACGTATTATTAGAAAGGAGAATAAAATAAGATTTGTCAACAATCACCATTAATTAGATTTTAAGTTTTAAATTTGTTCTGTAACCCAATTCATTGAACATTTGGCCAAGTCCTAGACAGTCCTAGAAATAAAAAGATGAGTGAGAAGAAAACTAGGAAAGTCTGATAAAAATAAAAGGGGGAAGTGAGGTTGAATTAACTCTCCTCCCCGGTGTTGAAGAATAATGACGAAGCAGTCCATCCTGCTAGGAACTGAAACATTAGTTTTCATGGGCACGGTTTGAGGTAGTGAATATAAGATCCTTGTTGGTTTGGCAGCAGTTTTTTTCATATGAGTAATTAGTTCACTTTCAACAGTTCTTAAGAAATCAAAAAATGAAGTGCTGGGTGGAACACATAAGAACACTAATTATCCTTGTACTGCATTCCAAAAACCAGTTTGATTCATTTTTAAAAGTAAGATATATTGTTTTGCATTTCAAATTTAAGACTTTATTTATTGTAGATGAAGTGGATAGAATGAGAATAAGACAAGGACATCTGCCTTCTAAAAATAATTTAATATTCTAAATTTTTGGAGGACCTTTTACTATACATACTTAGTTTAACTTTTAAGTAAATTGTGTAGAACAAATTGTTTAGTTTTTTTTTAAGTTCCACAGCTCTTAAATCTTGGGGCAAGATGTCCGTATATGCAGTTAAGATGTATTCAGTGAAACCACACTTAATTGGTCTGTTTACCTGTTAACTGTTTCCATATTTATTAATCAGATCAAATATATTACTTCTTGAAGTAGATGGGTACTTTTCTCAGGTCCCTGATTACTGATTAGAATCACAGCTGTTAGTGGCAATGATAACAAATAGGACAATAATCCAAAAACAGTTTATGCTTTCCTGGGATTGCCTACCATGCATCTATGAAATATGCATACAAAAGGAATGCATTACTTTACAAAATATTGTGTTTGTTTTTCCTTAGGCTCAAAATTTTATTATATCAATTTCCAAGATAAAGATAATTAAGAACATTTGTCAAACTTACTTGGAATAGGAAGGTTCAGAGATGTAGGTTTGTAAATAGTTTGGGGATAAGTGGTCTTCCACCCATGTCAAATTTTGTCTTACTTTTCATTATTTGCATGTTCTTGTTGTTTTATATTTTGGCACTATTACAATAGTTCCTTTTTCTGAGAAGCCAATTATATTCCCTCTTCAAAGGAGTTGGTTAAGCTAAACCACAGCTCTTAAATCTTGGGGCAAGATGTCAATATATACAGTTAAGATTTATTCAGTGAAACCACACTTTTTTATATACAGTGTCATCAATTCTTGTGGTGGCGCCTTTTAACATTGAGATGGAAGATTGTACTGATTGTCATGTGGATTTTTCTTGATGCTTTTAACAGAATGTTTTCTGCCAAAAAGAACATTGTCTTCTAGTAAATATAGTAAAATACTTGTTATAAGTAAGATGAAATTTGCTTGATATAATAACTTCTATTTTAAAATGTATTTATAAAACTGTCTCTACATTTTAAAAATAATATTTAAAAGGTTATGTAAATCTTTATAATATAAAGATCAAGTGCATACAAAAATTTATTAAGCACCCAATGTGGGCAGTGTACAGGTCTAAGCACCAGAGATGCAGCAGAAATGTTTGCTTTCCTGATACTTACATGTTAGTGGATGAAGATAAAGAAATACAGTACACATACATTCTGTCAAATAGGGGTGAAGGTTTTTGGAGAAAAGTGAGAAGAATCAAAGATCACTGGGGAGATGGTGTTACTATTTTAAATAAGATGATTAGAAAAGGCCTCACTAATGAAGTGAAACTTATATTGAGGCCTATAGGAGAGATGAGGGAACAAACTGTACATACCTGGTGGGAGAACATTGTTAAAATCACAATTAACCTCCTCACATCAGGACTGGTGCCTTCCACCTATAGTGAATAGCAGAGAGGAATGTGATGAGTAGCTGTTGACCATGAATAGACATAATATCAAAGACATTTCGCAGTCTTGGGTTCTTTATTAAACTGAGATGTTAAGGTCATTCTGGCTATTTTGCTTTTTTGCCATTCATCAATAATTTTTGGTTTTAGCAGCAATAATATGGAATCTGGTTCTTGATTTATTATACATATATACATGTTGCAAATCAAAATCAAGTCCTTTATAAGTACTGGTGCTTAAAATAAAGGCAGATATGTCGCAACTAGCCTACAATTGCTTTAAAAAAAAAAAATTAGCGATCGGGCACAGTGGCTCATGCCTGTAATCCCAGCACTTTAGGAGGCTGAGGCGGGCAGATCATGAGGTCAGGAGTCGACACCAGTCTGACCAACATGGTGAAACCCCGTCTCTACTAAAAATACAAAAATTAGCTGGGCGTGGTGGCACTCCTGTAATCCCAGCTACTCAGGAGGCTGAGGCAGGGGAATCGCTTGAACCCGGGAGGTGGAGGTTGCAGTGAGCCGAGATTGCACCATTGCACTCCAGCTGGGCAACAGAGCGAGACTCTGTCTCAAAAAAAAAAAAAAAAATAGCCATAATTACTTTAATTAAACCCTGTCTCATACATACATACATATCATTCTTATAGTAATTTTATTTTTGTACAGTACCTTTGTCAAAAATTTCTTCACAAATAATGTCTGTTATTCTCATCATAAGCCTACTCATTTTGAGGATCTGGTTTTATTTTTCTTTGACAGGGCAGAAAACCAGTACACAGAATTTAAGCAGCTTGTCCAACTTAATTTGGCTACTTAGTGTACACCTGAAACTCCATTATCTAATTCAGAAATTGACAGAATTTTCAGCTGTGGGAAAGCAATACTAAGAATACTGAAACTCAGATTAAACTTTTAGCTGTCTTATACTTTGTTAGAACATCTGGGTAAAATAAAAATTAGGGACACTATTTTTAACGTACTTTATCCTGAGTTTTCAGTTTCAAACTTTTCAGTTTCTACAGATTGAAAGTTGCCTAGAAACTAAAACTGTTTCAAAGTTAAACTATGATAAAACCCTTTAATGTTGATGTAACTAAACTACTATGTATGTTTACAATATTTACCCTCCCTCAGTTCCATATGTAATCACAAAAAGGAGCTAGTTAGCACACTTTGCAAATTTAGCGGTGTATTTTCCTCTGAAATGTAATAACAGAATATTATAATTTGGGATGAGAGGAATAGTGATTTTGCCTGTGTAAACTGAATTGATTAGAAACTCTAAATGCTGATGACTAAGGTCTTATAATTTGATATGTGACTATCTTACAAGCTTTAATTTGTTAAAACGGGTAGTGTGAAAAACCAGTAACTTTAAACGTGGGTTTTTATATCTTGTTTTCCTTTTCTTTTATAGTCTAGTGAGATGCCCAAATTAACAGAACAATTAGCAGGACCACTTCGTCAAATGCAGGTAAGGTTTTTTTTTTTTTTTTTTGAACTACATATTTTATGAATAGTAGATTGTAAAATAAACATTTTTGATAATCTAATCATAGTAGTTTATCATTTCACAGAGATAACCTATAAGGATTAAATGTTACTTGATGTCAGTCATGTAATTTAATGTTACTCTGATAACATCTCTTGTGATTTTTACTTTAATAATTAAACAGTATTTCTTCCCATTATTGTAATGAACTGTATAGCATTGTTGTGAACAGAGATTAAAAGCTTCATAATGTAAATAGGCTGTATTGACAGCTCAGTGCATGTGTCATTTTCTTCCTCAGTACTGATAATGGTATCTTGAAGGACTAGGATTTAGTTTATTTTTAATTTTTTGCACATTTTTTCATTCTGGTTTATAACAAAGTTTGGTTGTTTTATTGTTTTGTTTTTGAGACAGAGTCTCGCTCTCTTACCAAGGCCTGGAGTGCAGTGGCGTGATCTGGGCTCACTGCAACCTCCACCTTCCACGTTCAAATGATTCTCCTGCCTCAGCCTCCTGAGTAGCTGGGATTACAGGCACCCGCCACCACACTCAGCTAATTTTTGTATTTTTAGTAGAGACGAGGTTTCACCATGTTGGCCAGGCTGGTCTCGAACTCCTGAGCTCATGTGATCCTCCCACCTCGGCCTCCCAAAGTGCTGGGATTACAGATGTGAGCCACTGTGCCCAGCCTATAACAAAGTTTTAAAATCTGTTTTATCATAAGAAATTGTCTCTGGATCCTCAAAGCCACAGTAGTTTATAGTAATAAATTTCTCTCTTACTATTTTCATAGGATAAGCCGATTTTTTCTGTCTGTTCAACATTAGACAAAGACAAGGAAAGATGAGCTAAGGAATTACAAGAGAGGAACAAAAAAATGTGTCATAAAAGGGCCCCTTCAGAACAACAGACACTGGTGCCTACTTGAGGGAGGAGAGTGGGAGGAAGGAGAGGTTGAGGAAGAAAAAAGAAAAAAAAAACCTGTGGCATATTATACTTAGTACTCAGCTGACTAAATAATCTATATACCAAACCCCTGAGTCACAAGTTTACCTAGATAAGAAACCTGTACATGAACCCCTGAGCCTAAAATAAAAGTTAAAATATTTTTAAAATAATAATTCAAAAAATTCTGATTAAAATTAAAAGGCCAGTTCAGTGGAACATGTAACATGCCTTAAAATCACTAAGAAATTTAAATTTCTAGAACCAGCAAAGTCTTCATAGGCCTAGGAGTTTTTGGCCTTTTAGATTGCCAAGTAAAGAAGAATGAAGTTTCTCAACTTAGAGGAAAACAATATGAAGATATGTACATTTTTAAGCATTGTTGTGGAAAAATGTATTTTGCTCTAGGATTTGTATTTCTCTAAATCTGTTTTGTAATGAAATAATTAGAGATTAGTTAAATGCTGCTCTTGAATAATTTTAATGAAGAGTTCTGTTTCTTTGTTGAAAAGGTATCACTGGCTGAAAAGCATGCTCTTGATACATTTTTCTTAGTTAACTACCTCAACATAATGGGAAAGATTGGCCGTTTAATCACTTAGCAATGGAACAGGCACTGTGCCTACTTAGGAGCAGAATGTCCACATTGCAGACATAATACCTAGGAAGAAAAAGGGACCTCCTGGAATACTGGCTTGGAAACCTAAAGAATAAAGTGATATGGGAGATCATAAGTAAGGAATTTTAACTCTTTTATCTTTAAAGGAATGTGCTAAAAGAATTGCAAAAGTTTCAGCAGAAGCCAAATTGGAAATTGATGAGGAAACTTATCTAAGCTCATTTAAACCTCACTTAATGGATGTAGTATATACCTGGGCAACTGGAGCTACATTTGCCCATATCTGCAAAATGACAGATGTCTTTGAAGGTATGGTTAAATTTTACACATATATATTTACAGTATAAGAAATACAGTTAGGATGGTATTGTTTTAATTAAACAAGTATAATATGTATTTTTAATATTTGGTAACTAAATGAAATCTTCTCCCTATTATATAGATTAAAAAATATTCTCCACAAATTCTTTGTATTATTTAATAAGCATAGTCTGTTCATTAGAAAGTCCTTTAGAAACTATTTTAAACTGTATAATTCTGTGCAGTTGTAATTCTATGAGTTTCTACAGTCACAAGCAGATGACCCTAAGAAGTCATATTTATGTGGGTATTTTTCCTTTTCACTTTTGTTCTCCTGGTGAGCTATATAATTCCACTAAAAATAGCAGAGCTGAAAATGATCAGTCATTGCATATGTAATTGACTTGGCTTTAGTCAGACTGTTATTGCAGCATGAATCAGATTAAATTTAATGAGCAGGATTTTAAGAGACTGAAGAATAATTGTTACTCAACTGAAGAGAAATTTTAAATGAAAAAATTAAGGCAAAAGAAATATAAGGAATAAGTGAATAATAAGAAGCAAAAAAATAAGTAGACTGTTTAAACGAAACCATATTTTAAAATGCTGCATTCAGTAGGAAAAGATTGGTTTGTGTGTTTATAAATGGCCAGTTGTATTTACTGAATGAGATAATTTACATTGAACTTTCCTAAAAATGAAAATAAATGAGTTTGTTCTGTATAGAGATTATAATAAGAACTGCTACTATTGCTTATAGGTTTAGTTTGAGAAAAATTACATGTTTAACATGCCAAATATTATAGGCCTTTCAACTGATATTATTAAAGAAGTAATAGATTACTGATTTTATGAATCAGTTATTTTTATGATGCATAGGTTAAACTTCTCTGCAACAGAATATTAAAAACTTAAACTGAGGGCCTTTACTACATTGAACTTTATGGGTTTTAAGGTTTTTAATGTTAAAGTTTATAGCACATTTTTAAATTATGGTGTTGTATCTTACATATTTTTTCTAAGGTTTATAAACTTCTCAGCCTCCTCTAAATGATCATTTAGTCAAACAGTCCCAAAGCATCCTTTGAATTCTGTATTCTGTTACTGGGAAAGTCATTGCCCAGTAAGTACTATATGCCAAACACTGTGCTAAGAGCTCTGTATAATTTACATGTAATCACCAAATAGCAATTCAGGGTAGATATTATCTCCACTTTGCACAAGGAGACTATGGTAAACAGTTTGGCCAAGGTGATGTGAGGGCACGATGATTTAAACTCTGGTCTCTGTAACTACATGTAAGTTCAGTTAAGCACCATACCACCTTATCCTTAAATTTTGGATCACCTGAAAATTTCTTAAACCCTACACTAGACTATACCATCTCCATCCACAGAAAAGTCATGCTTGGAGTAATACTAAACAGGTCTTAATCCTAGATGATGTTTAGCAACATCTCTAATTAGTTAATGGTGTTTAGCCGAGTCAGTGAGAAGAGGGATGTTGCGTACTCACTGATGAAAATTGCTTAAAACAGGAGCACAGGTTGGTGTATGACAATTGTGTTTCAGCAGCACTAGGGCGATCACATAGAGCACCACCAGTCTTCAGTCTGACATCTTTTTGGAACATAAGGATGAAACTAGTAACTGTTCAATGCCTAATAATAAGACTTGATAATACAATACTCATATTTGTATAATATCTGCTTCTCTGAAAAGTCAGAACACAATGACATAAAACAATAGTGGTACATGGCAGAGAGTAGCTTTTTTTTATTTTTTTATTTTTATTTTTATTTTTTATTTTTTTTAGAAAAGTAAAAAGCAGGCCAGGCACGGTGGCTTACGCCGGTAATCCCAACACTTTGGGAGGCCGAGGCGGGCGGATCAGGAGGTCAGGAAATCGAGACCATCCTGGCTAACACGGTGAAACCCCGTCTCTACAAAAAATACAAAAAATTAGCTGGGTGTGGTGGCAGGAGCCTGTAGTCCCAGCTACTCGGGAGGCTGAGGCAGGAGAATGGCGTGAACCTGGGAGGCAGAGCTTGCAGTGAGCTGAGATTGTGCCACTGCACTCCAGCCTGGGTGACAGAGCGAGACACCATCTCAAAAAAAAAAAAAGAAAAAAAGAAAAGTAAAAAGCAAGGGCAGTAGACCTGGCCTGTCAGATGAGTATATTTTTTTTTAAATCTAGGAATTCATATAAAATTGTCTTTATGGATTATTTTTTCTGTTCTTTCTACCTAAGTAGAAGTTATCACAGTATGGAAGATAAATCCTAAACTGCCAAATTGAAGATGGTTTGTAGCTCATACTAGATGCCACCTATGAGTTGACTTTTTCCACAGCATACCAGCATTCCTGAAGTCTGTTCTGTCCTCTTTCAGTTACTCAGGGGCTATTTCTACATCACAGTTTGCTTGAAATTTCAGTTTGAAAATTTGAGAAATCCAGTTTTTTAGCTCTAACTTGAAATTAGATCTAACATCTGCATAATTTTTATGTTTTTCTTGTGTGTGAGCCAGTAGATGAGCTTAAACCTTTCTAAAAATTGGGATATACTATGTATTCGCCCTTAAAACTATTTTTTGATTTAAGTAGCAAAAAATGAGAACCTTCATTTTCTTAGGATAGTATTTCTCTCTTTTGTTTTTACAGTGTTACATAGTGCTTCCATTTCAAGAATAGCCATTCCTTCCTCATCTCGTTATTGTATGTGGTTGTTTTTTATTTTTTGCAACAGGGTCTGGCTCTGTCACCCAGGCTGGAGTGCAGTGGCGTGATCTTGGCTCACTGCACCCTCCATCTCCCGGGCTTAAGTGATCCTTCCACCTCAGCCTCCAGAGTAGCTGGGACCACAAGCATGTACCACCATGCCCAGCTAATTTTTGTTAATTTTTGTAGAGATATGATTTTACCATGAAGCCTAGGCTGGTCTCAAACTCCTGGGCTCAAGTGATCCACCTGCTTCAGCCTCCCAAGGTGTTGAGATTACAGGCATGAGCCACTGCAGCTGGCCTACACATGTTTTATGATTGGAAAAATACTGTAATCAAAGCTGTAGCACACAGTACAGTGTGTCTGTTTTTACAGGCAGACAATAATTGCATTGGAACTTTCTAATGTGCTGTGTGCAAACCATATTTGTTCCTAATAAGATTCTTAATTTTCTTTTCATATGAAAATAAAAGTGTCTGGTCATTTCATATCCTGAGCCTCAGAAGTAGTTTTAAGTATTCTTCAAACATTAACTGAGGCTAGTTAACACTGTAATGATTAAAACCATGTGTTTGGGGGATGTGTAATGCAAAAGAAAAGTTCATATTGTGATTCAGTTGAGAAATTTTGAAGACTAAGTATTTATTCTGTTATCACCCTGGAAAAAAAATGACAGAATTTAGCTGTTTTTTATTTCCATTAAACTAAATTTGAATGACAGTTTAAACAAACTATTTGTATGGGCTGATGCCTAGGGTTTTAGTCAAGTAATCCAGAGGCTGTTACTATTTATTTCTGACTCTACATAAACAATATTGTACTCTTAACTATGAAGGATGACAAAGGATTTGCTTTCCACTGAGCAAGTGTCATTAGGAAAGCTTCTATGATGAATTATCTCTTGAAACTATTTACTGTACCTCTGCCTGCCATATGCTTTTTATTTTTTTTCAGTCCTGCTCCCTCTGTATGCCACATGTTTTGAAAGCAAATACTGTGAATTGCATTCCTCAACTCTCCCCACCACACACATTCTCTCACATGCCTTTCAAGTAGCAGTTTAACCCTTTCTTAGCATCATCAGTGTCATGAGTGGTTTTCCAGTGGATTTGTCTTTTAAAAGTATTCTTGCTGATAATAATAGAGTAACAATTTATTAGTAATTGTTTCTGTCTTTACATTTTGGCACAGTTTTAGTACCTGATACTTACTCGTTTAATGAATAATTCTGAGACCCTAGTGGGAATCAGGCACCATGCTAGTTACAGTGTGAGCAATAGTCTCTGCTCTCAAGAAAGGGTTCAGCCTAAGCTGGGGTTTAGCGGCAAGTAGTTGCAAGATACATGTGTGATTCTAACCTGAGGCCAGGCTGGATAGGAGTATTAAATTCGGGTCAGAGCATGAACTGTAGGAAACTGCTTTAGGGTATGCCAGAAAGCTGAAGGCAGAAGTTCTGTTCGGGAAAATCTGCTGCTTTCTCTCCTTAATGAGAATGATGCTGTTTTGTTCATCAACCGGGTAAGGCTGATGTTTATTAAAATGCTCTTAAATAAAAGCATATAGTCCCAAGTGTCCATCGATAGATGAATAAATTGTGGTATATATTAGGTTGGTGCCAAAGTAATTGTGGTTTTTGCCATTTTTAATGGCAAGGTGTTCCATTGTAATAAAGATTAAATGGAACAGCTTTCAGTTAGAAAAGACATACTGACTCATGCTACAATATGGACAAACCTTAAACACATTAAGTTGAAAGAAGGCAGACACAAAGGCCACATAGTGTATAATTTCACTTATATGAAATGTCCAGAGTAAGCAGATTCATAGAGACAAAGCATAGACGTGGTTGCCATGGGCTGGAGGGACAGGAAGACATGTAACTGCTTAATGGGAACAAGGTTTTTTGGGGGTGGTAAAAATGCTCTAAAATTAGATAATGATGATGGTTACACAAGTCTGAATATACTAAAAACCACTCAGTTGTACACTTATTTAAAATAATTTATGGTGTGTGAATTCTGTCTCCATGTGAGTTCTTCCAGAATGTAGTAAACCTGAATATAAAAAAGGGCAGTAACTGACTTGTATACTTTAACATGGTTAAAAAGGTGGATTTTATGTTTTATATTTTACCACTATTTGAAAAATTTTTTAAAGACAATAACTAGAAAGAATTGGATTTCTCTTTCTACTCTGGCAGGACCAAAAAAAAAATTTTGTAACAAACCAGTAGGTTAATGTGGTTTTGTTTTGTTTCGGTTTTGGTCAGCTTCATTTAGCCTATGATGGGTCATGGCTTTGAAACTTTTGTCTAGCACTTAGTCAGGCTGATGAGGCAGGATGACTTATAAAGGTGGGTGTAAGAAGAGCCCTTGGATTACAGAGAACTGTAGTAGGTAGGAGAGATGCTAGACAATTCACTACTTAATCGTCAGTCTTCATTAATCCCTGGGGGGAGTAGCCTCTATGTTTCAGGCAGCTCTGGACAGTTAGTGTTTGTGCACATACCCAGTGATTTGTTGATGAGACTCTGTGGGCAACAACCACAGTCATTGTATATGCAACCTTGTGCCTACTGGCCTAATTTGCTTGTTACCTGAAACTGTGTCGAAACTAAAGTTTCCAGAAATTGAGTCGAAATGTTTACAAAATGTGACATGACAGTGCTCTCTGGCCTGAATGTGCATTTACTTGCCTTAGTTTATTCTTTATCTTAGTAATTTACTTCGTATGGTTTGGTCTCTGATAACTTTCACAGATTCTGGTTAACACGAGTTACTAAAATTTGTGAAATAATAATATCACATTGTGTTTCTTGGTACACATTTGAAGTCAGTCAAAACAATGTTTGAGAATGTGTCTGGCTCTTTAATGCCCTGTGCAGCAGAGGACTTTGTAAAGGATTTCATTTCAATCCTAAATGACCTGTGAGAATCTGGTCTCAGGTAAAAATCTAGTTACATTTTGAGCCACTACCTAATTTAATTATCTTTGGATATACTTGTTTGCATAAACATTTAATATCTGATTGCATAGGTAATATGACATTACCCTCTCTATCCCAATTCCTACCCTCTCTCTTGACACCCAGAAGTTTCTGCAGTTGGATTTCCTGTTTCATTGCAAGGCAGTATTGGAGCCTGCATTCCTAGCAGCTGAGAATAGAAATAACAAATAATTATTATTAATTTAATAATTGTTAATAGTGTAAATAGTTCATTGTTCCTACAGACTGCATTTTGAGAACTGGTATTCCTAATGTATTTCATATATTAAAAATGAAGTCAAGCGTTTTAGATTTAGGCAGGTAGCACTTAGAGAAAGGATCTCACAATCTCTGCTCCTCTTTGCACAAGTCTAGCAAAAGTGAAACTATGTTTATAGCTTCAGCTTTGATACAAACACTTTTCTCAAACAGATTCTAGACCCATGGGAAAAGGCTTCTTTCCTTGTGCTCCTTGAGAACACTGTGTAAAGAACGTACTAATGAAAGAATCTAAGGTCAAGAAGAATGAATGCACCTTTAAAATGACAAGTTTTATCTTGTTACTCTCCTGCTAAAAACAGTCTGTTGCATTCTATGAGATGGTATGGATGGTGTCCAGATGCCTCACTAGGCCACACTCAGGGTCCTTGAATAGCTGCAGTTTGCCAGGCTTTTCTGCATTGTCGTGGTGGTCCTTCCCTTGTTGCTGCTGCCTGAGAGATACTGCCTGGTTCTTACAGACACAGATTATGTCATCTTTGCAGCCTTCACCCAAAGTTGCTCCCTCCTTCTAGGGCATTTTGTTTTCCTACTTAATACCAAGTGTCAGCATGTTAGTAATAAACAGGTGTCTCTACCATTAGTCAAAGGTGGGAGTTAAGCCTTTCATCTTTGTAGCTTTCTCCAGTACCTAACCATGATTTACTTCATGGGAAGTCCCTCAAAGTACTATTAATTATCGTGTGTTCTCCTGCCTTGCCTCTTAACAAAAATTCTGCTGTTCCTGATTATTTCCATTTTACCAGTGTTTTGTTCCTTTTCTATCCAGGCAGCATAATTCGTTGTATGAGGCGCCTGGAAGAATTGCTTCGACAAATGTGTCAAGCAGCAAAAGCCATTGGAAACACTGAGCTGGAAAATAAATTTGCAGAAGGTCAGTATCAAATGGATAAGCTGTTTCTAATTTAGACAAATTTGGTGAAGCAAATCTTGAGCCCTGGACCACAACCTAGGAGGACGTTTTGAGATGTTCTTCACTGCATTGTCATGGAGAGCTATCTACTAGTGTTTCTATAAAATTTAGTGTGTTGGGGGAAAAGTTGAGATTTTATATATACATGCATTTACGTATATTAATTGTACGCTAACTACATGCCAGGCATTGTTTTAAGCACTAGGGGATATAGTGAACAAAAAGACACCCCTGCCTTCATGGAGTTTACATTCTAGTGTGGGGAGATAGACAATAAGTCAACAATTAAATTTATCAGATGGTGATAAGTCTGTAAGATAAAAACAAAGCAGAAAAGACAATAGAATTGGCAGATGGATATGATGGTCTAGGGCCTCCACAGGGAAGGTGGCAGTTAAGGCCTTTGGTGTATGCTTGATGTACGTGAACACCAGCAAGAGGCCAGTGTGGCTGGAGCAGAATGGGCAGTGAGTAGAGGAGTAGGGGTTGAAGTGAGAAAGGAAATGATTCCATAGTTCCCAGCCCCAGGCTTCTCAACTCTGCAGTGACTGGAGGTGTGGAGTTTGGGAGTGACCTGCCCCAACTTGGACTTTACAAGGTAATTGTTGCTCTTACATTCAGGGCAAGTCTGTAGAGTAGCACAGTAGAAGTGGGGAGAACAGATCAAGAAAGGATGGCTAAACCAAGGTGGTAGTAATGGAGTGGTGGTGGGGGGGCAAGGGGCATAAGCTTCAGTCCTGTCTACTGACTCTTGACCAAGAAAAAGGACTAAGTTAATCAAAGAATATAACCACATTGTTGCTGAGTCAGTCAATGCTAGTGATTTCTGCAAACAACTTAGTGTCCTAAGAAGAGGTTTGCAAAAACTGGCTGATATTTCCACAGTTGATAAATGTAGGCCTGTTTAATGACTCAGAATTTAAGTGTAGGTGTCAAAGTTTTAAAAATAATTTGTAATCAAAATTTGTATTTGTCCTTCCTTGGCCTAGAAAGAATTTCACATGGGAACTGAAAAAAAAGTGTCTTCTGATATAGGTTGAAAATCCAAGTCTTTGGATTTTACATTTCTTTAGACAGTTTAGTCCTTCCCTATAATTTTTTTTATTTTTATTTTTATTTATTTATTTAGTGTGTGGAGACAGAGTTTCGCTCTTGTTGCCCCAGGCTGGAGTGCAATGGCGCAATCTCGGCTCACTGCAACCTCCACATCCACCTCCCAGGTTCAAGCGATTCTCCTGCCTCAGCCTCCTGAGTAGCTGAACTACAGGCATGCGCCACCACGCCCGGCTGATTTTGTATTTCTAGTAGAGACGGGGTTTCTCCATGTTGGTCGGGCTGCTCTTGAACTCCTGACCTCAGGTGATCCGCTCGCCTTGGCCTCCCAGAGTGCTGGGATTACAGGCATGAGCTACTGCGCCCGACCTAGCATTTATCTTTTTAAACAGTTCTAGACACCTCTTTCCTGGCCAGCCCCCATGGAGTATTTCAGAGTCAAAAGAACAGGGGTCTGGCTTGTATGTTTTCCACCTCACAGAGGTGGCTGCAAATTCCTCTAGGTGTTCAGCAAGGTGTTTGACTTTCTAGGCTGCTCGCTTACCAGTTGAATCAGGGTTGGTATACTGGCTTTAAAATTTCGGTAGAGGCAAGTTAGGTGTTTTGTGGTCTTGAAAGTTTAAACCTTACTTTCTTTTCTCTTAGGAATCACCAAAATCAAGAGAGATATTGTGTTTGCTGCCAGCCTCTACTTGTAGAGTCAGCTAAAGGAATGTGAGATTTTAAATTATTGACCACCTGTTTGATTACAGTTGACTACAAATGCCTGCAAGTGTGGATTTGGTTCTCCCATACATTTTAATATGTATTATATTTAAATCAAACATCATTCATAGAAAGCATATTACATACATGTTTATACATAAGCATTACATTTTTTTAATAAAAATGTATACAGGTGGGGCACTGTTTTGGTGGAAGGCTTGGAGTTTTTTTAATGAGTTTAGAGCTATTAGATAACCACTGAGTTAAAGGTAACTATGTACACACAAAGTGTGCATCCAAGAGGCATAGCAGCAGCAGAAGTCTTTAAAGGCTTGTACACCAGGAAGAAAGATGCATCCTCTTGCCTTGTGGCAATCATTTTCCTTTAGAAAACAGGCCAGCTTCACCTGGGCACCCTGCTGCCTTTCAAGGCTGGTGATTGCTCGGATAGTGATTCCCAGTTGTTGGTGTTTCATGCAGAGTTGTATGAGAGTCCTCCTCTTTTCTTTCTTTAAAAGAAGTTCTTTCTTTGAAGAAATCCGATACATATACAGCCTACAGTGCAAAATATTTAATGGTATAATTTAGATCAAGTTAAAAACTACATACAAAGTTGTGATCAACAGCATCCTAAGATAAATATAAACAAAAGGATATACTTTGAGGTGTACAGATTAAGCATATAAAAAATTAGAGACTAACTGGGATTTTTTAAAGATTATTCCAAATTAAGAGTTGCTTTGTTATGCCTTCAGCAAATAGCTTCATTTTGCCAATACTGAATAAAAGAGTTATTTCTACATGTGAATTAGTTTTTTCAAGTCATAATCCCCTAAAAAAACTATTTCTAGCCAGAGCCTTTCACAATAAAAATACTAAGATTTTACAAAACTACTAAGTTTTAGAAAGAGCAACCTAGTTTTTAACCTGGTGTGTATCCTGAAGTGACTTTTAATAACATTGAGATTCTTGCCCACTGCATAGTCTTCTCCTCAGCTGGGGATTTTTTGGATTTTTTTTTTCTATTTACTTATATAAATGTTTAGCAATATCAAGATGTAGGCTGTTGACCTGTATACTTACAACTAATATTGCAACCAGAGCTCCCTGAATGAGTCCAGTCAACACATCGCTCCAGTGGTGTTTATAATCAGAAACTCGAGAAAGGCCCACATAAATGGATACGGCAACAAGACCAAATTGCAGTGTGGGGCGTAAGAGTCTTGCCCAGTCTCCCTTCATCCTGGCTTGAAGATAAAGCTAAAAGAAAAGAATAAAGAAAAAAATAGTTTATTTAACATAACGCAAAACTTTTATATTAAGGAAGGGTTGGCATTTGAAATGATTATCAAAGTATTATTATATAGGGAACAGGACTTCTAGGCAAACATTCACGTACGCATTATTACCTAAATGTTAATCCTTTAAAGAAACAAAACTATTGCCCTACTAACTTGTTCACAAGAATCTATTGCCAGTCTAGCTATACCACCCTTCAAACTGTATACAAACAGGTGTTTCCTTGTTTATGGCTTTCTAAACAGGATTTCAGGGACAGTTCCTCCCCTTGCAATTTGGGTTATAATTCTCATAGTCAAGACCAGTGCTGCCATTGGTTTTTTTATTGTTTTCCTTAAAGAAATGGGGCGTTGCTCTGTTGCCCAGACTGGAGTGCAGTGGTGGTGTAGTCATACTCACTGCAGCCTCAAACTCCTGGGCTCAAGCAATCTTTCCATGTCAGTTTCCCAAGTAGCTGGGACTATAGGTACATGTCACTGAGCCCAGCTAATTGGTTTTTTTTTTTTTTTATAGAGATGGGGGTCTCACTGTGTTGCCCAGGCTGGTCTCAAACTCCTCGTCTCAAGTAACCCGCCTGCATTGGCCTCCCAAAGTGCTGGGATTACAGACATGCGCCACCATGCCTGACCCAGTATCGTGGTTAGTTCTGAGTCTTGGGATAAAGTGCTAGCATTCTGGGCACAGGTTGCCATTGCTCTGGGCCTATCTAGGGACTATTTCATTAATTAACCAAAGAGAGCTCTTCTACCCTCAAATTGTTTAACAAGGCAACTGAGACTAAATAATCTGTATTTGCAAGTAATATAGGTTGTAGTTTAGTTATGATCCAGCCAAGAAGTGTATTCTTTCAACAGTACTTGTATCCCCTTTAAGTTAAGTTCTATGAGTTTTCTGTACACTAATCGGACCTAAGAAATTCCCCTTTCTCATGTCAGTCTGCCTTTGACTTTGGGTGCATCTCTGAAGGTTTTATGTAGAAATGATTCTTTTTAGGGAGTCTGCTCTCATTAAAAAAAAAAAAAAAAAGAAAACTACCTAATTTCTATCCAATAACAATATAATTTATAACATTCCCTTTAAAATTCTGTTCAATAATATATGACTCGTAGACTAAATTAAATGCAGTCCTTAGAAAACAATATACATAGCTCTCCCCATGGACACTGCCTATTTAAAATAGATGACACAAATCCATTCCCAGCTCTCTGGGCACTGCCATGGGTGTTCAGTCACCAAAAGCTGGCAAAGACCCAGGGCTTATCTAATTTTATCAAGTACTTAGTATAAACCATCTAGTTCTAAAAGAGCACACCAGCTGTTTAACTGAGTCTGACTCATCAGCAAGTTTAAGAACCACTGGCTTTCTGCAGAATCCTTATTTTTGTTTGTTGTTCAAGCTGTGAAAAAAGTAAGTAGTCAAATCAAAAATAGCAACTCTAGAATGGACTTAAGCTAGTCCCATGCTACTTCCAACCTGAAGGAAACTCAGAGCTAGGACTCCAAGGTCTTTCCTCTTTTAAGATTCTAAAATCCCTGTAGCAATATTTCCATTCTAAACAACCCTGACTTTCACTGTAGATAGCCTGCAAACTCATATTGAATATTATTTTCTCCAGATTTCTTCCCCAACATGCCAGTGAAAAGAATTAACATTTACTTAACATTATCAATAATCAACTAAGCTCCAACACTTTTTTGGGGGGGGGGATGTGGGAGGGGGAAGCAGGGAACAGTTTTCCTCTTGTTGCCCAGGCTGGAGTGCAGTGGTGCGATCTCGGCTCACTGCAACCTCCGCCTCCCGGGTTCAAGCAATCCTCCTGCCTCAGCCTCCCGAGTAGCTGGGATTACAGGCACTCACCACCACTCCCAGGTAATTGTCTGTATTTTTAGTAGGGACGATGTTTCACTGTGTTGGCCAGGCTGGTCTCAAACTCCTGACCTCAGGTGATCCACCCACCTCAGCCTCCCAAAGTGCTGGGATTACAGGCATGAGCCACCACACCCAGCTCGCTCCAACACTTCTAAGTGAAGTCTTTCCCCCTATAAATAGCTGTTTTTCTCCTTACACATCTACCCAAGAATAGAGGTTTCCCCCATCAGTGAAACTCTGACCATGGACCCAGAAATTATTTCACCGTGAGAATTCTGGGATGCCCCAGTTGTGGTTCTGTACCTAACCTTGTGCTCTAGGCTTTGGCTTCTCTAGTGACAAACAGGCATGGCCTGAGTGTGCTTCCTATGTGCCCATACTGCGTTTCCCTGGGTCAGGGTACTCGGTGTAGCTCTGTGAAGACTTCCATTTCTGTAGAGCTCAAGAAAGTGGACACCCTGAATTTCTCAGACCTTGGGTAAACTTGAATTCCACAGCTGACATGCCCAGAAATCCGGACTGGCTTTTCCCCTCCCACCTTGCCAGCAAAAGTTTCCTATATGCGTAAGTTCAACAAAGCTAAAAAGTAGTGTCTTTCTGGTGGCTCTACTTTGATTCTGGGCAAAGCAAACACTTGACATGACTTCCTTTAAAAGAAAGTCTATTACTTTAGCTTTCCCTAAATGCCACTGAAAAGTTGAATGTCTGAAGCTTCTCAATACTGTTCTATTAGAACTAGATACAGGGGACACAGCTCATGCTTCAGCGCCAAGGCTAATAGTAAAAAGGCTGTATAGGTTCCTTCCTTTGCAGATTCCACTCTTCTCTCCTCCCCATACATGCCATTTGCCAACCTTATCTATTAAACCCATTCTAGGTAAGGCATTCAGTTAGTTACTTCTCTTTTAAGAGTAGGAACTTAACAGAGCTGTATGTCCAATACAGTGTGTGGTACCAGACAGGCTCGGCAGCAACATTATTACTTTTAATTCCCCTTCTAGGTGGAATTGCCCATTCACAGTCAGTCCTATTTGGACCACATAGCCCTGCCTTCTCCTTGCATACCCACATCTCCCTGCACTGACTAGATGACTTACACCAGGCATCACCCAGAGACCTGCTGGGCTGTATTTTGTCTCTGGAATTTATACCAGAAGTATGAAGGCGTTCTCTAATTTCAAAAGTAGTAGGAAGGATGCCTAATGGGTACATAATAGGTTATTTGCAAACTAAAGTTAGGAGGAAGCAAAAGCTATGGTCGAGGACAGCAAGCCATTTAGTAGAAAACAATGGAGTGGTTTCAAGATGGCTGACTAAAGTGCCCCTGGTACTTGCTTTCTGCTTGAAGAACCACCAAAACAGTAGTAGATAAATCACACTTTGAATAGATCACCTAAGAGAGAATGCTGGAATTTACCACCAAAATGACAGGAAACACCTGAGGCAAGTAAGGAGAGGGAAGCAAGGCAGGGTACCTGGCAGGGATTGGTTGGGGAGGCTCCCCCATGCTGGAGAAGGGTAAGTGACCCCCAACAGTCAGCATCCGCATTCCCATTGTGAAGTCCTGCAATCCCAGCCATGGAAGAAACCCTCAACCCACACAAACAGGGAACTTGGGGACTGCATGATGGCACTGCTCCAGAGAGGGAGCTCATCCCCCCGAGTCCTAAGCAGCTACAGCAGGGCACCATTTTGAGAGCCCCACCCCCAGCAGACTGCATCATTCCCTGAGGCCCAACAGCCCCTGCATATCCACATCTCTGAAGCCCCATTAAAGTCCCCCACCCACAGCTGGGTGCTGCCGCAGGGCCAAAGTATACAAGCTACTGGCAGTGAGCCAGCAGAGCCACTGTGCATTGTCAAGCCTGATTACAGGCTACCCTGTCCTGCAGATACCATCTGGGGCCAAAGTGCATGCTCCCAACCCACCTGTTTATGACTGCTGCCACACAAAAACACCCCTACCTACCACAGCCAAGCCCTATACACACCACTGAGGGACCTATCCAGCCCGGCTCCACCTACCCCTATGCCCAAGCACACCATCGGGCGTTGGAGGGTGCACCTATCATTAACACCTGAGCACTCCTCCCAGGGGCCTCAGGAAGGGACCATCCAACCTGCTGCTACCACCACCCACATGCACCACCTATGGGCCTGGGGACTAGCCACCCAGCCCATCACGGTCACCACCACCACCAGCGCAAACCACTTGGGAATCAGAGGGTTGTCCTGCCACTGCCCGCACCACACCTGCTGTCTATGGGCAGCAAGCCCGAGGACCTTCCCACCGTGCTACTGCTGGCATCCAAGCAAGCTTCCTGGAGACCCAAGAATCAGCCCACCTGGACCCTCTAACATCAGTGCCAGCATACACTGCCCCAGGGCCCAAGGACAGGCATGCTCAGCCTGCTGCTGCCACTCCTGGGGCTCGAGGATGGGCCCACCTAATGTTCCCATCTCCAGCAAATGCTTCATTGCAGCAATTAAAAACTGCAACTTAAGCCACTGAGGAAATCACACACAACTGATAACTTTACAGCCAAAGAAATCATACTGAGACTACACTATTGCATGCATCTGGAATCAAAGCCAAAGTGATCTACCCGACCAACACCACAGATATATCTTAAGGAAAATATCCTCCCCTATGAAGGCAAATTCAAAAAATTGGAAGAAGTGACTGTTAAACCAGATGTACAGATACCGAAATACGGATTCAAGAAACATGAAGAAGGAAATATGACACTTCCAAAGGAACACAGTAATTTTGTAGCAACAGATTCCAATGAAGAAATGTGTGAAATCTCAGAAAAAGAATTCAAAATAATGATTCAAAAAAAATTGAAAAAGCTCAGTGAGATACAAGAAAACAGCAATCAGAAAAATAATACAAAGAAATCAGAGAAACCATTTAGGATATGAATGAGAAAATTCCCAAAGACATAGATATAAAAAAAAATTCTGAAATTGATGAATTCATTGAATGAAATATAAAATAGATCCAACAGTTTCAACAATAGACTGCATCAAGCAGAACTTCAGAACTTCAAAAATTAGGTCTTTTGAACCCAGACAAAAATAAGAAAGAATGAGCAACAGCTCTGTGACATATGTGACACCATAAAGTCATCAAATATTCAAATTTTTGGTGTCTCAGAAAACAAAAATAAAAGGGATAGAAAACCTATTTGATTAAGTAATACCCGAAAACTTCCCAAGTCTAGCAAGAGATTTAGACACCCAGGCACAGGAAGCTTAGAAAACCCCAAATAGATGCAATTCAAAAATCCATGGCATATTACAGTCAAACTGTCAAAAGTCAGAGAATAAAACAGCAAGAGAAAAGTATCAAGTCACTTAGAAGGGGAACACCTATCAGACTAACAGTGAATTTCTCAGCAGCCACCTTACAGGCTAGGAGAAAATGGGATGATGTATTGAATGTGCTGAAAGAAAAATAAACCCCACCAGCCAAACTATTCTCAGATCGTGATGGAATAAAACTGGAAATGAATAATGAGGAACTTGGGAAATTGTACAAATGCATGAAAATTAAACAACATGCTCCTGAATGACCACTGGGTCAGGGAATAAATTAAAGGAATAAAAAAATTTCTTGAAACAAATGAAAATAGAGGCAGGACATACCGAAACCCAACAACAATGCTAGGAGGTAAATTAATACCAATAAACGCCCACATCAAAAATCTAGAAAGATTTCAAGTAAATAATCTAACAATGCAACTCAAGATAGTAGAAAAACAAGAACAAACCTAAAATTGGTGGAAGAAAAATACTAAAGAGCAGAGCAGAACTTAACAAAATGAACTCTTAAAAGTACAAAGGATCAACAAAAAAAGTTGCTTTTATGAAAGGATAAACGAAATCGACAAGAGAAAAAGAAAACCCAAATAAATTCAGAAATGAAAAAGACATTACAACTGATAACACAGAAATACAAAAGAACATCTATCTCCAATCATCTATTTGGAGATAGGGTCTCACTGTCACCCAGTCTGGGGCACAGTGGCGTGATCATCACTCACTGTAACCTCAGCCTCCTGGGTTCAAGTGATCCTCCCGTCTCAGTCTCCTGAGTAGCTGGGACTACAGAGCATGCCAGCATGAATAATTTTTCTTTTTCTTCTTTTTTTTTTTTTTTTTTTTTTTTTGGTAGAGACAGGGTCTTGCTATGTTGCCCAGGCTGGTCTTGAACTCATGGCTTCAAAGGATCTCCCACCTCGGCCTCTCAAAGTCCTGGGACTACCGGCATAAGCTACCATGCCTAGCTATCAGAGACTACTGCTAACTGCTGTGCATGAACTGGAAAGCCCAGAATAAATGGATCAATTCCTGGATACATACAATCTTCCAAGATTCAATCAGGAAGAAATAGAAAACCTGAACAGACCAATAATGAGTAATGAGATTCAATCAGTAATAAAATGTCTCCCATTTGGTCCCAATCCAGGACCAAATGGCTTTATTATTGAATTCTACCATACTTACAAAGAAGAACACCCATTCTCCTCTAACTATTCCAAAAAATTGAAGGGAATTCTCCCTAACTCATTTCATGAGGTGAGCATTACCCTGATACGAAAAACAGACAAGGATGCAACATAAGAAACCCATAAGCCAATATCTCTGATGAACACAGATGCAAAAATCCTCAACAAAATGCTAGCCAGCCTAATTCAACAACACATCAAAAAGATATGCCACGATCAAGTGTGATTTATCCCAGGGATGCAAGGAGGTTTCAACATAGGCAAATCAATAAATGTGACACATCACATTCAAATGTGATGAAAGTCTTTTAATAACATTCAACATCCCTTCATGATTTAAAAAAAAAAAAAAACCTGTCCACAGGAACTACGCATGAAGGGGACATAACTCAACATGATAAATGTTGCATGAACACACAACTAACGCCATCCTAAACAGGGAAAAGCTGAAAGCCTTTCCTCTAAGAACTGGAATAAGACAAGGATGCCTACTTTGACCCCTCCTATTCAGCATAGCAGTGAAGACCTAACCCTGAGCAATGAGGCAAGAGAAAGAAATAAACGGACCAGGTGTGGTGGCTCACACCTGTAATCCCAGCACTTCGGAAGGTCAAGGCGGGCAGATCGCCTGAGGTCAGGAGTTCACAACAGCCTGGGCAACATGGCGACACCCCATCTCTACAAAAAAAAAAAAAAAAAAAATACAAAAAATTATCCAGGATTGGTGGCATGTGCCTGTGGTCCCAGCTATTTGGGAAGCTGAGGTGGGAGCATCACTGCTTAAGCACAGGACAATGAGGTTGCAGTGAGCTGAGATCGTGTCACTGCACTCCAGCCTGGGTGACAGGGAGACCCAGTCTCGAAAAGAAAAAAAGAAAAGAAATAAAGGCATCCAAGTTGTATAACAGGAAATCAAACTGTCCGTCTTCGCAGACAATATGATCTTATATGTAGAAAAACCTAAAGACTCTACCAAAAAACTCTTAGATCTGATAAATTCAGTAAAGTTAAAGGATATAAAATCAACATACAAAAATCTCTAGCATTTTTTTTTTTTGACCGAGTCTCACTGTGTCACCCAGGCTGGAGTGCAGTGACACGATCTTGGCTCACTGCAACTTCCGCCTCCCAGGTTCAAGCAATTCTCCTGCCTCAGCCTCCCAAGTAGCTGGGAGTACAGGCGCGTGCCACCACACCTGGCTAATTTTTTCCATTTCCAACAGAGACGGTTTCACTGTGTTAGCCAGGATGGTCTCGATCTCCTGACCTCATGATTCTCCTGCCTCATCCTCCCAAAGTGCTGGGATTACAGGCGTGAGGCACCATGCCCCCAAATCTCTAGCATTTCTATACAACAATAGTGAATTAGCAGAGAAAGAAATCAAGAGGTCAGGCCTGGCATTGTGGCTTACGCCTGTAATCCCAGCACTTTGGGAGGCCGAGGCAGGTGGATCACTTGAGGTCAGGAGTTCAAAACCAGCCTGGCCAACATGGTGAAACCCTGTCTTTACTAAAAATACAAGAATTAGCCGGGTGCATGCCTGTAATCCTAGCTACTGGGAAGGCTGAGGAGGGAGAATCGCTTGAACTTAGGAGGTGGAGGTTGCAGTGAGCCGAGATCGCACCACTGCACTCCAGCCTGGGCGAGCGACTGAGTGAGACTCTGTCTCAAAAAAAAAAAAAAAAAGAGCAATCCCATTAACAATAGCTACAAAAAAAGAAGAAGAAGAAAAAAAGACACCTAGGGATCTATTTAACCAAGGAGGTAAAAGAACTCTACAAAGGAGACTGCAAAACACTGGTGAATGAAAATGCAGAAGACAGAAACAGGTGGAAAGATATCCCACGCATAAGGATCAGAAGAATTAATATGGTTAAAATGACCAGACTACCCAAAGCAATCTACAAATTTAATGCAACCCCTGTCAAAACACCAATGACATTCTGCACAGAAATAGAAAAAAAAAATCCTAAAATTCATACAGAATTAAAAAAGAGCCAGAAAGCCAAAGTAATCCTGAGCAAAATGAAAAAAAGCTTGGAGGCATCACACTACCTGACTTCATATTACAAGGCTATAATAACCAAAACAGCACAGTATTGGTATAAAAACAGACTCGTCAGCAACCAATGAAACAGAATAGATACCAGAAATAAGTCCACGTATTTACAGCCAACTGACTTTTGACAGAGGTACCAAGAACATACAATAGAGACAGTCTCGTCACTAAATGGTGCTGGGAAAATTGGATATCCATATGCAGAAGAATGAAATTGGACCCCTATCTCTCAAGTAAGTTGGATTACAGACTTAAATGTAAGACCTGAAACGATAAAACTAATCAAAGAAAACATAGGGGAAACGCTTCAGGATATTGGTCTGGGCAAAGATTTTATGGCTAAGACCTTGAACACAGAGGCAATAAAAATAGACAAATGGGATTATATTAAACTAAAAACCTGCACAGCAAAGGAAACAATCAGGAGAATAAAGAGACAGTCTGTTGAATGGGAGAAAATATTTGCCAAGTATTTATCCAGCAAGGAGCCAATATCCAGGACATATAAGGAACTCAACTCAACGGTAGAAAACCAAATACTCCCATTGAAAAGTGGGCATGGGGCATGAATAGACAATTCTCAAAAGAAGACGTACAAATGGCCAATAGGTATATGAAAAAATTCTCAATATCACTAACCAGGAAAATGCAAGTCAAAACCACAATCTTACCTCAGTTAGAATGGCCATTATTAAAAAGACCAAAAAAACATTAAGAGATGCTGTTGAGGATGCAGAGAAAAGGAACTCTTCTACACTGCTGCTCGGAATATAAATTAGTCCAGCCACCAGAGAAATGCAGAAAAGGGGGCCTAATCCGGGGAAGTATGCTGAGGGAGATGTGCAGTGGTAACTGGGCTTTTTAAAAGGTATTAATACAAGAGATCACCTGGTAACAGGGAGAATGGATGCGGAAGAATCTCCAGTCAGCTGCCCATACCAAAAAATGCTTTCCTTCCTTGATTAAAAAGGATGACTATTTCTAGTATTTATAGTCTCTGCTCCCAAATTTGGAGGCTATCCTGATATACATCAAGAGTAAATGTCATTTATCAAAAGAACACTTGAGTGTGCCACTAGTGTGATCCCTGCTGTAACGTACAGGAACACAACTCTAGAACTGGAAAGGAAGAGACATGGGTTTCCAGGACACACAAATTTTAAATGAAGATTAATAGGAAAAACAAAGATACATCATATTCTTCGCCTGACCTTCACACTCCTCCCTCCCCCATTTTCATCTATTAAAATGGGCTGGATATACAAATACCACAGGAACACAACATATGGCAACCCCGACGCCTCAGAAGGAAACCACAGTTAGGCTATTTCTATTCCTCCCTGTCTCTTTGTACTACAGTGTGCGCCTGTAGTCCCAGCTACTTGGGAGGCTGAGACAGGAGAACTGCTTGAACCCAGAAGGCGGAGGTTGCAGTGAGCCGTGATCACACCACTGCCCTCCAGCCTGGGCGACAGAGTGAGACTCTGTCTCAGAGAAAAAAAAAAAAAAAAAAACTTCTTAGCCGGGATATTACTAGAGATTCATACAAGCAATTTCCTATTTCTTAGAGCAATAAGGACACCAAGCATCACATTGCTCAAAATAACCAGGTGTTCAAGCCCAGAAAGGAGGGTTGCAGAAAGCTGGCCATTCCACCTGCAGGCAGCAAATGCTTCACTGAGAAGCACAGAGGCCTTCCTCCCAGTCCCAAATGATATGGCTTGGCTGTGTCCCCACCCAAATCTCATCTTGAATTCCCACATGTTGTGGGAGGGACCCAGTGGGAGGTAACTGAATCATGGGGGCAGGTCTTTCCCATGCTGTTCTTGTGATAGTAAGTCTCACGAGATCTGATGGCTTTATAAGGTGGAGTTTCCCTGCACAAGCTCTCTCTGCCTGCCGCCATCCACGTAAGATGTAACTTGCTCCTTCTTGCCTTCCGCCATGCTTGTAAGGCCTCCTAAGCCACGGGGAACTGGGAGTCCAATTAAACCTCTTTCTTGTGTAAACTGCCCAGCCTTGGGTATGTCTTTATCGGCAGCATGAAAACAGACTAATAAACCAACACTCCAAAACGTGTGGCTCCGCTTGTGAAGAGCCTCATGATAGTTTTATAAAGTGCACAAAGAAGACCTGGTCAAAACAAACGGAAGACTCTTCATTACACAGAGCCACATCAGGAACAAATTACAAGGTATGCCCATTTTTTCTTTTGTTTAAAAATTAATATTAAAAGAAACTAGAAAATTCAACATCTGTGATACTACTTAGGCATTCTTTCATTATCACTGAAGGGTGGTGCTATTGCCTGGATATTTGTGTTACCCCAAAATTTGTATACTGAATGCCTAACCCCCACAAGGCAATGGGATTAGGAAAATAGGACTTTTGTGGGTGATTAGGTCATAAGGGGTTAACCCTCATGAAAGGGATTAATGACCTAATAAGAGATCCAGGGGAGCTCCCTTGCCCCTTCCACTGTGTGAGGACATTCTACAACCTGGAAGAAGGCCCCACCATTACCCAACCATGCTGGCACCCTAATCTTAGACTTCCAGCTTCCAGACTGAGAAATTTGTTTTTTATAAACCACCCAGTCTGCTGCAATTGGTTATAGCAGCCCAAACTAAGACAGGAAGGATATATAACCATTTTTGGTTGAAATTTCTGAAACATTTAACTTCCATTAAAGGATCTAATTAGAATATCTCACCTTTAAAATAAATAATCGTTGAACGAGATATTTTTTGAAGCTGTTTTGATTTTGCCTTTCCTTGACTAATCTTGTTAACACTTCTTAACTGTAAAATGTTGTTATTGTCTCATAGCCTCTGAATATTCTATTGTTAATAAAGTAAGAACTTTTTTTTTTCCATTTTAAACTAGAGTCAAGGGGTTGGCTTGCAAGCTAAGAACATTTTTAAGGAGTTTTTTTTGTTTGTTTTTTCAAAAAAGAATATGTGACCTACAAAGCCTAAATATTTATTATCTGACCTTTCACTGAAAAAAAAAAAAATACCAACCCCAGAACTAGACTAACAACAGCAGGCTCAATGCAAAGAAATATACCTTGGTCTACTTATTTTGAAATAGTGCTTTTATGACTAGCCAGGCAAGCCAAATTGATTGCTCCACCTACATTTGATGACAGATCTGTCCAGAAGAACACTGGAAAGCAGGCCTCAGTTTAGTCTTCTTTGGGTTTTAATTTCACCATTTTTAGGATTCACTGAGGCACTAAATTTAGATCTTAAATCCCACCTCAAAATCAGACAAGGTTCGTAGGCTATGGGCCATGAGTTGTTCATCATTTGCCCAATGTTCAGCAATAATCAAGTTTGGAAAACATCACGAAGTATCAACAATGCTAGGAGGTATACAGTGAATGCTAAATGAGGGATTATATGAATCTTAAGGAAAGTGGATAGTATGAAAGAGTCTGAGTGGATTTAGATAGGTGGGCAGCACTGTCTAAACACAGGGCAGGGGCAAGGCCCAGATAAGAGGCATTTTGTGGCAGGAGGAGAGTCTGGCTGAAGCATAGATACAGGAATTTCATAACAGGCGGTGATATAAACAATCTGGGGTTACAGCCTCAATAGAAGGGTCTCAGGAAAAGTATTTTAACACTCCTCACTGTATTGAAAGAAAATACAGACTCATACCATGGCTGTTCTCCTGAATAATCAAATAAATTTGGAATCTCTGGCATTCAGCCAAGTTCACGGGGAGTCACTAAGCATATAAACTGGCTATGTGCAAAGCAGCCCTGCCCTGAGCTCCCGCAGGCCTGGGAGGTTTTCACTGATGCTGACACTCTCTTGGCACAGTTAAGTGTGCAGGGCTGCACTGGCTGCCAGAGAAGAACAATGGTCAGGGTGTTTTAAGAGCCATTTTTAACTAGAAGTTAATTTCTGGGTGTCAGGAATTGACAGAGAAGTTTTGGCTATCAAAGACTGTCCTAGGAGAGGATTTAAATGACTACGTCTCTACCCAAATCTGAGACTGACTCATGAAGCCAAGGTGCCCAGAGAAACAAGATGAGTCATTGCTCAAGGAATTCGGGGGTGGGGCTTAGAGGTTAAATGTTGTACATAGGCCAGGCGCGGTGGCTCACGCCTGTAATCCCAACACACTGGGAGCCCGAGGCAGGCGGATCACGAGGTCAGGAGATTGGGACCATCCTGGCTAACACGGTAAAACCCTGTCTCTACTAAAGATACAAAAAATTAGCCGGGCGTGGTGGCGGGCGCCTGTAGTCCCAGCTACTCTGGAGGCTGAGGCAGGAGAATGGCGTGAACCCGGGAGGTGGAGCTTGCAGTGAGCCGAGATCGCGCCACTGCACTCCAGCCTGGGTGAGAGAGCAAGACTCCGTCTAAAAAAAAAAAAAAAAGTTGTACATAAATGTAAAAAGCAAGGATCTGTGTATTCAGGGCTGAAATAAAAGCTGGGGCCTACATCCACATCAAGCAAATATTTCCACTACCTAGAGTCAGTAAAATGCAGTGCATGGTTGCTCTGGCCTGCTTTCTTCTCCAGAAAGGTCTTGGTCTACAACAAATCTATTTATCTAGGCTTCTTTTTTTGCCATTATAACTTTACATCTGTTAAATCAAACTAAAATCTGTCCTGAAAACCCCCTGCTCACATACTTGAGTTCTTCTGTACAAAGAACAACCTAATTTGGTAAGTAAGCAAACTGGGAGCCTGACTCAGGAATGTGCTTCTGTAACAGCAGCTGAGTCTCAGCCAGTCCCTGCAGCCATATTTCAACCACTCACAGCCATTCAAACCACGCTCAAATAAAGCTCCAAGGCCGAGCTGTAACCAATCCGGCAGTTTCTGCACCTCGCTTCCATTTTCTGTACTCACTTTCCTTTTTCTGTCCATAAATTCTCCCTGACCACTTAGAAGCAGTGGAGTCATTCTGAATCTGCAGTGACTCTGAGGGCTGCCCAATTTGAAAGTCGTTTCTTCCTTGCCCAGTGACACCCTTAAATTTATCTAAAGTTGTTCTTTTAACACAGTTGGTTCAAACTGACCCAATTACCACACTATGGTTGACATCATTTTCCCGAGTTGATATCCTTCATATGTGGCTGCATGTCCACTGAGCAGGCCTGCCACTGAGGCCCTCTATTATATCAATGTCATCCTCTCTATAGTAATTTTAATCTTTCACAAAACAGCCCTCAGTACAAGTTACTATTTGACCAATTACACAGACGTTAATGGGTGTTTTGAGAAGGGTCAAGGAAGAAGAGCAGAAAATGATGAAGTATGGAATATGTTATAGCTGAGAATTTTCTTTAAAATTACAAACAGTGGGTCAAAGTTATGTGTCAGTCACTTCCAGAATGCCATTTTACTTCCAGAGATCTGCATGAGCTGACCTTCAAAATAAATGGACTAGGGTTCAGACCAAGTAATCAATCAATCAATACAGCATGGGATCCTGATTATCAAGAAACCCCACAGAGCTCACAGAACTCAGCAGCCCCCTCCCAAGGTGCCTATTCCCTCACTTGTAAAACAGTGGCAGTCATCCCTCATCTTTTCATGGAAATTTAGTCAAAAATAAAAGTAGTGTAAAATGCAAATCATCATCAAGATCAATCAAAACTCAGATTTCTAGATTTCTCATAAAGAGGGACTTGGACACTAACACAGACAGGTGAGCGAAAAACAAACCACAATAGCTAGTGAGACAAAAGCTAGACCTAGTGAGGTCTAGCCCAGGGCATACAAAGCACGCCCACACATTCAAACGCCCTTCAGTCCAGTCACAGGCCCATGCTCTGGGAAGAGCTCTCAGGATAGTAACGGCTCTAGCTATTGCTCAGCCTTCCGGGTCTGCCCTGGTCCTCGTGCTCTAATTAAAAAGAAAAAAATATGTTGTCTCACTTAAGAAAGAATGCTGATTTTTTTCTAATATGATAAATGAACAGAAGATGTCAGAATAGTATTTTCTGCTAACTACCTTCAGATAAGTCACATTTTCCATGCTGCATCTGCAGAAACATTTGAGTGTGTGTCTTAAAAAGGAAGCCCTAAATTCTGCTGAATCATACTCTGTGCTTCTTCACAAAATTTAATTAATGTAAGATGAAAGCTTTGAAAATTAGCTGTTGTAATGGCTTGAGGTTCTGACTTTGAATTTTATATAACACATCTACAATTTACATATTCTTTTAATGTTTGGAATTTGTTTTTTCAAATAAAAGCAAGATTCTAGTAAAACATTTTAAATTATCTCTGAGACTAATTCCCATTAGTTTACCCTTAATGTTACATATTGTGCATTTTAAGTCTAAGCATTAAATTATCATACGGCACTTAATGTGATCAAAGGGAAAAACACAGGAAATGACAAATTTACACAGAACACAACTGTATAAAAATCCCCTTATAAAGAAAATTAAGACAAAAATTATAGCTGATCTATTAGGGTACAGATTTTCTAACCCTCCTCTCTGTTCCCCCTAAATAATGATAATGCAGGACATATTAATACACCCAAATATATAGTGTTTTATTAATACTTTATATGTAAAGAGAACATTATAAAAAAATAAAAATCAAGTAAAATTGACCTTTAAAAATCCCTTGAATGTGTCCTGAAGCCTGGTCTTGCATTAGTTACTCTCAAAAAACTACATATTCATCTCTAGTTTGATAATGCAAAATGTGGGTGCAAATCTTCGTAAGGCCTCACTGCCAGCTTTGTATGATGCAAATGCAAATTGCTATGCTGCTGCTCTACAGGTTGGCATCAGAACTGGACCTGGAAGTTGTATAGATGACAGGCTCCAGAAGTGGCAACTGCCTTTCCCAGCAGTTGAAACCTTTCTGGTCCCTTGCAGAGCACTCTGGGAATGTTTTAGAAAATGGGAGGAAAACAAAATCTGCTCAAATAGGAACAAGGACAGCTGCCTTCACTTAACAATGATCAAAACCCAACTCCTCACCACAGCAGAGCCCAGAAGGAAAGAAGCTCTGCTGCTGTTCGCCCACACTGAGCAGATGAGGAGAGTGGCTCCCAGTTAGGGAGGAGGTTAACAAGCAACAGCAGCCTGTTGTCCCAGTCCTTCAGATTAGTTACCTGCTGTGATTACACAGAAGCTGTGTTCCAGAAAACCACTTCAGGAAACGTCCCAAAGTAAGGGCACACATCAACTACTTCTCAGTATGAAACTTACAGATTTGCAGATCATCTGTTTCACCTTTTGCTACTGGCTAATTTATTAGGACAGGTGAGGACACTGATGCTGAGCACATTAATTCCATGCAGCACATAACCTAACCGTCAACAGACACAAAGTACTTACTGCCACAAACAGCATGCAGTACATGGAAAACGAAGAGTGGCCTGAATAGAAGGACAACCTGGAAGAAAAAGAAGACAAATGTTACTTTTCTCTCTTAGGAGCCAAAAGTATTGTTGATTTCATAAATCTGCTCCTTAGTTTCAGAGTGTACACAACTGCCTCCCTCTACTTTGAGAAATTAGAAGGGTACGGCAGGGGGACAATTAGGACATGAACATTAAAGAGTGCAAGAAGGATCTGAGGTCAGATCTCTATACAGTATCATTTTATTGAAACCTTCAGGATGGGTAATGTGTCATGAAAATAAACTTGCCAAGCAATTCTAAGATGTCAGAAGAATGATACTTGACAAGTCATAACTGGCACAAATTGCCTTGACTTTATTACATACACACTTATGTGACCATGATTTAAGTTTTATTTTCCACTTGCAGGATTAGTCCCTGAATAATGTCATACCTCCTTGGGAACACTCAGAAGTTGATTGCTTTTTTCCATCCATATTAATATTTTAGTATTTTGGCCCAGCGCAGTGGCTCAGTCCTGTAATCCCAGCACTTCAGGAGGCCAAGGCGGGCGGATCACGAGGTCAGGAGATCGAGACCATCCTGGCCAACATGGTGAAACCCCATCTCTACTAAAAACACAAAAATTAGCCGGGCGTGGTGGCGTGTGCCTGTAGTCCCAGCTACTCGGGAGGCTGAGGCAGAAGAATTGCTTGAACCTGGGAGGCAGAGGCTGCAGTGGGCCGAGATCGCACCACTGCACTCCAGCCTGGGTGACAGAGGGAGACGCCATCTCAAAAAAAAAAAAATTTGGTGTTTTAAATGGGCACACATCTTGCCTTACATTTCCCACCAAATTCAGTGCTTTTGTTTCTTTCAATATTAGAGTCTATAAACATCTAAGTATCATCTTCCCCACCTAAAAATGACAGAATGCTTACAAAACTTAATTTTGTGGCACTTCTGAGAAAAGAAAAATAGAGCTAACATTAAAGATCTAAGATTTGCTTATACAGAATGAGCCACTGATGCAGAAGAGGCAAGCACATCAGGCACAGTGAAAGTATGCCACGAAAAGATGCTCATGCAAATAACTAGAATGCATCTCCCAACCACTTTTCCCTACGTAAGAATAAGAACAAAAACAAGAGGGACCGGCTCTTAAGTAATTTACTTATTACACTCTGCCTTGTTCAAAAGGAATTTAAGGGAGACGTTGGTTCCCTGAATTCAGACAGGAGAGAAACCTCCTCACACACATACTGGAAAGTCACGTGTGTATGTTTGGCAGCTGCCAGTGGGTGGGAAAGAAAGGATTACTTAAAAAAAAAAAAAAAATATATATATATATATATATACACACACACACACACACACACATATATATGATTCTACCAAGAATTTTGATTGTCTTTTTGTAATCAGATACATGCCTAAGAAAGAGAATTCTGTAAATTCCTGTGCCAACCAGGAATTATGTAATTAAACCCAATAATTATTCTGGGTTTAGTCTACGTAAAGGAAGAAAAATAAATCACTTTTTAACCTTGCTATTTGACCACACAGAATGGATCAATACGAATAGTAATTTTAAATCAGATAATTAGAGCACAGCTCTGCATATTTTATAGTTTCAATGTTTTATTGAAGAGCCTACAAGTTAATAAAAGCCAATTTCAAGGATTGTCAAAGCCCACCAAGCCAACATATCCATAATCACAGAAATATTCTCAAAGCCAAGCAAGTGAGGTCTCACTAAATCCTTTACACTGTGCTATAAAATCATGAACTGCAAACTAATTTAGGTAATAGTTTTAAACAGCTCTGAATCAGCCATAGAATGATTTCATTTGTTGGTTTCCATTTTTTACACTGAATACAAAAACAGATATTTTATTCAGTATAGAATTTGTGAAGAAGTCTGGCTATGACTTTGACAGACAGGGATTAAAAACAAAGGGGTAATTCTATTCAATCTCAGTGTCTATGTCTTTATCCATAGTAATTTAACAAACAGATCATAATATGGTCTTTTATTTCTATTAAGCAAACAGAATAAAGCACAAAACAATGGAAATTCAAAGCATTCATATTCCATATAAATCTAACTCTTTATCGGAGTCTTTAGTAGATACAGCTCTTAAGGATATCTTATTATGACCAGAATTCACAAATAGACTAAATATCTGTATGGGTGGTTTAATAAATCCCAAGGAGTAGCCCAAATGCTTTTTTTTTTTTTTTGAGACAGAGTCTCACTGTATTGCCCAGACTGGAGTGCAGTGGTGCAATCTTGGCTCACTGCAACCTCCGCCTCCCGGGTTCAAGCGATTCTCCTGCCTCAGCCTCCCTAATAGCAGGGATTACAGGCTTGCACCACTGTGCCAGCTAATGTTTGTATTTTTAGTAGAGACGAGGTTTCGCCACATTGGCCATGCTGGTCTGGAACTCCTGACCTCATGTGATCCGTCGCCCTCGGCCTCCCAAAGTGCTAGGATTACAAGCGTGAGCCACCGCGCCCGGCCCCAAATGCAGTTTGTTTTCATCATAGTGACTTCACTGAAATGTTTAAGACTATGGCCCTGGCCTAAGAACCCTGCCCTTAGACTTTAACCAATTCTAGATTTTAACCAATCCTAGACTATCATCTCACTTCATTATAGCCTCTCTGATGAAGGCAAGTACAGTACAGTAACAATGTGAGCCAGCTTTCCAACCAAATCTTACGAAAATCTTCTCAGGAAGAAAATTTACGGAGAGAAAAATGTATTTTGAAATGCTGCTGTTTTCACTGACTCTGAGGGGTGGTCTACTGAACAATAAGCCAGCTTCAATTATTAAGTAAACTGATTTTGACTACATAAATCACTATGAATGGGATTCTATTTTGTGTGTGTGTGTGTGTGTGTGTGTGTGATGGAGTCTCGCTCTGTTACCCAGGCTGGAGTGCAGTGGCGTGATTTGGCTCACTGCCACCTCTGCCTCCTGGGTTCAAGTGATTCTCCTGTCTCACCCTCCTGAGTAGCTGGGACTACAGGTGCGCACCACCACGCCCAGCTAATTGTTGTATTTTTAGTAGAGATGGGGTTTCGCCCTGTTGGCCAGGCTGGTCTTGAACTCCTGACCTCAGGTGATCTGCCCGCCTCGGCCTCCCAAAGTACTGGGATTACAGGCGTGAGCCACCGCGCCTAGCCTGGGATTCTATTTCAAATGGCAACTTTATGATGTTTTTTTCCTCACATTTGCCAGCCAGGGCACCCCCTTCTCAGAGCTGATTAAACTTGGCCTGATCCCCAATATCATGGCATTGAGAGCATTCATAGCCATCTGCCTGCATCCGCCTGCCCCCATGCATGTGAGTTCCCTCCTCGACTGAGCATTCTTCTATCTCTGTGCTCCAACATCCACATCCATGTTCAGCCTCATAAATCGCAAAGACACAATCAAATCCATCCTTCATCAGCATCAAAAGCAATCAACTCATATAAAGCATATCTTAATTTAGTATTTTGGGGCTCAGAAGGAGGTTAAATCACAAAGAACCCAGCTGATCATCTCTGATCTCTTCCCACCACCTGACTTTCTTCCTTTCCTCCTCCCTACTCTCCAAAGTTAAAAAGCACAAAACAGATACATCTTTAGCTGTTTTCATTTGAAATATCTTTATTTTGCATTCACTCTTTTTTTTTTTTTTTTTTTTTTTTTTTGAGACAGAGTCTCACTCTGTCACCCAGGCTGGAGTTCAGTGGCCCAATCTGAGCTCACTGCAACCTCCGCCTCCTGGGTTCAAGCAATTCTCCTGCCTCAGCCTCCCAAGTAGCAGGGATTAGAGGCGCCTGCCATCATGCCTGGCTAATTTTTGTATTTTTAGTAGAGACAGGGTTTCACCGTGTTGCCCAGGCTGGCCTCAAACTCCTGACCTCGAGTGACCTGCCTGCCTCGGCCTCCCAAAGTGCTGGGATTACAGACATGAGCCACTGTGCCCAGCCTACATTCATTCTTGAATGATGGTATTCCTGAGTACAGAATTCTAAATTGATGACTTTTTTTCTCATCGCTTTGAGGCTATCATTGCGCTATCTTCTGGCTTCTGCTTTTGCTGTTAAAATATAAGCCATCTGTCAGCCAGTTCTTTCTGGGTAATCTGTCTTTTCTCTGTAACTGCTTCCTCTCCTCCTGCCCCCATCAATCAATATTCTAGTTTTACTGCATTGTGTCTAGTACTAGGATTTCCTTTTATTGCTCTAGTTTAGTATTCATTGGCTTCTTCTATCTGAGGACTCACCAATTTGTAGAAGTCCTCAGCCACCTTTGCATACTGGGCATCCTCCATCCTCGTACCTTTCTATGGGATGCTGATTCAACACGTAAGACCTTTGCATTCTATTCCTCCAGATCTCTTACCCTTTCTTCTCTATTTTTCATCTAGGTCTCTTTAGGTGTATCTTTCATTTTGTCATCCCTTTCACTGTATCTAATCTGCTTAATCAATATGTTACACTGTAAATTTTAAATTACCATATATGTATCATTTACAAATCCCTTTGGTTCCAAACCTACTTGGCCAACTTTGATTCTCTTCATCCCACATCATATTTTCTATCTCCTCTTATTTTAGTCTACACCTGGTAATTCTAATATCTGTAATCTCTTTGAGAGTTTAGGTAATTTGTTGTATTTGCTGACTGTCTCAGGGTAGCTTGTTTCCACATAGGTCCATTTATATTAGAATGAAGTCATTAGGACTCTATCTGAGGGGAATCTTTGAGCCTTGGTTTAAGGAGAGTTCCTCCAGAGAAGGTATGTGTTCACTTATGCTGGGTTCACTACCAATACACTTTAAACTTCAAGCTTTTTTTCCTTTTCCTTCCTAAACCAAATAGTATGAATTCTTGCTCCAGACCAGTGTGAGTGTGGTCCTGTGTTTAAGAATTCTTTTTAATAGCTCCCACGGGGAGGATGCTGCCACTCTTCGGGAGTTCTCACATTATCCACATGTCTTTTATGTCCTCTTCCCCGGCCTCAGCCTTTATATCTGTGCCCCATGTTCACTGCCTATCAAAACTCAGTGTCTATGCCACCAGGAACCGGCAGATACTTTCAAGGACCACACTGGATCTACAGCACTAACTGACGCAGGCCTCAGAAAAATCCCTTTACTCTCCCACCAGCTAAACTATTTACTAAAAACACTTAAATGTGTTTCAAGATGTGTATATATAATTTAAGATACAGTATACACAAGTGTGTGTGTAACGTATCATGTAGCACGTTTAGCTGAACTATTATCAGTAGGCACTTCTAATCCTCCATGTTACCAGAAATAGAAGCAGGCTTTTTTAAAAGAACACTTAGAACTAATGAAATGCTATCTAAAATCAGTCACTTTACTAACAGACAAAATAGTTTCAGCAACAGCGGTTTGTTTTTAATTATACAGTGACCAATGCTCAAAAATGTTTCAAATTATTACTATACCACCATTTCCCCCAGGTATGCCAAAGTTGGTTCTGCTACAAATTAGAATTTCCTTTTTCCCCTAAAAATCATCCTGAAATTGATTCCCAAAGCATTATAAGGCAGAAAGGTTGTTTAAAGACTTATAATTGTTACAAGTTACTGAGTATGTTCAGGTACTTAATACACAGCGTTTCTACTTTCACAAAAACTCTCGTGCTCACACAGAGATAATGATTCTCAGACAGGTTCAGTAACTTGCTCGAAAAGTCACGTCTCTGCAGCTCAAATCTGAGTCTTCCCAACTCTTTCTGTGCCATGATTTCACTCTTGTCAATGGTAGACAGACAAAGAGGAACTTTAATCCTGCCATCTCCAGGCAGGGGAGTTCCATCACAAAGTACAGTTTACATGTGGCAAAATGTGTAAAGTAAATATACGAAGAAGAAATTAGACTTAATCCATGAAGAAATAGATGTTGTCAATGTAAAAATTGTCTTCTTTAGAGACAGGGTCTCGCTCTGTCACTCAGGCTAGAGTTCAGTAAATAATCATTTTAAGTGAATACCAATTTGTCTTTTTTGTACACTCTAAATGCAAAAAAAAGGAAATCAAACCATAACGAGGCATTTTCTCAAATGTTATTTCCTGATTATAAAGTTTATATAACAGCAGATTAACCTGAAGTATAGCATAAGTTCCCCTCTCTGATAATCTGTAAACATGGACTGATCCTATAAAAAAGTTAAAATGTCCTGTACAAATGCTACAAATGGATATATGAGCAATGACCTCTTAATGAACATAAACTTTTCCTAAGTATATTAGTCATAGTTTATTTCAGAAAGATTTTGACAATCGATAACTGTGCTAAATGATTTGGCAATGAGATATCAGATTATTATCTACAAGAATCTCACATCTAAGATACTTAAGGAATCAAGTAGGTGATGAATGAGAAAATGAGCACTCTCATATTGCACACTTTCTGGAGGATGGTTTGGAAATATCAATCAACATAGGAAAAATGTATTATGTGACCCAGTAATTCCACTTTGAGGTATGTCTCCTAGAGAAATGCAGACGTTTACTGCAACACTGCCGGAAACTCAAGGACCCAAGGAAGATTCTAGCACCTTTTTTTTTTTTTTTTTTGACAGAGTCTTGCTCTGTCGCCCAGGCTGGAGTGCCGTGGTGCAATCTTGGCTCACCACAACCTCCACCTCCTGGGTTCAAGCGATTCTCCTGCCTCAGCCTCCCAAGTAGCTAGGATTACAGGCGTGCGCCACCACACCCAGCTAATTTTTGTATTTTTTGTAGAGATGGAGTTTCACCATGCTGGCCAGGCTGGTCTCAAACTCCTGACCTCAGGTGATCCACCCACCTCAGCCTCCCAGAGTGTTGGGATTACAGGCATGAGCCTCCGCACCCAGCCGATTCTACTAGCATTATTCTGAATACTGTCGCCCCATGGTATCTGTGGGGAACTGGTTCCTGGACCTTCCAAGGATACCAAAATCCATGGATGCTCAAGTCCCTGATATAAAATGACACAGTATTTGCATATAACCTACACACATTATCCCATATACTTTAAATCATCTCTAGATTACCTCCAATACCTAATACAACGTAAATGCTATGTAAATAGTTGTCCTACTGTATTGATTAGGGAATAATGGCAAGAAAAAAGTCTGTATACGTTCAGTACAGATGCAATTTTTTTCACAAGTATTTTCAATCCACAGTTAGTTGAATCCACAGATATGGAGAACTGATTGTACAACATATTAACTAAAATGAATAGCTCTATGTGAACTGATACAAGCTGTGTCTCCAAGACATATTTTAAATGTTACTTATTTAATCCACACAAACTATACAATTTCACATTCAATATAAAAATACATAGCAAAATGACTGAAAGGAAATACAAACTATTAACAGCAGCTCCAGGGAAAGGTATCAAATGGGGGTTAAACTAAACTTTCACATAACACGGTGATAATACTGGAAACACAACTTGATGTAAAAGGGATAATATATATGTGACAATATTTTAAAGTAATGGTTGTCAAAATATCTGACATGCCTGCTACAGATTTCTTACAAATCTCTTCCCCGCCAAATACACACACACAGTCTACATTTCTCTTCCTAATAGTTTCCCCAAGAGTTTCTTGGCTAAAAGTGCCACTACTCCGAGTATAAACACAGCTCCCTACCTACAAACTCATGCCCAGAACCCAGCAGTGAATCGGGCCCTGTTCTCACATCTTGCAGTTAAAATGTTTTAACATATATATGTATTTATAAATACCGCATGTTTTGTTTCCAATAAAAATATACAATATACATATAATTTAAAAGGAAGTCAAATTACAACATGAGGCATTTTCTTCAAATGTTTCTTCAAATGTTTGATACCCTGAAATTCAGTAAATTAACTCTGCCATTTTTATAACTAATGCAGCTAATAAATATACTTAAATACTGAATGTTTAGGAAGGGGAGGCTTTTTAAAGAAATCACATTTCTAGAAATGTCTAGAACTATAAGAAACACAGGGTACCTCTCCCAAAGGGTACAGAGATGAAGGTAATAAATGGTAAAGGAATATAAAACGGTCCCCACCAAAATTAACTAAAATATAATATAACAAAAAATTATATAGACTCATCTTATTTCCTTGAACCACCTAGAAAGTGAGAAATTGTTTCATTTGCAGCAAAAAATCCTGTCATATACTCCTTGAATTATTTTTACAATTATTTTAATACATTTCCATTTAAAGCTACTCTATTATATAGGTCAATTTTAACCAAGCCACATTACATAGAGAGACACATACCCATCTGAAATAAGACAGAAGTGACTATTCTATTTTAGTCATTAATTCCTCAAATACCACTCCACAGCCACTAACATCTGTGAATCACATGCCGAGTGACTGACATCTACAGATATTAGGTCATAAACCTTAAAGGAGAGAAACTAGCAGGAACATGGACAATGAAAAAAGAGTGGGGAAATGTAGGACACAGTAGGTATGTGTGTAGGGTATTTAGAACTTGTTATCATGTGTGTCTTCTGTTTCTGGAAGAATCTTGCAAAAAAACGAATCTAGAAAATAGGAGGTTGCTGAGAATCTTAAGATAAAGGAAAGCAGAACTCGGTATATCTTGAAAATAACATGACTGGGAAAGAAATGCTTCCAAACTCTCAGCAGGGAAACTTGGTGACTACTGTAACAGATGAGGAGAGATGAGGCTGTGACGAAGGCTGCTGACAAAAAGGGTAAAACACATACAACTACTAACCAGGGGAAGGAAAGATCATAAGTTTCCTTGGTTATTAAGGAAAATTCATGACCTCATACAAAAATACTCCAAATCACCAAAGCCACTTTACCTAACAGTAAAACTACAGTCAAAAAGGAAACAAGGGACAAGCGGTGGATGAAACGAACGATACACTGTGCGTCACTCCTTTGCAGGCAACTGTAACACCTTGCCCACCACCCATCCCCTTTGTAAAAACACTGAACAAGAAGACTCCCTTGCTAAAAGGTAAATTCTTTCAGAATAATACAGAAGGAAGAGACAATTTTAAATCACTTTCTAAAGTACGCATTGTTATTGTTTTAAGAGGCAGGACTGCTAACTAGAAACGAGACCCTGAGACTTCTACTCTAAGCCCTCACTCCAAAAGACAACACCAAGGCCAAGAACATCTACTACAACCTGGCAGTAGGCTCCACTTATGACCCTCCTGCAGATAATGAAATCATCACTCTTGGTGACTAGGGTCAAGAAAGATAAGCCTTAGCTGGTGCAGTAGCTCACGCCTGTAATCCCAGTGCTTAGGGAGGCCAAGGTGGGAGGCCCACTTGAGCCCAGGAGTTTGAGATCAGCCTGGGCTACACAGTGAGACCCTGTCTCTACAAAAAAAATTTGTTTTAATTAGGCAGGCGTGATAGTAAAAAAGAAAGATAACGCTCAAGACACCAATAAAAGTGTTTTTAGTATTATGCCAATACAGAAATTTAGATTTGAGTTGAAGGAGACACCACCAATGGCAAGAGAAGGCAAAAGCCCACACAAATGTAAAATTATTAGAGCCCAGTAGGAGGCTGCCAGACAGGTCACCTCCTATTCCTTTAAGATTAAAACCAGACGATGTCACTACAGCTCATGTTACCAGGAGGACTAACACAGTGCCACAATAATTCACTTAGAGAAACCTTTTTTTTTTTTTTTCTTTTTTTGAGACAGAGTCTCACTCTGTCGCCCAGGCTGGAGTGCAGTGGCATGATCTCGGCTCACTGCAACCTCTGCCTTCCGGGTTCAGGCAGTTCTCCTGCCTCAGCCTCCTGAGTAGCTGGGATTACAGGTGTGCACCACCATGCCTGGCTAATTTTCTGTATTTGTAGTAGAGACGGGGTTTCACCCTGTTGGTCAGGCTGGTCTCAAACTCCTGACCTCGTGATCTGCCCACCTTGGCCTCCCAAAGTGCTGGGATTATAGGCATGAGCCACTTACCCAATAGACAAAGGCAGAAAAGTCACATTTCCTTCAGTATCCCAAGCCCTTCTGCTGTTAGAGAAAAGAAACCAATTCTTATCGTACAACATTTAGGTGCCCATTTTAGTATATTTAAAGAGTGGAAAGCTGAATAATTTTTACAAGTATAGGAAAAAAAACATGAGCTTGTTACTCTCCTGCTTCAAGTCCTTCACTAGAACAAACTGTTGAGCAAAGAGTAAACACACTCTTCCTAAGCCCCAACAGCTCCAGAACCATCACTTGCCAACAAACTACTTGATATAGTTTGGATGGGCATCCCCTCTAAATCTCATGTTGAAATGTGATCCCCAATGTTGGAGGTGGGGCCTAGCGGGAGGTATTGGATCACTGGAATGGATCCCTCATGAATGGTTTAGTGCCATCCCCTTGGTGATGAGTGAGTTCTCACTCAGTTCACATGAGATCTGGTTGTTTAAAAGAGTCTGGGACCTTCTCTTTCCCTGTCGCTCATGTGCCATGTGGTATGCCTGTTTCCTCCTTCACCTTCCACCATGACTGTAAACTTCCTGAGGCCCTCACCAGAAGCCAAGCAGATGTTGGTGCCATGCTTACACAGCCTATAGAACCATAAGCCAAAATAAACCTCATTTATTAATTACCCAGTCTCAGATATTCCTTTATAGCAATGCAAAACAGTGTAATACACTACTTACAGTTCCCAACATATCTGTTCCATGTTGTTTATTCAACACCTTTGCCTGAAATCAGCTCCACACCTCTCTTTGGTAATTATTACTTAAGAGTCAATTCAGCCCCTGTTTCCTCCAAGAAACCTTTCCTAAAAATCTAGATTGAATTTATGGATCACCCTTTCTCTGAAGAGCACTCAATTAACATATCAATCATAGCCCAACCTGTTATGTTAAAATCATCTGTTACTGAACCTTCTTCCCCAATTACATCAAAAGCTGGGCAGGCTGGGTAGAATAAGATGTTTTAAATAGGTTTGACAGTATATTTTTAGTTGCATAAGATATGTTAATTATTTTTAAAAATCAGAAGGTACACCAAAACAAAAGAAAAATTACTGGCAAACTCCCATCCTCCCTGATTGAGATCACATCTTAATTCATGTCATACTCTTAACACCCTGCAGCATTATCGAACATAGAGTAGGTATTCAATGTGGTTTTTTTCCTTTTTTGCTAAAGTAGAATCTAAACTATTGAGTAATAAAGTTTTATTTAATTATCCAAGATAATCCTTACACTTTTCAAATTTAAATGTCATAAACAATTTCACCTTCTCTCCCACCCACATGCATCGAGTATCAGTTTAAATGGCTTCACAAGAAGTATACTTTAACAACTTATGTTTTGACAGTTATAAAAATACATTAATAAAACTAAGGAATATACTTTATCATGTAATTAAATGCTATATACTAATAAATTACATCAAGCCACTAAGTTATCTAATTTAGACACCTTACTGCCTGATGTATTTTCCCCTTTCAGTGATTAGAAATTTGGACTTCCTCATCAAAACCGAGGAGCATTAGGAAGTCCAGTTTAACTTCCCTCTCTTGTCATTCTTTTGTCAGAAATCTTGGGCAGTGTCAAAGAACATTAGCTTAAACAAGCAGAACTTAATGCATCTTCCCCAACACATCTGGCAAGTATTGGAATAATGTGTGCAAAATGCCTCAAATTTCTTTTTCCATTATGGTCAAAGGCAGTCAGATTAACTGAGTAAATAATATTCATAATGATTAAATACAGATGTATCCTGTTATAAATTTTTTAAAATTCAAGTCTTAGGCCGGATACCGTTGGCTCCCACCTGTAATCCTAGCAATTTGGGAGGCCAAGGCTGGAGGATCACCTGAGTTCAGGAGTTTGAGAACAACCTGTCCAACATGGTGAAACCCCATTTCTACTAAAAATACAAAAATTAGCCGGGTGCAGTGGCACACACCTATGATCCCAGCTTCTCAGGAGGCTGAGGCAGGAGAATCGCTTGAACCCAGGAGGTGGAAGTTGCAGTGAGCTGAGATCATGCCACTGCACTCCACTCTGGCCAACAGAGCAAGACTCTGTCTCAAAAAAAAAGAAAATTCAAGTCTTAAAAACATGCTCAAAACAAACGTAAGCAGCACAATAACAAACCACAAACCATAAGAAGAAAGGACTTAGGGGCTGTCTGAATTCTATTTCCCACTGCCTATGTGAAGATTTTCTCAATTTTTACAGGAGTATTTCTGTTCTTCCAGAAACCAAAAGTCTTCCAAATTGCCCATCTTCACATGCAAAAGTTTATAAACATTACCCCAGAAGCAAAACATTGCTTCTGAGTTGCAATATATTATGTAAGAAAAAATAATTGATTAACATAATATAAACATAAAAGTTAGCCAATCCTATATCTCCCTCCTATATCTCCCAAGTTTATTATATAAACGAACAGTACTGTTATTAGATAATATTATCTAATGTCTCTGCAAACCTCATTCTCCCAGAAGAGTGGCATTAGAAATTCTGTATCAACAAAAGCTTTTTCTGTCTGTCTGCTCAATAGAGAATGACATCACAGGAAATCAAGATCCAGACAGGTCAATAGGTTACTGGTCAGTAAATTAGCTGGTCCAGGCGAAGCTGGGGCCATTTTGGTACAGCAAATTTCTGTACTCCTCAGGGGCTATTATTGGTTTTCTTACTCACATATTCCCTGGAGACTAAGTAGCACTGCTTTTTGCCTACAAGCCTAAATTGTCAGGTACTGACATTAAGAACAGGGAAGCTGGAAAGAGGTACTGATCTTTAAGTCACATTCCTGTTAAATACAATAATAATATCCTCTCACAAAGTGAAGGATCTTTTTAAATCATCCCCTTCTTCATTTCATATGTTGCTATTCCTACACAGGTATATGATTTAAAAAGCTGTCTAGTTACTGACATACATATGCATGAGAAATACAAGCCTTAACAAATGAATCCTTTAGCATCATAAATGCTTACCCAGTAATGTCTACAATTAGACCATATTCTTCTTCAGCCATTTTCTCAAAATGTAAAGCCAGTTGTACTAGGTACGTAAGTACCACACCCAGCCAGTCTAGTTATAATGAGTTTTCCTATGATAGAAGGCATTTCCTCAAACTTCAGCTTTATTTTATCTGCATGTGGGTTGCATTTAAGAAAGGAAATTTATTTCTCACATTCAATCATATATACTGCAAGTAAGCATCTGAAGAATACAAGGCTTCCATAATCCAAACAAAAATAATTTTGTATTTAAATCTGATTCATACAGCCAGAGATCAGTTACTCAGAATGGATCAGAAACACTGGGCCTGTGCTAAAACATACACAATTTAAATAAAAGCCAGAAAAAAAGAAAAAAAAAGCAAATCTCTTCAAGCAGCCAATAGTTTCCATACTGTACTATCACAAATAGACCAGCTAGGCCGGGCACGGCACAGTGGCTCACACCTGTAATCCCGGCACTGTAGGACACCGAGGCAGGCAGAACGCTTGAGCCCAGGTGTTTAAGACCAACCTGGGAAACATGGTGAAACCCTGTCTCTACAAAAAAAATACAAAAATTAGCCAAGCATGGTGGCTACACCAACAGCACCTATAGGTGCCAACAAGCACCTATAGTCCCAGCTGCTCGGGAGGCTGAAATGGGAGATTGGTTGCACCCGGGAGGTCAAGGCTGTAGTGCGCTGTGATCGTACCACTGCACTCCAGGCCAGGCTACAGAGCAAGACCCTGTCTTAATTTTTTAAAAATAACAAATAGACTAGCTAGCTGTGTATGCCCTTAAATTCATCCTAACGGTAAATATAAACCCTTGTATCCTGAAGTAGATGTCATCCAAGGTCATGTTTTCATAATCCAGGTAATCTAAAGTAGTAGTTCTCAAGCTGTGGTGCCAAGATCAAGAGCAGCATCTGAAACTTGTTAGAAGAAATACAAATTCTCAAGCCCCATGCTAAATCTTCTCAATCAGGCACTTGAGGTTGTGGCCCAGCAAATCTGTGTTTTAATAAACCCTCCAGATAACTCTAATGAACCATTAAAATTTAAGGGCCATGGATCTAAAGAGAATCTTGGCCTGGGAAGGGAGCTACAGATGTGAACTACCTGGGCTCATTAGCTTTTTTTTTCCCCAGAAAATCTTAGAGGAATGGTATTCTCATTGGCATTAATAATGGCAGTCCTAGATAACTGGATGTTCTAATATTGCAAGTATATAGCCCCTTTTAATTTACAGTAAATTCTCATATATTAATTCTAAATTATGAACTCTAGATATTAAAATTAATAAGTATTCTATTAAAGTCCACTTATGCTCTTAGTTCTATGTTTAGGACCTAATGGTCACTACAACTGAAGTCCAGTAAAAGGTTTATAATAGCAGTAATAGCAGACAGAGCGCAAAAGTGTGCTACGTGCAAGAGAGAGAATGGCGGGGAGAAAAGAGAGTCAATGGGAAAAAATCAAGATCAAAAACCAAAATTGTAGGAGGATATTCTCATCCTTACATGTAACTCTGACTCATTTATACAGTCAACAAAAATGACTCATTATGGGTGCTTATGTTCCTTTCTCCCCAATGTCAAGCATCATAATTTTATAATTAAAAGCTTATATGGTGGCAGGCTGTAGAGATACATAAGTTAAAAGAGCAGATTACACTATAATCCTAAAAAACTATAGACAATATTTAGACTGGATTTTTTGCATTTTTAGCTTTCTGACTTTCAAAATTCAAGAGAAAAATAATAGGAAAGTATGTATCCAGCCAAACTACACTCCACAATAGAACAGCAATGCATACCCACAGTTATGTACCACTATTATACAGCTCTGAAATTGGCAACAACTGACTCATTCTGGAAAGACAGATGGAAATTACATTTTTCTAGGAAGATACAAAGTCTTTCTAAAACTTTTTCTATATTTGATTTTCCTTGCTCCTTGCTTCAGAACCCCAAAGCTTACTAAGGGAGCTTATCTTAAAAGCTATAAACAGGCCTGGTGCAGTGGCTCACGCCTATAATCCCAGCACTTTGGGAGGCTAAGGTGGGCAGATCATGAGGTCAGGAGTTTGAGACCAGCCTGGCCAACATGGTGAAACCCCGTCTCTACTACAAATACAAAAATTACCCGGGGAGGGTGGTGCAGGCCTGTAATCCTAGCTACTCTGCAGGCTGAGGCAGGAGAACCGCTTGAGCTTGGGAGGCAGAGGTTGCAGTGAGCAGAGATCACACCACTGCACTCCAGGCTGGGCGACAGAGTGAGACTCCGTCTCAGACCAAAAAAAAAAAAAAAGCTATAAATAATAATTACTTTCAACATATATAGCTCTTCAATTTCAGTTATCCAAAATTAATTCTGCTTTTAAAGAGGGTGCTTTCCCAACCCTTACACAGGACTGTAAGCGGACACTTGCATATGGATGGCTGTAGAAATTTTAAATAGGTAAAAAGCCTAAGTATACTTAGGTTAAAAGTGCAATCAAAGTAACAGTATATGGCAGCCAATTTATATACACCAGGAAGAGACAGTGAATGAGTATGACATGTATATATCACAAAATAATTATTTTTATACCATTTTAAATAAATATATTTCACATTTTGTCAAAATGGCTTGTGCAAGAAACAAAAATATCATCAATAAGAAATATCACAAGAAAATTCTCAGCTAAAACAAAATAAGATTTATGTACCTGAACCAGAGAAATAATATATGTATGAATAATTTGCAAGGGGGCTCACGCCTGTAATCCCAGCACTCTGGGAGGCCAAGGTGGGCAGATCACAAGGTCAGCAGTTCGAGACCAGCCTGGCCAATATGGTGAAACCCCATCTCTACTAAAAATACACAAATTAGCTGGACGTGGTGGCGGGCGCCTGTAGTCCCAGCTACTCAGGAGGCTGAGGCAGGAGAATCGCTTGAACCCGGGAGGCAGAGGTTGCAGTGAGCCAAGATCACGCCACTGCACTCCAGCCTGGGTGACACAGCGAGACTCTGTCTCAAAAAAAAAAAAAAATCATTTACAATGACATTTTCTAGACTTTAGGTACACTCATCACCACAATGACTTTCTTAAATTTGCTGGCTGAGAGAAAAGATTAGAGTTTTCCTGCCTAACTTATTAACATGTTGGTTGATCCAAGAGAGATATTAGAGACATAGGCATGGCATTTGGTGGAAAAGTACAAAACAGAGAATCAACACCCTGATACTGAAGTCCCACTTCCATTTTATTAAGTTTCTAGAATCAAAAACAAGATGCTAATCCTTACTGTGCTTCAAGTTCTTTATTCATAAAAGTGGGACAATATTATTGTCCATGCCTATGTTACAAGAATGCCAAAAGGATGAAAATGAGTAACAAATGGTCAGCATGCAAAAGCTTGGATATTTATGCCAGAAAATAAGAAGATAGTTAACTCCCAGGTTAATCTATGATCACTGAAAATAAACACCTTTCTTCATTTGGTTATAAGTAAATAATAAACTAATACATATATGCTTTTTTTTCCTGTAGCTTAGTCATGTATTAACCTTAAAAAAAAAAATTAAATATATGAAGATGTATATTGTAACCCCTAGAGAAACAACCAAAAAAACAGATAACATGTCAGTAGGATACTTAAATTGCTACACTAAAAAAAAATTGTTTCATACAAAGGAAAGCAGTATAGGAAGAACAGTAACAAAGAGACGAAACATAGAAAATACATAGCAAGGCTGGGCGTGGTGGCTCACGCCTGTAGTCCCAGCATTTAGGGAGGCCAAGGTGGGTGGATCACCTGAAGTCAGGAGTTCGGGACCACACTGTCCAACATGGTGAAACCCCATCTCTACTAAAAATGCAAAAATTAATTGGGCGTGGTGGCGCATGCCTGTAATCCCAGCTACTCGGGAGGCTGAAGTGGGAGAATTGCTTGAACTCAGGAGGCAGAGGCTGCAGTGGGCCAAGATTATGCCACTGCACTCCAGTCTGGGCAACAGAGGAGACCCTGTCTCCAAAAAAAAAAAAAAAAAAAAAAAAAAAAACACATAGCAAAATGGCAGAAAAATCCAGCCATATTGGTAATTACATTAAATTTGTGATCAAAGGGCAAAGATTTTTCAGTCTGGATTAAAAAGAATAAGCAAGATATGACTATATATTGTCTCTAAAAGATACACTTTAAATTCAGAGATTCGAATAAGCTAAAAGTTTTACTTATAGAAAAATATATAACCCAAACAATAAGCATAAGAGAATTAGAGTGACTATATATTAATATCAGGCAAAATAGACTTTAAAACAAAGAATATTTCTAAACACAAAGAAATACATTGATACCAAAAAGGAGCAATACAGCAGAAAAAAAAAACGACACTTGTAAGTGCTACATATTGAACAGCACGGCCACAAGATAAAAAAACAAAGTTTACGCAAATGAAAGGACAAAAAGACAATTCAACAATTATAGTTAGAGATTTCAAGCTCCCCAAAAAATAACTCATAAAACATGTTGGTTAAAAAAAAATCAGTAAAGATATATAAGATTTGAGTAACACTATCAACCAACTTGACCAAACTGATTTCTATAGAACATTTCACCCAGAAAACACATGCTCTTCAAGTGCACATGGAACATTCTCCAGAATAGACTGTATGTGAAAAATGTGGGGGCCCAGGGGGATGGGAATCAACTAATTTGAAAGAATTCTAATCATATAAAGTATGTTCTCTAAACACAATGAAATTAAATTAGAAATCGATGACAGAAAGATAAATGCAAAATCCCCTACATAATCCACAGATCAAAGAGGAAGACGCAAGGGAAATTAGAAAGTATTGTTAGCCCTTGAACAACTCAGGTTTGAACTGTGTAGGTCCATTTACATGCAGATTTTCTTCAATAACAGCTACATTGAGCATGCCTGCCTTTCCTGCCTCCCTTCTACCTCCCTCACCCCTGAGACAAGACCAACCTCTCCTCTTCCTCCTCCTCAGCCTACTCAGTGAAGAAAATGAGGATAAAGACCTTTAGGATGATCCATTTCCACTTACTGAATAGCAGATACATATTTTTGTCTTCATTATGGTTTTCTCATTTTCTTTTCTCTACCACACTTCATTGTAAGAAGATAGTATATAATAAATATGACATACAAAATATGCATTAATGGACTGTTTACGTTATTAAGGCTTCCAGTCGACAGTAGGCTATTTGTAGTTAAGTTATGGGGGAGTCAAAAGTTATTATATGTGAAGTTTTGACTGCACAGGGGGTCAGCGCCCCAGTCCCTGCATTGTTTAAGGATCAACTATATTTTCAGTTAAATAAAGATCCAATATATCAAAATTTGTGACACAGCTAGTGATCTAAGCATCTACTTTATGAAACTAGAAAAAAGAAAAGCAAACAAAACTAAAAGCAGGCAGGAGAAAGTAAATAAAAATAAAAGCAAAAATAAATGAAACTGAACACAAAAAATAGATAAAAATCAATGAAATCAAAAGAAACCCTTGAAACTAACCAAAAGGTTAATAAAATTGATAAGTTTCTAGCCAGATCAGTCAAGAAAAAAAGACATAAGACACAAATTATCAATAGTAAGAATGTAAGAGAGGCTATCTCTGCAGTTCCTACAAACAATACAAAGATAGTATAATGACATGATGAACAATTTGATGCCAATAAACTTGACAACTTACATGAAATGGACAAATCCCTTAAAAGACAAACAACCAAAGCTCATAGAAGAAAACACAGATAATCTGAATAGTTCTATATCTATTTAAAAACTTGAAATCATATTTAAAACCTTCCCACAAAGATTATTCGAGCCTGAAGGCATGCACCTGTAGTCCCAGCTAAGTAGGAGCCTCAGGCAGAAGGATCACTTGAGCTCAGGAGTTCAAGGCTACCATAAGCTATGACTGGGCCACCGCACTCCAGCCTGGACAACAGAACAAGACTCCATCTCTAATTAATTAAATAAATGAATGAATGAATATAAATATTTTTTAAAACATTAAAAAATAGGCCAGGAGTGGTGGCTCATGCCTGCAGTCCCAGCACTTTGGGCACCAAGGTGGGCAGATCAGTTGCGACAAGGAGTTCAAGACCAGCCTGTGCAACAGGTGAAACCCTGTCTCTACAAAAAATACTACAACAACAACAAAAATTAGCTAGGCGTGGTGGCGCACACCTGTAGTCTCAGCTACTTGGGAAGCTAAGGTGGGAAGATCACTTGAGCCGGGAGGTCAAGGTTTCAGTGAGCCAAGATCACGCCACTGTACTCCAGCCTAGGTAACAAAGTGAGACCCTGTCTCAGTTTTAAAAAATTAAATTAAACTTAAAACCTTCCCACAAAGAAACTTCTAGGCCCAAATGACTTCACTGATGAATTCAACATTTAATACCAAACTTTTGACACTAAAGCTAGACAAAAACTTTACAAGAAAACTACAGACCAATAACTCATAAACACAGATGTAAAAATCCTTAATAAAATATTAGCAAACCAAATCCAATTAATATAAAAAGTATAATACTCCATGACTAAGTATATACCCCAGGGATAAAAAGTTGCTTTGATATTCAAAAAACTAACATAATATACTATATTAGAGAATAAAGAAGAAAAACAATATAGCCATCTTAACAAACACAGAAAAAGCATGTCACAAAATCCAATACCCATTCATGATAAAAATCTAACAAAAAGCATCTACAAAAAAAAAAACCATGCACAGTTGACATATTTGTGAAAGGCTGAGTGCTTCTTTCCTAAGGTCAGGAAGAAGACAAGCAATCTGCTCTCACCACTTCATTCAACCTGGTATTGCAGGTCTTAGCCAGTGTAGTAAGGAAAGGAAAAGAAATCTAAGGCAATATAAAAGAGAAAAGAAGTACAGCTCTCTTTATTCACACACAACATGAATGGGAAAGCAAAAAACCTTCAGGAATCTATAAAATCACTCCAACTAATAAATTAAATTAGCAAGATTGCAGGATACATGATTAATATAAAAACAAATTCTACTTCTACACACTCAAAACAATTGGAAATTGATTAAAAAAAAAACTCACAATGGCATTAAGTTAGTAATATACTTAACAAAACGTATGCAAGACCCAGACCCTGAAAACTAAAAAACACTGGCATGAGAAACTAAAGAAAACCTAAGTTAATGGAGAGATACAACATATTCATGGATTGGAAGACCCAATACTAACATGGCAATTCTTCAAAAATTGATCTATATATTTGAAGCAATCTCAATAAAATTTCTGCCCTTTCAAAGAAAACATAAAGAACTTACAATAGACAAAGCAAGCTTTAAAAAGAAGGACAAAGTTAAAAGCTTCCCATTACACCTCATTTTAAAACTATTACAAAGCTGCAGTATGGTATTCGCATGAGAGGCATACAGAGCAATGAACTAGACTAAGTGTCCAGAAATAGACCCACATTTATGTGGTCAATTCATTTTCAACAAAAGTGCCAACATAATTCAATGTGAAAATGTTTTTTTTCGGTCAATAAATAATGTTGGAACAACCAGATATTCAATGGAGAAAAAGTAGATATTGACCCTTTTTGTCACATTATACACAAAAAAATAATTCAAATGGATCACAATACTAAACAAATAAATCATAAAACTTATTTTAAAAAATAAGAAAAATTTTGGAACGTTGAGGCAAGTAAAGATTTCTTAGGACACAGAAAGCAAAAACCATAAAAGAAAAAAATGATAAATTAGATTCTATCAAATTTAAAACTTTTAAGCTTGAAAAACCACCATTAAGAAAATAAAGCAGCCAGCTGGGCGCAGTGGCTCACACCTATAATCCCAGCACTTTGGGAGGCCAAGGTGGGCGGATCACGAGGTAAGGAGAGCAAGACCATCCTGGCTAAGACGGTGAAACCCCATCTCTACTAAAAATACAAAAAATTAGCTGGGTATGGTGGTGGGTGCCTGTAGATCCAGCTACTCAAGAGGCTCAGGCAGGAGAATGGCGTGAACCCGGGAGGCGAAGCTTGCAGAGAGCCAAGATCGTGCCACTGCACTCCAGCCTGGGGGATACAGCGAGACTCCATCTCAAAAAAAAAAGAAAAAGAAAAAGAAAGCAGCCATAAAAAAGAATGAGTTCATGTCTTTTGCAGGGACACGCATGAAGCTGGAAACCATCATTCTCAGCAAACTAACACAGGAACAGAAAACCAAACGCACATGTTCTCATTCCTAAGTGGGAGTTGAACAATGAGAACACATGGACAGAGGGAGGGAAACATCACACACCGGGGCCTGTCAGGGGGTGTGGGGTAAGGCGTGGGGAGAGCATTAGGACAAACACCTAATGCATGTGGGGCTTAAAAACTAGATGACGGGTTGATAGGTGCAGCAAACCACCATGGCACATATATACCTATGTAACAAACCTGCATGTTCTGCACATGTATCCTAGAACTTAAATTAAGATAAAAAAGAAAAAGAAAATAAAAAGTTGGGCCAGGAGCGGTGGCTCACGCGTGTAACCCTAGCACTTTGGGAGGCTGAGGCGAGTAGATCACTTGAGGTCAGGAATTCAAGACCAGCCTGGCCAACATGGTGAAACTCATCTCTACTAAAAATACAAAAATTAGCTGGGCATGGTGGCACACACCTGTAATCCCAGCTACTCAAGACGCTGAGGCATGAGGTTGCAGTGAGCCGAGATTGTGCCACAGCACTCTAGCTTCGGCGACAGAGTGAGGCTCTGTCTCAAAAAAAAAGAAAAGAAAAAGTTGATTGGGCATGGTGGCTCATGTTTATAATCCCAGCACTTTGACTTTGGAAGGCCGAGGCAAGAGGATCGCTTGAACACAGGAGTTCAAAAACAGCCTGGACAACAAAGCAAGACCCTGTCCCATAAATAAATAAATAAATAAATAAATAAATAAATAAATAAATAAATAAATAAATAAGAAAATACATAGCAAGCCACAGATTGAGAGAAAATATTTTCAAAACATATATCTAACAAAGGACTTTTATTCAGAATATATAAAGAACTCTTACAACTCAGACAAGCAACTAATTTTTTTTTAATGGGTAAAAGAGTTAACATTTCAAAAATGACAATAGCTGAATGGACAAGAAACACACGAAAAGATGTTCAGCAACACTGGTCATTAAGGAAATATAAATTAAAACCACACTGAGATACCATAACAAAAACCCTTAGAATGGCTAAAATAACAAAAACTGGCCATTAATAAATACACACATGCTATATATAGTCCAGCACTTCTACTCCTAGATATTTGTTCAAGAAAAAATAAAAGTATATATTACTGTACTGGTACACAAATGTTCAGAACATCTTTTTTTTTTTTTTTTTTAAGAAGCAGTCTTGTTCTGTCACCCAGGCTGGCATGATCTGGGCTAACTGCAACCTCCACCACACGGGTTCAAAGTGATTCTTGTGCCTCAGTTTCTCAGCCTCCCAAGTAGCTGGGATTACAGGTGTGCACCACCACACCTCGCTAATTTCTGTTATTTTTAGTAGAGATGGGGTTTCACTACGTTGGCCAGGCTGGTCTCGAAATCCTGACCTCAAGTGATCCACCCAGCCTTGGCCTCCCAAAGTTCGGACATTACAGGTGTGAGCCACCATACCCAGCCAGAACAGCTTTATTTTTAATAGCCAAAAATTGGAGACAACTCAAATGTCCATCAATATTTGCATGAATGGATAAGTAAACTGTGTTATATCCATACAATCGAATATACCTCAGGGGGAGAAAAAGGAACAACATGGATGAATTGCAAAACTAACATGTTAAGTGAAAGAAGGCAGACACAACAAAGTACTCACTGTAGGATTCCTTTTATATAATACTCTAGAAAACACAAAACTATAGGCACAGAAACTTGACCCTCCGGTTGCAGATGGGAGTGTAAATTGACTGTAAACACTCAGGGACAAGCTTTTCAAATATCTGAAAACTTGACTGTAATGGTAAATAACTTTACAAATTTATTCAATTGTACACTTAAAATGGGCAAAATTTTATGTCATGTGAATTATACCTCAAAAAAGCTATTTAAAAGAGTAGTTCGACTAGTATCTATTCTATTTTTTTCCTTTGTGATTTAAATCCTATAAGTGTTTTTTTATGTGGGGCGGAGGTGGTTTTTTTTTTTTTTGAGACAGAGTCTCATCCTGTTACACAGGCTGGAGTGCAGTGGCGCAATCTCTGCTCACTGCAACCTCTGCCTCCGGGGTTCAAGCGATTCTCCTGCCTCAGCCTCCCAAGTAGCTGGGATTACAGGTGTGCGGCCACCATGCCCAGCTACTTTTTGTATTTTTAGTAGAGACAGGGTTTCACCATGTTGGCCAGGCTGGTCTTGAACTCCTGACCTCGAGTGATCTGCCTGCCTCTGCCTCCCAAAGTGCTGAGATTGCAGGCATGAGCCACCACGCCAGCCGTACTCCTATAGCTGGTTTTATCATTGCATTCATAAATATGTATGGTATTTTTTAAAGGTTATATGGTTAAGTTATAGATGGAAGAAGAAATCATGATAATTTTATTCTATTAAATCGGGGCGTCCAATCTTTTGGCTTCCCCGCACCACACTGGAAGAAGAACTGTCTTCGGCCACACATAAAATACACTAACAATATCTGATAATAAACAAACAAACAAAAATCATAATGTTTTAAGAAAGTTTACGAATTTGTGTTGGGCCGCATTCAAAGCCATCCTGGGCCACATGTGGGCCACAGGTTGGATAAGCTTGTATCAGATTTTGTTTTACATGGTATGTTTTTACCCAGCTATTTGTTCTTCTTTATAATTTGTTTTAAATTTCAGTCTCATTTTCAATAGGCTTCCTCTCCTCCACCCAAGCCATTTGTTCATCCCCTCTGTTCCTACTCCTCCACTGAACACTCTGGAATTCTGGCTCTACTGTTAAAGTCTTCTATCTTTCCCTGTGTCTCCAAACTGTTCCCTGAAGGCTCTCTGTACCTCCTAGCCATCCAATTAAAGAGGCTTTCCCTAGGATACTGCTTGCCCTTGCAGGGAATGAGATCTACACAGCCCATACACCTTAAGAGTCCAGTATTGATGTTGGTGTTTTCATCATTCCTCAAAGCCATTTCTGGACCATTCTTCCTCTAGCCCCTTATAAAAATGCTTGTTCACCTGAGCTCAAATCAACACTATCACCTTTTACCAACTATTTCTCAACTGTCTACCTCTTCAGTCACTTTTCCCTCCTTCATTAAGACTTTACACCCATATCAGTCCTCCTCACCACCTCAAAGTTTGCCATTTAACAGCTTGATCTTTCTCTTCTTTGACCTCATTATCACCAAGCAAGTTCTCTTCCATTCTCATCCTTTGTTTAATGTAAATCTTCCCTGCCAGACTAAGGTCCATGAAGATGGGGACCAGAGATGTCTTGTTCACTGCTAAACCCCAAGCAAATACCATAGTATATACTCTAGTTAAATAAGATTTTTTTCATCCCCACTAAATACAAAAAATTGAAGCTACTGGCCGGGTGCCATGGCTCATGCCTATAATCCCAGCACTCTGGGAACCTGAGGCAGGCGGATCACCTGAGGTCAGGAGTTTGAGACCAGCCTGGAAAACATGGTAAAACCCCGTCTCTACTAAAAATACAAAAATTAGTAGGGCATGGTGGCACGTGCCTGTAGTCCCAGCTACTCGGGAGGCTGAGGCAGGAGAATCGCTTGAACCCGGGAGGCAGAGGCTGCAGTGAGCCAAGATCATGCCACTGCACTCCAGCCTGGGTAACAGAGCAAGACTCCATCTCAAAAAAAAGAAAAAAAGGAAAAGAAAAAAAAAATTGAAGCTATTAGCAGGCCCACGTTGCTTTCAAGAATACCAACAAAGACAATGAAGTATCTAGAAATCATATCTAAAAAAATCAAACAAACAAAGGATGTTTTACCCAAGAAAGTATTTGTACTTTGAACAACTAAAGGAAATTAAACTTGATATATAAAAAGATAAGGCTGACAATTTTGAAACTTGAAATGAGGAATTGGCTCTGCTACTAATTAGTGGCTTTACTTAGTGTTCTTGGTCCTCTATTTTTTCCTCATCTATCAATTTAAAAAGTTGGATCTTCTGAGTTCTAAACATTCTGTTTCATTCATGTCTAAAGGTGTCCCAGCATGCAGAAAGGAGCCCAATAAGGGCGTTATAAGACAGCAACCTGATGACCTAGAGCTGTCACAACCTGAACCAAGTTACCTTATAAAAAAAAATCTAAACAATAATAATAAACTAAGAATACTAAGATCTAGCAGAGCTTCATAAATAATGGTGGGACTAGATCAGGGTTCGGCAAACTTTGACCCCTGTGGCAGCGCTGTTTTTGTGAAGTTTATTGGAACATAGCCACATTATTCATTTAAGTATTGTCTATGGCTGCTTTCTTGCTATTAACAGCACAGTTCCATAGTTGTGAAAGAGACTATATGGCCCAGAGAGCCTAAAATATTTACTATTGGCTGGGTGTGGTGGCTCATGCCTGTTACCCCAGCACTTTGGGAGGCCAAGGTGGAAGGATCACTTGAGCCCAGGAGTTTGACACCAGCCTAGGCAACATAGTGAGACTTAGTCTCTACAAAATAATAATATAAAAATGTAAAAAAAATTATATATATTATATATGTTATCTGGCATCTTAAGAAAGTTTGCTGACTCTAGCCTAAATGATCTATAAGGTTCATTTAACATTCTTACATGCTGGCGATGAAAAAAAGAGCTGCAATAAAACACTTTTAAATGGAAGACAGCAATAAAAAAGGAAAAAGGCATGATGAGAGAGAACAATTCATACAAGATCAAAATTCACCTCCCAGTGATAACACTAACTTCTCTTTTTAAGTGCGTGGCTTATCTTCCAGTCACTGAAACCTTCTATTCCAAGAATATACAAGATTAAACAAGCATTAGCGATTTAACACTCACCTGCCTTCCTTAACTCTTTCTGCATTCCCTCGACATATGTAGTATTCAATGTAACCATCGCTGCAGTTGATTTTTGACCAATCTGGATCACAAACATCCAAGAAGTGAGGCCGCAGTCTGCCTATTGAATACTTGGCAATGTCAGTCAGGGACTGACTAGCAGCTGCACCAAATAAAAAGGTTCCAATGGCTTTGTAAATAGTGGCTATGTAGTTATTCCTGATAAAGGAATTTGAGTGCAAAAGGTTACAGTAAACAGACAGGGTTTCTCCAAGAATAATCTGAAAAAGAAACAGAAAAATAACATGTTAAAGTAGCAAGCAGGCACTTTAAACAAAACAAAACATAGGGGGAAAAAAGGAAATGGTAAATCGCAAAAATATCTTTGTTTCAAAAACAGTCCCAGCCCCTTTTTTCTTTACAATGGAGAGTCAACTTAGGATATCCAATTCTAAACCACAAAACAGGTGTCATATCAATGGTGGACATTACTTACAAAGCCATGGCTGGGACAAAATTATATCATCACTTACCTAAAATAACAAGATCTTATTTTTTTTTTCTTGTATTCAAATAAACAGAGCTTTAAAAAGTAGACAGTGATATATCCTGGAGGACAAAAACTATGGCTTGTCCAAAAAACAAACTTCCAGCCGGGTGTGGTGGCTCATGCCTGTAATCCCAGCACTTTGGGAGCCCGAGGGAGGTGGATCACCCAAGGTCAGGAGTTCGAGACCAGCCTGGCCAACATGGTAAAACCCTGTCTCTACTAAAAATACAAAAAATCAGTCAGGCATGAAGGTGGGTGCCTGTAATCCCAGCTACTTCGGAGGCTAAGGCAGGAGAATCACTTGAACCTGGGAGGCAGAGGTTGCAGTGAGCCGAGATCATGCCATTGTACTCCAGCCTGGGCAACAAGAGCAAGACTCCGTCTCAATAAATAAATAAATACATACATACATACCTACTTCCCCAATCAGAAACTCCTGTGTATAAGTACTTTTATCTGACAGAGGCTTCATTTTTCTCAAATATTCCTTTGAATCAAAGACATCCATCATATTAAAAAGAGTAAAATCATTTCAGGGAGGATTGCTAGAGGATACAGAGGGCAGGGATTTAGCCTTCCAGGTGACCTCTGCTGGGGTCCCAAGGGGTGGGACAGGATTTTTAGTCACTAATTTAAAAGTATAAAAAGGTTTCCAATGCTTTATAAGTTAACAAACCCATATCCTGAGAATTCAAAGAATACTGAATGGCAACATTATAAATAGTAACATTTGCTATTAAAAAAGACAGTAAGACTCTAGCTACCTGAAACCAAAATAAACAGTTAAGGCCGGGCACCGTGGCTCACTCCTGTAATCCCAGCACTTTGGGAGGCCGAGGCAGGTGAATCTCTTGAGGTCAGGAGTTCGAGACCAGCCTGGCCAATATGGTGAAACCCCATCTCTACTAAAAATACAAAAAATTAGCCAGGAGTGGTGGTAGGCACCTATAATCCCCAGCTACTTGGGAAACTGAGGCGGGAGAATCAATTGAACCCAGGAAGTGGTGGTTGCAGTGAGCCGAGATGGCGCCACTGCACTCCAGCCTGGGTGCGACACAGCGAGACCCCATCTCAAAAAATAATAATAAAAATTAAAAAAAAAAAAAAACCACTTAACCACAGAGCAGCCTGAACAGTGGGTTTGCTAATCTGTGTGGAGAGAATTAAGTAGCAAAGCTTGACTTGAGATACATTACTAGCTTCTCTGCTTCACCTTAAATTTATATAAACTATTTTATAAAGCATTCAAACATTTCCATTTAATGAGGATCAACTGTCTTCAGAGTAAGTCTTACCATAAGTAAAATAAATGGTTGCTTCCCGAAAGGGATTTCAAGAATCTGATACCTAAAATCCTTTCCTTACCTGGCTCAATGGCTCCTAGAGTTCCATAATTAGAATGTTTTAACTTTGACAATGAGACTATGAACTCTACAAGGTAAGGAGGATTTCTTAATTGTTGAACAGAAAACCTCATATCACCAGAGTGACCTAAACAAAGTAGGTGGTCAATAAATTTTAGTGAAAGGTGCTGCCTTGGGTAAACAGCAAATGCCCTTAGTTTATACATGTTAAGCCCCATAAAAATACAGTTCTAATTATAGTCCTTAACATGAATGAATTAGTCAGATTCTTTTCTGAGAACAGGTCACAGGAGAGGTAAACTATATGTACTTCCAAGAATGTCATTCCTTTACAGTTTTGCTTAGGGTTATCCCTGACTGCCAACAGAGGAACCCTTTCCATTTCAGTACACATTGCCTCCTTAGGCCATTAAGGGGTCCCAGTAATTCCTCACAGATCAGCAGCCAGAAAGAACTTATCTAACATTTCATTTTGGAATTAATCTTTGATTCTTGAAAACATATCAAGTATATTAATCAACCACAGTTTCAGCAGTTGAAACTTCCACATCTCAGGTATGAGCTGTTCTTAGGCACTGAACTATTTTCCAGAAACAGGTAGTATGTTTTGTGAGTCTTCCCAGTCATAATCATCATAGTTTATGGCCACCCAAATCCTGGCTCTTGCCAGTGATGACAGAAAATGAGTTTGCTAGGAATATTCAGAATACTGGGCACAGATTAAAAGCTGATCTTCAGAAGTAGTGTAAGCTGAAACTTAACCATTAATAATGGGAATGCAGGGGAGTCTCTAAAGCCAGCAAATGCTAGGTCAACTCACATCGCTGAGAGAAGCAGACAATAAAGAAGTTCTAAATCAATTCTTCTGAATTAAATGCAGAGATGTGTCTGCCCATTTGATCCACACAAGATAACCATATTCTTTTGTTTCATTTTAATTCCTTACCCTAACCTTTGAGCCATTTATGCCAATTCTTAACCTTTCATGAAGTTTACACCTAAGCCAAGTGTGGCCTAATCCTTAAACTGAGACTATTTATAATGCATTATTTACTTAGATTCTGGGATATGATAAATTATCAAAGAAATAAAAATGTTTGGAGAAGTAAAACAATACTTATGAAGTTCAAAGCTAATAATTATCTAAATCAGAGTGATTCAACCTTTTTAAGCCTATCTCCCACAGTATTCTCTTATCATCCCCTTTAAATCTCCATCAACCAAGATCATTTTATATGTTTCTACACTGTCCCTATGATTTTGTGTCTTTCATTCAGGGCCCACCTTCCCAAAAGAATTGTCTAAAATCAATGACACATCTCCGCATCTTCTTCTCCCTCCTAAATATCTCTAACCACTTCCATTTCCTTTATTCTACTGATTTTTTTCTCAAAAGTCAAAATTGTTTCATCAGATCAGATTTTTTTTTTTTTTTTTGAGACGGAGTCTTGCTCTGTCGCCCAGGCTAGAGTGCAGCGGCGTGATCTCGGCTCACTGCAACCTCCGCCTCCCAGGTTCAAGTGATTCTCCTGCTTCAGCCTCCTGTGTAGCCAGGATTACAGGCACCCACCACCGCACCCAGCTAAATTTTGTATTTTTAGTAGAGAAGGAGTTTCACCGTCTTGACCAGGGTGGTCTCGAACTCCTGACTTTGTGATCCACCCGCCTTGGCCTCCCAAAGTGCTGGGATTACAGGTGTGAGCCACTGCACTCAGCCAGATCAAACAGATTTTTATCAACTCTCACTTACTTTAACTTCTCAGTGTATTTGACTTCACTGACCATTTCCTCCTCATTGAAATTATCTCATGTCTTCTCAGAAACTATAATAATGCTGGTTCTCTACCTGCCAGCTCCCTCAATCACTCATTTATTAATCAATCATTTGCAACTCATGTCAAGGCCCTGGTATGCAGTCTTAATCACAGGGATTTTTTTAAATAAATGATTTACTTTCTAGTAAATAAAGTTAAATGTATACAAGTCTAACCGAGCATTGCCTGAAAGAGGCTGAGTTAATGAATAAAATTGAATTATTTTAAATGAGCACATAAGGCTGAGCATGGTGGCTTACACCTATAATCCCAGCACTTTGGGATGTTGAGGCAGGAGGGCTGCTTGAGCCCAGGAGTTTGAGACACAAGCCTGCACAACACAGAGAGATAGTTATCTCTTTAAAAAAAAATGTAATTAGCCAGATGTGGTGGTGCACACCTGTGGTCCCAGCTCCTCAGGTGGCTGAAGCAGGAGAATCACTTAAACCCAGGAGGTTGAGGCTGCAGTGAGCTCTGATCACACCACTGCACTCCAAGCCTGGGTGACAGAGAAAGACTCTGTCAATCAATTAATCAAAACATACATACATAAAACCACTGCCCTAAGCAGTGTTTGTTTTCAGTGATACTGTAGAGATGAAAACAATACCTTTAAACAATCTGTTCTTTTTAAAGCAGTCTGCATTCATCTATTAATTTGCTTGCCATTTTATTAAATGTAAAGATAACTTTCTCACAGGTTATGTTGAGACAGTAGAGTATAGGCCGGGCGCAGTGGCTCACACCTATAATCCCAGCACTTTGGGAGGCTGAGGCAGGTGGATCACGAGGTAAGGAGCTCAAGACCATCCTGGCCAACATAGTGAAACCCCATCTTTACTAAAAATACAAAAATTAGCTGATGTGGTGACAGGCACCTGTAATCCCAGCTATGTGGGAGGCTGAGGCAAGAGAATCGCTTGAACCCAGGAGTCGGAGTTTGCAGTGAGCTGAGATCGCGCCAGTGCACTCCAGCCTGGGCAACACAGGGAGACTGTGAAAGAAGAAAGAAAGAAAAGAAACAAAGGAAAGAAAGAGACAGAGAGAGAGAAAGAAAGAAAGAGAGAGAGAGACAGAAAGAGAGAGATAAAGACAGAAAGAGAGAGAAAAAGAGAAAGAGAGAGAGAAGAGGAAGAGGAGGAAGAGGAAGAAGAGGAAGAGGAAGAAGAAGAGGAAGAGGAAGAAGAAGAAGAAGAAAAGAAATAGAAAAGAATTTCAAGTTAATGAAATATAATTCATGAGTTTTTGCTAACTAAGCATTTTGTCAGGCCCTGTGTAGGCCGTGCACATCAACACAGTGCCCAGCAATCAGTGTCCTGCTCTACTGCAGCCCTCCAGGCTAGAGCAAATTCCTGTAGTTCTGCTAGCATGGCATCCTTTTTACTGACACCAAAAAACAAGGCAGAATTGAAAGACAGGTCTATTTCTAGCACTGTTTATTTGAATATTTGAATCCTGTCTGAAATTGGCTATTTGCAACTAAAAGTCCTACTAAAAATGTTATATTTAATTGCTTAGCAATCACTCAGAAACATACATACTTTTTAAAAAAAGACCCTACTCCCTCCTTAATGGAAGAATTATAGACTTGGCTTTCTTCTAGCAGAAAAAATTCAGTGTAAAGATTTGTTTAGATTAAAAGAATACCTGATTTCCTAAAACTTCCCCGTACTTTGGGAGAGTCACCAACATTACTGCGTAATTACTCTATAGTTTCCTTCATACAGTTTCATTCAGGCACCTAGGACATGCTGGGCTCCATGCCAGGCAGTGGACACAAGGATGAACAAGATATCATCTCTGCCTTCAAGGAGCTCACAGTCTTATAAAACAAATATCTATATACAAAGGTTTTCTTTTATTAATTATGCACCACAAATTACAAGTTAACTTTCAATGCTAATAAGGTATTACGATCATTCTTAAGACATTTCTAAATTAAGAAGCTTTTCTTTTTTTAAAATAAACTCCAAAAACAGACATGATATACATGCTGTCATCTTTGGCCTATCTCCTGGATACAACTATATATATTTTTTAATTAAAAAAAAAAATCTGTGTGTGTGTGTCTGTGTGTTTGAAAGAGGGTCTCACTCTGTTGCCCAAGCTGGAATGCCGTGGTGCAATCATGGCTCACTGCAGGCTCAACTTCCTGAGCTGAAAGGATCCTCCTGCTTCAGCCTTCTGAGTAGCTGGGACCAGAGGCTCCTGCCCACCATACCTGGCCTTTTTTTTTGCGAGGAGGGGGATGGATATAGGCAGGGGTCTTGCTATGCTACCCAGGTTGGTCTCAATACTTCAGGGCTCAAGTGATCCTCCTGACTTGGCCTCCCAAATGCTGGGATTACAGGCGTGAGCCACCACATCCACCATATTTTCTGGTTTTTTTGTTTGTTTGTTGTTTTTTTTTTTTTTTTCCAGACGGAGTCTCATTGTGTCAACCAGGCTGGAGTACAGTGGTGCAATCTCGGCTCACTGCAACCTCTGCCTCCTAGGTTCAAGCGATTCTCCTGCCTCAGCATCCTGAGTAGCTGGGATTACAGGTGTGTGCCACCACACCCAGCTAATTTTTGTATTTTTAGTAGAGACGGGGTTTCACCAGGTTGGCCAGGCTGGTCTCGAACTCCTGATCTCAGGTGATCTGCCTGCCTCGGCCTCCCAAAGTGCTGGGATTACAGGCATGAGTCATTGCACCCAGCCTTCTACTTTTAACTAACATAAATCTTGTTTATAAAGTCACAAGTTATGGTCAGCAGAGCCATGCAGTGGAAGCATGCTGGAACCATAATATTACAAGCTATGGAGCACAAAACTGTTAAGTTACAGAATTTTAGTAGAGATTATAAAAATCATGTAGTCCAGTCAATAGTCTTATCCCTAGACACATTCTTTAAGCATTTCCACCTGAAATACCGGAAAACAACAGTTACTATTTTAGTTTAAGACTCACTCTTGCATTCAGTACCAGTAAAAATTCTTTCATATTCACTACTAATCATATATAGAACTATAGCTTTTCTCTCCTGTGTATGATATGATCTAAAAATTATTTAAAGTAAGCGTGCATTGAAGTTTTAACATCACTTAGCAAAATTTTTCTTTTCTAGAACTCAGTACAGAGGGAGAATCAAAAACGGTAGGTACATACATACAGATACAATAAATTATAAAATGATATCCTATGTATAAAGTATGCTAGAATCATATTGCTATAACATTCAACTATTGATCACAAGATTATTAAAACAATAAAATTAGAGCTCTAACAATCACAGTGACATGGAAAAGATTAGCATAAAATCTATACATAGCCAGCAAGGTTCTTTTCGTGTTTTTTTTCTGTTTTTTTTTAAGATGGGATGTTGCAGTGTTGTCTGGGCTGGAGTATAATGGCTATTCACAGATGTGATCATCACATATTATAGTATCCAACTCCGAGACTCAAGCGATCCTCTAGCCTCAGCCTCTCGAGTAGCTGGGACTACAGGCATGTCACCATGCCTGGCTCTTACAATTACACATTGTTATTTTTTGACTCCACTTAAAATAGCTGAGATTCTCTTGATCAAATAAAGCATCAATTAAAGGTTTAAAAAGCATACATTGTTTTTGGAGGATTACACATTTAAGCATTAAAAGAGTAACAGAAAATTAAGCCAAGTGCCCAAAAGTTATAAACTTGGAAAAGTGGATTTAACTTACAACGATAATACTGAATGGAATGATTATTCCACCTAATAACGCATAAGGTATGGTGTCTTCTTTGTAAGGGTACTTGATGGACTCATCATTACAGAATACTCCTCGTTGGAAGGGGGTATGCCTTGAAGTAAGAATTGCAAAAGGCAATCCAGCTAGCAAAAGGGAATAAATGAAAATATCATTAAAAAAGAAATATCAAAACTAATTAATGGCAATAATTATCCCACAGACTCTGTCTAAAAATGCATTTGCCATGAAAATAAATGAGAGCACATGTAAAAAAGGAAATGCAGCAATGCATGCAACGGAAGTTAGAAAGATTACAGTTTTAAGATAAAGATGTTTTGTCTACAGCAAACAAAGTGTTCAAATCCTCTATTAACCAATTTAACAAAGAGTTATCTTTCCTTTGTTTCTGTCCAAACACACTAAATGGATTTTGGAAAAATCTCTTCTCACGTTCTTGTTGTCATTTAATCACCAGGTTTTTAACGCTACTTCCAAACCAATTTTTCATGGGCTTTGCTTCCAAAAAGAAAACATTTTAGCATTCCATATTTGGATAGGTCATTGTCACTGGCTAAGCTATCAGAGTATCTAAATAAAACTTTATCCACTCATTTCTGTATTGTCTATAGCAGGCTGAAAGCTGCTATAAAAAGGAATCTGAACTTAAAGTTTCTTTTTTTTTTTTTTTTGAGACAGGGTCTCATTCTGTTACCCAGGCTAGAGTGCGATGGTGCGATCATAGCTAAGTGCAGCCTTGATCTCCTGGGCTCAAGCTATCCTCCCGCTTCAGCTTCTTGAGCAGCTGGGACCACAGGCACGCACCACCATGCCAAGCTGGTTTGTTGGTTTTTTTGGGGGTTTTTTTTTGTTTTTTGTTTGTTTGTTTTTTAGTAGAGACGAGGTCTAGCTATGTTGCCCAGGCTGATCTTGAACTCCTGAGCTCAACTGATCCTATAGCCTCAGCCTCCCAAAGTGCTGGGATTACAGACATGAGCCATTGCACCCAGTCCTGAGCTTAGTTTCTTAAGAAAAGATGACAATGGAGTCAAGCATAAAAGCACCTAACAGAGAGCGCTGTTTTTATCATCAGCGTTTTCTATAAAGATCATGTCTTATACTCACCTCCTAAAACGCCAAATTTTTGCCTAAATGTGAACTTCAAGAATTCAATTCTCCTTTACTTCACTGAACTTGACCTACTGATTAATACTACAGCATACTGACTAGTACTGTGTTGTAAGAGATGCAGGTTAGCAGAAACCCTCCACATGAGATCTGCTTTAAGACTGACCCAAGCCTGAAACGCTCTCTCCCTAAGTGATCCATGTCCCTGCAGTAATACCATAACCACTAAGCTAACACACTCACTGTAAAAGTGTTGCTTCTCCATGAAGCACCAAGACTTGATGACCATTTGCAGTTCTCATTAACTCCACTAAGGCCCTAAAGGCTAAATGACAACCAAGCCTCTGTCACTCTGCCTGAGTGTATTTACCACAAATATCAAATCTGTTCAATCTATTATAAGAGCTAAAAAGGAGAAGCACATGAAATCACATTTCATTCTTAGCTCTTTTATCTTCCCATTTTTCATTTAGACATTGAATACATGAACCAAAGTTTAGTTCTCTGTATTAGTCAATTTGCCAATAGCTGTCAACCCTTTAAAAGTCTTTAAGATGCTACAAGGTTCCCAAAGCTATACTTCTAGTAATGCTACGCCTTAAAAGAAAAAAAAAAAAATAATAAACTAGAGCTGACTTTGCTAACTGACACTTATACTGGCCTTCATATCCCAATTCAGACTATCCTCTGATTCACCAAATAGTTTTCATTCATAGGAATGGGGTAAAATGGCCAAGTTTTCAATACATATACCATGGTTACAATATAACTTCAAAAGAATTTGCACAAACCTTTTGCACTTATCAGCACACACTGTGGAGGTAAATACACAGGGCTGTGATTTTATTATTGGCTGCCCCATGCAGTAACTAAATGCTTAGCCCCCTAATCAATAACCATACTCTAACCCAATGAGCAAATTTATTTTGTACATAAAAAGAACCACTACTTCTTTTTTCTTTTCTTTTTTTTTTTTTTTGAGATGGTGTCTTGCTCTGTTGCCCATGCTGGGGTGCAGTGACACAGTCTCGGCTCACTGCACACTCCACTTCCAGGACTCAAGCAATTATCCTGCCTTAACCTCCCAAGTAGCCAGGACTACAGGCACCCACCACCACGCCCAGCTAATTTTTGTATTTTTAATAGAGAAGGGTTCTGCCATGTTGGCCAGGCTGGTCTCAAACTCCTGACCTCAAGTAATCCACCCAGCTCAGCCTCCCAAAGTGTTGAGATTACAGGCATGAGCCATAGTGCCCAGCCAAAGAACCTCTATAATCTAATTTAGTCTATACAAAATAATTGAAACTTTCACTGTCTACAAAGCATATTTCTGAATTGGTTGCATTTTCCAATAAACATTTCTTTCTTTTGGAATAGTATATTTAGTATAGAAATTAAATTCACAGGTGTGGTGGCATGCACCTGTAGTCCCGGCTACTTAGGAGGCTGAGGCAGGAGAATCACTTGAACCCAGGAGGTAGAGGTTGCAGTGAGCCGAGATTGTGCCATGGCACTCCAGCCTGGGTGACAGAGTGACACTCTGTCTTAAAAAAAAAAAAAGAAAGAAAGAAAGAAAGAAAATTCACATATAATAGGATTCGAGTCCAAAACTCACTAGGCTGTGTGTCCTTATTCTCAGAGAAAACATATAGGCCCTAATACACATGCCCAAATGTATTTAGAAATGCTATTAACATGTATGTCCATTAATATTAAGGGGTTTTGTTCCCCCCTGACCACAAAAACCATGTTAGAAACTATTCTTAGATTTAGAAAAAAAGTTTGTGGGTATTTTTCAGGATAGTAGGGGAACAAAATAAAACCCCATACAAAGGATAATAGCCCATTTTAAAAAATAAAAATATTCATGTGGGCAAATACTAAGTAAACCCACTGTGCAAGGAATTCCGCTAGGTGCTACCAGGAATACAAATTGAATAAGGCACAGTACATAATTATAGCAGAGAATAAACTGAGGTACAAAAAATTCTGAATGTTCGAAAGAAAAGGAGAGTTGGTGATATCTCTGAGTGTGATATTCGATAAGCCAGTAGTTATGAGAGACTCCATCTCAGCAGAAGGGGTCTAGGACAGAGACAGAGATTTGGGGATAGAAAGGGTCTCTAAAGTCACAGAGGTACAAAACACTGTACAGGATGTATACAGAGAGAAAAGAAGTGGAGGATGAGGCACAGAGCAACAGCAGAGGAAGATGAGGAGAGGAAGAAGATCCACTAAGGCAGACATGAGTGGGGTAAGGGCAGGTCAGGAGACAGTGACCTCACCGTGGCCACATCAGAAAGAGGGGGCATACAGGAGGTGGAGATTGGTCCACAGTGCCCAATATGGCATCCAATGGGATTTCAATTGCCAGTCTTAGTAAAAGAGGTTTTAATAAGAAGGGGTAATATCCTGACTTCAAGTTTTGGTAAGGAAATATAAGAAAATAAGCATGAATCTACCACAAATGTACACTATTCTGTTGAGAGAATCAAGAAAAGAGGCTGCCACCACCAAAGGCCTTAGAAATATTTTTAAATTGATAATAAATAATGGCCAATATTTGCCATTCCTCGTATAAGCCTATGAGATTTTTTTTTTTTTTTTTTGAGACAGAGTTTCACTGTTGCTGCCCAGGCTGGAGTGCAATGGTGCAATCTCGGCTCACTGCAACCTCCACCTTCCGGGTTCAAGCGATTCTCCTGCCTCAGCCTCCAGAGTAGCTGAGATTACAGGTGTGCACTACCATGCCCAGCTAGTTTTTTTGTATTATTAGTAGAGATGGGGTTTCACCATGTTGGCCAGGCTAGTCTCAAACCCCTGACCTCAGGTGATCCACCTGCCTTAGTCTCCCAAAGTGCTGGGATTATAGGCGTGAGCCAGTGTGCCTAGCCAAGATGTATTGAATCAATGTCATTACCCAGTGCCATTTCATTTTCACTAACTATCTAAACCTAAATACAGACCCCTGGAAGGGGATGAAGAAAAAGACCAAACCACAGGTTGTTCACTGACCCACCTAAGGCTCAAAAAGAACAGCTCTTTCAGATTCCTGTTCTGGAAATATGTGAATTTTAACAAAAACTGAGTAAGTCCAAGGTGGCAAACAACACTGAGCCATGTACAAGGAAGACTGGCTGAAGAAGAAGCTGAGAACAAAGCAGGTCTACAGAGGAAGAAGCAGTGACTAGCCTGGTCCCTGAACCGGGTGAAATGGGAAAGTAGCTCTGGCTCCCCACTGCCAAAAGGCCTCAGTGATCTTGCTGTTTGGGGTTATTAGAGCACCTTTTACCCTTTTCAACAAAGCCCAATTTTACTTAATCTAGTTAGAATTTCTACTCCTTGAAACCAAGAGAGACAAAGCAAAATCAACTATAATTTAACCATTCCTCCTACTTTGAGAGCATGTAGGTTATTTTTAATTTTTTGATTACCCTATGTGATGCTATAGTGAACATTTCTGAATACAAATTCTTGTTTGCATTTCTAGTTATTTCCTTAAGATATATATGTATGTGGAATTAAAAGATACAAACATTAAATCCTTGATAAACTATTCCAAAAGGGTTAGTGCACACCATCAACTTACTTCACCAGACACAGTGTACAAAAGTGTGGAGAAATGCAAACATTTAAATAGATACTTGATGTTAACTTTGACATTTACTGAAGATTAAGGCAAAAGTGAAAGAGTTCCCTTTCTTCGTTTATCAAATCAAGTCAAAACCCTTTTCCTTTCACCTGAAAGATTATATCTCTAAATCTCTTTCATCATTTCTCAAATGACTACCCTTGTCAAACACTGTTTCTTATTACTTGAGCTGGCAAAATTCATTTTCATGCTCCCTTTTTTTAAATTGAGGTATAATTTACATACCATAACATTCATCCATTCTAAGTATACATATAATTCAATGGTTTTGGTAAATTTATATAGCTATGCAACATCACCACAATCTAGTTTTAGAATATTTTCATTACCCCCCAAATTCCCTTGAGCCCATTTGCATTTAATCCCTGCTTCCACCAAGAAACCCAGGCAACCACTCATCTGCTATCTGTCTCTACACAAATTTGCCTTTTCTAGACATTTCATATAAATGGAATTATACAATATGTAGTATTTTATATGTGGCTTTTATCACTCAGCATAATGTTTTCGAGGTTCATCTGTGTTACAGCATGCATTTTGTTCCTTTTTATTAATGAATAGTATTCAGTTGTATGTATATACCACATTTGGTTTACCCACTCACCAGTTAATGGACATTTAGATTGCTTCCAGTTTTGTGCTATTATGATTAATCCTATGAACATTCATATACAAGTATTTTTGTAGATATGTTTTCATTTCTAATGGGTAGATACCTACAAGTGGGATTGCTAGGTCATATGGTAAGTTGATGCTTAACTTTTTAAGAAATTGCCAAACTGTTTTCCAAAGTTGTTGCACCCTTTTACATTCCCACATTCCGCTTTTTGATACATTCACTAGTCAGCCCATGACTCAGGTTCTCTGCATAGTAAACTCATACTCAGCTATAAATAAACACAACTTTCTATATTTTACCAGTGAATATTTATAATGGTTCAAGACAGAGTATGTGATATGGTAACTTACTGCTTCCACAAACCAAATACCACAAGAACACTTCGCCGTCCTTTATTAGAGACAGGAAAGGACAACATAAGAACATGGTCACACCACATCTTCTTTAACTTCCTCTTGCACAAATGCTCAGGATCTTGGAACCATAATACAAATACTAACAGTTTTATTTAGAAATATTGGTGCTGGGGTATCCAGCAAATCTGGGAAACTGGTTAAAAACTCTTTTACATGTGAAGGGAACTCTTCTAATATTAGCGAAAATTACAAAACTGCCTTCACAAAATAATGTTTTAAGGATCACCTATATAGCACCATGGATATATTGTTCCTTTTTGTTGCTGAACAGTATTCCATTGTACGAATCTAAAACATACCAGATGCCCAAGAGAGAGTGGCATGCAACTTTAGAGACCACAGTAGCAAATCACTAAGGGATACACTGCCTTGGGGATGACAGCAGCTGGCAACAGTCTGAGAAATCCTGACACACAGATGGCAGGTGCCTTGGGATTTACTGTGAGATCAAGTACTACCTCAATAGTTTGGAAGAAAAAAAGACCCCATAGGCAGACCAAAAGACCCACGGAATAGAAAGAACTGTGTCCACTTGTGAAATATTTCAGGAAATACATTCTTCTCTTAATGCCTGAACAAGTAGAGAAGAATGTGGATGTAGGCTAGAAGCCTGAAGAACCCAGACATATAGGTCAGACTGTCAAATAATGGAGCTATTACTATTTTGTTAATAAAATTGCTCATAAGAATTGAGAATCAGTACTTTCCACAATGCTGTGGATAGGAAATGCAGCTACACATGAGAATAAGTAAACAAGAAAATAAAACTTTTTTCCAACCTAAGAAACCAATCTCCACAGTACTATATTTCTACAATTCTAATAGACGTTTCCTCCATATTTTAAGATATCTCCAAAGAGGGAAATACATATATATATTTTTATTTTTATTTTTATAAGATCTATAAATATATATTTATTTATATAAGATACATCCAAAGGGGGAAATATAAATATAATTATATATTTATATTTAAATATTATATTTAAGTATTATATTTAAATTTTATATATTTATATTTCCCCCTTTGGAGATATACATATCTCATACATATATATATAGTATATAGTATATACACACACAGACACACACACACACACACACACATCTCCAGTCAGGATACGCATTCAATGTAAGTCTCCTTTGTCCCCCCTCACCCCCGAAAAACTGTTTTAATGAGGTATCTGATAGCAAGAGATGACTTGGAAATATGGTCAGTTTCCACAGAGTTAAGCTGAATTTTCATGGTAGTAGTCATTATCAAACATAAACAACAATCTTATTCTATTTAACATTTTGTAGTTTTTCATAAAATTTTCTACCTCAAGTTATTAAACACCTATTACATGCCACTAAGGTTACAATGGTGAGCAATACAGACCATTCCTACTCTAGTGAAGATTATTGTCTTACTGCCTATAGAGGTGAAAATAAGAAATGGCAGCACAGCGCCTATGTCCCCATGAAAACAAGGGAGAAATGACAAACAAATGTGAGCAATAGACTGTTTGGATACCAGCTTCCTGAACCAGTACAGGAAAAGGACAGCAAGAGAGATGTGCCTTGCCATAAAACCTAACCAACTCCAATCTCCTCTGCTATGCAGGGTAAAATTCTAAAGCCACTTCGCCATAAGAACACTTTACTTATATAGTACTTTACACTTTATAAAAATAAACTTATTAACCCACTCATTCTTTCTTCCTCAAGACTAGCAATTTCTTATTACCATTTAAGTAAGCTATTCAAAATAATAAAAATTATACCTCAGTTACCTGCTTTGTGGGCAGCTTCTCTAAAAAAATATTATTTTTTCAAACAATGTACCAAAAACAAAGAACTTCAGAAAATCCACATATATATAGTAAATAATCTCCCTCATCTTCCAAAACATTATCAAATCCCAAACTTTTCAAATGTGGTATTCCACAACAATTCAACCCAAAAAATGTATCCTGTGTTACTTCCCCCAGGTGTTAACAAAGGGAGTAAAAGTGATTTTTTAAAATTAACTTAGGAGCACTTAGACTACCAAAATTAATAAAAAATATTTCTTAATATTTCTTAAAAAGTCGTATTTTATCCTTTAAAATTGTGAATATTGTCTACTTAATATATTATTACACTAGTAATATTTATAGTGAAAATCTGATTAATCAATGCCAGAAAAATACAAGTGCTTAATGGTATACAAAAGCTAGACATTTTTCATTATGCTAACACACAAACAACATCAGTTGAAAAGGATAATTCAAAGTACATTATTCGAGGCTAGGTGCAGCGGCTCATGCCTGTAATCCCAGAACTTTGGGGAGGCTGAGGTGGGCAGATCACATGAGGTCAGGAGTTCAAGACCAGCCTGGCCAATGTAGTGAAACTCCGTCTCTATTAAAAATACAAAAATTAGCCAGGCATGGTGGCACATGCCTGTAATCCCAGCTACTCGGGAAGCTGAGGCACAAGAATTGCTTAAACCCAGGAGGCAGAGGTTGCAGTGAGCCAATATCATACCACTGCACTCTAGCCTGGGTGACAAAGGGAGACTGTCTCAAAAAAAAAAAAAAAAAACTACATTATTAGAAATTTTGGGTTGAGAGGCTATTTCCATTTCTGTATTTTTTACACTTAGAATGACTTTACAAAAATCTCCAACCAAAAACTATAACAATCCACATCCCAGAGTAAAGGAATTTTAATAGACCAATACTTGGTCTATTAAATGGAGATATAATGGGATTTTAAATAATGCATATTTCTGAATTAACCTAGAACAAAGGTTTTTTGCATATTAAGATATGTTTACATAGATGTTCTTCTACGATGAGCTACTAACTCACTATGCAATGCACGCTTAAGATAAAGTTCATCATTAATAGACAGTGACAAAGGCTCTTTAGTTGACTAAACATTAGTTAACCAGCTGTGAACCCTCTTCTCAACTAGGCCTCAACCTTGGCCTTTCATGTCAGCCTGTCCTTGCATGGTGTGCAAGGACAGGACATGCCCAGTCTTAGCAAAAGTCCTGCTAAGTCAGCTAAGCAAGAAGCCCCTCATCCTTGATATATGATTAAATTCCTCATCTCCCACCTTTGATACATAAATCTTTGGCCTGCCTTAACAAGAATCTCCTACCTTTGATGTCTCCTCTTCGTGATTTTCCATCCACTGATTCCCCTCACCCATAAATCCACCCCCTTCTCCTTGTTGTAGTTAGAGTTGAGCCCTCCGCTATTGCACTAGGTGCAATAGTCTTGAGTAAAGTTTTCCTTACCATTTTAACAAGTATCAGAATAATTTTTTTCAACAATAGAAACCCATATTAGATGGAAAGTTTCCAACTCCTAAGTAAACTTGGGTTGGCAGATTCAAAGGAAACAACGAAAACTTTTTTAAAAAATATTAAATTGTATCAAACCAACAACTGAGTGCTTTAAACACTTTCAAGGTACCAAGGCTATAGAGTAAAAAATACAGAGACTGGGGTCTATAACAAAGAATGTGGCCTTTGTCCCTGGGAGAGAGACTCGAAAACCTTACAATTTCCTGAGTAATAGGAGGGTCTTTGTTATTCTTGAGCCCCTTGGTTCACACCTGGGTTTATGCTAATGAATGACTCAGGATGGGGGCTGGTCACACTAACCATGTGATTAGGGGGACAGGGCTTTAAACCAGCTCAACCTCCAGGTAGGTGAGGGGAACTAGAGATCAAGTTCAATTGCTTGGCCAATGATTCAATCAATCATGACTACATAATAAAACTCTAATAAAAACAATGGACACTGAAGGTTGGAGGAGCTGCCTGGTTGGTGAACATATCAATGTGCCAGAAAAGTGACACATCTTGATGACATTGGGAGAGGACAGAAAAGTTCTACATTCAGGCTGCCCCCCACCCTGAGACTTTGACTGTGTATCTTAATTTGGCTCATTCTGATTCTTTATAATAAAACTATAATCATAAGTAAAATGATTTCCTGAGCTCTATGAGTTGTTTTAGCCTATTACTGAACCTGACAGAGTCACAGGAACCCCCAGAGTTGCAGCCTGGGGAACTTCAAATTTGCACCTGAAAACTACAGTGAAAGCAGTCTTATTGGGGACAATGACCTTAAATCCGTGGAGTCTCATGCTAACTCCAGGTGGTTAGTGTCAGAATTGAATTACAGCATGCTGCAACACAAAAGACAAACTTTCCACATTCAAGGAGTTACATGGGTATGTGTAGATCCACTCAGGTTAACGGACAACCAATCACTTCTAAAAAGCCTAGTCAGCTACGTAGACTGCTGAGCCACAGGACAAGGAGTGAAGTTTGATTTACTGTGAAATCTCAAAACATAGTTATTTTGATCTTTTTTTTTCTTTTGGCACTTTCTTAGAAACAGACAAAATCCACACACATAACAGTTAAGCTTCCACAATGCTATGTAAAAATGGGTATATAGTTAAGGCATTTAAACTTCAGGTATATGAAAAATGAAAACAGAAAAATTTCTAATGGGTTTTTAAAAAATAAAAATAGGCTTCCTTATTTGAAAAAACAATGTTCAAGGGAGGGGAAAAACAGAAAATATAAGAGACCAAATGAAAATATCTCATATACTAATAATCCCACTATTCAGAAAGAACGATTACTATTCTTCTCCCTCTCAATATATTACAAAAATCTTTCTATGTCAATATTATCAAAACTTATGAAATATCATAATATTTCATCACTAGAATAAATCATAAAACAGTCCCCTACAGCTGAACTTACTTATTTCCAATTTTCTTCTATAAAAAGTACTGTAATCAGCTGTCTTCCAACTAATTCTCTATATGAAACTTTTATTTCCAGGATAAATTCCTTCCAGTATAATTTATAGGTTCAACAATATACTCTTTTTAATGCCAATTTATACCCCTGCCAGATTTGTGTATGAGAACACCTGTTTTCTATGCTTGATAAGCTGGGAAAGTTCTTACCTTTGCTACTGTGACAGGCCAAACTGTGTTCTCAGTGTTGCTTTAATATAAACTTTGATTTCTTAAGACTTAGTCTTAAGAAATGTTAAATGTTAAAGCATTTCTTTATATTTCTTGGCAATTTTCTTCCACTGACAGCTTTCTAGTCATGCCCTTTCCCCATTTTTCTTTGAGGTAGTCATCTGTTTTTCACTAAGTTATAAAATATATAAAGTGGCTGGATGTGGTGGTTCACACCTGTAATCTCAGCACTTTGGGAGGCCGAGGTGGGTGGATTGCTTGAGGTCAGGAGTTCAAGACCAGCCTGGCCAACATGGTGAAACCCCATCTCTACTAAAAATACAAAAAATTAGCCAGTTGTGGTGGCACACGCCTGTAGTCCCAGCTACTTGGAAGGCTGAGGCAGGAGAATCACTTGAACCCAGGAGGCGGAGGTTGCAGTGAGCTGAGATCACACCACTATACTCCAGCCTGGGCAACAGAGCCAGACTCCATCTCAAAAAATACAATAAAATAACATAAAATATATAAAGTGATTAAGCCTTGGTCGGGCGCCGTGGCTCACGCCTGTAATCCCAACACTTTGGGAGGCCGAGGCGGGCAGATCACGAGGTCAGGAGTTTAAAACCAGCCTAACCAACATGGTGAAACCCCATCTCTACTAAAAATACAAAAATTAGCAAGGCGTGATGGCACACCCCTGTAATCCCAGCTACTTAGGAGGCTGAGGCAGGAGAATCGCTTGAACCCGGGAGGTGGAGGTTGCAGTGAGCCAAAATCGCACCATTGCACTCCAGCTTGGGCGACAGAGCGAGACTCCACCTCAAAAAAAAAAAAGTGATTAAGCCCTTTTCACAAACATCCATGTACATTTCCAGTTTAGGTCACCATAAGTAATACAATCACTCTTTAGAAAAAGTTTAATAAGTTGGTCACAAACATTGGCTATACTGTTATTTTAGGCTAAGTATTTTTGCTAAAAGGTTATGCCATACAGTAATCATCACTTAAGAAAAGCAACTACTTACAGTCAGTACTCAAGTCGATTTAAAATAGCCTATTAAACATAGGTAAGTTTTCTATCCTGAAACTACAAATTTTTAAATTTAGACAAAGTATATTATTCATTGCAACATATGGATTTGAGATTTAATACTAACTTTATTGTTACTATCATTACTCTGAAAGTTTGTACATAAAAAGTCTTGCCTTTTTCTAGAAATATAAGAATTTATAAAAGTAAATGTATAATGAATTACCAAGGGAGAAGGTAGAACTACACAAAGCCAAAAATGATGGAAAAAAAAAAGTCTGGTGTCAAATCTAATATGGATCATTAAAACCCAAAAACAAAAAAAAAATGTAAAAGCCAAATAATGCAGAAATCTATAGTTTTCTGAATATGGCACCTTTTTGGATAGCTAAAGAAGAAACAGTAAATAATATATTTCTTAAAAAGATTATGAACCTCGCATTGTAAAAATAAATCACTGCTTTAAAATATAGATTTTCTATCACCCCAAATCTTAATTCTGATCAAATTATAAGGCACATTATATGAAAGTTATGTTAAGCATAAATAATTCATTTTATAGAAAATAAATTATTTTCTATATATAACAGATGTTATACACAAACTATTAAAACAAACAAATCTACCCTAAGAATTTGCAAGAATTCCTTCCTGCACATTCAAGCACATTTAAGGCCCAGAAACTGGCCAAATACTACTTCTTTAATTAAAAATAAATTGGCATTAGGTCGGGCGTGGTGGCTCACGCCTGTAATCCCAGCACTTTGGGAGGCCGAGGCTGGTGGATCACCTGAGGTCAGGGTTCCAGAACAGCCTGACCAACATGGTGAAACCCTGTCTCTATTAAAAATACAAAAAATTAGCCGAGTGTGGTGGTATTGCACGGCAGTTGTAGTGAGCCAAGATCATGCCACTGCACTCCAGCCTGGGCAACAGGACAAGACTCCGTCTCATAACAAACAAATAAATAAATAATTGGCATTAAAATATTTTTCCAGGTCAATCCTAACAGCAAACTCACAGGAATTAATCAAAGTTTGATACTAAGATTGATAAAAAGATTGATACTAAGTCTTTTTCCACTCCTTAAAAAAAAAAAAATTTAGCCCTATTGCTATTTAAGCTGCTTGATATTATAATACTATAACTAAAAAAAAAAAAATTGTTATAAAGATAAGTAAAAAAACAAAGCACAAAACTAAATCTGTGGTGTGCTCATAATGATATAAAAACTGTCAAACTAGATTGGGTGTGGTGGCTCATGCCTGTAATCTCAGCACTTTGGGAGGCCGAGGCAGGTGGATCACCTGAGGTCAGGAATTCAAGACCAGCCTGGCCAACATGGTAAAACCCCGTCTCTACTAAAAATACAAAAATTAGCCAGGTGTGGTTGTGTGTGCCTGTAGTCCCAGCTACTCGGGAGGTCAAGGCAGGAGAATTGCTTGTACCTGGGAGGCGGAGGTTGCACTAAGTCGAGACTGTGCCACTGCACTCCAGCCCAGGCAACAGAGTGAGACTCCATCTCAAAAAAATAAAAATAAAAAACAAACAAACAACAACAACAACAAAAAAATGTGTCAAACTAAAGGAAACATCAAAATGCTACCAGTAGTTGTCTTCAGGTAGTAGAACTAAGGGCTATTTATTTTCTCTTTCTACTTTATAATAATTTTTTTAATTAATAAAAGATCATGGGCCAGGGGGCATGTTGCCAGGTGGCCAACACAGCGAAACCCCATTTCTACTAAAAATACAAAAATTAGCTGGAAGTGGTGACAGGCACCTGTAATTCCAGCTACTTGAGAGGCTGAGGCAGGAGAATCGCTTGAACCCGAGCTGAGGCAGAGTAGATTGCTTGAGGTCAGGAGTTCAAGACCTGCCTGGCCAACATGAAGAAACCCCATCTCTACTAAAAAAAAATACAAAAATTAACTGGGCATGGCAGCGCACGCCTATAGTCCCAGCTACTCAGGAGGCTAAGGCAGGAAAATCACCTGAACCTGGGAGGCAGAGATTGCAGTGAGCCAAGATTACACAATTGCACTCCAGCATGGGCGACAAGAGCAAAACTCCATCTCAAAAATATATATGTGTTATTATTACAATTAATTTATTCACTCTCAAGCAATTATCTCCTCAAATACAGGGGCAAGTTTTTCTTAAAAAAGAAACTTTATCTGGCAACAGTTGCTCAGAATCATGGCTACCACAACTACTTAGTACTTCATATAGTACAGAAACACCGTCTATTGTCATCCAAGTGGCAGTACTTCCCTGCACACAGTTTCTCCTAAGCTGAATAACTAAAATTTAAGTAACCAGTTATGGTGGGATGTATTTCTTAGAAAAAGAAGTATCCCCTTAAACTAAATGCTAGATTTTTCTCATTTTACTCCCATAAAAGTAGCTATAATCAAATTAGAATTATATGAATATATTAATACTTATACCTCTTAGAACATAATAAAATCCTGGACCCCTTCACCTTCAAAATACTGAGCTGCAGCCCATTAGAAAAAAATCTACCAGACAAAAAGGCAAAATGAACTCAGATACATAAGCTGAAAAAACAAACAACTAGGTTATTATTCTTAGCCAATTTGGAGGCAAAATAGAGAGAGAAAAGCCAGCCAGTCCTACAGCAGAACAAGGCTACTGAGTTTACTGAGACACTAAAGTTTTGTAAGTCATATATCTAGGAAAGGCAAGTAACAAGACAGGTGGCCAGAGGAGAAATAAGGTGTGATATGCTGCACTGCCAAGACACTCAAGGAGGTAAATCTTCACCTTGCTCCTTCCCTTCTATTTCCAAGTCACATAAAATGACAATGGCAAGATTTAGGAATGAGAGCCAAGGGTAAAGAAAGTAGGCATAATATCCCAAGTGGCAATCTTAACCTAGTTTGTGAATCTTAAACTAGAATGAAAATTTTAATTATTTAACAGTGAAGCCCAATATTGTCCTACAAATTGATGAACTATCTGAAGGACAGTACAAAGTAAGAAATAGTGACTTTTCTTTTCTTTTTTTTTTTTTTTTTTTTTTTGAGATGGAGTTTTGCTCTTGTTGCCCAGGCTGGAGTGCAATGGCATGATCTTGGCTCACTGAAATCTCCATCTCCTGGGTTCAAGCGATTCTCCTGCCTCGGCCTCCCGAGTAGCTGGGATTACAGGCATGCGCCACCACGCCCGGCTAATTCTTTATTTTTAGTAGAGACTAGGTTTCTCCATGTTGGTCAGGCTGGTCTCGAACTCCTGACCTCAGGTGATCAGCCCATCTCGGCCTCCCAAAGTGCTGGGATTACAGGTGTGAGCCACCACACCTGGCCAATAGTGACATATCTTAATGTATTCTGATAATTTTATTTTGCACATATATTTGTGGTCTTTCTGCTGAGTTTGTTTTCTCAAATTTAATATGCAAACGTTTTCCTTTTTCATGGCCTCAATTTCCACTTAACAGTATGATAAAGCAAGCATAATCTTAGTTTCAGCTCTGCCGTACGATAGCTTACTGGGCTTTAACAAGTGTCTGGACCTAAGTTTCTTCATTTGTTTACTGAGAGGAGTTGATCCAAATGACTCAAAAAGACTCTCCTATTCAAAAATAATCATTCTATCATTCTTCAGAATGACATCAAGTTGTTCTGGGTAACATCCACCTTTAACTGGAGAAACACTGCCTCTGGACTAAAACAGTGGGTATATTCCTCAAGCAATCATTCACCATATCAACACTGGTGAAGACAGTACTGTGGATTTACCCCCGCCCCAACTCCATGCTTCATCCAACCTCCAGCACAACAAACCCATCACTACCTACTTATTAATTTACTTACAGAGGAAATGGGCAAGCCAACCCCCACTAGGATGAGGACAGTGGATGTGACGGTACTGTCATGGTACGGATAGTTGATGCTGTTGTCTTTACAGAAAAAGCCTCTCTGAAATGGATATATTTGGCCCAATTTTAGAACAGCCATAGGCATGGAAGCTGTTGGGGAAGGGAAAAAAAGACACACATGATTAAATTCAATTCACTTCATTAGGAAGTAAAGTCTACTGAATGGGATGCAAATCCTAGCCATATTTTGCCCTCTCTGGAGATGGATCTCCATTATACCCAAGGGCAAAGATTAAGGAAATCATGCAGCATCATTTGCTTGTCCATATCAGCCCCACCTTTTTCCAAGTATAAATACTATTACTTGCATTGACCTCCGATTTTAGAAATAAACAATAAAAGAGACTTCCACAAGGAGGAGAGCAAAATTGGCCCATGGAAAAATAAAGCTGAGAAAACAGGAAGGTTTTCCATTTTGCATTCTGTAGTTAATTCATTTTTAATTGAATTGCTTTACATTAAACTGTGTTTAAGAAAAAAGGCAAAATTCCATAAATAAATTTAGTAATTAATATCATAACAACCAAATGTCATCCAGGAGAAGAAACATGTAAAAATTTAGGTGGCTCATGCCTGTAATCCCAGCACTTTGGGAGGCCAAGGTGGGCAGATCACTTGACATGAAGAGTTCAAGACGAGCCTGGCCAATATGATGAAACCCCGTCTCTACTAACAACACAAAAATTAGCCAGGCATGGTGGTATACACCTGTAGTCCCAGCTACTGGGCAGACTGAAGCAGGAGAATCGCTTGAACCCAGGGGACAGAGGTTGCAGTGAGTCAAGATTGTGCCACTGCACTCCAGCCTGGCCAACAGAGCAAGACTCAATCTCAGGAAAAAAAAAAAAAAAAGAAAGAAAAGAAAGAAAAAGAGAGAGAAAGAAAATGATAAAACCACAAGTATATATTCAGTAATAAAAATAGAAAGAAAAAGCCTTTTGTTTTCCAAAGACAAACAAACACCCGGTTTTATTAGCCCTGGCAAGGCTCCAAAACCACTTTTAACAAGTTATACCAAAATAATTTCAGTTGAAATTTTGCACCTAAATAAAATGACCCTGAAAGACCAAAGTTAAATAATTTAAATTAGTGGCTTCTTAAGATATTCAAATTTACCATGCTTTTAGGCTTTGTTTTATACAAACTCACTCACTATATGCGCAATACTAAGCCATACTTAGGGAAGACAAATTTGTATAAAACCAATACTAAATTCAAGAACCTAAATTGTATATGTAGAAAAATAATGTATACCCAGTAAATTGTTTAAAAACAAATCCCAAGGTAGATTTTTTGGGGAAAATGATGAAACTGTTCTGTATCTTGATTGAGATGGTAATTCCACAACTCTTTTATTGCATGTAAAGTTAAGAAGAAATACCATAAAAGGCAGAAATATGCCATAAAAATAGGAATATAATTACTAAAATGGCATAGAAGGACCTATAGGAATTCAGAGGTCAATACAGACTGGAGGAGTTAGAAAAGACTATTAAAGAAGAGGCAACTGAGTTGAAGGTGAAATGACAGGTAAAACACAAGCAATAGGGAGGAGCACAGGGAGACCATTTAGTGGTAGAGGGAGGCAGGGAAGCATGAGAATTGCATCAACAAGAGCACAAAGGGAATGAGCAAGAAGTTTTCAAGGTACACGCATTTTGTAGCCAACATGTATTGCATGCTTGCACATGCTGGGAATTAGGCCACATAGATTAACTCAATCCTTACCTCACCTCTGTGAAGTAGGTATTATCACTACCTGCTTTTTTCATATAACGTTGTTGAAGCTTAGAGAAATGAGGAACATTGCTGAAACTAGGAAGTGGTGGAACCAGGATTCCAACACAAGCTATCTCTTCCAGAGTTAGGGAATATACGGCCTCCCATGGAGACAAGTGATCTGGCTAGGTTAACAGGTTAGAATATGATTGGGAGAAGGGGAACCTGTCCTTTAAAAACCTCACTCAGTATAATACATGTTGTGTTCACGATAAGAACTCAAAGTAGGCTGAGTACGGTGGGTCACACCTATAAACCCAACACGTTGAAAGGCTGAGGCAGAAGGACCCCTTAAGTTCAGGAGTTCAAGACTAGCCTGGGCAACATATTGAGACCTCGTCTCTACAAAAGAAATTTTTTAATTGGCTGGGCATGGTGGCATGTGCCTGTAGTCCCAGCTACTCAGGAGGGTGAGGCAGGAGGATCCCTTGAGCCCAAGAGGTAAAGGCTTCAGTAAGCCATGTTCACACTACTGCACCCCAGCCTGGGCAACAGGACAAGACCCTGTCTCAAAAAAAAAAAAAAGAAGAAGAAAAAACTGAAAGTTAATGGAACAGTGTATTATTTGCTATAGATTATCTCTGAATTCTGCAATTCTATGGTTTTTCATGGGAATAACAGTGCTTGAGATTTCTGTGTTTATTAAAAGATTATAGGACTCAGGCATGGTGACTAACACCTGTAATCCCAGTAACTCAGGAGGCTGAGGCGGGAGGATCACTTGAGGCCAGAAGTTCAAGACCATTCTGGGCAACACAGCAAGACCCTGTCTCTAAAAAATATTTTTAAAAATTAGCTGGGTGGCTGGGTGAGGTGGCTCATGTTTCTAATCCCAGCACTTTGGGAAGCCGAGGCGGGTGGATCACAAGGTCAGGAGATCAAGACCATCCTGGCTAACACAGTGAAACCCCATCTATACTAAAAATACAAAAAATTAGCTGGGCGTAGTGGCTGTAGTCCCAACTACTTGGAAGGCTGAGGCAGGAGAATCACTTGAACCTGGGAGGCAGAGATTGCAGTGAGCTGAGATCGCGCCACTGTACTCCAGCCTGGGCGACAGAGCGAGACTCCATCTCAAAAAAAAAAAAAAAAAATAGCTGGTCATAGTGGCACACACCTATAGTCCAGACATTTGGGAAGCTCAGGCAGAAGGATCACTTGAGCCCAAGAATTCGAGGCTACGGTGAGCCATGATTATGCCACTGCATTCCAACATGGGTGCAGAGCAAGACTCCCAACTCCAAAGAAAGAAAAAGGATTATGGGTTTAAAACACTTGGAAAGGATGTAAGTTTGTAGGAAATAAAATATCACTGTCCTCTTTTGCTCAGGGTCAGCAACATGGTAAAATGAGGAATTTTAGAAATTAACTTCCAGGAAAAAAAAAAAAGGGAGAGAGAGAGCAAGAAGAAACACAAATATTTACAGTTTTGAAATTATCTACTAATTAGGTGATAAGTAGTGTGTAGATAGTGGAAACAGAATAGGATGCAGAGAAGAATGTTTTGAATATAGAAATGATACAAAACTTGAGCACTGATCACAAATGCTGAGGCAGACCTGAAGATGGCACTTCAGGGTTTGGACATATGAAGAACGAAAGTTCCATTGATAGAAATGAGAAGTTGCCAGGGGGAGCTCATTTATGGTGGAAGAACATTAGTTTAGTATTGAGAACACTGCCTTTGGGGCAATCTGGCACCTCCCTAAATGCTCAGCCTCATCTTCCACTGTCCCCTTAAGGCTCCAATCACACTGAACCACTTGCTGTTGCCGAAACATACTGTTTTCAAAACCCTAGGTTTCACAGGGATTTGAAATGCTCAGCCTTCTACTGCGGATAGTTGCTCTCTCATTTCTCCTTCAAGTCCAAGCCAGGTACTCCCTTCTTATCTGTCCCATGGCACCATGTACATATGTCTATCACGCTGTACTTTAACTTTTTATGTGTGTGTCAGCAACTCTGAGGGCAAAGGCTACCTTTACCATTTTTGTATCCTTTGTACCAGGCACACAGATCTGAACAAAAATTTATTGGCCAGGCGCAGTGGCTCACGCCTGCAATCCTAGCACTTTGGGAGGCAAAGGCTGGCAGATCACGAGGTCAGGAGTTCGAGACCAGCCTGGCCAACATGGCGAAACCCTGTCTCTACTAAAAAAAATACAAAAAAAAAAAAAAATAGCCGGGCATGGTGGCGGGCACCCAAAATCCCAGCTACTCAGGAGGCTGAGGCAGTAGAATCGCTTGAACCCGGGAGGCAGAGGTTGTGGTGAGCTGAGATGGCGCCATTGCACTCCAGCCTGGGCAACAAGAGCAAAACTCTGTCTCCAAAAAAAAAAAAAAAAAATGTATTAAATGGCTAAGTGAATAAAATTCAGGGTAAAGATCAGAAGTAGAGAAAGATGTGTAAGTTGTTGGCATTAGAATTTGCAACTTAAGCTAGGAGAATAAAACAGTTCTTACAGAAGGCAAATCAAGACTAAAAGAAACAAAGCAATTAGCTAAGGACTAATATCCACAGAGAAAACATGAAAAGAGGCTATAGGAGAGGAAGAAAGGATGCTCACAGGCTCCAAGGGGCAAGGGCTGTGTCTGTCTTGTTCAGCAGCATAGTCTGGCCATTCTTTAAACAAAAGAATGAATGAACAATAGAGAAGTAGGACAATGTTGTGATACAAAAACCAAAGCTCAGAGTATCTAGTACATGGCAAATCTAATATATCAAATGCTAAGACATCAAGGAGCATGAGAACTGAGTAAAGACTGAGGTCTTTACTGAGAATATATTATACCGTCTCCACTAATACAACAATGGTATCTTCATAAAGAAACTTAGTATTGAGCATTGTTCAATATCGGGTTGTCATTGTCTAAGCATGCCTTTCTTCAAGTTAAATATGTCAAAATTATGTCCCCTATTGTTCATATGTATTACACACACACACACACAGAGGAATGTCCATCCCTCCAGAGTAAACAGGTATCACTATTCCAAAAAGCAATGGAATAGTCTTTATCTGCTACTGAGATCATTTTTGTTTTGTTTTGTTTTGTTTTTGTTTTTGTTTTGAGACAGAGTCTTGCTCTGTCGCCCAGGCTGGAGTAGTGCAGAGGTGCGATCTTGGCTCACTGCAACCTCTGCCTCCCAGTTTCAAGTGATTCTCCGACTTCAGCCTCCTGATTAGCTGGGACCACAGGCACGCGCCACCAAGCCCCGCTAATTTTTGTAGTTTCAGTAAAGACGGGTTTTCACCATGTTGGCCAGGCTCATCTTGAACTCCTGCCCTCAAGTGATCCACCTGCCTCGGCCTCCCAAAGTGCTGGGATTACAGACATGAGCCACCACACCTGGCCAAGATTATTTTTAATGTTAATTTTTTAGAGTAGTGATGAGAGTTCTGTGTTAAAGTTAGTGTTCTAGGAAGACTCTTCTCCTTATAAACACTTTCTTAGGACAGATACACTTTTTCCTTAATACCTAAAGAACATAGATACTGTTTTGACCCTAATCATAGTTCTAGGATATTTTTCTCTTAATTAAAATTTCCTTAAGAGGAGTCACTTTTAAAACTATGTAATAACCGCCGGGCGTGGTGGCTCACCCTCTACCTGGGACTACAGCTGCTATCAGGCAGCCTTCTCCACAAAGCTCTCTTTTTGAGGTAGCACTCCTTCTCTTTGCACTTCAGGTCTATGGGGCAATATTCCCATCCTCTCTGTTGCTAGCCCAGGATACTACAATATCTCTTGTTGATTTTCTAAACTCTGCCCACCTATTTGTGAATACTTGTTTCATTTAATCCTCTTCAAATTATCCAGCTTGAATATGCCATCTGTTTCCTATCAGGGCCATGGGTGACAGTACCACATACATATTTTGATCTTGCTAAACACAACTGTTAGGCATGTATGTCTGCTCTTAGTGCACTACTCCTATGATATGTTGAGGAAAACAGACACATGAATACCTGGATAGATGTAAACAGATGTTCCCATATTCTCCTCAATTCAGTGATAATTGAAACCTCTTCCATTTTATTAAATATATGTCATACATACTTCCTCAAATATGTGCTATTACAAAATATTCCAATGGAATAAATCTAAAATGCATTTTACAAAGAGAAAGACTAAAGTAAATCAATGTTAATCCCTAATATGTAGAAGGTAAAGAAAAAGTACTAAATTTATTTTGAAAACAATGAAATAAAAATCAAGTTATTAAAGTGACTACACTGATTCATGTACCCACTCCCTCAATTTTCTCTAAAGATCTCATTTCAGACATTTAAATGAATATTATGCTACACAACAGGGAAACTCAGATGTCCATCCCCTCCTTATTCATTCAAACATTTCCACTGCCATAATATGGCAGCTGCAACGCCAAGAAAGAAGAAAGGAAAAAAGACTAAAAGAGGTGAAGAATGAAAAAGACCTCAAAGAAATTTTTTTTTTAAGAGACTGGGTCTTACTCTGTCACCTAGGGTGGAGTCCAGTGGTAGGATCATAGTTCATTGTAACCTTGAACTCTTGGGCTCAGGCAATCCTCTCACCTCAGCCTCCCAAGTAGCTGTGACTACAGGCCTGTGCTACCATTCCTGGCTAATTTTTTCTTTTTTTTTTTTTGGTAGGGACAGAGTCTCACTATGTTTCCTAGGCTGGTCTCAAACTCCTGGACTCAAGCAATCCTCCTGCCTCGGCCTCCCAAAGTGCTGGGATTACACATATAAACCACCATGCCCAGCCACCACAGAACTTTTAATAAAAGAGGGAAATCAGTACTACAGGAAAATAACACAGCTGTAACTGCAAGCATGACTGACATTTAGGTTTGGGCAACACAGCCATCAGGATCCCAGCAGGAAACAGATAGCACCCCCAAACTGGGTAATTTAAGGAGAGTTTAAGAAAGGGACTATTTACAAGGTGTGAAGGGTGTGGGCACAGTCAAAAGATAGTGCAACCTCCTGAAGCTGCTATCATCTACAGACTTGGAAAGACAAAGAGGGCCCCATGATATGAGCCATGCCCTCTGGGAGAGCCAACATGACATGATCTTGCAGGAGGAAACCAGGAAAATAAACACAGCAACTCTACTCTCCTCCTGCCAGTGCTATCCATTGTCCAAACCCATCTAGAAGCCAGTCTCAGGCTCCTGAGACTGAGGGCAGGGAAGGCAATGACAGAAAGCAGGTCCACAGGGGCAATGGAAGATAAGCAGAACCAGGAGGGAACAGAAGGTAAAGCCAGTTGGGGTCTCAGTAGGGAGCTGAAACCTAAAAGTGAGTAATTCAAGATAGATTAACAAAGGGGCTATTTATAGAGTCTATATTAAGACTACATATTAAGAACATTGGGTTTTATTCTGTGGGTAACAAGGAGACACAATTCCAATCTGTGTGCTAATGGAGGGGCTATGAAAAGAGCTGTGTAAAGAAAAAAAACAGTGTGAAGACAGAAATACTAGTGTATATTAGAGATGTTAAGGGCCTGAAACAAAGAAATAACAGTGGGAACAGGAAAAAGAGGTAGATCCTAAAGATGTTTAGGAAGTTATTCCTACACAACTGTGGATCGTGTCTCTGTGTACATATAGATGTGTGTGTATCTAAAACACACACACACACACACACCTCTTCAGCCTTTGTTGTATCTGCAAAATATAATTTCCATTTTTCCCTTTCCCTAATTACCACCTAATAACATGCCCTGCATAATCTTGCTTACAGTAAGCATTTCAAGGAATATTTATGAAATGAATGAATAAACAAGTGAGCAAAGCTTCTGAAACATATAAACAATAATCTTATGTAACCATAAACTTAGATCCTGAAAAGCTGTATGTGACTTGTCACACCAAAGGGCTCAAGTTCAAACAAACAAACCAAGAAGGGACAAAAAAAAAAAAAGGTGAACAATCTGAAGTCCAAGAACACGCTAGGGAAGCACTTACAATTCTATACTCTAGCAACTCTTTCTCACGCTGTTTTCCATTGGGAACACAAACTGCTAACAAAAATAAACAAACTGAATATACCCATGTTAACTGCTCAAACAAATTTTTAAATCACAAACTACTGGAATCTTGAAGGCAATTTGTGTACGCTCCAGCATTACCTCTAAGCAAACCTTCAAATATGGCTACTGTAGAAGCACTGAGCTCTCAGCAGCACCCCTCACTCTTTCCTCAATGAGAAAAGAAGTTGAGGCCCCAATTGCATCCTCTTTACTGATCCACCCAAAACAAACTCCCTGCAGGAAAGTAGAGGGATAAGATTTCCAAAGGAGATGCTGAAGAGTAAAAAGCAATCACACTTCAAAATAGGACTTTACAAATAATTAACAACAGCTCCAGATCCATCCTGTTCTCTTCTCTAGAACCACTAGAAACTCTCAGATCTGAAACTGTATCATAGATTACACACCTACATATCCCACTCCATGATACACATGTTGAACTTCCTATGTCCATATCCATCCTCCACATCCTCAGAGTTAGCAAACGAGTTAGACATCTAAGACTTTGTTCCAAGATTCCCATGTAAAAAGTTTTCACATACTATACAAGTTTACAGTATACAATATACTATGCACTCTCAGTAAAAAGGACAAATTATAATGTGGTCTCTTATTCACCAGTAAAAAAATATCTGCTCTTACTGGAAGCACCTAAAATAATCAGGCAGCCTACCTCACAAGACTCTTAAACAGCAATCCTGCTAGTCTCAGAGCAATTTATAAACCTAAATGAGAAAACACAAACATGCTCCAGAGAAAGGTTTGCTTTATAACTAAAAGATTCATAACATTGTTGTTCATGGATGTGAACAACTCCATGAGTCCTCAGACTGTGAGTCTTTAGAGTTTCACTACTCAAAAAAAAAATAAATAAATAGTTAATAATCTTATATGGCCCTTCTCATATATGTCCAAGAAGAATGGAAACAAACATTGACTGAGCACCTATTATAAGTCACCGCAATGCTAAGGTACTTGCATATATACCTGAAATATAAATATATTCTTATAGGAATACCATAAAAGAATATATATTTCAAATATCCTACCATAAAATCCGGTAGAATATATTTATATTTCACATATATATTTATATCTCAGATATAAGAGATATATTTATATTTGACATCCTACCATAAAATATGGAAAAATTAAAAATTAAAACAAAAAAATATAATCAATGAGTATACAGCATAAAACCAAGCAAAATAAGTAAAAACATCATATATGGTATAATTTGATTTCTCTAAAAATTTTTTTTTTTTTTTTTTTTGAGACAGAGTCTCGCTCTGTCACCCAGGCTGGAGTGCAGTGGCGCAATCTCGGCTCACTACAAGCTCCACTTCCCGGGTTCACACCATTCTCCTACCTCAGCCTCCCGAGTAGCTGGGACTACAGGCGCCCGCCACCACGCCCAGCTAATTTTTTGTATTTTTAGTAGAGACGGGGTTTCACCGTGTTAGCCAGGATGGTCTTGATCTCCTGACCTCATGAACCCCCTGCCTCAGCCTCCCAAAGTCTTGGGATTACAGGCGTGAGCCACCACGCCTGGCCTAAAATTATTTATGTTTATATATAAATAAACATTGGGAAGTCTGGAAAAACATATGACCAACTTCTAAGTAGTTATCTTCAGAGATGGTATTTTTTTTAAGCCAGTCAAATTTAACAGTGGGGGCTAAATAGCAGAGATGGTACTAATACAAATCAAATCAGGGAGAAAACTTATTTTCTACTGTATATACTTCCATGTTTGAATATTTTATAATAAAACAAAAGACCAAAATCATCACATTTGAAGTTTTATTCTGTGGGTAGCAGGGAGACACACAATCCAATCTGTACTCTAACTGAGGGGGCTGTGAAAAGAGCTGTGTAAAGAAAAAAGCAGTGTGAAGACAGAATAGACGGCAAGGCCAGAGGCAAGAAATACCAGTGTATATGAGAGATGTTAAGGGCCTGAAACAAAGAAATAACGGGGGGAACAGGAAAAAGAGGTAGATTCTAAAGGTGTTTGAGATGCTCTATCACAATAAAAACATTTTTTGTTTCTTGAAATTATGCCTATAACTTACCTGAAATCATCCATACTATCCTTTTCCTTGTAATTAATCATAAATTTATCTGAAAAAGTCCTACCTATATTAAGAAGATTGAAACTAGAGCAAAGGAAAAGTCTATTTTCTTACTCTGTTAAAACACAAAGCAGGCCAGGCATGGTGGCTCACCCCTGTAACCCCAGCACGTTGGGAGGCCGAGGCGGGCGGATCACAACGTCAGGAGTTTGAGACCAGCCTGGCCAACATGGCAAAACCCCATCTCTACTAAAAATACAAAAATTAGCTGGGCACAGAGGCGGATGCCTGTAATCCCAGCTACTCAGGAGGCTTTGACAGAACAATCACTTGAACCCAGGAGGCAGAGGTTGCAGTGAGCTGAGATCATGCCATTGCACTCCAGCCTGGACAACAAAAGCAAGACTCCGTCTCAAAAAAAACAAACAAACAAATAAACAAAAAAACACAAAGCAGTAAAAACTAACGTATAGCCTTTATGCCTAATTGATAGGTTCTCAGAGAAGTAGCCCTACAGCAAAATAATTACTTTTGGCGATTTTCCCTCTCTTGCAACTTTAGAGATCTATGATGATTTCCTTAAAAATGTATGAAACAAAGCTAATTTATTTATTTATTTTTTGAGACAGAGTTTCGCTTTTGTTGCCCAGGCTGGAGTGCAATGGCGTGATCTTGGCTCACTGCCAACTCCAACTCCTGGGTTCAAGCAATTCTCCTGCCTCAGCCTCCTGAGGAGCTGGGATTACAAGAATGCACTACCAAACCTGGCTAATTTTGTATTTTTAGCAGAGACAGAGTTTCTCCATGTTGGCCAGGCTGGTCTGGAACTCCTGACCTCAGGTGATCCACCCCCCTCAGCCTCCCAAAGTGCTGGGATTACAGGCGTGAGCCACTGTGCCCCGCCACTAACTTTTTAAATTGGAAATTTTGTTGTAACATTTTGGGCCCTTCCAGACATGCTTACAGAGAGAGTAGAAATAACCTTGAGACTCAAGAGTTCAGTAGAAGGGGATAAATACAAGCCATAACAGTGCTTTGATTTAGTCACCACTTCTTGAAAAATCTTATAAAATAATGGCACTCAGGCAGATCATTATAAAAGAGTGGCACTGTCTTTTTAATTATGTAAAAAGCAAAAGAATATTACTCTAGTAAGCCTTTCAAGTTTTTTACTTTCAAATATCAAAGTTAATTACGCATTAATATAAACCAGCTTTAGTCTGATGGGAGAAAAAGGAAAGAAAATACATAATTTTATCTAGGGCAGTGCTAGCCAATAAAATTTTCTGTGATAAAAGAAATGTCCAGGCTGGGCGTGGTGGCTCATGCCTGTAATCCCAGCACTTAGGGAGGCCGAAGCAGGCAGATCACGAGGTCAAGAGATCAAGGCCATCCTGGCCAACATGGTGAAACCCCGTCTCTACGAAAAAGACAAAAATTAGCCAGGCATGGTGGCGCACACCTGTAGTCCCAGCTACTCGGAAGGCTGAGGCAGGAGAATCACCTGAACCCAGGAGGTGGAGGTTGCAGTGAGCCGAGATCGTGCCACTGCACTCCAGCCTAGTGACAAGAGTGAGACTCCGTCTCAAAAAAAAAAAAAAAATGTCCAATACAATGTGTTGTCCAGTGCAGTAGCTACTAGTCACATGAGGCTACAGAGCTCTTGATATATGGCTAGTGTGACTGAAGGACTGAACTTTCAATTGTATTAAATTTTAATTAATTTAATTTTAAATTGCTATATGCAGCTAATGGATCTCATGCTGGATAATGCAGATCTAGGGGGTTAAAAATAAACTGACAGGTTGAGCATTAAATTTCCAAAACATATTAACACAAGGCACTAATTTTGATTCCAGAAACATAAGAGGGAATAATTATAAAGTACTTGAGTAAACATAGGTTTTATTGTGAGCCAGTGCTCAGAAAAAAAAACTCCCCCACGTGCATACATTTAGTGCTTCCTCTGAAGAACCTATCACTGCTTCATCCTTCAAATTTTAGAATCCTGAGCTAGCTTCTCTTTTCAGGCAATGACGCCTTCATGTAAAGGGAAGCAAGAGAGCCAGTCAAGTATGACTGGGTACCCTCCTACCTCTCTCACCAGCCTCAGGTCTTCCCTATTCTTTTGTCCTGGGGTAAAACCTTTCATCTCTAACCCAACAGTGTCTTCTTGTCTTCTGGCTGTCCAAAGCTGCCTTTTACAGTATCGCATCTCCACTGCAGCTACCAACTGCTTCCTCTTACTCCCAGAACTGTTCCTACCCTCAGGTGAGGCCCAAAATGCTTGGCTTAGCTGTATCAAAACTTTACTAATCAAAGGCATTTACAGTTTTGTAATTCATACCAGGTATTACAATATTTATGCTTATAACATATCATGTTCAGTAGTTTTAAGTTGCACTACATTAAAAGTCAAATCCTGATCTTAGTATATTGCCTGGTCATCTGGCTGTAATGTGAGGAATTAAAAGGAACACCAAATCTCACTCAAGTGGGAAGTAGTCATTACTATCAGAGCAGGAAAAAATAAATTACTTCCTTTTAAGCTTCTCAATTTATCTCAACTAATGAAGTCTAAAATGTTGTTTCTTGGCTGGGTGCGGTAGTTCATGCCTGTAATCTCAGCACTTTGGGAGGCCGAGGCAGGCAGATCACCTGAGGTCAGGAGCTCAAGACCAAACTGGCCAACATGGTAAAACCCCATCTCTGCTAAAAAAAAATACAAAAATTAGTCTGGCATGGTAGCATGTGCACCTGTAATCCCAGCTACTCAGGAGGCTGAAGCAGAATTGCTTGAACCCAGGAGGTGGAGGTTGCAGTGAGCAGAGGTCGTGCCACTGCACTCCAGCCTGGGCAACAGAGAGAGGCTGTCTCAAAACGAAGGAGAGGAAGGGGAGGAAGGGGAGGAAGGGGAGGGGAGGGAAGAGGGGATGAAGGGGAGGGGAGAGAGGAGGGGAGGAGAGGGGGCAGGGGAAGAAGTAGAGGGGGGAGGAAGTAGAGGGGGGAGGAAGGGGGGGGAGGAATGGGAGAGGAGGGAGGGAGGGGTGGTTCTTAATTTCTTGGGGATTATGGACCTCCTTAAGACTAATGGAACGGGTGCGGTGGCTCACACCTGTCATCTCAGCACTTTGAGAGGTGGGTGGATTGCCTGAGATCAGGCAATTTTGTTTAAAAACACAAAAATTAGGCCGGGTGTGGTGGCTCACGCCTATAATCCCAGCACTTTGGGAGGCTGAGGTGGGTGGATCAGGAGGTCAGGAGTTTAAGACCAGGCTGGCCAAGATGGTGAAACCCCGTCTCTACTAATAATACAAAAATTAGCCGGGTGTGGTACCAGGTGCCTGTAATCCCAGCAACTTAGGCTGAGGCAGAGAATTGCTTGAACCCAGGAGGCGGAGGTTGCAGTGAGCAGACAGTGTCCTACTGCACTCCAGCCTGGGCGACAGAGACTCTGTATCAAAAAAAAAAAAAAAGCCAGGGATGGTGGTGCACGCCTGTTGTCCCAGCTACTTGGGAGGCTGAGGCAGGAGGAGAAGCGCTTGAACCCAGGAGATGGAGGTTGCAGTGAGCCGAGATTGTGCCACTCCACTCCAGTCTGGGAGACAGAGCAAGACTCCATCTCAAAAAAAAAAAAAAAAAAAAAAAAAGACTAATGAAACTAGGGACCCTTTCCCCAAAAACAAAATTTTTGTTGCCATGCAGGGCAACATGCACCTACATATACATACACATACACACTAAAGGTCATCTAAGGACACTTCTATTACTAAAGTGTAAGAAATATAATCTAAAATAATTAGTATATAGAAGCCCATAGACTAAACTGTTCAGCAGAATATGACTTCACAGAAGACTGGAATTAACACTTGATATTTCCACTTTTGATATTTCCACTTTTTCCCCTAACTTTCCTTTTTTTTTTTTTTTTGAGAGTGTTTCACTCTGTCACCCAGGCTTGAGTGCAGTGACACCAACATGGCTCACCACAGCCTCAACCTCTGAAGCTCAGGTAATCCTCCCACCATAGCCTTCTGAGTAGCTTGAACTATAGGTGCACATCACCACACCCGGCTAATTTTTGTATTTTATGTAGAGACAGGATTTTGCCATGTTGCCCAGGCTGGTCTCAAACTCCTGGTCGCAAGTGATGCGTCCGCCTTGGCCTCCCAAAGTGCTAGAATTACAGGTGTGAGCCATCCTCTCTAAATTCTAGAGAAAGAATTTGGAAGGGCTAAATTTCCTTCTCTCCCTTACCTCCTCCCAATTTTACCCTCTTCTTATCATCCCCCTATATTTTCTATACTTCATCTACTCAATTGGCTATCATGCAGAACTAAAGTCACTTTTAGTATTATTTACACTTATTGGCAATTGTGTATTTCCCATTCTCATTTCAAAAGTAGACGTTAGGCCAGTTGCAGTGGCTCACACCTGTAATCCCAACACTTTGGAAGGCCAAGGCAGGAGGATCACTTGAGGCCAGGAGTTCAAGACCAGCCTGAACAACATAGGGAGACTCCCATCTCTACACATCTATACACACGCAAAAAAAAAAACAAATAGCAGAGGTTTATTTCTTTAAGGAAAAATGAAAACATTTATTGAGTATCTACTATTTGCCTGATATTTGCCCACATATTATCTCTAATCTTAACAATTCTGTAACGGAGAAAAAAAAAGGTCTCCCCAAAATATCTATGTTTGAAAACTTAAGAGTCAATGAGTCACAGGTCAAGAAAAGTCAAAAGGTCAATGACAAAATAGTTAAAAGTGAACAAGGAAAATACCACAAGTCGAAACTTAAAGGATACAGCTAAAATACCACATGAAAATTGTAAACCCTTAAATTCCTGCATTAGAAATTAATAAAACTGGCTGGTGCAGTGGCTCACGCCTGTAATCCTAACACTTTGGGAGGCTGAGGTGGCCGGATCACTTGAGGTCAGGTGTTCAAGACCAGCCTGGCCAACATGGCAAAACTCCATCTCTACTAAAATCACAAAAATTAGCCAGGCATGATGGCGCATGCCTGTGCTCCCAGCTACTCTGGAAGCTGAGGCAGGAGAATCGCTTGAACCTGGGAGGCAGAGGTTGCAGGGAGCTGAGATCACGCCACTGCACTCCAGCGTAGGCAACAGAGCAAGACTCTGTCTCAAAACAAAACAAAACAAAACAAAACAAAAACCTTATTTTTAAAAGCTCAAGAAACTAAAAGCAATATAGAACAGAAATTAAGGAAATGAAAAATAAAGGAAAAGACTATCAACAAAACCAAATGCCTTTTTTTAAACAGGCTGATGAAATGGTCAGTCCTACTTTAGCTTAAGAATATAAAAGAAGACACAAATACAGCAAATTACTAAAAAAAAAAAAAAAAGGCACTAATTGTATCTCTGGGCTAAATTTCATCAAACTCAGAGACACTAAGTAACTCACCCAAGTGCACAGCACTTGAGTGAACACTAAGGCAGATAATCCAGTATTACACAGTTGGTAAGCAGGGAAACCAAAACTTTAACAAAAAGTTTCTCTTCTTTTCACCACATTACACAGCCTCTCTCTTAGGAAAGGAGCCTAACTTCCAGGGTCTCTATGTGATACACACAATAAATCTTAACCCTATTAAATTTGGTTAAGTAGCCATCCTGCTGCAAACTATGGAAGAGAAATGTTGAAACCTCAGCAAAATGTATAAGAAAAATAAACAGTGTGGGAGTTGCTTCTAGGAGCTGATTTTTTACCAAAAAGGTAATAAATAAAACTAATATGTAAGAAACACATTCCATTCCCCCCAAAATTCCGGCATATGTAAATTTAACCATGTTTGTACATTTTTCTACATGTATATTTGGATCTGACAAGTTAAGTCTACAGTTACTTTTGTGAAGTTTGCTTCCATGAACCCTTTCATTTTCTCCTTTTAGTAGTCAAAGGTTAGAAGTAAATAAAATTTTTTTTGGCTCTTTACTACTTTGTTACCTGAGCAGTTTTCAGAAAGTTTATTTATTCCAAACTTAAGGAATGTTCTCTGTGTCCAATTCAGTTTGGACAAAATACATTTTGGGGAGAAAAATATGCAATATATTTCTTGCTTTCTTTGGAAACAGGTGTTGCAAATTCTTTCCAGAATCACATGAAAAATTCTCCTACTAATCAAGTTGTGTGTTATTTCTGAACAGAAAGGGTTCTCTTCCCCTTCTTTACAAAAGATCATTAGATGTCCAAGAGTAAAGAAAGTCATTCAAAATTTTACCAACTTAATAAGCAAAACTAAAAAGTTTGCCAGATAAGACAGCTTGTTTCCTCTGTAGGTCAAGTATACAGACTCCATCCTGATTATCATTCCTGATCATTTGGCACATGTTTCATGTCTAGCACACACCTAGACATTCATATCTGGCACTCAGAAAAGAATACAGACTGAAGATGAATATCTGGAATTATCAGTTATAAAGGAAATAGCTGAAGCCATGAGACTTTAAGATTGCTCGGAAAAAGTGGCATGAGCCATAATCTTGGAAAGAAAAGAGAAAGTCAACAGCCAACTAAGAAGAAATGAACTACCAGGAAAGTAGGATGAAGAGTATGAAAGGGAGCAGGGAAAATGAAGGAGCACTTTTCAAAAATGTTAATAGTAGCTACTTTTTACTTAACCCCCACCTTATGCCACGACAGCATGCTAGGTGTTACAGCTTTCCAATCCTTCAATAAGTTTAAAAGGTAAATATTATTGTATAATTTTGAAAATGAGGAAACCTGCCCAAAGCCACGTAGGTTGCAGAATTGAGATTCAAACCCAATTGAGTCAATGAGACCGAGAGCCCTCTGGGTTCACCTGGTCTTAGTGAATCCAGCAGGCTCTCAGTCTCATTGAGTAGTAAAAGAACAAAGTACAGATAAAAGGTCACTGATGATTTTTTTAGTCCACCTATATCTGCACACTGATCACTGAAAACTTTTTTTTTTTTTTTTGAGACAAGAGTCTCACTCTGTTGCCCAGGTGGGAGTGCAATGGCACAATCTCAACTCACTGCAACCTCCACCTCCCAGGTTCAAGCAATTCTCATGCCTCAGCCTCCTGGAGACCTGAGATTTCAGGCATGTGCCACCATGCCTGGCTAATTTTTATATTTTTATTAGAGACAGGGTTTCACCATGTTGGCTATGCTGGTCTCAAACTCCTGGCCTCAAGCAATCCTCCTGCCTCAGCCTCCCAAAGTGCTAGGATTACAGGCATGAGCCACCATGCCTGGTCTAATAATTCTTGACAGAAGGCCATGCCCAGTTCGCATGACCTCCCCAAAGGGACCCAGGGCCTGCTACTCTCCACAGCTATACAAATGAAATATGAAGTTTATTTCTTCCCACTTCCCATTCTCTTTGGCCCTGATGGAAAAGATATGGCAAGCAGGAAGAAAGTGAGATAAGACACTGTGGGCACCTCTATGTGTCTGGCACCATATTGAATATTTATTTTCATTTAATTCTCATAATTCTAAAACACATGATCCAAGAAGGCACAGACATTTCTGTTTTGTTCACCAATATATCCCAAGTACTTAAGTCATTGCCTAGAACAAGGCAGGCCTTCAACAAATATTTGATGAATGAACAGTCATCCTGCAAAACAGGTATTATTATCCCCATTTTAAAGATCTGGGAGTGGCTCAGAAAGGACAAGTAACTTAATTAAAATCATACATATAATAAACAGGGTGAAATTAAAAATATTTAATAACTCATACTTGTACCAGCATCGGCCACTCAGAACAGACACTAGCTGGTGCTAGAGGAGCTGGGTTCTGCTTCAAACTTTTAGCTGAGGTATCATAGGGAGGTCCATAGAAGGGACTAAGACAATGAAGAGTCATGGGGCAGGGGAAGTGAAGACCCAGGTGTACACTGGCTGTCAGCCTCAATAGTTAAGTGGTGCACTCAGGATTCCAACCTGTACTTATTTGACCCTAAAACGTTCTAAATAAAGTGGGTACCATTTAGAAGATTTCAGAGTCAGATAAGTGAGGAGAGCAGAGAACAACTAGAGCTTTTAATAGAGTAGAAAAAAACTAGTCAAAACAACTACAATGTGAAATGGAATTAGAACTGAATTTAAAAATTGGTAACTGAACTCAATCTGCTGTTAGACAACTAAAAAACAGGATGATTTCACTAAAGTAACGTAGAGGGGAATGAGTAACAAAGAGAAATAAATGTGAATGGGCAAAGCAAAACTACAGCATGAAGGTTTTCAATTTCAGGTAAACAATTTGTGTATGTTTCAATAAGAAATGAAAAATCAACACTGGTTCTTGAGCAAGAAAGCTGTGCTTCAGGACAATGAATTTGTGCAAGGTATTGGTAGGGAAGGGGCAGAGCCTGGTGGCAGGTGAGAGGTATCAGTGATAGCACTGTACAGTATATTTGAGTGTGATTCACAGAGATGTTATGAAAAGTGTTAACAGGCAAGAATTCAAAGAACAGTGCACCCTCAACTTTTAGAGGCACCTACATTCTGGTCACTTAGCTTACAGTCACCATCTCTCTGTGGCTGACATGGTTTTATTATAAAAAGTTCTTCGTTATCTTTTCTTTTTTATTTTAAAATTAGGATAAAAGGGAGAAAAAGCAGTTGGGATATAGGATATAAGTGACACTTACCAAAGATGGTTTTTACATTTGTAGTTTTACGTCAGTAATTGCCTACAATATCCTCAACCTTGGAGTAGCTTAGTTCATTAAGACACTTAAAATAAATTTGTGTATATATTTAATGAGCTTTTAAAAAATCACGAGCTATTAGGGCAAGTTACTTCACTATGGACTCTCACATTTCCACACAAATAAAAAACAAGTTAACCTATTTATTTATACACTAACAAAAACAAAAAGCAAACCTTCTCACCTGTTGTTCCCTTCCCAGAAAGGCACAAGAAAACAGTGCCAACTGGCCAAGAACAACATTAATTCCTTCCACTCCCTCATGGTACAGCTGTTCGCTTTCTTTCTCTTCCCTTTTAAGATGGCAAAGGTCACAATCAGTAGTAAACCGGCCACGTGATTTTTATATGTCAAAAGCAAGGAGATAACTGAGGTAAAGGGTACTGGGAGAGACAGCTGATTTTTTTCAATTGTACTTTCTCCTGGCCACTTATCGGGAAACTATTTAGGGCTTCCATGGTATTTGAAGCTATAACTTAATAACTTCTTTGCCAAAAAACATTCTGTTTACATGGAACTAGGGTTAGAAGTGATATAAGCACATTTAGAAAGGGACAAAAACCTACAGCAAAACTGTACAGTAACATTTACATCACAGTACTTGGCATAATCAAAAACGCATTATGCTATGTGAAAGAGACTAGACTCAAATGGCTACATACTATATAGCCTTTATGATTCCATTTATATGACATTATATGACATTCCATTTATATGACATATAGGATAGAGAACACATCACTGTTTGCCAAAAGTCAAGGCTGGTGGGAGGAGCTGACTACAAAGAAGAAGAATGAGGGCACTCAGGGAGGTAACACACCAATTCAGTATCTTGATTGTATCTGGTTACAGGACTAAATTCCATATTATCTGAATTCACAGAACTGTACACTAAATGAGTCAATCTTACTATACATTTTTAAAACACAACAATTAAATTTTAGCTTAAGCCTCATCTCACCTACTCCTCATACCTATTTCAAACCTCTTGACATGCTCTACACAATGACCCCACCCCCTCCACCTAGCTAATGCCTACTTGCCATTCTAGCTTCCATTCAGCTACTGGTGGAACCAATCCTTTGGTGTGCCAGGGTGGAGTACTGGACAGAGTTGGGTAGTCAAGTATATCTGGCTGGGTTTACTTCTGGCTTTCTCCCAGTTACTACTTGTGGGAGCTTGGGCAAATTACTTACCTGTCTGAGCTCAGTTTCCTCATCTGGTAAGTAAGAATAATACTGTGTACATACCTCCCAGAACTGCTGCAAACTAAGAGCCTAGTAATGTGCCTAACTTAGTGCCTGGCACATTAAGAGGATTAATAAATGCTTACTCCCTGATCTTTCTTCCCTGCCTACTGCCCTCACAACCCCTGCTCTCTTTCCGAGCCCCCATGGACCTTATACATATATAAACCTATCACAACACTTAGTTTATTATTGTAATTCTTTATCTCTGCAAATAAAATGTGTCTATGTATCTCTTTAATCCCAGAATTCACAGAAACCAGCATATTCATTGCCTAATAGTAAATTGTTTGAAGAATAATCTGTCCACCTGATCTGATCTTGTTGTTAAAGGAGTTACTGGAAAAGAGAGAGAAGCAGGCTGAAAAGGACAGAGTACAATGAGAGAGTTTGAGATGGACAACCCAAGGTTTGCCAAAGTTTCCACAAGGACGTTGTACACAGCATAATAGCACAATTGCAAATAACCTAAATATCCAAAAATGGGGGCAAAGTGACTTCTACCAAATACATACAGTGAAATACCATATAACCATTAAAATTTCAGACAATTATATTGAAAATTACAAAATATATGTATACATGCAGTAATATCACAAGTTTTTTTTTCTTTTAAAGCATGGGTTTAAAAAAATGTGGGTATATGGACATTAAAAAGCACTGGAAAGATAAGCAACCAAAATGTTAAAAGGGGTAATCTTTGGATGATGGTGAGAATATTACTAATGATATTTATTTTCTTTTCTGGGCTCTTCAGACTTTAGCGATTTAACACGTGTTGAGTTTTTTTTTTTTTTTTTTTTTTTTTTTTTTTGAGATGGAGTCTAGCTGTGTCGCCCAGGCTGGAGTGCAGTGGCGCGATCTCTGCTCACTGCAAGCTCCGCCTCCAGGGTTGACGCCATTCTCCTGCCTCAGCCTCCAGAGTAGCTGGGACTGCAGGCGCCGGCTACCACGCCCAGCTAATTTTTTTTTTTTTTATTTTTAGTAGAGACGGGGTTTCACCGTGTTAGCCAGGATGGTCTCAATCTCCTGACCTCGTGATCCGTCCACCTCGGCCTCCCAAAGTGCTGGGATTACAGGCTGAGCCACTCTACTAAAAATACAAAAATTAGCTGGGCGTGGTGGCAGGTGGCAGCCTGTAATCCAAGCTACTCAGGAGGTTGAGGCAGGAGAATCGTTTGAATCTGGGAGGCGAAGGTTGCAGTGAGCCAAGATAGCGCCATTGCACTCCAGCCTAGGCAACAAGAGCAAAACTCCTCGAAAAAATAAAAAGGAAAAAAAGAAACTTCAGGAATCAGAATATTTTTTAAGAAAGCAAGCTGGTCAGGCGATGCAGCTCAAGCCTATAATCCCAGCAATTTGGGAGGCTGAGGTGGGTGGATCACCTGGGGTCAGGAGTTCAAGACCAGCCTGACCAACATGGTGAAATCCCGTCTCTACTAAAAATACAAAAATTAGCCAGGCGTGGTGGCAGGTGCCTGTAATCCCAGCTATTTGGGAGGCTGAGGCAGGGAAATCACTTGAACCCGGGAAGTGGAGGTTGTAGTGAGCTGAGATTACACCACTGCACTCCAGCCTGGGCAACAGAGCAAGACTGTCTCAAAAAAAAAAAAAAAGAAAGAAAGAAAGAAAAGAAAAGAAAAGAAAAGAAAGAAAGAAAGAAAGAAAGAAAGAAAGAAAGAAAGAAAGAAAGAAAGAAAGAAAGAAAGGTAACATAAAACTTACTAATGACAGTATTCCATATCATCCAAGGTTCAAATGTCTAAAAATTAGAGTTAAAAAGTAGATTGTGCCAAACCTATACAATGAAATACTATGTATTTCCAAAGTCAAAAGAGTAAAATACATTATAAACTACACACACACACACACACACCCCTTTGGGGAAAGAAACAAGGTATGGGGAGCTCCTCTAATGGAAAAGTAATTTTTAACTTGGAAAATCTATAACAGATGTATGTACAAGAACATTTCACCAAATATTAACAACACTGTATTTTAGTGGTCTTTCTTCAAACGCTTGTCAAAAACCAATAAATTTCAGAAGACAAGGCAGGATAGTGAATCAAGGAGAAGGTTCCCCTTTGAAGTATAGTTTCTACAGAGTTTATTAAGTCTTTAAAGAACTTGTGACCTGTAGAGTTTTGTCCGGGTATTATTTAAGCTTGTAAAGCAAAGCATCCTATATTCAGGTGAGAACACGTGGTTAACTTATTTCTCTCTTTGAACCAACAATGAGATTTCTAGTCTTAGCAATTCTACCCACAAAATTCCCTTAACCAATGAAGTCTCCCTTATTAGTAACTGGGAAAGAAATAATTTCTCCTATTTCATAGTAAGGCCCATATTCCAAAGAATATCAAGTATGTGTTTACTATAGTATTACTACTATAATGACTCCTTTTTTTTTAAGACAGAGTCTTGCTTTGTCACCCATGCTGGAGGTACAGTGGCATGATCTCAGCTAACTGCAACCTCTGCCTCCAGGGTTCAAGCGATTCTCCTGCCTCAGCTTCCAGGGTATCTGGGACTACAGGCAGGTACCACCACACCTGGCTAATTTTTGTATTTTTTTTCTTTTTTTAGTAGAGACAGGGTTTCACCATGTTGTCCAGGCTGGTCTCGAACTCCTAACCCCAGGTGATCCGCCCGCCTTGGCCTCCCAAAGTGCTGGGATTACAGGCATGAGCCACTGCGCCCGGCCTATATTAACTCTTGAAGAAAGCTGGCAAATTCTAATGCTCTTATAAAAATTCTAGGGTAATCAACTTCCGTAAAGGTTCATACATAGGCTAGGAGTGGTGGCTAATGCCTGTAATCCTAGCACTTTGGGAGGCAGAGGTGAGAGGATCTCCTGAGCCCAGCCTGGACAACACAGTGAGACCAGGACTCGACAAAAATTTTAAAAATTAGCCAAGCATGGCAGTGCACATCTGTGGTTCCAGCTACTCAGGAGGCTGAAGTGTGAGGAATGCTTAAACATAGGAGGTCAAGGCTACAGTGAGCCATGTTTGTGCCACTGCACTTCAGCCTGGGAGACAGATGTTGTGTAGGGTGGGGATTGAGAGCACATTTTAACACCTTTAAGGAGACTGCTTTAGCAATCAAACTTACGGAAATCAGACTGACTTCATTTCAGTCATTTTGGTATACAATTAGTTATCTCAGTGTTCAAAATATGTGTAGAAAAAAAATTCGAAAATCAAAAATACAAACAAAAAATTTTAAATGGCCAGGCACATGGCTCATGCCTATAATCCCAGCACTTTGGTAGGCCAAGGCAGGCAGATTGCTTGAGCCCAGGAGTGCAAGACCTGCCTAGACAACATAACAAAACCCCATCTCTACAAAAGAAACAAGTATAAAAATTAGTCAGCTGTGGTGGCATGCACCTGTAATCCCAGCTACTCAGGAGGCTGAGGTGGGAGGATCAAATTGAGCCCTGGAGGTCAAGGCTGCAGTTAGCTGTGATCACACCACTGCACTCCACCCTGAACAACAGAGTGAGGAAGACCTGGTCTCAAAAAAAAAAAAAAATTAAACAACCAAATAAAATCCAGACCTGACACCTCAGCTGGTTTTGAAAGTTCATATCCCCCCACCATAAAAAAAATTTTAAATCTTAAAAGTATTTATGTGGGTCCATCACATCTAGTTTGAAGTTATGCCAAATGGCAATGGCCCAGAAACTAAAATAAAGTTATACTAAGGTGTGTCTCAGAAGGAAAACATAAAAACTCTTACTCTGGCAGGAAGTTACCAAATTGGCATATCTAAATTAGTAAGCTTTGTTTAAAACACACACGCTTTTTTTTTAAAGGCACACAAATATAAGGCATACATGCCAAAAACGACTGGCAAAATACTTATTTATTGGTTATTATTGCAGTAGCAAATAATATTTCCATTTCCCCAGAAATGTATGCTTGTATCACTCAAGTTATTTTACACAAAAGATAAGATGAAGAAGGAAGGATTCCCACAAATGATTCCTTTGAGGCTAAGAGCAAACTTATAATGCTGAAACTACACAATAAACAACTGTTACCATGAGAAGCAAGAAAACAGGTAGACATCAGCTTATTGAGTGCCTACTAAATACCTGCTACTTTATATACACAGATTGTCATTTAATCCTAACAAATCCGTGACGTAGACAGTATTCGCTCCATTATACAAATGAAGAAATTGAAGCTCTTTAGGACTAAATAATCAACTGTGCGACCTAACACAAGAAAATAGCAAAGCAGTATTACCAGGCTCCAATCCCAGACTCTTTCCGCTATACTTGGTGATAGTTAGAAAACAATATATCAAATTCTCAGCAATGAGGGTTCTGTAAGGGTGGTCAACGATTCCTATACCATTGTTCTAAAAATGACATTTCTCCTTCTGGCAAGATTCTTCTTCCTTCATCTGGCACATCATAGGAAACACAAAAAACTATGATCCCAGACTATTCATGTTTCAGCTGATATCCCTAACAGGTCCTCCTCCTATCCTCCTCAGAGATGATCCTGCTAGCCTGTGCTTGTTATTTTCTAAAGGAGGTTCATGTTGCACATGTATTCACTCAGCCAATATTTGAGTGTCTTCTCCCTTAAGCTACCACATTCTCCCTTCTTCCTCAATCCAACTTTTTCAAAGAATAATCTATACCCAGCAATATCCATCTCTTTCAGCTTCCAACTCACCACTGAAATGGCTTTACATAAGGTTATAAATGATCTTTGTGTAACTAAACCCAATGGACACTCTCCAGTCTTTATCTTGTTTGACCCTTCAGAACAAAGTAGATCGTTACCACTCTCTCCACTTGGCTTCCCAGAAACACTCTCCTAGCTTTTAAGGAATTGCTTCTCAGTCTTGGTGGTCTTAATTCCCTCCAACCAATCTGAAAAGTCAGTGTTTCTCAAAGCTCAGTATAAAGTCTTCTTCCTTTTCATTTTATAACTTCTTCCTGAAATTTCATCAATTCTCATGGCTTCAATTACCACGAATATGCCAACGATTCTCAAAAGTCTGACCATTCCTCTGAGCTCTAGAACCATTATCCAAACAAGAACTTGGTACTTCCACTTAAATATTTCAAAAACATCTTAAACTTACATGCCCCAAACCAAACGATCTCCTCCCCATCCCCCTTCCTATCAAACCAGGTTCTCATCTAGCACACTCCACCTCAGTAACTGGCAGGAACCAACATCTGTTCAATTATACAAGCCAGAAGCTTCAGAACTATTCTTGACATTTCTCTCTCTCCTACCCTACACCTTCAACATGTCACCAAGACAGGTATCCTTTACTTCCCAAATACCTCTGAAATGTATCTACTTTTCTCCATTTCTACCACCATCACCACCACCTCTTTAGTCTCACTGCCTGCCTCACTTGGACTGTTACAGCAGCTTCCTAACTGATCTCCCTAAATCCATTATTTCTTAGCTCTAATCTATCATTCTACCCTGCAGCCAAAGTAATCATTTTTAAAAGCTACCTCATCCTCCTTTTTTTTAGACCCCTTATTATAAACTATCATAGCACCCATACTTCTCCTTCACAATACTTATTGGTTCATTTTTCATATTTATTTGTATGATTACTTGTATCTCTATTACCTAAGACAGTGCTTGGCACACAGTATATGAGCAACAGACATTTGTGGAATAAACAAATGCCCACTATGTAACGGTGACTGGGCCACATGCCAAGGAGAACATACAGATTAAGACACAGTCCTTTTCAGATAAACTAAAGCTGTGAACTCAGGTGAGTTACCCAAGCAACAGGTGACAGAACTGAGATTCAAACTCAGACCTGTATGCTTCCAATGTCCATACTCAAACTTTATGTATCCCATGAACACAAAAGAATTCTGCAAAATATCTACATATTAGTAAAAATGAATGGAAATTTGTTTCGTGTCTTAATAAAATACAAAATCTGCAGTTGAAATTGCAAGGTAAGAATCATCCTAGCATTCTAAGCTCTTTTAAAAGGTACAACACTGTTTCCCTGTTATTTTGGGTAATTATAGCTTACATAAACATAATGGTAGCCCATTCAAATAGTATCCATTTACATTCTTTATTGCAGAAAGTATTAATATGTCTTTATCTCATATAATTCACTAAAGTCTCCTATAATTCACTATAAGTCAGATAATTCACTAAAATATGTCTATGGCTAGCCTCATAGCAACTATAACACTTCTGCTACAATTCTATTTGACAGTCCAAAATTTCAAACTCCTCTGCTTTTACTACAACTTTAATTTACAAAATATTCAACCAAATTATGCTATCTTTCAAATCAAATATTTCTTTTTTTACTTTTTTCAAGACCCTATCTCACTCTGTCGCCCAGGCTAGAGTATAGTGGTGCAATCACAGCTCATTGCAGCCTTGACCTTCCCAGGCTCAGGTGATCCACCTCAACCCCCAAGTTAGCTGGGGACTACAGGCCTGCACCACCAAGCCCAGTTAATTTTGTTTTGTTTTGTTTTTTTGGGTAGAAACAAGGTTTTGCCATGTTGCCCAGGCTGGTCTTGAACTCCTGGGCTCAAGCGACCTGCCCACCCCTGCCTCCCAAAGTGCTGGGAATACAGGTGTGAGCTACAACACCAGGCCCAATTTTCATCCTTAATCATGAAACATGTGAGGATATGAAATAAGAGCAACCACCACAAAGCTCTTCAAGTGAGTTGCTCCTTTTTCTAGCAAATCTAGAATACGGACCTAATTAATTGACCAACCTAAAGAGCAAATTCCCTACTTCAGGCAATGTAAATCACTATCAATGTGATTCTAGACTTAATCCAACTGAAAATAAAATCTCTACCACAATCTCTTTACGGGACAGCAAACTCTGGCCTTCCAAAGCATGTCCTCATGATTAATCCTCCTTCCTCTCAAAAAAGCCTCATTCTCTTCAGAAGTGCTCCTGAAAGGCAAAAACAGAGCTACCAGCAATATCTACTTTTTTCTTTTTTGTTGTTGAGACATTGTTTCACTCTAGCTGCCCAGGCTGGAGTGCAGTGGCGCAATCTCAGCTCACCGCAACCTCTGCCTCCCAGTACAAGTCATTCTCCTGCCTCAGCCTCCTGAGCAGCTGGGATTATAGGCGTGAGCCACCACACCCAGCTAATTTTGTAGTTTTAGTAGAGATAGGGTTTCACCATGTTGGTCAGACTACTGATCTCGTGATCCGCCTGCCTCGGCCTCCCAGAGTGCTGGGATTACAGTCATGGGCCACCGCACCCAGCCCTAAGACTGCATTATAAACAAGATCCCAGGTGATTCCTATGCACATTAACTCTAGAGAAGCACTCATCTAGAAATTTCCCAAATCTCCCTAATGAGAAGAATCACCTGAGATGCTTAAGTATGTAGATTATCCAGCTATTTCTTAGAAATTCTGATTCATTAAATCAGGTAATTTGAAAAATTACTCTGGGTTAGTCTCATACAGCAGGTCCTTGAAAAAACCTCATTTCATTATAATGTTGATAAGAAAAAAAAAATTGACACCCAGCTGGGGCCTCAGCCTCCCAAAGTGCTGGGGTTACAGGCATGAGAGACCGCGCCCGGCCTTTTTTCATTTTTTAATTTTCCTTTTCCTACTCTCATCTTTGCCTCCTCTTTTACCAGAAGAAACATATGTAACCAAAGCCAGGCAGGAGGCCTACACTACTTTGTGTCAGGGATCATTTTCCTATATTACTACTTTCTAAATACTTCAGTCTTCAACTTTTTCCTATTTTATGCTGACAGTAACACTCACCCCATTCTTAGCCAGGCTAAGTTTATAATTGATCTCCCACAAGTCCACTGCAGTTGCTCAAAATAGCCCCTTATATACCATGTGCTCCTTGTCTTACTACCTGAATCCATTGGTGTCAACTGCTGCAAGATGACTCTCCTTAATAACTGAGGTTCATTTACCACTATGATCCTGAGAGATAAACAAGGAATACATCATTCTCATTATAATTTACAATCAGTAAATGAAGCAGCCATGGGATCTTGTCCATGAGATCACAGAGAATAGCAGAGGCAAGACCAGAATCTGACTTCCAAACCAACTGTTTTTACTACTAGATTACACTTTGAACTCTTTAAATAAAGGGTTCAAACTAATTGCCACTCACTAAAAAATCATTTACAATGTCAAATCCTGAGGAAAGGGGGGAAATCCATAAAAAAACTTCAGAGGGTAATTACTGGTTTTCAGATTTGGTTAATAATTATATTCAATGGCAACACTGAGAACTGCATTCATACTGTGGGACATAAAGTAAATTTTAATATAGATATCCACACTAGCCATAAAGTTGAACATTATCCATAACCTGCCTAACAAGTTTTGATAACATCACAATTTAAGAAACCTTTTCTCCAAGTGGCTACTGGGCTAGGCAGAGACAACAGTTGAAAAGGAGCACATTTAAAACTCCTTTCTCTTATCCATGCCCTTTGAAAAATAGTAAAATACAAAAAATGTCACTTGCCTCTGCTACACTGCATAACTATGCTAGTGATACTTTCTAGATCAAATATTCTCTCAAAAGTGTGTTTTTTAAAAATTTTAAGAAAAAAGTGGCCAGGCATGGTGGCTCACACCTGTAATCCCAGCACTTTGGGAGGCCAAGGTGGGTGGATCACCTGAGGTCAGGAGTTCAAGACCACCCTGGCCCACATGGTGAAACCCCATCCCTACTAAAAATCCAAAAAATTAGCTGGGCATGGTGGTGAGCACCTGTAATCCCAGCTACTCAGGAGGCCGAGGCAAGAGAATCACTTGAACCAGGGAGCTGGCGGTTGCAGTGAGCCAAGATCGCGCCATTGCACTCCAGCCTGGACAAAAGCAAAATTCTGTCTCAAAAAAAAAAAAAGAAAAAGAAAAAAGTATAAAAGTATGAATTTTAATTACATTTAGTCATCTATTTAACAAGTTACCTTTCTGAAGACAGTTACCTAAAATTAGGACAACCTCAGAATACTATAAATGACTGTAATCATTACATACATCTATTTCTTAAACTCTACAGAAAAAATAAAGAATAAATTATTCATCAAAAGAAGTTATGATGAGAAGTGGCAATGTTTAACTCATTCAACCTGTACTTTAAGTTAGCTCTTGACAAGTTTATATTCAAGAAATAAAATCTTCATGTTTTAGGAGCTGAGGACTAAGAGAAGTTATTACTATCCAAACCATGCCATTCTCACCTCACACACATCTTTATTTATTCATATTTCTAGTTTGCTGTTCTCTCTCCAACCAAGAACTTCATTTAGGTACCTTGTCTATGAGCTGTGGGAATACTGTTCACCTAGAAGTACAATCAAAAGATCTGAGGTATCTGATTCCAGAAAGAAATAGGTTAGAAGTAATCAAAACATTTCCCATCATGATCTGGGCACCAGGAACTGAAATACAAACCAGGTTCTGACTTCAATGCTGTTTAAACTGCAGCTAGGACAAATTAAACAAACAAACAAAAAGTCACCAACACATGAAATCACATTTAAATAGCAGACTGTGTCAGTGGTACCAAATTGGCTTATTAGCTTAATAATAACAAAAACAGCAAAAATATTTGAGTGCCTACTGCAGGCCAGGACTATGTTAACCACTTCACATACATTGTCTCATGCATTATCTCATCTAATTTCACAGCACTATGAGAAAGGCACTATTAGCATCATCTCTTTCCTCATTAGATGACGAACTCAAAGAGTTGAGGTGACCTGCCCAATGTCACACAATAGTAATAGATGGAGCTAGACTTTAAACCCTGGAAGAATGGCTGACTCAAGTTTATTGCCCAGTCATTCATATAACAAGTATTTGAATGGCGATACACTTCCTAAGCACCAATATTAGAGTGTTTTCACCTATTAATGTGGATAGACTCATATCCTTCTGAACTATCTACAGGAATTATTTCAGAATTCAGCAGTAGCCAAAAGTAATGTGCCCAAAAGTTTACATTATCTCTGCTGTACAGCAACAGCAATGGTTTCAGGGGAAATTGTTCTGAAATAAAGACAGACTTCTGGCCCAGTACAATGGCTCACACCTGTAATCCCAGCACTTTAGGAGGCTGACGCAGTAGGATCACTTGAGTCCAGGAGTTCCAGACCAACCTGGGCAACAGAGTGAGACCTCATCTCTACCGAAAAATCAAAAATTAGCCGGAGCTGGGGGCGGTGGCTCATGCCTGTAATCTCAGCATTCTGGGAGGCTGAGGTGGGCAAATCACTTGAGGTCAGGAGTTCGAGACCAGTCTGGCCAACATGGTGAAACTCTGTCTCTACTAAAAATACAAAAATTAGCCAGGCGTGGTGGCACATACCTGTAATCCCAGCTACTCGGGAGGCTGAGGCAGGAAGATCGCTGGAATCCAGGTGGCAGAGCTGCAGTGAGCCGAGATTGCGCCACTGCACACCAGCCTGGGTGACAGAGCAAGACTCTGTCTCAAAAAAAAAAAAAAAATTGGCCAGGCATGGTGGTGCACACCTGCAGTCCTTGCCACTCGTGGAGGCTGAGGTGGGAAAATCACTTGAGTCTGGGAGGTCAAGGCTGCAGTGAGCTGTGATCATGCTACTGCACTCAGCCTGGGCAACAGAGCGAGACTCTGTCTCAAAAAAAAACAAAAAACAAAAAACAAAAAACTTGATTAAAATACCTGCCTATCTCACCTTCCAAAGCTCTGTGTACCTTTTGAGGATGGAGACCTTGTCTCACTCATTCTTAGTAATCTCAGTGCTAACAGGCACTCAATAACATTATACAGTTTTATCATTTTTCCTATGAGTCTGTCTTCTACCATAAGTAATAAGCTAGTAAAAATCCATGGGTTATATTTTTCCCTTGATCGAAAAATGCATACCTATTTTTGGTATCTCCAGTGGTAGGTAGGGCATAAAATGAGGCTAATACTATGTACCTCAGAGTTTTGTGATGATTACATGAGTTCATGTGAAACATTTACCAAACGCATATACTAGGCATTCAATAGATAATAGCTTTCTTCTCTACTCATTTACCTCTCCAGCACCAAGCAGCAAACCCATCTCTCCTACTACTGATGCAAATGAACCAAAAGGCAAGGCAGAATCTGCCGTGACAAGCTGCCAATTAACTGAAGGGCTCATCTGCTACACGTTTCCTATATGTCATTTTCCTGGACACCCCACCCTGAAAAAGACTCAGGAAACATTTCCAAGCAGTGACAACTGAGGACTAAATCACGAGATTCTAACTATATCTGCTAGAATGCATTACCAAAGGTCACTCTGAACTCCATACACGATTCATCTAAAACACAGGGAGAGACAAAGATCTTCCTTTCCTGTGAAAACCTGAAAGGAATGCCTATAACAACGCTATTTGAAGAAAAAGTCTGTGAGCATGTTACTGAATAGGGGAAATTAGTTACATCCTCCAGTATGATATAACCTCATTGCTAATGCTTAATAGTTATTGGGAGTCTGAGATATGAAATATTAAAGTGCCTCTTCTTTTTGTTTGTTTTTATAGATACAGAGTCTCGCTCTGTTGCCCAGGCTGGAAGTGCAGTGGCACAATCACAGCTCACTGCAACCTGCAACTTCTGACCTCAAGCAATCCTCCTGCCTCAGCCTCCCAATGTGCTGGGATTACAGGTATAAGCCACTGCTCCCAACTTTAAAGTGCCTCTTTTAGACAGCAGATATACTCAAAATGGTAAGCAGAAACTGACTCTGAAACTACATCATAACTAGTTAAACATAAAACTAAAATAGTTACAAAATATTTAAGCCATCTAAAATAATCATTTTGTTTTGTTTTGTTTTGTTTTGTTTTGTTTTGTTTTGTTTTGTTTTTGAGACGGAGCCTCACTCTGTCATCCAGTTTGGAGTGGCGCAATCTCGGCTCACTGCAAGCTCCACCTCCTGGGTTCACGCCATTCTCCTGCCTCAGCCTCCTGAGTAGCTGGGACTACAGGCGCCCGCCACCACGCCCAGCTAATTTTTTGTATTTTTAGTACAGACGGGGTTTCAGCGTGTTAACCAGGATGGTCTTGATCTCCTGACCTCGTGATCCACCCACGTTGGCCTCCCAAAGTGCTGGGATTATAGGCATGACCCACCACGCCAGGCCCAATAATGATTGTTTTTATAGACAATGAATTCCCACATTCTTGCCTTTCTCACCCTCTCCATATTTTTTTTACTTTTAATTTTTGTGGGTACATAGTAAATATACATACATATGGGGCACATGGGATATCTTGATAGAGGTATATAATTTATAATCATTACATCAGGGTAAATGGGGTATCTGTCACCTCAACCATTTATTCTTTGTGTTACGAACAATCCAATTATACTGTTTTCGTTATTTTTAAATGTACAATTAAATTATTATTGACTATAATCACTGCTGTACTATCAAATACTAGATCTTATTCATTCTACCTATTTTTTGTACTCATCAACCATCCCCACTTCACCCTCTCCATTTATTACAACCTTTCCCAAATACACACTAGTTAATCTGCATTCAAAAGTTATAATCCTCAAAAATGCACTTCCCAATTCCTGACTATACCATTGTTAGCCAGGTTGCCTTGGGTGAGTTTCCCAACTTTCCCAGCCCTCACTTCCGTCATCTACAGAATGCAGATGACCAAGCTCCTAAGAGAGTTGTCGAGAGACTGCACTGGCTGTACCAAGCCTAGAGAGCACTAAATAAATGTCAATTATTATTTTTATCCATTCTGGCATTTAGAAATAAAAGTTACAAAATTCACTATTAAAAATACCATTGATACATACCATATTCCAGCCACACTGGCCTCTTTTCTGTGACAAAATGCCCTTTTCTTCTTTTGCCCTCAACACCTGCTCCTCCCTATGCTTGGAATTTTCCCCCAGCTCCTCCACGGCCAACTCATTTTGTTCCTTAAATCTCAAGTCCAATACCTCTCAATTCAAATATTCCCCCTTTAGAGAGCCTTCATTGAGACTGCTATCCCCAAAAGTCTAACTTTCTTATAATCTTGCTTTAATTCTGTCATAGCTTTTACAAACATCTGTAATTGTCTTATATACACTGGTATGGAGAGCTGATCTTTTTTGCACTGGTATTTGCAGCTCCTAGCATTGTATTACAGCAAATAATGTCTGCTTAATAAATAAATAAAAAATGATGCAATGTCAAATACTTTAAAACAACATTGTGCTCACACAATTTTAAAAACAATTTGAGTTTAACATATGTCACAATGTTTGAAAAAGAGTTTAGATGCAGCAGTGTCCAATCTTTTGGCTTCCCTGGAGTACACTAGAAGAATTGTCTTGGGGCACACATAAAACACACTAACACTAACAATAGCCAATGAGCTTAAAAAAAAATTGCAAAAAAATCTTATAATGTTTTAAGAAAGTTTACAAATTTGTGTTGGACCATATTCAAAGCCATCCTGGGTTGCATGCAGCCTGTGGGCCATGGGTCGGACAAGCTTGGTTTAGGGAGAGGGAGGATATAGAGAAGTATTACACAACGGTTTTTCCTTGCTGCCTGTTTAATCGCCAAGAGCAATTCAAATAACAGAATTTATACAAATGAGGATGTATAATTAAGGTCATTCAAAAGTTTTGGGAATATTGGGCCAGGTGCAGTGGCTCACACCTGTAATCCCAGCACTTTGGGAGCCAAGACGGGTGGATCACCTGAGGTCAGGAGTTTCAGACTAGCCTGGCCAACATGGTGAAACCCCATCTCTACTAAAAATACAAAAATTAGCCCGACGTGGTGGTGGGCACCTGTAATCCCAGCTACTCAGGAGGTTGAGGCAGGAGAATCGCTTGTACCTAGAAGGCAGAGGTTGCAGTGAGCCAAGATCATGCCGTTGCATTCCAGCCTGGGCGACAAGAGTGAAACTACGTCCCCCCCCAAAAAAAAGTTTTAGGAATATTAACTCTACTTTTTTATAAGTGGAGTAATCATTCCCAAGACCTCAGCAATAAAAAGGTGACTAGAGTGTAGCTAACTCCACTTTCTGGAGTAAGCTGAAATTCAGGACTTATCACTGTATAAAATAACAGTTTTTCCATTCGTTTAATTACTCTCCACCACAGACCTACACAGATCAATTTTCACCATGGCTGGAATTACCACTACTTAGAAATCATGTATGTGGCTTTCACACATGACTAATAAAACACTAAGTTTCAAAAGCATTCCATGAGTACTCATGAGAAACATTTTAAAGTTTGTGTTTTTGTCCCTAATACAAAACTAGTTGATGTTATTTCTACTAATATAATTATTATGTTACAGGTAGTAGGATTAGAGAATTATTTTACTTGACAAACATACATCATGCATATTAAGTGCAAGGCACTTTACATATTGATTCACTTAAGTCTCATTTAAGATAACCATAGGTACTTTCATTATATAGCTAAAGAATACAGGCACAAAGAGAAAACTTTCCCAAGGTCACAGAGTTCAATGGAGGAGCTAAAATTTGAATCCACAGTCCATCACTAGACTATGCTGCCTAACATTTTAAAGAAAATACATAGACTAGTTTTTCATAGCTTATAAGGAACAAGTCATTCCCAATTTTATAATTTTTGTTTGTTTAAAAAAATAGAAATGGGGTCTCACGATGTTGCCCAGGCTGGTCTTGAACTCTGGGGCTCAAGAGATCCTCCCACCTCAGTCCCCCAAAGTGCTGGGATTACAGGCATGAGCCACCATGCCTGGCCCCCAATTTTAGACTAGTTTCAGTTGAGTAAAAAGGCAACCTACCTAAACCATTTGCACATTAAACCTAAACAGCAAGAAGACTGAAGGGAAGATGAGCAGAAGGAAGGGAAGTACAGTGGGGAGGAAGGAATGACAATGAAAAAGAAGGTAAAAGGAGAAAGAAGGATAGAAAGATGAGAATGCTACCTGTAACCACTATTCATAATCTCTGGATGGCAAATGCTTTTTTTTTTGAAAAGAAGAGACAAGACAGTATCTCTATAATCCTTAATTAGCTGATTGTACAGACTGTATGTTTCCATTTCAAATGTTGAATTAAGGCACCTAAATTAGGAGGAAGTAGACAACATTCCAAATTTCTTTCCATAAAAACTGAAATTACATGTTAATCAGTTCACTCAAAATCTGGGAGTTTAGTGACTTTTGCTGCCAACTTCTTTTTTTAAAAAAAAAAATAGGCAAACATTGACAATTTTAACCTTAAATTTCTTAACCAAAAGAATCAGAATAATTCCCCAAACTGAGTAACACATTGGAAAGTTTGGTAGAGCTCAGCCAAAAATGACTAAATGAGAAAGAGATTAACAAAGATCCATAGCACATTCTTGAGTTTCCAAAGGATGTAATTCAAAGAGAATATAAAGGAAGAATTTACATTTCATAAAATCTATAAGGGGAACGTTTTCTGAACATTTCTATATTTTATTCCAAGTAAGGTAAATTTAAGCTAAAACTCAGCTGAATAAAACCAACTAGAGCCAAATAGCAGCAATTTCCTCCAAGCCTCTGCTTTTGTTCCAAACTACCCATTTAAAGAAAGAAAAAGCCTTGCAATAGGATTCTAGACTGACCCAAGAATATGCCAGTTTGACAAATTTTTGTTCGTTTTTTGAGATTCCTTCCCTCTCTCTGTGACTAGAATAGAGAAAAACAACAACAACGACAACAAACAGAAAAACAAGTAAACTTTCATCAGAAGCAAAATAAGTTTCCTAATAGAAGTTAAATAGAAGAGGCCAGGCACGGTGGCTCACGCCTGTAATCCCAGCACTTTGGGAGGCCGAGGTGGGCGGATCACGAGGTCAGGAGATCGAGACCATCCTGGCTAACACGGTGAAACCCTGTCTCTACTAAAAATACAAAAAATTAGCTGGGCGTGGTGGCGCACATATGTAGTCCCAGCTACTTGGGAGGCTGAGGCAGGAGAATGGCGTGAACCTGGGAGGCGGAGCTTGCAGTGAGCCAAGATCGGGCCACTGTACTCCAGCCTGGGCGACAGAGCGAGATTCCATCTCAAAAAAAAAAAAAAAAAAAAAAAGTTAAATAGAAGAAACAGCAAGTGGTCAGGATAGGCACCGTGTCCTATTTGTTTACTTATTTTTATCTTCAGTGTCTAACACACTGCCCAGCACCTATGATACAGTTAACAAATGTGTACTGAATATGAGTGAATGAACAAATAAATGTTACGAGAAAAGGGAAGGCACAAAATGCTGGAAACTATTTAGCAAGTGAGAATCTTCCCAAAATACTTGTTTTTTCCCCCTTTGAGGAAGGGACCCAGATTGAGGCTTAACAAAGGGACCGCTCCTTAGGAGTATCCTTAAGGGGTAAAATGATGTCAGCATTATGGTAATAAGAAATGGCATCAGTATTTGAGATAATTACTGGGTTAAAACAAGCAACAGGGACCCCACAACCATCTAGCATTGGTTGCAAATGTTTTTGCAGCCAGATTTTACTCTATACCCATTGACTTTGATTTGGCATAATGATGATACCACATTTGGAGCATGCTGAGGGAACCATAACCCCCTCCCTCCCAAGAAAGCCAAGATGGCAGCCCATGGGCTCCTGTTTGCATTTGCCATTAAGGACACTGTAATTGGTGTTTAATGCAGAAACGGAAGCTACCTCAAATCTGTTTTAGACATAGATGGGTATTATCAGTAGGGTCCTGCCAAGAAAAGCAGCATACTCAAATGAAGTATTCAAGAAAACTTAATGAAGGAACCATTTCAAAAGGTACAGGCAGGGTTTAGGGAAAACAGCAAAAGATGGTGGTATAACTCCAGGTTAGCAACGTCAGGAAGCCATTATCATCTCCAGGTCTAAAGGGGCTAGGGAAGGGTTATTAGAACCCAGAAAGATGTGTAACTATAGATGGCTGGCAGAGAGGGCCATTATTGAATACAAGTTGTGAACTACTCACAGAACAGCTTTGGCAACACTAAATCCAGCAAGAGGGAACTAGCTTTTAGGGAGATCCTTTCTGATGTCCCTCCCACTGGGCAAAGCTAATCTGAAACCAAAAAGGAAGGGCTCAGTTGATGTACCCCATGTAATTCATTTCCCAGAAGCACAGAGCAGAGTGGAGAAAAGATCTGGAAGGGCAAATGGAACACACACAGCACAGAAAGATATTCTAAATGATTGTCAAAAACAGCAAAACACAGGTATAAGGAATCAAAGTTTTGTCAGTTCCAGCTAAATCTTCTAGATATTGTGGGACTGCCCGCAAATAAGTCATAAACATTGGTACTTACTTGGGTTCCTACTGCCCTATATCAAGTTGGAAAAGAAAAAAAAAAGCAGCAGCAGCTACGAGTAATTCCAGGTAACTTCTGACCTTTCTGCGTCTCTAAGAGTAAACAGACAAATCATTTATCTACAATGGAGCAGATCTAAGACAAGGCTCTCGTCTTTGCTCAAAGGGAACATATTCCAAACCTCCATTATCGTACTTATCATGATGTATTATAACCACTTGTTTATTTCTTCATCATTAGACTCTGAGCCCTTCAGGGCAGGGATTATCTTATTCATCTTTGTATCCCTAGTACCTAACATGGTACTGGCCACGAAGCTAGCCTTCCATCAATATGCATTGAATAAATTAATGGACTCAGTGTCCATTAATCGGCAGCCTAATGCCATAGTGGCTAAAATCTGAAATGACCCTTAGCAATTAAACACTAATAAGTTGTATTCAGGATATGGTTTAATACACTGGGCTAAAACATCGCGCCTTTTCCAAAATTAACATTTTTATTAAACCAAGTTTAAAAAATGTTCAGTGTAGAACAAAACCAAAATATACCTTTTTATACAATATATGTATATATTAGCAGCAAACTACTGAGATTCTCTTTTATGTTCTTTTAGTTATTTTAAAGAAAGCATAAACAATGTATATTAGTATGGAATGTCAGTGAATCCACTCTTAGTCCTTTATTCTGTGATTTGGGCCTTCTACAAAATACTTTATGATTCTCACTAATGAATACTAAGAACATACCCAATTTTGACTAAAAAGTAGTGAAACAGTGGTTGGTAGAATCTTTCTCACTGTATCACGGTCACACATTATATCTGAGAATAAGAAATGAGCACCATACAAACAGGTAATTGTGTGTGTGTGTAAACTCAATTTCTAAGGTGTAATAGCAGCCAACTAGATCACTTAGCACTGTGACTATCACTTTTTAAAAATCTGGTTATACACAAAATTTTAACAAATCAGATAAACACTTCAACCCCCTATTGCTTGTCCATTTAAAAAATCCTTATAGAAACTCTATATATAACCTGAAAAACTGCATACACACATACGTGTATATATACACACAAAAGTATATATATATACATATACATCTTTAGCTTTGAATAAATTTCTAAACTGAGATGAAGCCAAACCTCTCATTTATATCTTCTAGAATACAGTAATACCAACTGAAAGTTTCTAATAAGAGTTTCAACTTAGTTAATCAGAAATACTGGCTACTGAAAATTCTGAGGCCAAAGAGCTGCTATTCAGCTTAGTATATTCTAGGCTTACAAATCAGTCAAAGACTGAAATTACCAAATGCCCATGAAAGAAATAAATTTTTCTCTCTGTATTTCCTTCTAATAACAAAAAGAAAATATCTTTACAACAAGCTTTCACTTTTTAAAGAATTAAAATTATTACTAGTCTTCAAAAATAGTAAATGTTATATAAATACGATTTTCTTATAGTTGAATTTTTCAGCTAGAATCTGCATTTAAAAAATTTCCTTTGGATTTTTCCATTTAGCACTTCAAGTTTCTATTCTGCAACTCTAATAACTGGCTCAGATTTGTTAGATTATATCACATCGTTCAAAATTTGCTACTGTGTGTTTAATGTGTACAATAATAAAGTAAATGGGAGGAATGTACCAAATTTCAAAAGCAACATAATGAAAAATTCAAGAATATTTAATATTACAAAAAGATAAAGTACAACAGGGATTCTCTTTCACCATTACATTAGTGAAACATCTTTTACGCTTTTAAAGCTAATGTCATAACTTTCATTTTTTAACTTACCAAGAGGATGAAGTTTTTAGAAGCCCTACCTTTATTTTCAATCAAAAACTAAAATGACTGAATTACTTTTATTAATATACACATCAAGTTACTGAAACGGTGACTTCATGTAGTTTCCCCCTTAAAGATGGCACTTGCAGGTACAAAGATGCAGAGATGTCTACAGCCTTCAGATGTTTACTTGAAATGATTCTTCAACAGCAGTTTGACATTGAGTTTCTTCATCTAGCTGAAGATTCACAAATTCTCCATAATCAAACTGATGTCTCTGATTTAGATGACTAACGAAATTTCTGGTAATCTGGCTAGGATCTCCCCAAGGAAGAGATACACAAATAGGACATGTCACAGGAACTATCTGAAATAAGTGATTACTGTTAGAGTGATCCAGTAAACGCTCTCTGGTAAAATTTGATTCTTGACACAGGGGACACTTATAAGTAGGATGACCAGAAGAACTTGTATTCTCTTGGTAAGTTTCTGTGTTATCAGATGTGGATGTTTCACTCCTATTGCTGTTCCCTACTGAATCTTCAGAGATCTGAAAGTTTGGAATGATAGAAGAAACATCATATTCATCCTGATACTTCTTACAAGATTTGCAATGAAGTCTCATGCGATAGAATTTAATCTGTTTTGCACAGCATCTGCAGCTACCAGAAAACTTCCTCATTATATTTTCAAGGTCTAAGGCCCGTTCAGGGCATGCTCTCTCTTCTAGTCACATTTCCACGACACAGGGGACAATGTGCTCCGCTTTCCCTCATTGCAGTCAGGAAACATTTTCTACAGAAAACGTGCTGACAGGGCGCGGTCCGCACGGGCGTTTTGAGCACCTCCTGACAGACGGGGCAGTAGGATGTGGCCGCGGAGAGGTCCTCAGCCATGGCGGGGGATGGGGGAACAAGGCGATGGTGACAGCGGCAGCGGCCCCGATGGTGACATGGTGACAGCGGCAGCGGCCGAGGTGACGGTGACGGCCCGGGGCTCGATGCCCTACAACAACATCGCGCCTTTCATACCAGCCTACCACCATTCTCTGTAGAGCTTTTCTCATGCGCTCAGATAATGTATATGGCCTGTTCTATAGTCACAGAACCAGTCATAAAAAGAGCCAAAGACAGATGGCAAGACTATGTTCCATTTCAGAAAGGAATCAAATATACATTATCTCTCAAAATTCTCATTCTTTTTCCAAGAATTTACCATATCCACTTGAGGAACTAACACACAGGACTTCTCAAAATTCTCCTTCTTTTTCCAAGGATTTATCAGATCCACTTAAGGAACTAATAATTCAAACGTGTATATAGAGGAAGTCGTGTTTCACACTGATGATAAAGATGACATACGGACAGAAACATATACACACACATGCACACAGGCATGTTTAATGATCACTTCAACACACATCACCCACAGTAAAATTATAAAGTAGTTGTACAACAGGTTGACGTAACATCATCATATTAAAATGGCTATACTGTATGATGTTGAGGTGGTCATTAACAGAATCTGGAATGTATCCACATTATAATTATGAACCACTTTCACAAAACCCTGCACTTATGAAGTGCTTAATCATCTTTTTGTTCTAACAGTCAATTCTTACCTGTGGATTCCTCACAGAAAAAGGAAATTTATGCCAGGTTGAAAACTCTCTTGAAGCTACCATGATTTTAGGCTACCAATCTCCTGCTGTCAGTAAAATGAATACAAATCAAATTTAATATAACAGACTCCACCAGAAAGGCGCATTTGCTATATAACACGTGTCTTCCAAAAGTAAGCGTGAAAAGTTTTGTATCTCCTGCACCACTGGTCTCCTTCACTGCTGTTTGCAATGGACAGTTGATGTTGTTAAATGTAATGTAATCTTACATTTTTAAAAGTCAGTAAAATAGGTCACTTTCTATTTAGGAAAAGGGAATTCTGAGCTTATAGTGATAATATGCTGAATTACTTTAAAAGAAATGCCAGTAATACCAAAACATAATGTTGTAAATAGATTAAATGCCTTTTCCTAAAACAAGTCCTCAAAGCTTTCTCCAAAACCACCAAAAACACAATTTTATCTTATTGACAGCTATTGTACTCCTGCAACTGTCAGGTCAATGTAGCAATGAAATTAACCTTTATAGGATAATTATGTGATGTTTGTATCATGTTAAAACTACAGGCTACAACAACCCATAATTTATAAAATTGTACTGCATGTCAGTTCCTCCATTATATGTGATTTTTTTTTTAATTGCAGATCTACCATATGGCTTTGTGTTTAATACCATTAGCTTCAGCTACCTCAGAGCAGTATTATGTTTCAGCCATTCTAATCACTGTTTGGCCCATAGAAAAAAATTTATGTTGTTTTACAAATTGATCGAACTCCCACAGTAGGAAAAGACAAAGATGATATGTAATTCTGATAGTGCACAATATGTGGCAATGATAGGATAATATTCAATATATTAGAAATATATTTTTTTCTGATCGAACATTTTCCTCTCCTTTCACTAAAATATAAACAAAGTTTAACAAAGTTCCAATGACATCAAGTATAAGTTAAAATATATTTTTTAATGTAACATTTCTATGAAAGGTAATTTTTTGTTGCAAATAAATTTGAATATATTTAATTATTAATAAGTCCCGACATCTGAAAGGACTGTGTTTTTATAAAGACAGTGTTCAGTTGGGCGCGGTGGTTGACGCCTGTAATCCCAGCACTTTGGGAGGCCAAGGCGGGTGGATCACAAGGTCAAGAGTTCAAGGCCAGCCTGGCCAAGACGGTGAAACCCCGTCTCTACTAAAAATACGAAAGTTAGCCGGGCATGGTGGTATGTGCTTGTAATCCCAGCTACTCAGGAGGCTGAGGCAGAGAACTGCTTGAACCCGGGAAGCGGAGGTTGCAGTGAGCCAAGATCGCGCCACTGCACTCCAGCCTGGGCGACAGAGCAAGACCGTCTCCAAAAAAAAAAAAAAAAAGACAATGTGCCAAAATTGTGTTCCACTTTCCTAAACTTAATTCCTAAAACTCACTGTGGACCTAAACAGGAAGTGTCTTGGGAAACAACAAAGATGCTTCATATTAACAGGTAACAAAATGCAGTTTTAGGGCCCAGCGCTGTGGCTCACACCTGTAATCCCAACACTTTGGGAGGCTGAGACAGGCGGATCACCTGAGGTCAGGAGTTCGAGACCAGCCTGGCCAACATGGAGAAACCCTGTCTCTACTAAAAACAGAAAAATTAGCCAGGCATGGTGGCGGTGCCTGTAATCCCAGCTACTAGAGAGGCCAAGACAGGATAATCACTTGGACCCAGGCGGCAGAGGCTGCAGTGAGCCGAGATCCCGCCACTGCACTCCAGCCTGGGTGACAGAGAGAGACTGTATCCAAAAAAAAAAAAAAAAGATAACAAAATGGAATTTTTCCTTACAACAACAACAAAACCTGGTAACAGAATTTATAAGAATTCCACAAGATTGCAAGGGCCTAAATGACCCGGTTGGAAACTGGAGAGTGGAATAACTAGGAACTACTGGATTAAAACCGAGGGAATCTCCTGTCACTGAGAAACCATTACGCAGACTTCCATCCAGGTGGCTAAAGCCACAGATCTCCCACCCTGAGAACTTGCCAATACTACTACTATTCTGATTACTTCAACATGAGTAGGACTATCCAAACCTCCAGCAGCTCTTGCTTTGTTTTTGTTTATTCCATCATATATAAATAGTTCACAGCATAACTGCCTTATACAATACATAAAAAGTGAAAACTACTCCTTCCAACGCCCATCCCTTATCCAAATGATTCCAGTTCTTTCTCTTCAAAAGAAAGGAGTAACTGGCAACCAGAAGCCTCATAACTGAACTCTTCCAATCAGGAAGACAATGCGAAATCTGCTGCAGCCAAAGAATGTCTACTGCTCCTTGAGACACTGTCACAAGAGATGGAAAGCTACACCATGGCAAGGTCTGGGCAGACAAGGAAACAGGTCTGGGGTACCGCATCCTCCCCCACCCCCAAAACTTCTTTAGACCTATACGCAAAAACTTGGCGTGCTCATCCCTACTTGCAACCTGACAATTTACAACCTGGCACACCTTCTAATTAGGAACTAGTTCTAGCCTTTTATAGCCGAAATATTAAACTGCTTCTCACGATAAATCAGGCACTGGCGCCTGCTACTGAGAATCCCCTGTGCATCAAACCTCCAGTTTCACTACTGAGATGGGCCAGTGACCAGGCTCCTCTACCGTACAGAGGGGAGGAGCCCACCCTGCTCTGCTAGAGTGGAACTGCAAACAGAGGACAGGAGCAAGGTATGGAGCGCAGAGGCGTGAACAGCGTCCAAGCAGGGCTGGGCTCATCGCACCGGCGGGCGACAGACAGCGGCGGGCACGCGGGAGCCGGGGTGCAGGCTGCAAAGCGGGGTCCCTCGGCTGCAGAAGCCGCCCCCGTGTGTCGCCCCACAGCTGCGCACGCGTCAGGCAACACACCCCCGCTGCCCGTCGCGGCTCTGCGCTAAAGCCCTCCCGGGACAGCCGCACACGCCCCTCGGACCCGGCGGCGCGTACGTACCCAGCAACACGCAGAGCACATCGAGGGCCACGTACGGCAGCCGCGTCTTGTCAAACATGGTCTCTGCCCGGGCTGCCCGGCAAGGGCGATGGACTGAGCTGCGGGACGGCGGCCGAGGCCCTTGATTCTCGAGCCCGGGCCGGGGCTGGCGACGGCCCCGAGCTACGGCCCCTCCCAGCCGGAGGAGGAGAGCAGCCGAGGGCGGGCTGAGACCGGGCGGCGCTCCCACCGCCAGCAATGGCGCCCGGGGCCCTCCCCTCACAGCCCCCGCGAACACTCGGTTAGTGCCGAGGCGCTCGTGTGCCAGCCGCGGCAGCTCTGTAGCCTCAGGACCTCCTCAGCCGGCACGGCCTGCCCCGGTTGCTCCCCGTCCGGATCCCGGCGCTCTCTCCCACAGGCGGGGCGTCCAGACTCTCGCTTTAAGGATGGGGACCGGCAGGGAGGAGGAACGCGGGGTCCAGCCCCTCCCGCTGAGCAGCGCAGGACCGGGCAGCGCGCGGGTTCGCGGGCGGGGGGAGTGCAGCAGGGGCGGGGCCAGGGAAACCCCAGGCCGCGGCGGTCAGCCAATCAGCGCCGTCGGCCTCATCCCTCCCGACCTGCGGCATCCGCCCAGAAGTGCGGCTCTCGGCAGCCGGGCGGGGCGTGGGGGCGGCTCCCGTTCCGATCCAGGGGGCTTTGCTCTGGACCGCAATTGCTCAGGTGGTCTCCGAACTCGGCCTCGGTACCCCCACTAGGCATTGCTGCTTTCAGAGAGCTAGGCTCCCTACCCAACGATCCTAGAGCACCGGCTGCCTGCCACTCCCCACCCCTTCCATGGGGATGAGGTAATAAACAGGTCAGATTGTTACCACTGAGTTTAAGGGGGGAAAAGAGGTCAGAGTAGGCAGGAACAGAGACGCTCTCCTTTAGTTTGGTACCTCTGAGCCCTTTCTCACTTAGGCCTCAACGTTGACCTCCCTGTGTCCTGGCTGAGCCCAAATGTTAGCAAGAAGCATGCTAAATCATCCATCCTCGATACCTGATCACCGTTGAATTCTTGATATTTAATATCGGATTAGATTCCTTATATTACACCTTTGTTGTAGAAGCCCTTGACCTGCCTTTAGCCAGAATCCCTCTACCCTTGATGTCTCCTCTTAGTAATTTTCCATCCACCGTCACCTCCCTCACAGACACGGTGCCTGTTCCTTGGCTATAAATCCCCTGCTGTCTTTGCTGTATTCTGAGTTGAGCTCAATTTCTCTCTCCTGTTCCAATAGTCATGACCCTTATTGTAATAATCTTGAATAAATTATTCATGTGTTTGACAAGTGTCAGGATAATTTTCTTTAACAGCAGCAAGCACTCCCCCTGCCCCATACCCAGGAGGACCCTAGCCCACATTTAGTAATCTCAGTTTCCTAATATGTAAAATGGGGATTTTTTAAATAAATACCTAATACTCAGACATCACAAGTACTTTGAATTTATTGTGACCTTGCAATCTGAGGCCCTTGTAACTCTGGAAGTAAAGAAAGCCACATGATAAACAATGGCCCATCTTTCTCAGGTGTAAATTGCTTAAAGCTTTTACAGCTTTAAGCTGCCCAGTGTTCCAGTCTGGAGGAAGAAGTGAAACCCAGAAAAGATTATATGATAGTGGCTTTATCTAGAGTTAAACCGTCTACAGATGTTAATGATTGGTATATTTTCTCTTTAAATATGTAAAACACAAATCACAAAATGTGCCTACTACTTCTTCGACTTATCCTGCAAAGCACTCATAAAGCCAATGGAAAGATAACATTAAACAGAGTCTGGAGATACAGCCCCAAGTAAGCTCTCAAAAACAAAATATACATTTGAAGAAAGATGTTTTTCTTTAAAACGAATGCTAATGTTTTATTTTGCCTCTTGTTTAAATAGCCGTAAAAGCTTTAAGCAATTTACACCTGAGAAAGATGTGCCATTGTTTATCATGTAGCTTTCTTTACTTCCAGAGTTACAAGGGCCTCAGATTGCAAGGTCACAATAAATTCAAAGTACTTGTGATGTCTGAGTATTAGGTATTTATTCAAAAAACATTTGTTGAGCACCTATTGTGTTACAGTCTAGTCTCAGTGTCTTAAACAGCTTTTGAAATATTTACTTTTTAAAAGTAATTTTTAAAAACATTTACTTTTTAAAAATTTTTTATTTTTACTTTTTGTGGGTACATAATAGGTGTATATATTTTGGGGTAATGAGATGTTTTGATACACGTATGCAATGTGTAATAATTACATCATGGAAAATGAGGTATCCATCCTCTCAAGCATTTATCCTTTGTATTACAAACAATTCAATTATACTCTTTTAGTTATTTTAAAATGTACAATTTAATTATTAACTATAGTGACCCTGTTGTACTATCAAGTACTAGATCTTATTCTTTCTATTTAAAAAAAAAATTTACTCTTAAAGTGCGTTTTCAAAAATAAGCATTCAAAAAAACCTTACTGATTAGTGATTTTTTGTTTATTCACACATTCATTAATTCAACATTTATTGAGCCCCTAATGGATACCTGGTACACATCTGTGAAGAAGCTAAAATAAACAAGAGAAGTTCTCTGCCCACAAGGGGAATCCTGAGGCCCACTTAGAAAGCATGTGATTAGGGCTGGGCACGGTGGCTCACGCCTGTAATCCCAGCACTTTTGGAGGCCGAGGCGGGTGGATTACGAGGTCAAGAGATCGAGACCATCCTGGCCAACATGGTGAAACTCCGTCTCTACTAAAAATACAAAACTTAGCTGGGCATGGTGGCACGTGCCTGTAGTCCCAGCTACATGGAGGCTGAGGCAAGAGAATCGCTGGAATCCAGGAAGCGGAGGTTGCAGTGAGCCGGGATCATGCCACTGCACTCTAGCCAGCCTGGCAACAGAGCTAGACTCTGTCTCAAATAAATAAATAAATAAATAAATAAATAAATAAATAAATAAAATAGATTAATAAACCAAAGCCCATTAAAATGCATTGTCATTTCCTGTTATTTTAAATGGGACTTGTGCCATGTGCAGATTATAAGCAATTAATAAGGCCAGGCACGGTGGCTCACTCCTGTAATCCTAGCAATATTTGGGAGGCTGAGGCGGTCGGATCACTTGAGGTCAGGAGTTTGAAACCAGCCTGGCCAACATGATGAAACCCTGTCTCTATGAAAAATACCAAAAAGTAGGCTGGGCGCTGTGGCTCGCGCCTGTAATCCCAGCATTTTGGGAGGCCGAGGCAGGCAGATCACCTGAGGTGGGAGTTCGAGACCAGCCTGACCAACAAGAGAAACCCTGTCTCTAATAAAAATGCAAAGATTAGCCAGGCCTGGTGGCACATGACTGTAATCCCAGCTATTTGAGAGGCTGAGGCAGGAAAATCACTTGAACCCGGGAGGCAGAGGTTGCGGTAAGCCAAGATTGCGCCATTGCACTCCAGCCTGGGCAACAAGAGTGAAACTCCATCTCAAAAAAAAAAAAGAAAAATACAAAAAAGTTAGCCAGGCATGGTGGCAGGCACCTGTAATCCCAGCTACTCGGGAGGCTGAGGCAGGAGAATCGCTGGAACCCAGGAGGCGGAGGTTGCAGTGAGCCAAGATCGCACCACTGCATTCCAGCCTGGGTGACAGAGGGAGACTCTGTCTCAAAAAAAAAAAAAAAAACAATTAATAAGCCCTTATTTGTGGAAAGAATGACTATGACACATCATTTTGTTTTGGAATGGGGAGCTTTCATTCCTTTTTGGGGGAATTTTTTTGTTTGACTGTTTTGGTTTGTTGTCATAATTGAATTCTGGTGTGATCATTGGAATTGAGAATGAGTTAAATAACTTTGAAATGGTGATGAAAATAATTTAAAAAGGAAACACGAATTAAATGGTAACACCATTAATACCCCCGGGGGAGGGGGGCAGCTATGAGTGTGTCCCTGGACTGAACATGAAACCTCAGAAGCGAGAGCACTGACTCCATTTCTCTGGAGTTTGTGCATCCCAGAAAAAAATACTTTAAAAAAATAAAGAAAGAAACCTCAGAGGCTTGCATAAATGCTTAACAAAGTTTGTCCTTGGGCCAAACTTTTCTCCCTGTAATACAGGCATCAAACAAAAGCAAAGTAGGGTGGGCTTCCGAAGAACAGTCCTGAAGCTCCCTGAAGAAGAAAGAAGCTAATTTCCTCTCTTCTGTCATTACTAAACTTCTTGAAAAGGAATCTGCAATTTACATGCTGCATTTCCACTTTCTCTTTCGATACCTCTGCATGCTCAATTCTGTCCCCACTCCTCTACTTGCACTGCTCTTTAACATAATATTATTGGTAAGTCTCCCTCTCTCCATTCTAACAGCACTTACTGTCTCAGCAACTTATTTATTTCAAAAATTGTCTGCAAAGTAATAAGACTCAATTCCCTTAGGATATTTGTGTTTCCATGTGTTTATGTTCTTTCTCCCCAAATTGACTGAAGCAAATACAGTTTCTATTATACTCAAATAGCACTGTGAAACTAAAATAACTAAAAATGTCGATGTCTGGTTCCCCAGTACATGTGCTCCAAAAAGAAAATTTCACAGGATGGTGTATTTTAATCCTTTTTACACTTTTTGTCAAAGCCATTTGCTTCATACCTTATTAAAGTTTTTAATCGGCCGACCACGGTGGCTCAACGCCTGTAATCCCGATACTTTGGGAGGCCGAGGCGGGCCAAGATGGTGAAACCCCATCTCTACCAAAAATACAAAAATTAGCGGATGTGGTGGCACGCGCCTGTAATCCCAGCTACTTGGGAAGCTGAGGCAGGAGAATCACTTGAACTCGGGAGACGGAGGTTGCAGTGAGCCGAGGTGGTGCCACTGCACTCCAGCCTGGGCGACAAAGCGAGACTCCATCTCAAAAAATAAATAAATAAAAATAAAAATAAAATAAAAATTTTAATCATGTAATGTTTGATACATAAATATATAACATATAAATAAGTTATGAAAGGCCAGGCGTGGTGGCTCACGCCTGTAATCCCAGCACTGTGGGAGGCCGAGGCAGGCAGATCATTTGAGGTCAGGAGTTCGAGAGCAGCCTGAGCAACCTGGTGAAACCCCGTCTCTACTAAAAATACAAAAAAATTACCTGGGCATGGTGGCACATACCTGTAGTCCCAGTTACTGGGGAGGCTGAGGCAGGAGAATCGCTTGAACCGAGGAGGCAGAGGTTGCAATGAGCCAAGATCCTGCCACTGCACTCCAGACTGGGTGACAGAGCGAGACTCCGTCTCAAAAAAACAAATAAATAATAATAAGTTATGAGGCATAATAAAATGGGCAACTATGAATCTACAATTCTATTCAACTGAACACCTGGATCATTGCAGAATCTTTGAAAGCACCTGAATTCTATATTTACCTTTCCCTAGCTTTGTTTTTTCCATATCGTTTAACCACGTGCATATGTATCTCTAAAAATATATATTGTTTCACTTGCTTGTTTTTTAGCTTTTAAAAATATTATGCCATAGATTTAATCTTCTGCCCTTGATATTTTTTCACTCAATTATATTTCTTACATTCATTCATGCTGCTGCAATAGTAGGTCTGTCATATGAATACATCATTTTGTTCATTCTTCTGACAATAGTCATCGGGGTTTTCATTTATGCAAATAATGCTTGCTGCAGGCATTTGTGTACATGTCTCTTGTGTGGAATTACTAGCTGCATTTTGTAGTATGTCCACATTCAACTTCATGAGATAATCTCAGATTGTTTTACTAAATGGTTATACCATTTCATCCACACCCCCACTAGTGGTGGATGAAACTCCACATTCTCATCAATGCAATATTCTGAGACTTCTTAACTTTTGCTAATTTAGTAGGTATAAATGTGTATCTCAATGTAGCCTTAATTTGCATTTCCCTGGTCACTAATGTGGTTGGATGTCTTTCCCTAAATGTATTCACCAAAAATGTTTCCTCTTCTATTAACTGCCTGTTCATGTCTTTTGCCATTTTTCTGTTGTGTTTTCTATTTTTTTTTTTCATTTTTCTATTGTTTTCTATTGTATATCTTATTCTTATTTAATTGTGGAAGTTATTCATATGCTCTTCATAGTAATTCTTTGTGTGGTAAATTTTTTCTCCGAGTATGTGGCTTGTCATTTCACTTCCTTTATTAGCAGCTGTGTGATAGAGTTCTTGTAAATGTAATGTAAGCAGATATCTACTGGCAGGTTTCTTTAACGTTTTTGCTTTCCTGACCAAAGGAAAAGGCTGAATTCCCTTCCCTTCCTTTCTACCTTCTTTGAACATGGACCTGATATCTAGAGCTACAGCAGCCATCTTTTGATTATGAGGGACAGACCAAGAAATGCAGTGTCACTGGTCTTTATAATGTTGAGCTCTACTAAAAATAACCAGCAACTGGTTGCCTCCAGATTTCTTCTTATGTGAGAAAAAAATAATAATAATATGTTTAAGCCTAAAATATTCACAACAAATACAAGGCTCAAGAGAACTTTGATTGGTATTTCTGAGAAATTTCATGTCATTATTCTAAGAAAACCTTTTACTTGAACTAATTTAATTGAATTTCTGGTCCTTGAAACTTCAAAGCCCTGAATAAAACAATTTGAGTCAATAGAAAAGGGTGCTGAGGAAGAATAAACTTTGAAGATTGAGCAATGGTTAAAGCATAAAGGAGGCAAAACAAGTGGCTTTTTTGAAGTCTTTGAGTAGGAAAGGCTGTGAAACTCACATTGGGGATTAGCGGAAGATAAGATTGGTTCTAGAAGGTAGGTTATAACAATTTGTAACTAAAAAGTACAGCTGGGGTAAAGAAAAATCACTCAAAGTAGGTAGAGACATACTAACAACAGTCATTTAAAATAAGTACTCTGGTAGTGAAAAGAAGTCATAGTCTCTGCAGAGGACTCTAAATAAAGGTGAGTAAACTTTATCTTGCAAATCAGATTATCTAGATTCTGGTCTTTTTTCATGTATATATCCATTTTATTTCCTATCTTTCCTAAAGGTATTTATGGCTTCCAGTGCTTTTTCAGCTTTGCTACAGAGTATTAAGAGGAAAGTCTTCTGTTAACACTTGAGCCAATTCCCAAGTGTGAGGTGTTTAGTTACAATCTTTAGTGAAAACCCATGAAAAGGAGATGAGTGTGTATCTAGGATCTGATTTGGGGCCCTGTGGATGGGCAACCCAGCTCCAGAAAGATACTGTCCTTCCACCAATCTCTCCTTCCGTGTCAAGGTTGGAGGGCCTGGATTCTATGTTGTTGTTTTTTAGGAAGTCAGTGTTTTCTAAAAAAGGTTCTAGTAATGAGCAAATAAAAAAAATAGGTGCAATTGCCTAGCAAATGTCTGACATATGCTGACACACAATGCATGTTTTTTCAAAAACAAAGATTTCTGCGGATCCATATCCGTTGTTTCTGCTTCCCTACCACCCACTCAACCCACTACCTACCATGGTTCCTTAATCTACCAAAGAAACAGTGATGATTTGTCATGACTTGTTCTTAATAACTCCACACACACCTGGCCCTGGTGATCACCAGTTCCTTTCTGTAGGATGCTCACAAGTATTTCTTTTTTTCTTTTTCTTTATCTTTTTTTTTTTTTTTTTTTGACGGAGTCTCACTATGTCACCCAGGCTGGAGTGCAGTGGCGTGATCTCTGCTCACTGCAACCTCTGCCTCCCGGGTTCAAGCGATTCTCTTGCCTCAGCCTCCCGAGTAGCTGGGACTACAGGTGCCTGCCACCATGGCTGGCTAATTTTTGTATTTTTAGTAGAGGTGGGGTTTCACCAAATTGGCCAGGCTGGTCTCGAACTCCTGACCTTGTGATCTGCCACCTTGGCCTCCCAAAGTGCTGGGATTACAGGTGTGGGCCACCACGCCTGGCCCACAAATATCTCTTTTAACAATCTCTTTAAAAATCTATCACCAGAAATATGTAAATTAATTACCTATAAAGTATCTATAATCTTAAAGACATCACATATTTTTTTTTAAAATCTTGGACAGGCTGGGTACAGTGGCATATACCTCTAGCCCCAGCTACTCAGGAGGCTGAGGTGGGAGGATCACTTGAGCCTAGGAGTTCAAGTCCAGCCTACACAAATAGTGAGACCCTGTCTCTTAAAAAATAAAAATAGGCTAGGCATAGTGGCTCATGCCTGTAATCCCAGCACTTTTGGATGTCGAGGCAGGTGGATTTCTTGAGCCCAGGTGTTCAACACTAGCCCTGGCAACACTGCAAGACCCCTTCTCTAAAAAATTTTCAAAAAAATTAGCTGGGCACAGTGGCATATGCCTGTAGTCCCAGCTACTCAGGAGGCTGAGGTGGGAGGATCACTTAAGCCCAGGAAATAAGGCTGTAGTGACCCATGATAGCACCACTGCCCTCCAGCCTGGGCCACAGAGCGAGACTCCATCTCAAATAAAAATTAAAATTACAAATCTTAGGTAGGATTGCCATGTAGTTATTGGCCTCCAGTCAGAATACACCTGCTCCACCTGTTTTAGAAATCATAATAAAATTTGCCCTTCTTCCATCTTGCAATTCCTCTTCTGCTTACAACCCCATTTGTGCTCTTCTGACATTGCACTTGCCCTTCTCCTAGCACTCATTCTTGGGTTGATCTTTGTGGTTAATGGATCTTCTTTTTTTTTTTTTTTTTTTTTTTTTTTTTGAGATGGAGTCTCGCTCTTGTTGCCCAGGCTGGAGTGCAATGGCACGATCTCGGCTCACTGCAACCTCTGCCTCCCAGGTTCAAGCGATTCTCCTGCCTCAGCCTCCCAAGTAGCTGGGATTACAGGTGCCCACCACCACACCCGGCTAATTTTTGTATTTTTAGTAGAGAGGGGGTTTCGCCATGTTGGCCAGGCTGGTCTCAAACTCCTGACCTCAGGTGATCCACCTGCCTGGGCCTCCCAAAGTGCTGGGATTACAGGGGTGAGCCACCGCACCCGGCAAGTTAATGGATCTTCTTAAGTGAGGGGAGCAGGCCTTCCTAGTTCTGAGAGTGTACTTGGCAAAATGAAGGCACATGCAGTTAAAAAAAAAAAAGTACTGGAATAAATGAATGAATGAGAAAAAGAAAAGTAAAGCAAGAGTTCAGGAAAGAGGCAAGCTGTGCCCCCCTCCCACCTCCTTTTTGTTGTTGTTATTAGCTCTTTTCCCCTCACATGCACTTAAGCTTGTCTGGAGTTAGAAGTGGGGAATGGGGTGGCCGGGCACGGTGGCTCATGCCTGTAATCCCAGCACTTTGGAAGGCCGAGGCAGGCGGATCACCTGAGGTCAGGAGTTCGAGACCAGCCTGCCCAATGTGGCAAAACCACGTCTCTACTAAAAATACAAAAAAATTAGCCAGGCATGGTGGTGGGCACCTGTAATCCCAGCTACTCAGGAGGTTGAGGCAGGAGAATCGCTTGAACCAGGAGGCAGAGGTTGCAGTGAGCCGAGATCGCGCCACTGCACTCCAGCCTGGGCGACAAGAGCAAAACTCCATCTAAAAAAGAAAAAAAAAAGCAAGAAAAAGAAGTGGGGAGTGGGGTTAATTCTGCTGCATTATTCTTACAGATCAATGACGCCCCTTTATAAGTACTTTTTTGTGTCCTCAACAAGGTGAACTTCTTTTAAAAGTGGGCCTTTCTCCTTTTAAGTGACTGTGTTAAGGAATAATCCTGATGGGACAACAAAGGAATTTTCTAGGGCCACCACACTTTTCTTCTTTATCAAGATCAGAGTCAGAAATACATTTCTGGGAGCCTCCTAACCCTCAGAGTCACACTTTCCCTTTCAGAGTTTCTCACACAACAAACTTCGTTTAGCTTTCCTTTGGACTCTTAAAACTCTGCCTTTGAAAAGTCTGTGACAATGATGCTCAAATTTTGCACATCAGAATCATCTTGGGCATTAGTTAAAGACAATCCCCCAGCCCCGCCCCCAGAGATTCTGATTCAGAAGCTAGGCTGGAATCCAAGCATTATTTGGTAATGATGTTTAACAAATTCCCTCAGGAGATTCTGATGTCCATCAGAATTAGAGAAACTCAGGTATCATCAGCCCACATTTTCACTCTCTTTGAAGAAAGTAATCACTTTCTTCAAAGTAATTACTACACATTAGGTGCAGCAAAACATAGTAATGAAACATCTGGGTTCAGGAATCCAGCTCTTGAATACTCCACTGAATACCCTTGGACAAATTGCTTAGAACTTTCTGTGCACCAGTTTCCTTATTTATTTATTTATTTATTTATTTTATTTCTGAGACAGAGTCTCACTCTGTTGCCCAGGCTGGAGTGCAATTGGCAAGATCTCGGCTCACTGCAACCTCTACTTCCTGGGTTCAAGCGATTCTCCTGCCTCAGTCTCCCCAGTAGCTGGGACTACAGGTGTGTGCCACCACACCCAGCTAATTTTTGTATTTTTGGTAGAGATAGGGTTTCACCATGTTAGCCAGGTTGGTCTCAAACTCCTGGCCTCAAGTGATCCGCCCATTATTGGTAAAATGAGAATGACAATAATAGTACCTACCTCATAGGTTTGTTGTGAAGATTAAATGAGCTAATATGTCAAGATCACTCAGCACAATGCCAAGGCATATAGTAGGTGCTCAATAGATGTTGGACATTATTATTCAAAGATTCCTGTCACTTTCGCATGAGAACCAGGTTGATGTCTGTGTCTTATTAACCTTGAGCCTAAGGATAGCGTTCAGAGACCCTGCAAATCCTTTGCAATTGCATATAAATTACATGTTTATATATTTTGCTATGAACTGGCTCTGTAGCCCTTCCCAGATTCTCAAACAGGGTCTCTGACACCATAGTGTGCTCTAGAGCTTTGCTTCCGAAAATGTGCCCTGGACTAGCAGTGTGTGCATTAACGGAGGCTATTATTAAGAGAAATGCAGACTCTCAGATTCCACTCCAAATCTACTGAATCTAAAACTGCATTTTATTTTATTTTTTTATAAGCAGAAAAAAACTTTATTTCTATCAAATTGAAAATTATGAACCTTCCAGCAAGATAATCAAAATAATAATACAATTAACAGGATATCATATACAGATCAGACTAGAGGTTTACATACTTTGAAGCACATACACCAAAATTAAGAGGGCCAGCAACTGTCCCACTGAGGAAAAGCACTCTGACTCATGGCAAACACACAACTTCTGGGAAAATTGAGCTAACATTTCACAGGACAGTACACCAAAGAGACAGGTCGTCATTGGGTTACAGAAATGATCTGAGCTTGAGAAGGATCACAGTAAAATGCCATTGTAACTCAACAATTTTCCCGGAGATCTGCTCATCTCAAAAACAAGAATACAGGGCTGGGCGCAGTGGCTCATGCCTGTAATCCCAGCACTTTGGGAGGCCAAGGTAGGTGGATCATGAGGTTAGGAGATCAAGACCATCCTGGACAACATGGTGAAATCCTGTCTCTACTAAAAATACAAAAGTTAGCCAGGTGTGGTGGCACGCATCTGTAGTCCCAGCTACTCAGCAGGTTGAGGCAGGAGAATCGCTTGAACCCAGGAGGCAGAGGTTGCAGTGAGCTGAGATCGCGTCACTGCACTCCAGCCTGGGTGACAGAGTGAGACTCCATCTCAAAAAAACAAAACAAAACAACAACAACAAAACCCCAATAATATATAATATAAAAATCAGTAGTATAAATTGTCATAAAACTAGAAAAGCCCTCTAAGCCCTAATATCCTTGGAGCTTACATAAAGACTGGGTTTTCATTTTTCTTCTCTTTACTTTTCTTTAAATTAAATATGAAATATTTTGTTATTTAGGACATTTCTGACTTTATAGCCAAAGCTTTAAAATGAAAACAATAATAATTTTATAAAAGGAATTAGACACCTATCAACCCTAGGGGGAATCTTCAAGGTGGTCTGCTCCTTTGAAAAGCTTTAAACAGGAAAGCTTTTATTTAAAGAATGACCCTGTGCGGCTGGGCGCGGTGGCTCATGCTTGTAATCCCAGTACTTTGGGAGGCCGAGGTGGGCGGATCACGAGGTCAAGAGATCGAGATCATCCTGGCTAACACAGTAAAACCCCGTCTCTACTGAAAAAAAAAAATACAAAAAATTAGCTAGGCATGGTGGCGGGCTCCTGTAGTCCCGGCTACTTGGGAGGCTAAGGCAGGAGAATGGCGTGAACCCGGGAGGTGGAGCTTGCAGTGGGCTGAGATCACACCACTGCACTCCAGCCTGGGCGACACAGCGAGACTCCATCTCAAAAAAAAAAAAAAAGAATGACCCTGTGCTTCTGGGAATAACCTAATTATTACCACAGGAAGGGATTTCATATCTATGCCATAAAAGAGCACACATTTCCATATTTAAAGAAGTCTTCATTACCAACTTCTTTTTTTTAAAGACACCAAATAGACCAAGGAGTTACTAAAAATGGAAGGGGATAGTGAGAAAACAAGTCATACTATGAACAGGACTTCACCTTATGAATTGCCTCTCTAGCAAAATCAACTGCAGAAAGGAAAGACATTGTCTGTTAAATGGAAGGTAATAAACGGAATTCTCAGGTGGACACAAATACCTCCTGACATCCTGTAACCCAGCAGAGTACAGATGAGACACGCCCTCTGTAGATACAGTGTGCAACTACCAGTGTGACTCCCTGAGTGCCCATTTCTTGTCTCTGCCTCTAAGCACCAAAAGCAAATATTCCAGGCTGAAGCAAATGTGTTGTTTTATCTGTTAATGAGAATAGGGAGCTCAAATTAGGGAAAGATACAAAAAAAAGGCCCTTTGAATTTCCTGATTAATCCCTATTGATACATAAAAATACGTTTAAATAAACAGGATTATTTCCATTTATAATACAAGGAGGCAAGTTAATTGAGATTATTACACAGGTAATTGATGAAGATTTGATTAGCCAATACATGTAATGTGCCTAACATGGAGTAGACAAATAGTAACTACTGCCTATACCGTAACACATTTGGAAATACGCAGTATTTATTATTTGAGCAAAGACCTCCAGCAGTCTTAAACACTTTGAAAGAAAAGCTAATGTCAAATACTGAACTCAGTTTCCAGTGAACTAAATTTTATAAAAGCACTATTTATGGGTTTGTGCATGCATCTTTCTAAAGTTATCCTGTCTCAACATCTTAAATAGCAGAAAAAAACCATAGCAGCACCTCCCTTTAAGAATCCTTACTCATTCATGGCTATTCTTACCTTTCTCCTTCCCAACCAAAGAGAGGGTCACATCTTGGGTAAAAATGGAGCTCACCTGAGCTTGGCTGCTGGAGAGCAGCAGGGGAGTGATCCCTGGAGATGGACAAGACAGGAAGTGAATCTCCCCTGGTTACTGCCTCAACTGTTGCACAACAAGCAGATGGTGGGCGAAGGTATTCAGAGTCATGTTAATATGTAATGGAATAGAGAGACAATGGTACAAAAGTCAGGAGTTAACTTGTGTTTGATGCTCCATCATCGCTGGTTTACCTACCAGCACTTTGAAAAGGACTAGTTTATCAACAAGACCTTGTTTGGAGTAGGAGTGAGGGAGTGATTTGTTCTGATCTCTGGAAAGAAAAGTGAGCAGGGTCTGGATAGCTCCAAGGAGCTCAAAAGCCTATGTGTGAGCACCATGGCTCAAGGGTAAAGGCCGCTCCAGGGGCACGACCCAGTGGACACCCAAAGGGTAGGTAAGGAACATGAGCTAGCCTCCTTCACAGATTAGCCTGGACGCAAGCCCAGCCTACTTTGACAGTCTTTTATTCCTTTCATAAAGGAGTTCTTAGGCAGGAAGACCAAGACAAGACTCTCCTCTAGCAGCTTCCTTTGCTTAAGCAAACGAAAAAAAAAAAAAAGGAACGTCATAAAAAGGTGAACATCACTTTAGTGAGTCTGCTATTTTCTTTTCTTTTCTTTTAAGAGACAGGGTCTCGCTGTGTCACCCAGGCTGGGGTACAGAGGTGCAATCATAGCTCACTGCAGCCTCGAACTCCTAGGATCAAGCAATCCTCCTGCCTCAGTCTCCTGAGCAACTAGGACCACAAGTGTACACCAGCATGCTTGGCTAATTTTTTATTTTTCTGTAGAGATGGAGTCTTGTGATGTTGCCCAGGCTGGTCTTGAACTTCTGGCCTCTGGCAATCTTCCCATCATGGCCTCCCAAAGCACTGGGACTACAGGCATGGACTAGCTCCACCATGCCTAGACTAGCTCTGTTACTCTTGATGTGAGACCACAAGCAGAATCAAGCAGACTCAAGACCCTTGGTTGCTTGGACACAAGTAGATATTAATAACATCCAGGAACAAGCTCAGTCTTCTGAGTTAGGAAAACCTGGGCTGCAGTCCCAGCTACACTGGTCACCAGCAGCCGAAGCCTGAGCAAGATGCTTCACATCCCTGGGACCCCTGTCTTCTTTTTTATCAGCATGAAATCATGCCTATTTCATAGGATGCTAGAAAGATTGAGATGTTTATAAAGGTCCTAAAACTGCACATTTCACTCAGTAGGCTTTCAATAAACAGTACCTATCTTAAGTCTGTGTTAGTATTGGAGGGTATTAAACACAGCAGCATTTCCAAGGTCTAAGTAAGTAAGAAGCCTGTTAGGATAATGGAAGCAAACTGAATTAAGAGCTGGGTAGAATGACAGAATGCGAGGTCGGGTTAGAATCTTGGAAACCATCTAAACCACCCTCTTTGGTTAAAGGTGAAAGAACAGTTGTGTGGCAGTAGAAGGAAAACCAAGAAAAGATGTCCCTTTAATTTTACTTTTGTCAAAACATTTTCAAGATAATTTTAATTTTTACAAAATCATTTAAGGGAAAAACTAGTGAGTTTGTTGAAGAAAACCAGAAATAGATTTTTTTAAGGCCATTGACCACAAAATAAACATTATGTTTCAAAGACCATGGAAAGATATTTATCTCTATTTGGTCTCACCTAAACCAGCACAGACCCTCAACTGCTAGACAATCTCAGCAAACACACACACTGGAGACTTACTGAGTGACTCAATGTTGGCTAGAATTGTCTATTTAGCTGGAAGGAAAGAGGGAGGGAAGGATAGATAGAGGAGTGAAGTATGGAAGCAGGGATCAGGCCACTTCCTGTACTTCTCCAAAACTCCAAAGGCAATGATCACATTGGAGGGTCAGTTAAACACAGAGGGAAGTGAAGAAAGAAGTTTGGAGATTTTCCTTTTTCCAAAAAAGCACAGACTTTCCTCTTTTGGGTATTCTTTAGAATAACTTTAACTCTCTACGTTTCCTAGTTTGTGGAAATTTTCTCTATGGCAGAAATACTCTAAATCGTGCAATTTTCCTCGTATCAGACTTATTTTTCTCTATAACTGGTTCCCCAGGAGACCTGAGCTTTATCTACATATGATATGCACCCCATCTCCACAAATGGCCATTCAATTGCAACTCTACATTCTAAAGTGCTCAGAGGCAATATAATGTACCGACGATTCATAGATCTGACTGGGCATTTTCATTATATAAACCTACAAACTAAACAATCTCATTATGTTTGAGAGGATGGGGAGGACACTTGTCTATATTTCCACTAAAGTAACCAAAAAATATTCACATGAAGGGACAATGCGAGAGGAGCTGGCAAGTGCTTGGGCAGTACTTAGAAGGAAGACGCATTCATTATCATACTGAGGATTCACTGAGACATCTTCAGAAAGTAAGTAATGTGTTTCAACACCACTGAAGTGTTAAAATAGGCTCCTTTTCTTCTCACCAGTATGAAAAGTTAGACAGGAGTCACTCTCAGGAATAGTAAAGGACACTCACTGGGGACAGTTATGATGCATGAAGAAGGGATACATATTTTTAAGGCAGCAGGAATAAATTTCATTGTCCTTCCCAGACCACAGCAAGAATTATTCAAGGTGGCCACCAACTCTGGAAACCAGGCAAATCTTTTAACAAATGGTTTATTGATATTATGTTATAATGAATGACAAAATATTTGTATCTAATTCTAGACTTTATGGCCACCCTGTAGGATGAATCTTTGGAATGGAAAAAAAATAATAAAGATTTTGTTTTCCCATAATCGTAAAGCTGTTATACTCAGTCCAGGCACAGCTAGCACAACATTCTACTTAACCCCACAGGCTCCGTTCCCTTTACCACCTATCTATAATATATTTGAGTCACTGATAGGAGTGAAACACTGTCAGCATCAATAGTTAGCAGCACTTTCAAAATACATTTTATTGTCCTGAATAGAAACCTTAACTATTCAACTAGTCCAGTAATTCCAAATGATCTTATCACTTCTACACATAAGATGTGATCTTACAACATTTATGTAGCTAAATACTTATACCTCCCATGTTTTTTGAGGATTCCCAAAATACTTTAGGGAGTTCCCAAACGATTTTTAGGGGTTTAATTTTTTTCACAATAAAAGAAAGGAACAGTGTCAATCCATGAGTGTCAGACCAGCAGTTTAGTAAGATCCTCTTCAGAAAGAAGATCCTCTTCATAGCTCAGTTCCCAGTGCATACAGAGATTCAATACAGTCCCCTCACTCAGTTCTTAGAAGAATTTCAGAGGGATAAAAGCGATAACTACCTGTTTTGTTTAATGGCCTAAGAGTGAAAATAGATGTCAAAAAAAAATGCAGTCTAAAAAGAAATAGAAGCCAAATTCTTTCATCCCAGATGTCTGAAAGGGAGGGACTCTATGGAGCATGGATGCAGAAAAGGAGTTATTCCTACTGGAAAAAAAAATGAACTGTGGACACAGTCACTCAAGAGCAGAGAAACAACCACTGAGAGTAAGTAGCCTTAATTTCATTGTCACCAGGGAGGCACACAGCAGAAAGCCTGGGACAAATCTGGGCTAGAGCCCTTAACGGACTCAGGCTTCCAGGTGCTGTGGTACAACAGCCTTTGTGGGGATGGGGGGAACCAGAAACCACCATCATCACGTGTAAAAAAAGGATACCACAGCAACAACATAGTTGTCAAAAATCAGCTGGAACTGAGGTTACGCCCCGTTTGAAATCCACACTGTACTTGTTCTCCTGTGAAGGGCTTGAGACGTGCAGAGACACGTTAAACATGTGTAGGTGACCTTCTTTTGAAAGGCAGAGGAGGGCCTCTTCGGGAACTCTTTCTACTCATCTGTTTTCCTATCAGTTCACCATTTCAACTAGAAAAGAGGCTGCAAGTGCTACCTCAGCTAGCTTCTAATTTGGACACAGCACCAATACTACACACACAATTGACTGAATGACCACATCTTCCTGGTTCTTCCATTGGGCAGGGTTAATATGCTTCTTTGGACTGAATAGATGTGATCATGTTCGAGAAAAGTGTGTAAACATAGGGCCAGATTTTGTTCGTCTCTGTCCCAGAAAATTGGAGAACTCCTCGGCTCTAGTATAATTCAGTGACTGGCTTTGCCATATCCTTGTACTGTCTCAGCCTGGCAGCAACTGCTTCAGGTTTATCATCCTCCTGCTGGACTAATGGTTCACCAGTGACGTCATCAATCCCATGTACATGAGGTGGATTGAAGTCCATGTTATATACCCTTCCGCTAGGAGGGTGAATCCAACAGCAGCCGAGACGATCTTTAAGTGTTTCAAATGGAATCTTCAAACTAATTACTAAATCCAGTTCACAGATTTTTGTCCAGGGCTTCGGCTTGTCGTAATGTCCTAGGAAAACCATCGAGGAGCCAGTGCTGGCCACGGCTATTCTCCAACTCAGACATCATTAGGCGTGTGATCACATGGTCTGGAAGCAAAAGACTTTTCTCTATATACTGTTTTGCCATCTCACCAACTTCGGTTTTGGCCTTGATGTTCTCCCACAAGAAGTGCCCACTGGAGAAATCCTGGAAGCCAAAGTTCTGGGCGATGCTCTGGCACTCGGTGCCCTTGCCCGAGCAGGGGGGTCTGAGGATGACCGCGCGCAGGAGTTTGGAAGCCACTGCCTTCGCGAGGAGCGCGGCAGCCAAATGCGCAGCCCAGACCGCGGCCCCGGAGGGAGCCCCGGGAATTTTGTTTCTAGGCCCCCTACTTCTAGCACCCTCCGCTTTTGCTGTTTTTTGTTTGTTCGTTTGTTTGTTTGTTTGAGACAGAGTTTTGCTTCTGTTGTCCAGGCTGGAGTGCAATAGCGCGATCTCGGCTCACTGCAACCTCTGCCTCCTGGGTTCAAGCGATTTTCCTGCTTCAGCCTCCCTAGTAGCTGGGATTACAGGCATGCGCCACCATGCCCAGCTAATTTTTGTATTTTTAGTAGAGACTGGGTTTCACCATGTTGGCCAGGCTGGTCTCGAAATCCTGACCTCAGGTGATCCGCCCGCCTCGGCCTCCCAAAGTGCTGGGATTACAGGTGTGAGCCACCGCGCCCAGCCCTAAAACTGCATTTTAAACAAGATCCCAGGTAATTCCTATGCACATTAACTCTAGAGAAGCACTCATCTAGAAATTTCCCAAATCTCCCTAATGAGAAAAATCACCTGGGATGCTTGTTAAGTATGTAGATTATCCAGCATATTTCTTAGAAATTCTGATTCATTAAATCTAGTAATTTGAAAAATGACTCTGGGTTAGTCTCATACAGCAGATCCTTGAAGAACCTCATTCCATTATAATGTTGATGAGAAAAAAAAAAATTGACACCCAGCTGGGGCCACTGCCTGTGTGGAGTTTGCACGTTCTCCCCATATATGCCTGGGTTTTCTCTGGGGCTCCAGTTTCCTCCCATATCCCAAAAATGTCCGCATGAGGTGAAGGAGCATGTCTCTACGTGGTCCTGGTCTGAGTGAGTTTGGGTGTGCGTATGAATGTGCCCTGTGATGGGATGGCATCCTGTCTAGGGCTGCTTCCTGCCTTGCACCCTGAACTGACAAGATAGGCACTAACCCTGAACTGGAATAAATGGGCTGGAAAATCGAAATAAATAAATACAAATTATTATAAACTAAAAACTGATGAGTCTATGATAATCATACAAATACACAACAGTAGATGATCTGAAAGCGCTCAGCCGACCCATTGTATTTGTGTGTGGTGTGTGTGTGTGTGTGTGTGTGTTTTAACTGCATGGTGGTAAGAGCTGTTGCTTACGTTTTTCATTTTGCAAACATTTCTTCCTTAATTTAACCCAACACTACTACAACAACCTTCACTCATTGATTCCCCAAAAATTGGGTAGGCTGGGTGCAGTGGCTTATACCTGTAATCCAGAGACTTTGGGAGGCCAAGGCAGGCAGATCGCTTCAGCCCAGGAGTTTTAGACCAGCCTGGGCAACATGGCAAAACATTGTCTCTACAAAAAAATACAAAAAATTAGCTGGGTGTGGTGGTGTGCACCTGTAGTCCCAGCTACTGGGGAGTCTGAGGTGAGAGGATCACCTGAGCCCAGAGAGGTCAAGGCTGCAGTGAGCTATGCTTGCACCACTGCACTCCAGCCTGAGGGACAGAGTGAGACCCCGTCTGAAAAACAACAAAAATTGGGTAAATCATTAATCTCATTTTTATGAATCTTTCTTAAATGTATGCATAGCTCACATTTATTTCATTGTTTAATATTAGAAGTATTTTGGTCTTTATTTAGAAGTTTGAAGGTATGGCCAGGTGTGGTGGCTCATTCCTGTAATCCCACCACTTTGGGAGGCCCAGGCAGGTGGATCACCTGAGGTCAGGAGTTCGAGACCAGCCTGGCCAATATGGTGAAACACATCTCTACTAAAAATACAAAAAAAAATTAGCCAAGTGTGGTGGCAGATGCCTGTAATCCCAGCTCCTCGGGAGGCTGAGGCAGGAGAATTGCTTGAACCCGGAAGGCAGAGGTTGCAGTGAGCCAAGATTGCGCCACTGCACTCCAGCCTGGCGACGAAGCGAGACTCCGACTCGAAAAAAAAAAAAAGAAGCACATGCATATTAGCCTTGTCCACATTCCAATTCTCAAACCTATGACTGTTATATGGGAAAAGAGTCTTTGAAGATGTGATCAAGTGAAGGGTCCTGGGATAGGAAGATTATCCTGGATTATCTGGGTGGTCCCTAATTACAATCACAAGTGTCCTTATAAGTGGGAGGCAGAGGGAGATTTGACTCCAAACAGAAGAGCAGAAAACAAAGTGCCCTGCCAGCACATTAATTTCAGCCCAGTGAAACTGACTTAGGATTTCTGGACTCCAGAACTGTGAGAGAATAAATATCTCTTGTTTCAAATCCATGGTGTTTTGTTACAGCAGCCATAGGAATATGGATATGCATATGTTCTCCTTTACAAAATAATGCCAAACAATTTACAATGAAAATTGGCAAGTATTCACAATTAATGACGCGTCAATGCTCTGTGTGAAATGATAGTTCAAGTGATGGTTCCAGAATTCCTGTATAGGGTGTAGGTGTAGGTTAGGAAACTTGTATTGAAGCTGTGTTTTCATAACACTTTAAAAAACTCTTGGAGGAAAAACATCAAAGTCTCTATCAGAGAATGTGGGTGGAGAGAGTAGGTCAGCATTGGTTGGCACACTCACAAGTCATTATTTTTCAGGCTTGCTAATTAAACAGCCAAGTTCTCTGCTTGGTTATATTATTCTCTTGTTGGAGACCTCAAAGAATCATCTTGTTGGCCCCAATTCAGGGAGGTATAATCACTTCTCAGATGCATTAATGGATTTTTAGTATCATTGGCATGCCAAATACTTACTGGAACGATTTCCTTATTTATGAAGGTATTTTTGTTGTTAAATCAAGAGCAGATTTATATAGGAGTATTGCCCTGTCTGCACCTTGCAGAAACAGCGCTTGTTTTCATAACAGAACCCCCAGTGACAGTTGAACTGGGGTTGAACTGAAGACAAGCCCTTTGTGTCCTTTTCTCCTTGCGTATCTGATTTATTCTATACAGTTCATAACTCTCAATCTTGCCAAACTTCCTGCATTATAGGATCATTGCTGCTGCTACTGACAGTGGGAACTCATGAGAGATGAAAGCATGAGATTTTTTTAAAATGTTGCCTTTCCAACTAAAAATCAGGAGAAGAAAGTTATATCAGTGTTCTATTGCTGCTACAACGAATTACCACCAACTTGGTATTTCAAAAACAATACAAATTGTCTGGGTGTGCTAGCTGACACCTGAAATCCCAACACTCTAGGAGGCCAAGGTGGGAGGATCACTTGAGCCTAGGAGTTCAAGACCAGCCTGGGCAACATAGGGAGACCCCATCTGTACAAATAATAATTAAAAAAATTAGCCAAGCATTGTGGCACGTACCTGTGGTTCCAGCTACTTGGGATACTGAGGCAGGAGGATTGCCTAAGCACAGAAGGTTGAGGCTGCCATGATCTTGCCACTGTACTTCAGCCTGGGTGACAGAGTGAGACCCTGCCCTCCCCACTGCCCAAAAAAATACAAATTCATTATCTTACAGTTCTGTAAATCAGACATCCCATATGTTTTCCACTGGGCTTAAATCAAGGCGTTGGCAGGATTGCGTTCCTTTTAGGAGGATCTAGGGGAGAATCTGTTTCTTTGCCTTCTCTAACTTCAAAGGCTGCCCTCATTCCATGGCTCATTATTCTCTCTTCCATCTTCAAAGCCAGCAATGTGGCATTTCTCTAACTATTCTTCCATAGTCACATCTCCCTCCTACCACATTAGGAGAGGTTCTCCAATTTTAAGGATGCATATGATTTTGGATAGGACTCACCCCGATATCCCAGCATAATTTCCCCTTCTCAAGGCCCTTAATTTAATCACATCTGAAAAGTCCCTTTCCCTACAGAGTAACATATTCACAGGTTCTAGTAATTAGGACATAGATGTCTTTGGGGGACCATTATTCTGCTTACCGCAGGTTTGTTTAAGGAGGGAAATACAATGACAAATTTGATGCTTACTTAGCTGCTGGTGTTATAGACATATAAGCCATCTAAATTTAAACATACAGTTGTTTAGAAAGCCCATTAGAACACTGTAAAGCACAACATATAAATCAATTTTATATACATCTCAAATTACTAATGGAATTATACACTATGTACTCAATATCGATGGATTGTCTTTAATTTTTTTTTTCTTTAAGAGACAGGGTCTTGCTCTGTCACCCAGGCTGGAGTGCAGTGGCGCAATCATAGCTCACCATAACCTCGAACTCCTGGGCTCAAGTGATCCTCCTGTCTCAGCCTCCCAAATTGCTAGGTTTAAAGTGTGAGCCACTAGGCTCAGCTGAAATGTCTAAATATCAATGGAATTATACAGTACATACTTCTTTCACTCAACATCACTTTTGTGAGATCCATTGATTTATTGCAAGTAGCTGTAAATTATTTATTCTCATTGTTGTAGAGTTTTCTATATCTTATGAAAATACCACAATTTATTCATCTATTTTTGTTTTTTTTTTTTTTTTTTTGGTTTGATTTGTTTTTTGAGACAGGGTCTTGCTCTGTCACCCAGGCTGCAGTACAGTGGGACAATGTCAGCTCACTACAACCTCTGCCTCACGATCCTTCCACCTCAGCCTCCCAAGCAGCCGTGACTACAGGTGCACATTACTGCAATTAGCTAATTTTTGTATTTTTTGTACAGATGAGATTTCTCCATGTTTCCCAGGCTGGTCTCAAACTCCTGGGCTCAAGCAATCCTCCCACCGTGGCCTCCGAAGGTGCTAGGATTACAGGTGTGAGCCACTGTGCCCAGCCCCATTCTGTTTTTTATGGACACTTGGATAGTCTCCAAGTTTGAGGCAATTATGCATTGTGCTGCTATACACATTGTTGTCCATGTCTTTTGGTGAACGTATGAACACATTTCTATTGGATTACATTTGGAAGTGGTATTTCTGGGTCATAAAGTGTGGATATGTTCACCTTTACTGGATATTACCAAACAATTTTGTTTGTACCACTCCTACCAGCAATGTATGAGGATTGCAGTTACTCCACATCGTCACCAGTACTTTTTCTCTATAGACATTCTGGTGGATATTTAGAGGTATTTAATTATGGCTCTGGTTTGCATTTCCCTAATAACTAATGAAGCTGAGCATCTTTTACTGTATTAGCCACTTGGATAACCTCTTTTATGCCATATCTGTTCAACTGTTCTGTGCATTTTTCTATTTAGTTGTTTGTCTTTTTCTTAGAGGATTTTTCTTTTTTAGAATAAAATGCCTAGGAATACAACTTACAAGGGATGTGAAGGACCTCTTCAAGGAGAACTACAAACCATTGCTCAAGGAAATAAGAGAGGACACAAACAAAAGAAAAAACATTCCATGCTCATGAATAGGAAGAATCAATATGGTGAAAATGGCCATACTGCCCAAAGTAATTTATAGATTCAATGCTATCCCTATCAAGCTAACATTGACTTTCCTTACAGAATTAGAAAAAACTACTTTAAATTTATATAGAACCAAGAAAGAGCTCGACCAAGACAATCCTAAGCAAAAAAAAAAAAAAAAAAACAAAGCTGGAGGCATCACCCTACCTGACTTCAAACTATACTACAAGGCTACAGTAACCAAAACAGCATGGTACTGGTACCAAAACAGATATATACACCAATGGAACAGAACAGAGGCCTCAAAAGTATATATACTTTGTGGTATTATTTCTGAGGCCCGCTTGAACCCGGGAGGTGGAGGTTGCAGTGAGCCGAGATCGCGCCACTGCACTGCAGCCTGGCAACAGAGCTAGACTCTGTCTCAGAAAAAAAAAAAAAAAAAAAAGAGTACTCGGAGAAGTTCCAAATCCTATTTATATCCTATTTATATATAGGGTTTGGAACTATATATTAAAAAAAAACTTCTATTTTCCAATGAGTTGTTGCTAGCACACACGTATGCTACTGATTTTCTCTAGTTAATGTATATTAAATTTTCATTTTTCTGGCCTTTCTAAGTTTTCTAATTATAAAATTTATAGAAGTGGAAAGAAAAAACAATCCCATTAAAAAGTGGTCAAAAGACATTTCTCAAAAGAAGACATACAAGTGGCCAATGAACATATGAAAAGAATGCTCAACATCAGTAATTATTAGAGAAATGCAAATCAAAACCACAGTGAGATACCATCTCACACCAGTCAGAATGGCCATTATTAGAAAGTCAGAAAACCACAGATGCTGGTGAGGCTGTAGAGAAAAGGGAACACTTACATACTGTTGATGGAAGTGTAAATTAGTTTAGCCACCGTGGAAAGCAGTTTGGAGATTTCTTAAAGAACTTAAAATGGAACTACCATTAGATCCAGCAATCTCGTTACTGGGTATGTATCCAAAAGAAAACAAATTGTTCTACCAGAAAGACATATACACTCGGCCAGGCACATTGGCTCACAACTGTAATCCCGGCACTTTGGGAGGCTGAGGTGAATGGATCACCTGAGGTCAGGAGTTCGAGACCAGCCTGGCCAATATGGTGAAACCCCGTCTCTACTAAAAATACAAAATTAGCTGGACATGGTGGCAGGTGCCTGTAATCCCAGCTACTCGGGAGGCTGAGGTAGGAGAATCACTTGAACTTGGGAGGTGGAGGTTGCAGTGAACCAAGATTGCACCATTGCACTCCAGCCTGGGCAAAAAGAGTGAAACTCCATCTGAAAAAAAAAAAATCAAAAAAAACAAAAACCAAAAACAAACAAAAAAGATGTATACTCTCATATGCTCATCACAGCACTATTCATGATAGCAAAGACATGGAGTCAACCTAGTTGCCTTCAACAGTGGATTGGATAAAGAAAATGTGGCACATATACACCATGGAATACTATGCAACCATAAAAAGAAGGAAATCATGTCCTTTGCAGGAACGTGGATGAAGCTGAAAGCCATTATTCTAAGTGAATTAACGCAGGAACAGAAAACCAAATACCACATGTTCTCACTTTTAAGTGGGAACTAAACATTGGGTAAACATGGGCATTAAAATGGCGATGGTAGCCAGACCCAGGGGCTTATGCCTGTAACCACAACACTTTGGGAGGCCAAGGTGGGAGGATCACTTGAGCCTAGGAGTTCAAGACCACCCTGGGCAACATGGCAAAACCCAGTCTCTACAAAAAATACAAAAATTAGCTGGACATGGTGGTATGCACCTGTAGGCCCAGCTACGCCGGAGGCTGAGGTGGGAGGATTGCCTGAGCCCAGGAGGTAGAGGATGCAGTGACTCGTGATTGTGCCGCTGAACTCCAGCACGGGTGACAGAGCAAGATCCTGTCTCGGCCGGGCGCGGTGGCTCACGCCTGTAATCCCAGCACTTTGGGAGGCCGAGGCGGGTGGATCATGAGGTCAGGAGATCGAGACCATCCTGGCTAACAAGGTGAAACCCCGTCTCTACTAAAAATACAAAAAATTAGCCGGGCGCGGTGGCGGGCGCCTGTAGTCCCAGCTACTCGGGAGGCTGAGGCAGGAGAATGGCGTGAACCCGGGAAGCGGAGCTTGCAGTGAGCCGAGATTGCGCCACTGCAGTCCGCAGTCCGGCCTGGGCGACAGAGCGAGACTCCGTCTCAAAAAAAAAAAAAAAAAAAAAAAAAAAGATCCTGTCTCAAAAAAAAAATAGATAAATAAATAAAATTAAAACAAAATTAACTTGTTAATATCAATGCATTTTGCTGTTTCCTGAGCCTTAATTGTTCTCACGGTCAACTAAGCTTTTACTTCCCTAGAAATGATAACATTTTACTGCAAAACTGTGGTAGAAATCGAATGTAACCATTATCTGATATTACTTATCTCATTTAACATATATTTGTTGCAAAAATAAGCTATGGACTAATATTCATTGCCAGGTAGATAACAATAAATCCTTAGTTCATAGGCCTCATTTTCTAGTTTTAAAAAACTGTCACTTGATTCCAAGAAGATATTGTTCAGCTCAAAAAAACATTTCTGGGAGCTGAAAAATAAAAATAAATAGCTTTAGAAAAATAATCTTTTATGTCTTTTTCATGCCAGAAGCATTTGCAGAATATGTGAAAAGAATCTCTTTCAAATTCTTTCCCTAAATCTGATCAAATGGTTTCCCTTGCCAGCTACAAGCATCTAATAAATAAATATTTATTAGGCAGCTACTATGTGCTACACACTCCAGTAGTAAGGCTTCCAGAAGACGTTATATGCCTGTGACCTTTTTTGAAAACCACAGATATAGCCTATGGTGAGGCACCAAGCTTCATCACACAGCTGGAGAGTCCTGAATTATACACCCAAGGACCCCACCCCATGACTGGCACCCTCCCTGCCTTGCTCCTGCCAGTTCCACCTATCCCAGGACTGACTGGAGACCTGGTTCTGAACCCTAGCTAACCCTGTGGCTGGGGCCTGCATCAGCCAACATGCAAGGAGGAAAACAGACACTGTTCTGAGTATTTAGAATAGAGAAAATTTAATGAGGGGAATTGGTGACATGGGTGATAGAGTAGCTGAGAAGCCAATAGGGGATGTTAAAGTATCCCAGATATTGGCACCAATAGGAAGGCATTTCCACATCTAGGCTGGAGGGATGGAAAAAGATGTAATTAGAGCCCAGGAGCTGTGGTCAGCTAGTGGGACCAAGAACCATAGTGGGCCTATCTGATGAAAGCTGGAACCATGAAGAAGACACAATTGCAGCCAAAGAAGGTGTCTAAGATAGAGAATAAGATAGAGAAAAGGGAGAAATACCCTGGCTTCTCCCTTCTGCTTTCCAAACTCAGATCAGTACCTCTCACTAGCCAATCCCAGCTGGAAGTCAGTCTATAAAGGGACCTAGGAAACAGCCTGCAGGAGTCAGGACACCCCTGATACACTGAGCTGGACAGGGAAAGAACTGGAGAATAAATCTAACAACAAGTAACCCAGGACTGGTATAGCACTGGTATGACACTTCTCGGATGCCACATGCTGACCTGTTTTCTGGCTTTCTTGCAGCTGAGCTTTTCATAGGAGCCTACCAAAATTCCCTATTATCTCTTGCTGAAACTCCTTATTGCCACCTTCTTGCCTGAGTGCACACTGGAATCACCTGGAGACCATTTGAAAAAGCACTGATTCCCAGGCTTCTCTCCAGACACTGAATGGGAGTCTTTGGAGAGGAAGTAGAGAAACCTATATTTTTAACATCTCAAGGTGATTCTTTTGTAGGTAGTCTTTGGACTCATTTTTTAAGGCAATTCTTAAACATGGAGCTACTCTATTTCCAAATTTCTGAATCTCCCAAGTCTTCTTTCATCCTACCAGAATGAAACCTACTATCCCTGACTGGATTGTAGAATAAGGGTGGTCTCCACATAAACACACAATATTTAATATATGAAAATAGATGGAACTTTATATTTACATTATTGCTAAAATCCACCTGATGGATTAATTTCAATATCATTTTTACTAACTGCATAATGTCTAATGATATTTGTGAATATACTGTACAATTGTTCTGGTTTAAATTTAGTTAAGCTTGGCATTAAAAAAGACTCTCACCTAGGTGCAGTAGCTCACACCTGTAATGCCAGCACTTTGGGAGGCTGAAGTGGGAGGATTACTTGAGGCCAGGAGTTCAAGTCCAGCTTGGGCAACATAACCCCATCTCTATAAAAAAAAAAATTAAAATTAAAAAAAACACTTACTGTGGCCGGGTGTGGTGGCTCATTCCTGGTAATCCTAGCACTTTCGAAGGCCAAGGCAGGTGGATGGCTTGAGTCCAGGAGTTCAAGACCAGCCTGGGAAACATGGCAAAACCCCACCTTTACTAAAAATACAAAAATTAGCTTGGTGTGGTGGCATGTGCCTGTAGTCACAGCCACTTGGGGGGCTAAGGTGGGAGGATCGCTTGAACCCGGGAGGTCAAGGCTGCAGTGAGCTGTGATCGCGCCACTGCACTGCAGCCTGGGTAACAGCCTGGGTGATCTGTCTCATTTAAAAACAAAAACAGCCAGTCATGGTGGCTCACACCTGTAATCCCAGCACTTTGGGAGTCCGAGACTGGCGGATCACCAGAGGTCAGGAGTTTGAGACCAGACTGGCCCACATGGTGAAACCATGTATCTACTAAAAATACAAAAATTAGGTGGGCGTGGTGGCGGGCGCCTGTAATCCCAGCTACTCAGTAGGCTGAGGCGAGATAATCACTTGAACCGGGCAGGCGGAGGTTACTGTGGCTGAGAATGTGCCATTGCACTCCAGCCTGGTCAACAAGAGCAAAACTCCGTCTCAAAATAAATAAATAAATAAAAATAAAATAAAAACAACAAAAAAAGACTATGGGCAGCTGCAGCAAGATGTAGCTCCCAGTCAGCCATGCGACCAGGAGGATAAACAACCCAAACTCTACAGTGTACTGTGTGGATACCCAAGTGCCTATTTTCCAGCCTTATCAGAAGAGAGATAAATTGATGACCCTGCCACTGCAGCATCTTCATCACGCAGCAATTCATGTTAGTTCAATGCTTTAAACATTCTTCAGGCTCCGTATGCTTTCGGCTGTGTACGTTAATGGTGAGTGCCCATGTACAACCATTCTGTTTTTTGAGCTCAGTATTCAATAAATTACATGAAATATTTAACACTTTATTAAAAAGTAGGCTTTGTGTTAGATGGGTTTGCCTACAGGTTAATGTAAGTGTTCTGAGCACATTTAAGGCAGCCCAGGCTAAGCTATGATGTTCAGTGGGTTAGATGTATTAAATACATTTTTGACATATGATATTTTCAATTTATGATTTATTGGAACATAAACTCATCATAAATCAAGGAGCATCTGTACAGAGGAAAAGATAGGGCTGAAGTAATGGGGCTCTGAGCCCTGATCTGGCTTGAAGCAAAGCAGATTTTTCTTTAGTGTTTTACATATTAGGTTTCTATATACAACTTTATTTGAATAAAGGGTTCCACTTTTTCATTTTTTACAATCCCATATTCTGGGCAATGCCTTACGTAGAGCAAATTAATAAAAACTTCCATGGGCTGGGCATGGTGGCTCACGCCTGTAATCCCAGCACTTTGAGAGGCCGAGGTGGGCGCATCACCTGAGGTCAGGAGTTCAAGACCAGCCTGACCAACATGGTGAAACCCCATCTCTATTACAAATACAAAATTAGCTGGGCATGGTGGCACATGCCTGTAATCCCAGCTACTTGGGAGGCTGAGGCAGGAGAATCACTTGAACCGGAAAGGCGGAGGTTGCAGTGACTCAAGCATTGCACTCCAGCCTGGGCAACAAAGCGAAACTCCGTCTCAAAAACAAAACCAAAAACAACAACAAAAAAAAACAAACAAGCAAAAAACAACCTTCCAAATTGTAGGGTCTAATATGTTTGATGTTTCTAGGAAGGAGATTTTGTTGTTGTTGTTTTTGTTGTTGTTTTTGAGACAGGGTCTCACTCTGTCATCCAGGCTGGAGTGCAATGGCACAATCATGGCTCACTGCAGCCTCAACCTCCTGGGCTTAAGCAATCCTCCTGCCTCAGCCTCCCAAATAGCTGGGACTACAGGCATGTGCCACCAGGCCAGGCTCATTTTTTAAAAATTATTTTTAGTAGGACAGGGTTTTGCTATGTTACCCAGGCTTGTTTTGAACTCCTGGACTCAAGTGATCCTCCCATCTCAGCCTTCTAAAGTGCTAGGATTACAGGCTGAGCCATTGCACCTAGATAGAAGCAGATTCTTCTTTTTTTCTTTTCTTTTCGACATAGTCTCGCTCTGCCCAGGCTGAGGTGCAGTGGCGCGATTTCAACTCACTGCAACCTCCGTCTCTCAGGCTTCAGTGATTCTCAAGCCTCAGCCTCCTGAGTAGCTGGGATTACAGGTGCATGCCACCACACCCAGCTGTTTTTTTGTTTTTTTCGTTTGTTTGTTTTTGAGATGGAATTTCGCTCTTGTTGCCCAGGCTGGAGTGCAATGGCACGATCTCAGCTCACTGCAACCTCCACCTCCTGGGTTCAAGTGATTATCCTGCCTCAGCCTTCTGAGTAGCTGGGATTACAAGCATTAGCCACCATTCCCAGCCAATTTTTTGTATTTTTAGTAGAGACGGGGTTTCACCGTGTTGGCCAGGCTGGTCTGGAACTCCTGACCTCAAGTGATCCGCCCACCTCGGTCTCTCAAAGTGCTGGGATTACAGGTGTGGGCCACTGTGCCTGGCCTAATTTTTGTATTTTTTAGTTGAGACGGGGTTTCTCCATATTGGCCAGGCTGGTCTTGAACTTCTGACTTCAACTGATCCGCCCCCCTGGGCCTCCCAAAGTGCTAGGATTATAGGATGAGCCACCACGCCTAGCCCAGAAGTGGATTCTTGATCAAGCTGTGATTTAATGCAGCTTGGAGACATGTTGAAACAGGCTCATTAGTCTGCATTTTAACTACAGGTTTTTTTTTTATGATGATGGTCTTACAGCTGTCATCAGACATGTCTCCAGGAACAATGTATGCATAAACAAAGGGATGAGAAACTAGATCAGCAAACATTGTGATCAGAAAACACTGTGGTTTCCTGATCTGCTAATGAACTATTTTAGTCAGAAACCTCCTGTTGGTCTGACATGGCTGTTTTTTAAAAAATATTTTCCACTGAAATATACAGCTTAAGTGATTTGAATTTGCTATCAAGAAATAATTTTTCATCTTTGAAATATTGGTTTATTTTCTTGGTAAAATTATGGAATGTGACCCTTTCATCTACTTTTACCTTTTTGATCTTTATTCTATCTTTACAAATATTTTGCAATATTTAAAATCACTTAGATATTTGTCTCCAGCAAGACACATTTTTTAGCCACATTGAGTCCCACTCAGGATGTGTTTAAGGCCACTAGTGTTTTGTGGCTTTAACACAGCCACTAGTTTTACCAGTTAAAAACAGTGAGGGATAAGCGTCTCATGTATACTGTTTGCAGGATTAGTAAAGTTCTAATGACTTGGCTGGGTGTGGTGGCTCACGCCTGTAATCCCAGCACTTTGGGAGGCTGAGGCGGGCGGATCACAATGTCAGGAGATCGAGACCATCCTGCCTAACATGGTGAAATCCCGCCTCTACTAAAAATACAAAAAATTAGCCAGGCTTGGTGGCAGGCGCCTGTAGTCCCAGCTACTCAGGAGGCAGGCAGGAGAACCGCTTGAACCTGGGAGGCAGAGGTTGCAGTGAGCTGAGATTGTGTCACTGCACTTCAGCCTGGGTGACAGAGCGAGACTCCGTCTCAAAAAAAAAAAGTTCTAATGACTTGATTAGTCATATTCATGTGACTTAGAAGCATTAATTCACTGAATGGGATATTATGCAGCCATTAAAATGATACTTACAAAGTTCATGTAATATCACGAAATGATATATTTAGCTGAAGTGGAGGGCACAATTGCATATGATATACTTATAATCTTTTATTTTTTTATTTTTTGAGACTGAATCTGGCTCTGTTGCCCAGGCTGGAGTGCAGTGGCGTGATCTCGGCTCACTGCAACCTCTGCCTCTCTGGTTCACACCATTCTCCTGCCTCAGCTTCCTGAGTAGCTGAGACTACAGGTGCCTGCCACCACGCCCGGCTGATGTTTTCTGTATTTTTAATAAAGACGGGGTTTCACCGTGTTAGCCAGGATGGCCTCGATCTCCTGACCTCGTGATCCTCCCACCTCGGTCTCCCAAAGTGCTGGGATTACAGGCTTCAGCCACCGCACCTGGCTTATTTTTCATTTTTAAGAGACAGGGTTTTGCTCTGTCACACAGGCTGGAGTACAGTGGCACGATCCCAGCTCACTGTAACCTTGAACCCCTGGGCTCAAATGATCCTCCTGCCTCAGTCTCTCGAGTAGCTGGGACCACAGGCATGCTCCACCATGCTCGACTAACTTTCTGTAGAGACAGCGTCTTTCTATGATGTTGCCTGGCTGATCTCAAATTATTAGCCTCAAGTGATTCTCCCACCTTGGCCTCCCAAAAGTGCTGGGATTACAGGCACTAGTATGATTATATTTAAACATGTATACACAATATCCTTTGATCCAACAGTTCTACTTCCCAAACAGGTGTGCAAAGATACATATGCAAGGATGCCCATTGCATTATTTATAAGGGCAAAAAATTAGAAACCACAAATCTTCACCAGTAGGAATTAGATGGAAAAGTATGGTATACCCATGCAATGGAATACTATGTAGTCATTTTACAAATGGAGTAGATAGGTCAGGCATGGTGGCTCACGCCTGTAATCCCAGCACTTTGGGAGGCCGAGGCGGGTGAATCACTTGAGGTTAGGAGGTCGAGACCAGCCTGGCCAACATGGTGAGATTCCATCTCTACCAAAAAATTCAGGCATGGTGGCACACACCTGCAGTCACAGCTACTTTGGAGGCTGGGATGGAAGAATTGCTTGAACTCAGGAGGCAGAGGTTGTAGTGAGCCAAGATTGCGCCACTGCACCCCAGCCTGGGTGACAGAGGGAGACCCTGTTGTCTCAAAAAACAAAACAAAACAAAACAAAAACCCAAAACCAAATAGAGTAGATATACGTATCTGGACTTTGAAAGATGTCTGGCCGTTTTGTTATGTGGGAAAAAAGGCAAATTACAGAGTAGAATGTAGAGTGTAAGCCATTTGGTTAAAAAAAAAAAGCCAAATCAGTATATATAATAAATAATAGATAAAATGTAATAGATATATATTAGATACTATATGTCATATATGTACACATATATATCAAGTTTTTCACAATAGTTAGCTGTAGGATTGGGATTATTTGAAATGCTAGTTTCTCCTTTATTCACTTCTGTATGTAAATTGTTTATAGTAAGCAAGTCAATTTATAACACATTATAAAACAATACTTTTTTTTTTGAGATGAAGCCCTGCTCTGTCACCCAGGCTGGAGTGCAGTGGCACAATCTTGGCTCACTGCAACCTCTGCTTCCTGGGCTCAAGTGATTCTCCTGCCTCAGCCTCCCGAGTAACTGGAATTACAGGCGCCCACCACTACGCCTAGCTAATTTTTTGTGTTTTTAGTAGAGATGGGGTTTCACCATGCTGGCCAGGCTGGTCTCGAACTTCTGACCTTGTGATTCGCTCGCCTCGGCCTCCCAAAGTCCTCGGATTACAGGCATGAGCCACTGTGCCCGGCCTAGAACTTATTCCTTCTATCCACTTGTATTTTTATACCCCTTAACCAACTTCTCTCTGGAGTCCATTTTATTTATGTATTTTTTACTTTAATTTTTCCATAGGTTAATGGGGTACAGATGCTGTTTGGTTACATAAGTTCCTTAGTGGTGATTTGTGAGATTTTGGTGCACTCATCACCTGAGCAGTATACACCGCACCCAGTTTGTAGTCTTTTATCCCTCGCCCCTTTCCCACCCTTCCCCCTAAGTCCCCAAAGTCCATTGTATCATTCTTATGCCTTTGCATCCTCATAGCTTAGCTCTTACATATCAATGAGAGCATACGATATTTGGTTTTCCATTCCTGAGTTACTTCTCTTAGAATAATAGTCTCCAGTCTCATCCAGGTCACTGCAAATGCCCTTAATTAATTCTTTTTTATGGCTGAGTAGTATTCCATTATATATATAGATATATATAATATATATCATATATATGTTATATATATGATATATATATAATATATATATCATATATATAACATATATATGATATATATATAAAAATACACACATATCTCACAGTTTCTTTATCCACTCATTGATTGATGGGCATTTGGGTTGATTCCACAATTTTGCAATTGCAAATTGTGCTGCTATAAATATGTGTGTGCAAATATCTTTTTCTTTTTCTTTTTTTATTTTTTTCTGAGATGGAGTCTTGTTCTGTTGCCCAGAGCTGGAGTGCAATGGTGCAATCTCGGCTCGCTGCAACTTCTGCTTCCTGGGTTCAAGCAATTCTCCTGCCTCAGCCTCCTGAGTAGCTGGGATTACAGATGCCCGCCACCACACCCAGCTAATTTTTGTATTTTTAGTAGAGACAGGGTTTCACCATATTGGCTAGGCTGGTCTCAAACTCCTGACCTCAGGTGATCTGCCCACCTCAGCCTCCCAAAGTTCTGGGATTACAGGTGTGAGCCACCACTCCCAGCTGCAAGTATCTTTTTCGTATAATGACTTCTTTTCCTCTGGGTAGATACCCAGTAGTGGGATTGCTGGATCAAATGGTAGTTCTATGGAGTACATTTTAAACAGGCAATACATTTGGCAGGTTTCCAGAGCATTAGCATCTTGTGGCAACAGGTCCGTCCAACCCTGTGACATCAGCTTATTTCTCAGAAGACCTCACAGCTTAGTGTTTCTCAGAAATTTTGGCCATCCAACGCAAAGATGTGGACGTCAGGTCCTCACCTCAGAGATTCCTTTTCTGGTAAACTCTCTTGCGGGCAGATTTTAATATGCCAAGAAAACTTCTGCAATGGTCTTCTGTTGCCCTGGAATTTGAATTATTAGATCATAATCCATAAATGGTAACTACACTCAAGAGACTCCTGCTAGGAGACTCCCTGTTTTCTCAGCGCTTACAGCCCTTGCTGATTTTCCACCTTTCTAACAAAGGAGGGATGAGAGGGAAGAACAAAGGGTCGCCAAGCCAAAATCCTAAATCAACAACAGAGACCACGGCAGGCAGGCGGGATTCGCCGCAAAACCAGAAAGACAACCAGATTTATGGCATTTGAGTCGCCAAATAGAACTATCATTTTGCAAGGAGCTTGCTAATGGAAACTGTTTCATCGATGAAAAATCATCAAATTGCTTCAGTTCTTTGCTGGGTAAAACTCATGTTTTTAATTGGTACACCCTAAGGCTTTGTGGCAAGGGTTGCAGAATACATAAATAAAGTCGTTTCATGACATAAAATCTTTTCAAATGCTAAAATTAGGAAAGGAAAGAAAAGTTGATTCAAATGCCACGGAGACAAAAATGTGTTTTTCTGGGACAAAGGAGAATGAATGATTTAAGTTCATGGCAATTTTTAGTCTCATTTGTGCACACATACAAATAATCCTTTTTAAAAATTGTATTCAGCACTTGGGTACAAGTACATGTTGTACCCAGGAAGTTCAAATGACGATTATCATTATTAATACCCTTGTTTTCCTTGCTTGCTTATTGCCAAATAAAACAACAAATTAAACACAAACTGCTGTAGTAAAATGACCAGGAGCACAAGTGTCCTAGATAGAAAAGGCCTGGTCAGCATTTCTATTTCCTATAAGGAAGGCCTCTTCACTTGCAAAGATGGGCTCTCGGAGAAACTTAACACTGTATCGCAGTGACAACTTTCCCATTTCACAGGCAAAAGAATGTCCCACATTTCCTTGACTATGATGGAAACAGGGACAAACACTCCTTAGGTGGTTACCTGCTCAGCAGGGAAAATAAAAAGAGGCCCTGAGGGATGCTAAAAAATATTAACTTGCCATTAAAAGTAATTATAAAAAACGCAATTACTTTTGCACCAACCTAATACTATCTCAGAGACTGTGTTTTCTCTCTGGAAATACAAGCTCTATGCAGGGTCAGGTGTGGTTTTGTGTTGTTTTCTCCGGGGGGTTTTTGCACAGAGTCCTCCTATCTTTGTAGACAATTCTCAGTCAGTTTTGAGACAGGAGACTGGAGTGGGGATGCTTTAGTCCCAGAGGTATGCAGTTTTCAGCGAAAGTGGCCAAAGGAATGTCCCAACCAGACATTTCTACCAATGAGGCAAGCTAAGGGATTCTTACTAATTTTTTGGAATTTCACTGAGCTGTGGAAGGAAGAAATGAGTATGGTTTCCTTTTTTCTTTCTTTCTTTTTTTCTTAAACCTGAAACAGGAGCAGGATTGTAGCTGTCACAAGCTGACTCAATATCTTTTGCAGCACCAAAGCCTTTAAAATCCTTGGAGCACTTGTGAGAACTAATGTTTATGTTGGGACCTTTACATTAGTTGAGGTGTGTGTGAGTGTGTGTGCGTGTGTGCATGTGTGTGTGTGTGTATGCAAGTGCCATGTGCACAGTGCCAACCATCTGCCCGGTGGCTCCACATCTGAGGAGGGTGGCAAGAGCGAATCATTCTCTCCTTGGTCTGGAATAACTTAACCCTGCAGAGAAATAGACTTCAGTTCAACAGTTAAAAAATGGAAGAATCAGAATGAGGTTTGCAGCAAGCCCAAGAACGCCCTTGACATTCAAACCACGCACCCTAGCCTCCCTCACTACCAGACCTGTAAGTCTCCTGTCTCTACCCTGTCTGTATAAGTTCTGTGCAGTGTCAGAATTCAGACTGTAGGCCTCAAAACCTTGTGAGATTTTATTTCTTGGAGATAAGCCTAAGACCCAGTTGCAGAGGGTTGATTTCAATTCCTCCCTTAAGAGAGACCACTAAATTAAAAATATACTGAACAAAGGAGACCGTGTGGCTTGAAAAATTCACTTTTATCAGATTTATACCAGGGTAACTTAGCATTTATCCAGTAATTGGTTCCCAAGTTAAAACATTTTGGAAATAAATTTATGGATCAGTTCCCTGGAATGTTCAACGGGTACTTGTGGGGAAAAGCAAGAGAGATCAGATTGTTACCGTGTCTGTGTGGAAAGAAGTAGACATAGGAGACTCCATTTTGTTCTGTACTAAGAAAAATTCTTCTGCCTTGAGATTCTGTGACCTTACCCCCAACCCCGTGCTCTCTGAAACATGTGCTGTGTCAACTCAGAGTTGAATGGATTAAGGGCAGTGCAAGATGTGCTTTGTTAAACAGATGCTTGAAGGCAGCATGCTCCTTAAGAGTCATCACCACTCCCTAATCTCAAGTACCCAGGGACACAAAAACTGCGGAAGACCGCAGGGACCTCTGCCTAGGAAAGCCAGGTATTGTCCAAGGTTTCTCCCCATGTGATAGTCTGAAATATGGCCTCGTGGGAAGGGAAAGACCTGACCGTCCCCCAGCCCAACACCCGTAAAGGGTCTGTGCTGAGGAGGATTAGTAAAAGAGGAAGGAATGCCTCTTGCAGTTGAGACAAGAGGAAGGCATCTGTCTCCTGCCTGTCCCTGGGCAATGGAATGTCTCGGTATAAAACCCGATTGTATGCTCCATCTACTGAGATAGGGAAAAACCGCCTTAGGGCTGGAGGTGGGACCTGCGGGCAGCAATACTGCTTTGTAAAGCATTGAGATGTTTATGTGTATGCATATCTAAAAGCACAGCACTTAATCCTTTACATTGTCTATGATGCAAAGACCTTTGTTCACGTGTTTGTCTGCTGACCCTCTCCCCACAATTGTCTTGTGACCCTGACACATCCCCCTCTTTGAGAAACACCCACAAATGATGAATAAATACTAAGGGAACTCAGAGGCTGGCGGGATCCTCCATATGCTGAACGCTGGTTCCCCGGGTCCCCTTATTTCTTTCTCTATACTTTGTCTCTGTGTCTTTCTCTTTTCCAAATCTCTCGTCCCACCTTACGAGAAACACCCACAGGTGTGGAGGGGCAACCCACCCCTACAGGTACTCTTTTGCACTGGTAAAATAATAGCTTTGAAAAGGGTTATTGAGCCAGTTTACATGTGAGTCTACCCTTAGGAAATCTCAGTGTGACTGTGAAGTTCATTACCATGGCTAGAAAAATGACAAAAGATTTTCTTCCTGTAGTGTGTGTTAGGTTATGTCTTTCATGTGGGAAATATGGTAGGTTATCATTTTCAAAGTATAATTTGTAGAAAGTAAAAAGCATGGCCCTTAACACAAATATTTAAGTAAGCACATGTCAAATATTTACTTACCTTGTTAATTGGGGAGCCATCAAGATGGTGAAACTGGTTCACAGGAGAATTCAAGAGACTGAATATCTGCAATTTATGAAAGAAATAATCTAGAAATAAGATTACTACATTAGATTTTTTTTTTTCGCTCTGTCACCCACGCTGGAGTGCAGTGGCGTAACCTTAGCTCACTGCAACCTCCGCTTCCCAGGCTCAAGCAATTATCCTGCCTCAGCTTCCCGAGTAGCTGGGACTACAGGTACCTGCCACCACATCTGGCTAATTTTTTGTATTTTAGTAGAGATGGGGTTTCACCATGTTGCCCAGGCTGGTCTTGAACTCCTGAGCTCAGGCAATTCGCCCACCTTGGCATCCCAAAGTGCTAGGATTACGGGCGTGAGCCACCTCACCTGTGCCTAAATTAGATTTTTAAAAAACTTGATAGATATGCACAATGGTACAGTCACTTTAGGAGCCACCTAATTTAGGAGCCACTGCACCTAAATTAGATTTTTAAAAAACTTGGTAGATATGCAAAATGGTACAGTCATTTTAGAAGATAGTTTGGCAGTTTCTTTCTTTCTTTTTTTTTTTTTGAGATGGAGTCTTGCTCTGTCACCCAGGATGTAATGTAGTGGTGCGATATCAGTTCAGTGCAACCTCCACCTCCTGAGTTCAAGGGATTCTCCTGCCTCAGCCTCCTGAGTAGCTGGGGCCACAGGTGTGCGCCACCACGCCTAGCTAATTTGTGTATTTTTAGTAGAGATGGGGTTTCACCATGTTGGCCAGGCTGATCTCGAACTCCTGACCTCAGGTGATCCACCTGCCTCAGCCTCCCAAAGTGCTGGGATTATAGGCGTGAGCCACTGCACCCAGCCGATGGTTTCTTATAGAGATAAACATACTCCTACCATATAATCCAGCAGTCATACTCCTAGGTATTTACCCAAATGAGTTCAGAACTTATGTTCACACAAAAACCTGCATGCCAAAGTTTATAGCGGCTTTATTTATAGGTGCCAAAAGCTGGCAGCAACAAAAACATCCCTCAATAGTTGAATAGGTGAACAAACTGTGATATTGGCCATTTAATGAAGTATTATATAGCATTAAAAAGAAATGAGCTATCAAGCCACAGAGAGACATGAAGGAATCTTGAATGCATATTGCTAAGTAAAAGAAGCCAATCCACGAAGGCTACATATTATTAATTTAACTATATGACATCCTGAAAAAGGCAAAACTGTAGTGACAATAAAAAGGTCAGGGATTGCCAGGAGTTCAGGGGAGGGATGAATAGGTGAAGCACATTAGATTTTTAGGATAGTGAAATATTCTGTATAGCATTGTAATGGTGGATGCATGACATTTTGTGTTTGTTAAGACCTGTAAAACTGTACAACACAAATAATGAACCCTAATGTAAACTGTGGAATTTAGTTAATGATAATTTGTCGGTACTGGTTCATCAATTATAACAAATGTACCACACTAATGCAAGATGTTAATACAGTAATAGGAGAAACTGTGGGGGTAAGAGTGGAGGAAGAGAGGATATATGGGAACTGTCTGTACAATCTGCCTAATTTATCAGCAAATCAAAAACTTGTAAAAAGGAAAGGTCTATTATTTTTTTTAAAAAACTTGTTTAATGTCCTGTAGGGTAATAAAACTATACACTCTGGAATTCTCTTTTCTTTTATTTTTTTAAATACAGGGTCTCACTCTGTTACAGGACAGAGTGCAGTGGCAAGATCACAGTGGATCACTGTAGCCTCAATCTCCCGGGCTCAAGTGATCCTCCCACCTTGGCCTACCGAGTAGCTGGGACTACAGGCGCACAGTACTAGGCCTGGCTAGTTTTTTTTTTGTTTTTTTGTTTTTTTTTTTTAAATAGAGACAGGATTTCACCATGTTACCCAGGCTGGTCTTGAACTCCTGGGATCAAATGATCCACCCACCTCCACCTCCTAAAGTGCTGGGACTACAGGCATGAGCCACTGTGCCTGGCCTGGAATTCCCTTTTCTATCCAACAGATATAATTTACAACTCTACTCTAGAAAAATAATTTTCATGTACAAAGTTGCATCTTTGGTGCACCTTTATGAAATAATAGATAAATGCACCAAAATAAATAAATGCACAAAGGTGCATTTATTTATTCTTATAAAGTTAATGTTTGCTGTTGGGGAAAAGCATGGGCTTTGGGGTCAGACAATCCTGGTTTTGTATCTTAGTTGGAATGTCTGTTTTTGTGTTACTCTGAGCAAATATTGCATTGTATTTCATTTCTCTAAGGGTCAGTTTCCTCATATGAATATAGGGATAGGCCAGGTGCGGTGGCTCACGCCTGTAATCCCAGCACTTTGGGAGGCCGAGGCAGGTGGATCCTTGAGGCCAGGAATTTGAAACCAGCCTGGCCAACATGATGTAACCTTGTCTCTACTACAAATACAAAAATCAGACGGGTGTGGTGGTGCAGACCTGTAATCCCAGCTACTCAGGATGCTGAGGCAGGAGAATCGCTTGAATCTTAGAGGTGGAGGTTGCAGTGAGCGGAGATCATGCCACTTCACTCCAGCTTGGGTAACAGAGCAAGACTCTGTCTTAAAAAAAAAAAAAAAAGAAAGAAAAGAAAATAGGGATAAGAATATCTATTTCACAGGGCTTTTGTGAGCATTAAATTAGATAAGTTATATAAATTACCTAGCATGGTGGTAGATCCTGGATCCAAACCCAGGCAGTGATGCTTCAGAGCCCATGCTTTTCATTGCTATCATCTGACTTTCCAGCCTACATGGAGAACTAACTGATAGGTCAAAATACAATACAGGGGCTGGGCACAGTGGCTCACGCCTGTAATCCCAGCATTTTGGGAGGCCAAGTCTGGTGGATTGCTTGAGGTCAGGAGTTTGAGACCAGCCTGGCCAACATGCTGAAAACCCATTTCTACTTAAAAAATACAAAGAATTAGCCTGGCATGGTGGTGCGAACCTGTAGTCCCAGCTACTCGGGAGGCTGAGACAACAGAATTGCTTGAACCCGGGAGGCAGAAGTTGCAGTGAGCCAAGATCACGCCACTGCACTCCAGCCTGGGTAACAGAGCGAGACTCCGTTTCAAAAAAAAAAAAAAAAATACAGTTTGTGGGGTGGGAGGGGTGTGTGTATTGTTCCAGAAAGGCAACACAAGGAATCCTTGTGGTGATGAAACCGTTCTGCATTTTGACTGTAGGGTGGATAGACAAAACTACACAAGTGATAATATTGTGTAAATACACCACCGCCCCCCCACCCCACCCCCCCCCCCCCGCCCAGTACAAGTAAAACTGGGAAATCTGGATGAAATTGCTGATTGTATCAACAGGCTGATTGTGATATTATACCATAGTTATAGAAAATGGTAACATTTCTACAAACAAAAAAACCCTCCTGAACAACAAAAAACTTAATGAATCCAATATTTTGAAAGATTTGGGAAACTATCCCAAAACATCCCAAAACTATCCCAAAAGCAAAGCTTGAAGCAACGTAAATTTTTTTTAATGGGGTCTCACTCTGTCACCCAGACTGGAGGGCAGCGGCGTGGTCACGTCTCACAGCTCTCTGCAGCCTTTACCTGCTGGGCTCAAGTGATTGGTCCACCTCAGCTTCCTGAGTAGATGGGACTACAGGCACATGCCACCATGTCCGGCTAATTTTTGTAATTTTTGTAGAGATAGGGTCTCACTATGTTGCCCAGGCTGGCCTCAACCTCCCAAAGTGCTGGGGTTACAGGCGTGAGCCACCATGCCCAGACACAACACAAATTGTTTAGTGTCTGTCCATTTAATCCCAGTTACTGAAAGTGAAACATAAGTGTGCAGTAAACATGATAACCATTCCACTATGGAAACCTCAACGAAAGTGAAACATAGTGAAATGGGCTCCAAATTATCAAAAGAGCTCCTTTTGGTCCAAATCATCTTGATATGTACCTAGAATCTCCACTTCAGCTTGTGTTTGGACACAGCTCAGCAAACAAATCTTTCATCATCATTAGGAATATCAAGATGAAGTGATATTTCAAAGAACTTAGCTGGTTCCATAGATAAGAAACTTTTACAGAAGTACATGTCAAACAGATCTTGCCCAACGGCTGAAGTAACAGATGAAATCCAACTGGTTTCCACAGAGTCTTATCTTTTCTTTCTGTGTGTTTGTTCTTATGCAAGTTCTGGGGCATTTATTTGGTTTTGAATATCTTCCTGCTGTGTGACTGTGGTTGAAATAATGAGTTGCTTGAATCACTTGCCTATTTTCTCTCTCATTTTTTTTTTTTTTTAAAGAGATGGGGTCCCACTATGTTGCTCAGGCTGATCTTGAACTCCTGAGCTCAAGTGATCCTCCCACTTGGGCCTCCCGAAGTCACTTGCCCATTCTCTAAGAGTATCCCATTATTGAAGACATTTCTGAACTAATTGATTTGCCTATATCAGGTTTACTGGCTTAAGAAGTGATTGAGAAGAGTAATAAAAACACAAGTCGGGTTTTTATTGCCAAAACAAAAACAGAAAATTATCCTGAGACTTCATTACTCATTTCTATTGTGGCAGATGCTGATGTTGCATCTGCCTGTTCTTGGAACATTTCTCTCACCACTCAAACTATACTTCCATTAGAAGACTGAAGAGGGAAGAAATAGAGAAAAACTTTTTCTATGGTGGCTTCATATCATAGTTCAATCTCACTTGATAGGTCAACTGCAAATTTATGATAAATCATGATATATGATGCCACATGATTCTACCATTGAAATATATTCAATCTCTCAGATAAAAGATGGTTGTTACAAAGGGGTAAAAAAAAGAAACCCTTTACTGGGTTTATTGAATTGGCAACTTGCTTTAAACCCTAAACAGTGGCAGTACTATTATTGTGCTCTGAACAGAGTGGGTGTTCCACAAATTCTTATTAATTATCTGTGATAAGAAGTCACAGGAAAAGAAAACAATCTACACATGGAACTATCCCAGTTAGAATTTGACAAAGACATTTGGCTTTTTAAAAAACCAACCCTCTTTTTGAAAATGTTTCTATTATTGCTTTTATTTTAATTAAAAATCTTTTGTTTGTACAGCCACAGCTATGAATATATCTCAGGGCTTTCCAAAATACCTTACAACTGTGGCATGAGGTCAAACCACTGAAAAAGACAATGGAGTGGATTGATGAACAGAGGAGAAAATTGCCTGCATGTCTGGACTTCTTCCTTTCAGGCTCCCACGAGCTCCGCCGAGAAGAGGCTGCCAATAGTGTATAAAGGTCTGCCCTTGGCTGCAAATAACTATGCTATTCTGAGGACGAGGCCACTATAAGGCAATGAAGCCAGTGTATTTGTGAGTTGAACTCAGAACTTCAGATTCCTACAAGGAGGTTTCTAGTGGATCATGCTAAGTCAGAATGAAATCAGAATTAGATCAATGCTTTTCTAAAGGTGCATGTACTGAGAGTGCACAGAAAGCCAGAATTCACGATGCCAGTCTCTGGTCTGAACCCCATACAGGCAGGTTAGTTTGGCCCTGATCCCAGCATGCACATTTCTCTCTGCACTTCTAGTCAGCTGTGTGACCAGCGACAGTTGTTAGGATGGGTGGAAAGTAGGCAGAAATCTGTGTATACCCATCACTCTTGGAAAACCAGTCATAAGCCTGACAGATGTTTTTATAGACAGAAGGCAGAATATTAACTAGTGATCAGAAAATTAAGGCAATTTTGTCTCAAATTGTCTTTCTTCTGCCATTGTGATCATAGTATCCTGGGCCATGCCAGGATATAAAGTTGGTTGGGGCTATTGTTGTGGTTGCTTATCAGGAGGAAATCGTTTTCTAAATCAGCATGTTTCCTATGTTCCCATTTTTGCTAATGGTACCACCACTTTCCTGTTATCCAGCCTTGAAACCTCAGAGACTCACCCTAAACTCTTCTATCATCCACCACATATAATTAGCCAGTACAGTCAACTTATTACTTTTTTCCCTCACAATATCTCTTGTACCTGTACCTGTCCATTTTCATTTCTACTGCAATTCTCTCACGGCTAATACAGCAATGGCCTTTTAGCACTCCAGTTATTTCCCTCCGAAAATTCATCTGCCTAACTCCATTCATCATGTCATTCCTTTGCTCAAAAGCTTTCAGCAGGGCTGGATGTGGTGGCTCACGTCTGTAATCCCAGCACTTTGGGAGGCCGAGGTGGGTGGATCCCTTGAGGTCAGGAGTTCGAGACCAGCCTGGCCAAAATGGTGAAACCCCGTCTCTGCTAAAAATACAAAAATTAGCCAGGTGTAGTGGCACACGCCTGTAATCCCAGCTATTTGGTAGGCTGAGGCAGGAAAATCGCTTGAACCCAGGAGGCGGAGGTTGCAGTGAGCAGAGATCATGCCAACGCACTCCAGCCTGGGTGACAGAGCAAGACTCTGTCAAAAAAAAAAAAAAAAAAAAAAGCTTTCAGTGGCATGTTCCTGTATGCTATCAGATAAAGGTCTAAATTCAGCCAAGCATCCACAAGCTATGAAAATCCAGCCTGGAGTTGCACTTCCCATCTTATCTCCCTGGGAAGATAGGGAAGATCTCTATCTTCCCAAATTAGTCTGTCTACTGACCCTAAAATATTTGACTAATTCCTACTCTCCTTTGCCTTTCCAAGGCTGTGGCCCCTGCCTGGGATGCTCTCCTTTGCCAGTACTTAGTCATGCACCCTGGTGTTCTTAGGTCACTTCTCTGTATATAGCTCTTGCCTCCCCAGCTAAATATCCTACTCTGTACTGGCTGGTTCTGCAATCTGTGTTTTTAGCTTCAAATAACTTCTTAGATATATATGTTTTTTTTAAAGCTGTATTATTTGAATTTTTGGTATAAAATTATGGAATCCAGGCTATGGTGAGTTACTGATTGTCATCCACTTGTCTATGCATTCTGGAACCTGGTGGGTTCTATATGATAAATGGCATCTACACACTAAAATAATTTGTCCTAGGTGAAAATACTGAAATATAGAGTAGTATTGCTGACAGGAATTTAAGTGACTGTCTCCCACCTGGCAATTCAAAGTTGGGTTCACAGACTGGCAGTGTTGTATCACCTGGGAGTTTGTTAGAAATGTCACATCTTGGGCCCACCCCTGGCCTGCTGATCAGACTCTGTATTATAACAAGATACCTGGATAATTTGTGTGCACGGGAAAGTCTGAGAAGCACTAAGACAATCCCCACCAAGATCTAGAGGGATTGCATGACATGGTAAAAAGGAGGCGGTGTGACTTAAATGGAAATTATTCTGAAGTATGCACCAGAAGTGGTGTGTTTCATGTCAATTACCAGCTGGTGATTCTGGAAAAAAATCACTTAACCATTCTGAACTTTGTTTTCTTTCTTCTTTGAGACAGGGTCTTACTCGGTCACCCAGGCTGGAGTGCAGTGGCACGATCTCGGCTCACTGTAACCTCTGCCTCCCAGGCTCAAGCCATTTCCTGCCTCAGCCTCCCGAGTAGCTGGGATTACAGGTGCAGGCCACCACACCCAGCTAATTTTGTGTATTTTTTATAGAGACAGGGTTTTGCCATGTTGCCCAGGTTGGTCTCAAACTCATGAGCTCAAGAGATCTGCCCGCCCCGCCTTCCTAAAGTGCTGGGATTCCAGGTGTAAGCCACTGCACCCAGCTTTATCATTATCATTATTATTATTTTGAGATAGGATCCTGCTCTGTCACCCAGGCTGGAGTGCAGTGGCATGACCACAGCTCGACTTCCTGGGCTCAAGAGATCCTCTCCACCTCAGCCTCCTTAGTAGCTGGGACTACAGGTGTGTGCCACCATGCCTGGCTAATTTTTAATTTTTCTGTAGAGACAGGGTTTTGCAATGTTGCCCGGAGTCTTTCTGATCTTTCAAATGGGAATGATACCTCCCTGTTGTTTCATGGGCTAGTTGCAAGGTTCAAAACAGATAAGCAAGCAAACAAACAAACATATGAAAATGATTTAAAGGCCAGGCGCGTTAGTCATGCCTGTAATCCCAGCATTTTGGGAGGCCGAGTGGGCAGATAACCTGAGGTCAGGAGTTCGACACCAGCCTGACCAACTTGGTGAAACCCATCTATACTAAAAATACAAAAAAATCAGCTGGGTGTGCTGATTTTTTAGTGGCGTGTGCCTGTAATCCCACTTACTTGGGAGGCTCAGGCAGGAGAATCACTTGAACCCAGGAGGCGGCTGTGTCAGTGAGCTGAGATGGCGCCACTGCACTCCAGCCTGGGTGACAGAGAGAGACTCCATCTCAAAAAAAAAAAAAAGAAAACAAAGAAAATGATTTAAAAATTATTTCAGGTTTACATATATTTAAAAATCATTATTATTGGTGTTTTGTAAAAACTGCTTTTCTCAGGGCCAGGTAGTGATTTGTGGCACAGCAGAGACCACCACACAGCTCTCTGCCTTCTAGTCCAGTCTACAACACGTGAGATTCCCATCACTGCAGACTCAGAAGGTCCTTGACACTGCAAGAAGGAGCTGGAACAATCTTTTGATAAAGGTATTTGACAATATGTCCCACGAGTCTTTAAATGTGTTAATATCCTATGACCCAGTAATTTCCCTACTAGGAATCTATCTTTTTATTTTATTTTTTTTAACCTGAGATGGAGTCTCACTCTGTCGCCCAGGCTGGAGTGCGGTGGCGCGATCTCGGCTCACTGCAGCCGCCGCCTCCCAGGTTCAAGCGATTCTCCTGCCTCAGCCTCCTGAATACCTGGGACAACAGGCATACACCACCACACCTGGCTAATTTTTTGTATTCTTGGTAGAGACGGGGTTTCACCATGTTGGCCAGAATGGTCTTGAACTCCTGACCTCGTGATCCTCCTGCCTCAGCCTCCCAAAGTGTTGGGATTACAGGCGTGAACCACTGCGAATGGCCCTAGGAATCTATCTGAAGAAAACAGGCCGGCACAGTGGCTCACACCTGTAATCCCAGCACTTTGGGAAGCTGAGGTGGGGGGATCAACTGAGGTCAGGAGTTCAAGATCAGTCTGGCTAACATGGCGAAACCCCAACTCTACTAAAAATACAAAAATGAACAGGGCATGGTGGCACATGCCTGTAGTCCCAGTTACTTGGGAGGCTGAGGCAGGAAGATTGCTTGAACCCGGGAGGCAGAGGTTGCAGTGAGCTGAGATCGCGCCATTGCACTCCAGCCTGGGTGACAGAGCAAGATTCCGTCTTAAAAAAAAAAAAAAAGAAAAAAGAAAAGAAAAGAAGAAAAGAAACTGAAATGCAGATGGAGAATTATAAGTTATTATGTTCACTGCAGATTTACTTAGAAAACTGCAAACAACCTGAATGTCCAACAACAGGGAATGGTTCAATAAATTGTAAGACATCCATAGGATAGTACATTATGCAGCTATTAAGGTTTCTGTTTAAAACAAATTGTTAAGGACTTGAGAAAATATTTGAAGGCCAGGCAAGGTGGCTCATGCCTGTAATTCCTGCACTTTGGAAGGCTGAGGCGGGCAGATTGCTTAAGCTCAGGAGCCCAGGATCAGTCTGGGCAACATGGCAAGACCCCACTTCTACAAAAAATACAAAAATTAGCTGGGCATGCTGGCGCAGGCCTGTAGTCTCAGCTACTTGGGAGGGTGAGGTGGGAGGATCGCTTGATCCCAGGAGGCAGAGGCTGCAGTGAGCCTAGATTGCACTACTGCACTCCAGCCTGGGTGACAGAAAGACCCTGTCTTAAAAAAAAAATCTGTCTATGTATCTATCTGTGTATCTACGTATCTATCTATCTATCTATCTATCTATCCATCTATAGATATAGATATCTATAGATATATATTTGATATATTAAGCCAAAAAGGAGGTAGATCATAACATTATATATTAAGTATGATCTCAACTATGTTAACAAAAAAAAAAGTGTTTGGGAAAAAGACTACAGGGAGCCATAGGAAAATCTGAAGAGTGCTTGTCTCTGAGCAGTGTCATTTTTAGTTCTGCTTTTCATTTTAAAAAACGATACTGATTACTTTTGATCAGTGTACACAGGAATGCCTAAAATGAATTAGGAAAACTAATTGTTACTCTAAATGCACACAATGAAAGTGAAGTTGTGTTTGCTGGTTAGTAGCTGTGGTTACTTTTAAAATAATGTCTTGGTTCCCTCCCCCACCCACTCCTGCTGCTTCCTCTCTCATTTTGAATAGGAAATGCGTACATAAGATTTAAAAAAAAATTTTTAGTCCCAACATTACAGTTAGGTACACAATATAGTAAATCTCCCTTCTACCTGCTCTCTCAGGCCAATTTCTGATATCCCAGAAGCAACCACTGATATCAGTTTCTTCTGTTCCCTTCCAGTCTATGAATTTCTCCTAAAAAGTAATACACTAGAGGTTCTTCTACACCTCTTTTTCTTTTTAAAAAACTTTTTATTAAAAAACATTTAAACCTTCAGAAAAGTTACAAAAATAGTAAAATGAACTCTCATATGCCTTTATGTAGATTCATTAACTTTTAACGTTTTGCCACAATTGTATTTTTTATATTCATACATATATTTTGATTATTACTATTATTACTGAACCATTCCAGAGTGAGTTACAGACATCTTTATCTCTAAGTACTTGTTAGTATATTGTCTAACAACAAGGACATTCTCCTACATAACCATGACACAATGATCAGATTCAGGAAATTTGGCATTGATACAATACTGTTATCTAATATACAGTTTGAAATACAAATTTTTTCAGTTGTCTCAATACTATCCTTTGTGGCAATTGTTTTTTTCTTCACACCAAGCTCCAATCCAGTATCACCCACTGCATTTGACTGTCATGAGACTTTAGTCAATTTCACGGTGATACATTCTTTACTTCACCTGTCTTTCATGATGTTTGTCAAAGAGTACAGGCCAGTTGTTTTTCATGCACCCTAATCTTTTATTCAATAATCTATCTTGAAGAGCATTTCAAGCAGTTCATAAATCATCCTATTTGTTTTTTAACAGTCACATAGCATTCCACTAAATGGATGAGGCATAATTTACCTAACCAGTATCATATTGATGAACTTTCTTTTCTTTTTTTTTTTTTTTTTTTTGAGGCAGAGTCTCACTCTGTCCCCCAGGCTCAGGCTGGAGTGCAGTGGCACGATCTCGGCTCACTGCAACCTCCGCCTCCCGGATTCAAGCAATTCTCCTGCCTCAGCCTCCAGAGTAGCTGGGATTATAGGCATGTGACACCACGCCCGGCTAATTTTTTTGTATTTTTAGTGGAGACAGGGTTTCATCATATTGGCCAGGCTGGTCTCGAACTCCCGACCTTGTGATCCACCCACCTCGACCTCCCAAAGTGCTGGGATTACCGGTGTGAGCCACAGCGCCCGGCCACAATGAACTTTCAAATTGTTCCCAATCTTTCCCTACTACATACAATATGCAATATGCAAATTTCTTTGTGTACATATGCAAAGAGCTATGTATCTGTCTGATAAATTTCCTGCAGTGAGGTGGTTGTGTCAGAGTATAAATGTATTGCTTTTTTCTTTCTTTCTTTCTTTTTTGAGACAGTCTCCCTCTGTCTCCCAGGCTGGAGTAGCAGTGGTGCAATCTCGGCTCGCTGCAACCTCTGCCCTCCTGGATTCAAGCAATTCTCCTGCCTCAGCCTCCCGAGTAGCTGGGATTACAGATGTGTGCCACCATGCCCAGCTAATTTTTCTATTTTTAGTAGAGGTAGGATTTTGCCATGTTGGCCAGGCTGGTCTTGAGCTCTTGGCCTCAAGTGATCTGCTCGCCTGAATATTTTGCATTTTGATGGATTCTGCCAAAACATAACTTCAAAGAGGATGTAACATTTTATACTTCCACCCAAAATGCACAGGATTGCCTATTGTCTTACATCTAACCTAATGCTTCATATAATCAAATCATTCAATCTTTGATAATGTGCATGTGAAAAGCATACTTTAAATTTGTTTCTTCACATTGTGAGGTTGAAAATATTTTTATATATTCAAAATGTATTTGCCTTTCCTTTTCTATTGAGTTGTCCTTTGTTATTATTTTTGACTATGCTTCAAACTCAGGCAGAGTCCCACGTCAGGGCTCCCAGGAAGCAGTGCTTTTCCAGAAAGCTGTATGGGAAGCAGTTTTTCTTTACCAAATAAATCCAAGCTATCTATACAGCTTCAGGCTCTTGAGTGCTTGGGAATCCTATTGTCTATTCTTAGCAAATGCTTAGCCTATCAGAGTTAACCTTTAATAAGCATTGCTTCCACTGATGGACTGGATGCATCCTAGGCCTCTTTCATCATTGGTTTTCTGCTTTACATATTCACTAGAGTCCAGATGATACCAGTGAACCTACTGGGAAGCCATGGATGTCATCCAAGATTGGTCTAGGTCTAAGTTGTCCATGAGGTTAGAGAGCAACATCTATGCTCTTCTGCAGACCCTCTCAGTTGACAGCTGGAACTTCTCACAGGGCAAACTGATCTACTGGTTTTGCTCTCTGTCTCCAGGCTCTATCCCTAACATTTGTGGAACGCAGGGCAAGAATACAAATGAAGGCCCACATACCATGTGTCTAAATATTTAAAAGTTATAAATCAAGCCAATATAGCTGTAAATGGCATATTTAATCCTCCTACATTTACAAATATACCTTCATAATGAGCAGGAAGGCTGGCTTCAAATTTGGCATTATCAGAGTTTCACTCTGGAATGTGGCAACATGGGGAAAAAACAGCCTCTGGCCTGTTCTCCATTCTTCTCCCTCCCCTGAACACCCTGCATCTCTCTTCCAGGGACTCTTGCACACATGTGTGGATACCCTAGTTATTCATACCCCCATACATAAATCCCCCGTGGCCAACTCTTTGGCTTGGAAAGTGTATACTAGAGGCACAGTTGACCCACTGGTGTTCAGACTTCAGCAAAAGGTCTGTGCAAGAAGCAGGTGCAGGGGTGCTGTTTTAGTGCCAAGATTCTTGGAACACAATCTAGAAGGGAGTGAGCTTGGCTCCTTGGATTCCTGGCCCTCGGGGGAGGACCATGGCTGGAGGATAATCACAGCTGGGCCCTCTATAGTGTCTGGCCTGGGAAAGGTCTGTCTTGATCCAGTCCACCTCCTGTCCACCTAGTGCATTAGTACACAATGAGCTGCTGAAGAACTCCCTGAGACTTTTTGTTTGCATTTTCTTTGAATATTTTTAAGAGACAGTGTCTCTCTCTGTTGTCCAGGCTGGAGTACAGTGGCACAATCATAGCTCACTCTAACCTTGAAATCCTGGGCTCAAGTGATCCTCCTGCCTCAGCCTCCTAGGGTCTTGCTATGTTGCCCAGGCTGGTCTTGAACTCCTGGCCTCAACTGATCCTCCTTCCTTGTCCTCCCAAAGTACTGGGATTACAGGCATGAGCCACTATGCCTGGCCTCTTTTGAACAAGTTTTGGACAACTTGTTGATTTTTCCTGGTGGTAACTTGCTACAAGGACATTGTCATCTTCAGGCGATCCTGGAAAGACATACAAAACTACAAAGTAGTTTATACTTACTTTCATATATGTGTGTTTCTGTAGCACATATATTCATAGAGAGCAGTATTTTTGTTATTCAAAATGAAATTTTTGTGATTATCGAAGTCACATCTGTTAATCTATGCTCATTGTAAAAAATCCAGACATTACTTAAAGGTATAAATAAGAATGCAAACAACATCTATAATCTCACCATTTAGAAAGAACCACAATTTATATTTTGGTATATACTTCTAAACTTTTTTCCATAGATACACACACACACACACATTTGCTTTTTATACAAAAATGAGATGATTCTGTCTATGCAGTTTTGTCATCTGCTTTTCCTTTTAGTAAGATATGATGGATAATTTTCCATTGTAATAAATGGAAAATTTATGGAAATATACGATGTATAGAAATACATCTATACATCGTCATACACAAATACATATACATCATATAGAAATACATCTATACATCATCATTCTTTTTTTTTTTTTTTTGAGACAGAGTTTCACTCCTGTTACCCAGGCTGGAGTGCAATGGCGCGATCTTGGCTCACTGCAACCTCTGCCTCCCGGGTTCAAGTGATTCTCCTACCTCAGCCTCCCAAGTAGCTGGGAGTATGGACATGTGCCATCTTTTGTATTTTTAGTAGAGACGGGGTTTTGCCATGTTGGCCAGGCTGGTCTCGAACTCCTGACCTTGTGATCTGCCTGCCTTGGCCTCCCTAAGTGCTGGGATTACAGGCATGAGCTACTGTGCCTGGCCTATACATCATCATTCTTAATAGCTATAGAATTTCCTACTATATTTATTTGTTCATTTTCTCAGTAAATATTCATATATAGACCACACACTGAGCTAGATTCTGGGGAGGTAGTCATAGGTAAGCAAGTCTTGCAAACACAAATCTACCATAATTCACTAATTAACTCCCTATAATTTTGACTACTATGAAAAGATCTATGGCGAATATGTGTACTTATATTTTTGTGTTCTTGCCTGAATATAGCCTTTGAATAAATTCCTAGAAGTGTTAATTATTTGATCAAAAGTAAATATATTTTAAATGTTGATATAAATGCAGATCGTCTTTCAGAAAAGTTGTTCCAATTAATGTTCCCATCAAAAGTGCCTATTGTTCAGGCATGGCGGCTCACGCCTGTAATCCCAGCACTTTGGGAGGCTGAGGTGGGTGGATGACTTGAGGTCAGGAGTTCGAGGCCAGCCTGGCCAACATGGTGAAACCCCATCTCTACTAAAAAAAAAGTACAAAAATTAGCTGGGTGTGGTGGCATGCTCCTGTAGTCCTAGCTACTTGGGAGGCTAAGTCAGGAGGATCACTTGAACCTGGGAGGCAGAGGTTGCAATGAGCCGAGATCATGCCACTGCCCTCCAGCCTGGGTGACAGAGTGACACTGTCTCAAAAAAAAAAAAAAAAAAGTGCCTATTGCTCCTTATTCCCTCCAACATTGGATATTAGTAAGATTTTAAATCTTTATCAATCTGATAGGCAAACAATTGAAATAAATGTTCTCTCTCTCTCTCATAAACTGACAGCTCATATCCTTTGCCCTGGCTGTTCTTTTATTTCTGAGTGATTATATAAAAAACTATTGTGTATTTTACAACTGCTTCTCAATTTTTGTCTTTGGATTTGGTTTGTGGTATTTTTTATTTTATTTTATTTTATTATTATTACACTTTAAGTTTTAGGGTACATGTGCACAATGTGCAGGTTAGTTACATATGTATACATGTGCCATGCTGGTGCGCTGCACCCACTAACTCGTCATCTAGCATTAGGTATATCTCCCAATGCTATCCCTCCCCCCTCCCCCCACCCCACAACAGTCCCCAGAGTGTGATGTTCCCCTTCCTGTGTCCATGTGTTCTCATTGTTCAATTCCCACCTATGAGTGAGAACATGCGGTGTTTGGTTTTTTGTCCTTGTGATAGTTTACTGAGAATGATTTCCAATTTCATCCATGTCCCTACAAAGGACATGAACTCATCCTTTTTTATGGCTGCATAGTATTCCATGGTGTATATGTGCCACATTTTCTTAATCCAGTCTATCATTGTTGGACATTTGGGTTGGTTCCAAGTCTTTGCTATTGTGAATAGTGCCTCAATAAACATACGTGTGCATGTGTCTTTATAGCAGCATGATTTATAGTCCTTTGGGTATATACCCAGTAATGGGATGGCTGGGTCAAATGGTATTTCTAGTTCTAGATCCCTGAGGAATCACCACACTGACTTCCACAATGGTTGAACTAGTTTACAGTCCCACCAACAGTGTAAAAGTGTTCCTATTTCTCCACATCCTCTCCAGCACCTGTTGTTTCCTGACTTTTTAATGATTGCCATTCTAACTGGTGTGAGATGGTATCTCATTGTGGTTTTGATTTGCATTTCTCTGATGGCCAGTGATGGTGAGCATTTTTTCATGTGTTTTTTGACTGCATAAATGTCTTCTTTTGAGAACTGTCTGTTCATGTCCTTCGCCCACTTTTTGATGGGGTTGTTTTTTTCTTGTAAATTTGTTTGAGTTCATTGTAGATTCTGGATATTAGCCCTTTATCAGATGAGTAGGTTGCGAAAATTTTCTCCCATTCTGTAGGTTGCCTGTTCACTCTGATGGTAGTTTCTTTTGCTGTGCAGAAGCTCTTTAGTTTAATTAGATCCCATTTGTCAATTTTTGCTTTTGTTGCCATTGCTTTTGGTGTTTTAGACATGAAGTCCTTGCCCATGCCTATGTCCTGAATGGTAATGCCTAGGTTTTCCTCTAGGGTTTTTATGGTTTTTATGTCTAACGTTTAAGTCTTTAATCCATCTTGAATTAATTTTTGTATAAGGTGTAAGGAAGGGATCCAGTTTCAGCTTTCTACATATGGCTAGCCAGTTTTTCCAGCACCATTTAATTCCCTTTATTAAATAGGGAATCCTTTCCCCATTGCTTGTTTTTGTCAGGTTTGTCAAAGATCAGATAGTTGTAGATATGCGGTGTTATTTCTGAGGGCTCTGTTCTGTTCCATTGATCTATATGTCTGTTTTGGTACCAGTACCATGCTGTTTTGGTTACTGTAGCCTTGTAATATAGTTTGAAATCAGGTAGTGTGATGCCTCCAGCTTTGTTCTTTTGGCTTAGGATTGACTTGGCGATGTGGGCTCTTTTTTGGTTCCACATGAACTTTAAAGTAGTTTTTTCCAATTCTGTGAAGAAAGTCATTGGTAGCTTGATGGGGATGGCATTGAATCTATAAATTACCTTGGGCAGTATGACCATTTTCACGATATTGATTCTTCCTACCCATGAGCATGGAATGTTCTTCCATTTGTTTGTATCCTCTTTCATTTCATTGAGCAGTGGTTTGTAGTTCTCCTTGAAGAGGTCCTTCACATCCCTTATAAGTTGGATTCCTAGGTATTTTATTCTCTTTGAAGCAATTGTGAATGGGAGTTCACTCATGATTTGGCTCTCTGTTTGTCTGTTGTTGGTGTATAAGAATGCTTGTGATTTTTGTACATTGATTTTGTATCCTGAGACTGCTGAAGTTGCTTATCAGCTTAAGGAGATATGGGGCTGAGACAATGGGGTTTTCTTGATATACAATCATGTCATCTGCAAACGGACAATTTGACTTCCTCTTTTCCTAATTGAATACCCTTTATTTCCTTCTCCTGCCTAATTGCCTTGGCCAGAACTTCCAACATTATGTTGAATAGGAGTGGTGAGAGAGGGCATCCCTGTCTTGTGCCAGTTTTCAAAGGGAATGCTTCCAGTTTTTGCCCATGCAGTATGATATTGGCTGTGGGTTTGTCATAGATAGCTCTTATTATTTTGAGATACGTCCTATCAATACCTAATTTATTGAGAGTTTTTAGCATGAAGGGTTGTTGAATTTTGTCAAAGGCCTTTTCTGCATCTATTGAGATGATCATGTGGTTTTTGTATTTGGTTCTGTTTATATGCTGGATTACATTTATTGATTTGCTTATATTGAACCAGTCTTGCATCCCAGGGATGAAGTCCACTTGATCATGGTGGATAAGCTTTTTGATGTGCTGCTGGATTTGGTTTGCCAGTATTTTATTGAGGATTTTTGCATCAATGTTCATCAAGGATATTGGTCTAAAATTCTCTTTTTTGGTTGTGTCTCTGCCAGGCTTTGGTATCAGGATGATGCTGGCCTCATAAAATGAGTTAGGGAGGATTCCCTCTTTTTCTATTGATTGGAATAGTTTCAGAAGGAGTGGTACCAGTTCCTCCTTGTACCTCTGGTAGAATTCGGCTGTGAATCCATCTGGTCCTGGACTCTTTTTGGTTGGTAAGCTATTGATTATTGCCACAATTTCAGAGCCCGTTATTCGTCTATTCAGAGATTCAACTTCTTCCTGGTTTAGTCTTGGGAGGGTGGGTGTGTCGAGGAATTTATCCATTTCTTCTAGATTTTCTAGTTTATTTGCGTAGAGGTGTTTGTAGTATTCTGTGATGGTAGTTTGTATTTCTGTTGGGGGTTTGTGGTATTTTTAAGCCATATTAAAGTTCATTTTTTTCCACATAGAACAATTTCTGTGTGATGTCTTCATAGCTTTTAATAATGATTGATGGTTAATTAAACTGTTGGGTTGAAAGAGTTTGAAGTAAACAGAATACAGGGGTTTTTTGGTAGAAACACTGAAGTCAGCTTGCAGATCTCCTGTTGCATTCCAGGCAGGGCGAGAACTGAGACCCTGGGGAGCATGTAGAAGGTGACCTGAAACTCTGTTCCTCGGCATGGGGGCTGAGGGGACTGGCTTCTGCTGGATGGAAAATGCAAGCTGAGTGGTTTAAAGAAAAGGAGTGGAAAATAGGTAACAGCCAGTATGGCTGTAGCAGGCCTAGGGAGGAAGATGGGGTGGAGAGAAAGAGATGTGGTGGATGTGGTAAGGAGTGGAAATTTGAGGAAAGGAAGAGGTTTAAAGATAATTTTTGAGAAGTTTATCAGTATGATAATTGATTCTCACAAACTTGCAGTGAAAACCACATTATACGTCATGCTTTAAAGTTCATCTTGGTCATGTCTTTGATGCAAAAGTGGGAGACAGGCCCCAAGGCAGGGGCTGGTGAAGGCAGTGCCAGCCCAAGGCAGCCAACTATGTTTATGGTCCACTGTGGCCACATTGAGGCTGACCCCCCAGCATTCATTCCACTGCTGGATAATGAATCCAAGACACTTAGGATAACTCCCCCTTTCTCGCCAGGGGTCAGTTCAGAAATTTGTGCCAATGAGATATCAGGGGAGGCTTGCTAGGGACTTTCAGAAAAGAGAAGTGTCTTTCTTGCTGAAAGAGAATAGGAAAGCATGTTGTCCCAGGTCATGTGGCCTCAAGGGGAACTTGTCTTAGAAAGAAGCTGAACAGGAGGATAGCAGAGAGACAGTTAGAAGGTGGTGGCAGCGTGTGTGTGTGTGTGTGTGTGTGTGTGTGTGTGTGTGTGTGTGTGTCGGGGTGGGGAGAGGGAGAGAGGGACAGAGGGAGAAAAAAAAAAAAAGAAAGAAAGAAGCTGGGTCCCTAAAGACAGTTCCTCATGGTTAAGCCCCTGAATCTACCAACTCTGAAGTCTGCCAACCTCTAGTCTTCCTGTTAGGTGGAATAATAAAATAAATGTCCTTAATCTTTAAGTCTGTGGAAGTCAGATTTTTTGTTACTTGCAGCTGAAACATTCTAATTGACATACAGAGTAAAGTTTGAACAAGACTCAGTTCAGACCAAATACTTAGACTGGATCTTTTCTCAAGAGCCATTCCAAACGGTTTGGGGTTCCCAGGATAGTCCACGTTCTCTCTCACCTGAGGGTCTTTGCACACCCCATTCCTTCCTCCTGGAACACTCCTCCCTCTGCTCTTTGCATCCTTGACTCGGGCTCAACTCCAGGGCTCTGATAGGAGTCAGGGGCTATGAAAAGATCTCCCCGAGCCCTCGCGTGTGAGTTGAATGTTCCTTTCACATGCTCCCACCAAGCCTTGTGCTTTTCTGGGCATAGCTATTTTGCAGACTGTCTGGAGACTGCCCATATCTCTGTGTCTGTTTTGGTCACCATTATCTCTGCAATGCTGGCACATTGCCATACTACATGCTCAATGGTTGCCAAATGAATAAATTTTAAAAGTGTTTATTTATTTATTTTTTGAGACAGAGTCTCCCTCTGTCTCCCAGGCTGGAGTGCAGTGGCAAGATCTCATCTCACTGCTACCTCTGCCTCCCAGGTTCAAGCGATTCTCCTGCCTCAGCCTCCCGAGTAGCTGGGATTACAGGCGTGCACCACCATGCCCGCCTAATTTTTTGTATTTTTAATAGAAATGGGGTTTTGCCGTGTTGGCCAGGCTGCTCTGGAACTCCTGACCTCAGGTGATCTGCCTGCCTTGGCCTCCCAAAGTGCTGGGATTACAGGCATGAACCACCGCACGCAGCCAAAGCATTTATTCTTTCTATTTGGGCTTTCAAAGGATCTTGCTTTTTACAAGAAGGCTGTAATTTGTTATAAACGTCAGTAAAGCAACCATTTAAGTTTTCCTATAAAACGCAGGCTGCTGATTGTTTAATATATCGTAAAGATCCATTTTAAAAAATTGACACATAATTCACATAAAATTCACCTTCTTTAAATATATAATCCAGTTATTTTTAGAGTAGTCACAAGGTTGTGCAACCATCATCACTATCTGATTTCAGATCTTCATCATCCCAAAAAGAAACCCCATGTCCATTAGCAGTCACTCTCCATTCCCTTCTTCTCCCAGTCCCTGGCAATCACTAATCTGTTTTCTGTCTCTGCAGATTTGCCTATTCTGAACTCTTCATCTAAAGGGAATCATACTGAACATTTGTGTACAAGTTGTTGTGTGATTATGTTTTCAATTCTCTGGGTATACCTAGGAATGGGGTTGCTGGGTCACATGGTAACTCTATGTTTAATATTTTGAGGAACTGCCAAACTGATTTCCAAAATGACTGTACCATTTTACATTCCCACCAACATTGTACGATGGTTCCAATTTCTCCTCATCCTATTGAAGATTCATTTGAGTAAATTTATTTTAGGGAAACAGAATGCTGACACGGAGAAATAGAAATCATATACTTAATATTCATGTGGTTAATGCGTATGAGTCAAATGATCAGTAATAACCTCACCAATCTACCATTTGAAATCCAAGAGCTCATAAGGACAAGGCAAAAGAAAATTAGTAACTTCAGAATGAATGCTTGATGTAAGCGAAGTTATCTTTCTTTTTTTAAGCATATTGATGGGTAAAAGAGCCTGAGTAAATTTTAAGTGGAAAGTCATGTGTCAGCAGCCTTAGTTTAAGCCTAAGCCATCTCCCACTGGGATTCAGACGTGTCTAGACCTGTTTGGTAGACTGAGCTGCCAAAAGCCAATTTTTAAGAGGAACTGATGGCTGGGGAGACAGAACTCATTTAAAGGAAGAGAGACTGAACCAGAAAAGCTTGTTAAGGTGGGGGGGGCCAGTTCTGAATATACTCGACTGTGCCCCCCCAACCCTAGTCCTGCCTCCATGAACTCAGGACTGAATCCTAGAAGAGAAAGGCCTATGTTAAAATCTGAAAGCCTTATTTTCATTAAAAACTCTTTTTTCTTTTCTTTTCTTTTTTTTGTTTTGAGACAGAGTCTCACTCTGTTGCTCACTCAGTGACTCAGTGTCTTGATCTCGGCTCACTGCAACCTCTACCGCCTGGGTTCAAGTGATTCTCCTATCTCAGCCTCCTGAGCAGCTGGGATTATGGGCGTGAGCCACCATGCCTAGCTAATTTTTGTATTTTTTTTAGTAGAGACAGGGTTTCGTCATATTGGCCGGGCTGGTCTCAAACTCCTTACCTCAGGTGATCCGCCTGCCTTGGCCTCCCAAAGTGCTGGGATTACAGGCGTGAGCCACCACACCTGGCCCTATTTTCTTTCTTTCTCTTTCTCTCTCTCTTTTTTTTTTTTTTTTTTTTTTTTTGTGGAGTCTCACCCTCTCGCCAGGCTAGAGTGCAATGGCGTGATCTTGGCTTACCGCAACCTCCAACTTCCTGGTTTAAGCAATTCTCCTGCCTCAGCCTCCTGAGTAGCTGGGATTACAGTCACGAGCCACCATGACCAGCTAATTTTTGTATTTTTAGTAGAGACAGGGTTTAACCATGTTGGCCAGGCTGGTCTCGATCTCCTGACTTCATGATCTGCCCGCCTCGGCCTCCCAAAGTGCTGGGATTACAGGTGTGAGCCACTGTGCACAGCCCCTATTTTCATTAAAAACTCTAAGATCTTGGATGCAAGGGAAGACTGCCTCAGTAATTGCTCATGTACATTACACAAAATGTACATTACATGAAATAGAGAGAGGCTTTTTCTCACTTGGGCAACAAATGCCATGACCTTCAGAGTATTCATCTCCATATTGGTACACCACATGTACCCATGTATCGGGGTGGTGGCAGTGACAATGGGCCTGTAAAGGGGGTCGTTTGAGGACACCAGAGGTAGCCTTGAAACACCTTCATTAGCTGTGTGGGTGGTGAGGCCTGGGAAGCTGACATCACTGAAGAGGGACCGAGCAGAAGAAGACAGTGGTAGAAGCCTATGGTGGTCCTAAAGTTTTTGGTGAGTTCAGGCGAGAGGCTCTCTAGGGACTCCCAGGTGGAACACTGATGGGGACTCCAAGTGATGATAAGGGCAGGAGACATCCCCATTTGTATGTTAATAGTGTACAGCACTCTGGCTGCTGTGGACTAGGGAAATACAGTCTAACCACTAATGAAATCTAATGAAAAATAACTAAGTAGCTGAGGAATGAGCCACACAAATTTGAATTGAATGACTAAATACACATTGTCCATTTTGGGATGAATGGTAGCCTTATCAAATAAAAATTTTTTCCATCTCAAGAGTCATTGTTATTGTGATGAAATAAAGCTGTTGAGTAGCATTTCCCACCATGGGTTGCCCTGTTATTCTCACATTTGGGAACTTTCCATTGCTTTAGAGATTAACTTTCCCACGGTTTTCTATCCCATGATGTTTGCGGTTATAGATGAAAATGTAACTAGCAGTCAATGGCAGGAAAAGTAATGAATGATGTAGTGTGTAACAATAAAAAAATGAAGCAAGTTCAACTGAATCCAAGATGTTGAGTTCACAGAAAGCCAGTGCAACAGAACCTGTGAGAAGAGCCACACCCTGGGGTTCGTCTATCACGTAAGGGAGGAGAGGGAAGGATTCATGAGCTCTGCCTTTTCAGCATCATGAAAGTGAGACTTTGTGATCACACTTTTATTTTATTTTATTTTATTTTATTTTATTTTATTTTATTTTATTTTATTTTATTGAGATGGAGTCTTGCTCTGTCATGCAGGCTGGAGTGCAGTGGCACAATCTCAGCTCACTGCAACCTCCGCCTCCCGGGTTCAAGAGATTCTCCTGCCTCAGCCTGCTGAGTAGCTGGGATTACAGGTGTGTGCCACCACGCCTGGCAAATTTTTGTATTTTTAGTAGAGATAGGGTTTCACCATGTTGGTCAGGCTGGTCTTGAACTCCTGACCTCGTGATTCGCCCGCCTCGGCCTCTAAAAGTGCTGGGATTACAGGCGTGAGCCACTGCACCCGGCCTTATTTTTTTATTAGGATGAAATATATTAACTTCAGGCCAATGCTGGTTTTTGAAGATATCATGAGTTATTCATTTTCCATCAAAGGACCTTTCTAGACATTTAAGAAAGAAATAAAACATCTCATATGATAGAGGTCCTGGTATGCATTGAAGCATAAAAATAGCTCAAGTGGGAGCGGTGGCTCATACCTGTAATCCCAGCACTTTGGGAGGATGAGGCGGGTGGATCACCTGAGGTCAGGAGTTCAAGACCAGCCTGGCCAACACGATGAAACCTCGTCTCTACTAAAAATACAAAAATTAGCCAAGCATGGTGGCACACACCTATAGTCCCAGCTACTCAGGAGGCTGAGGCAGAAGAATCGCTTAAACTTGGGAGGCAGAGGTTGCAGTGAGCTGAGATCACACCAGCCTGGGTGACAGAGTTAGACTCCGTCAAAAAAAGAAAAAAAAAAAAAGCCGGGCGCAGTGGCTCATACCTATAATCCCAGTACTTTGGGAGGCTGAGGTGGGCAGATCACCTGAGGTCAGGAGTTCAAGACCAGCCTGGCCAAAATGGCGAAACCCTGTCTCTACTAAAAATAGAAAAATTAGCCAGGCATGGTGGTACACGCCTATAATCTCAGCTACTTGGGAGGCAGAGGCAGGAGAATCACTTGAACCTGGGAGGTGAAGGTTGCAGTGAGCTGAGATCATGCCACCGTACTGCTGTTTGAGCAACAGAGGGAGACTCCATCTCAAAAAAAAAAAAAAATAGCTCGAGCAACAAACATTAAAGAAGGCATCAGCGAAGATGCCATAGTTCCTCTGCATGTGGGGAGGAAAGATGGGAGCAATGGTTCTCAAACCCTGGATCCCGTGAGAGCCGTAATAATACTTTGAAAGTATCCTGGGCTACTGGGAAAGACCACATAGGTCTGTGGTCCCCCTCCCACACACACAAAAATCAGACAAGCCAGGTTATCTCTTTTGTATATCGGTTCTTTTTTCTTTTCTTTCTTTCCTTTTTTTTTTTTTTTTTTTTTTTTTGAGATGAAGTCTCACTCTGTTGCCCAGGCTGGAGTGCAGTGGCATCATCTCAGCTCACTGCAACCTCTGCCTCCTGGATTCGAGCGATTCTTGTGCCTCAGCCTCCCGAGTAGCTGGGATTACAGGTGCATGCCACCATGCCCAGCTAATTTTTTGTATTTTTAGTAGAGATGGGCGGGGGTGGTCTTACCACGTTGGCCAGGCTGGTCTCGAACTTCTGACCTCAGGTGATCCGCCTGCCTCAGCCTCCCAAAGTGCTGGGATTACAGTTGTGAGCCACCACGCCTGGCCTGTATATTGGTTCTTGCCTAAAATTTATATTTGAACATAGGGATTTGGTGCTTTAAAAAATTGAGAGAGAAAGATTGAGATGAAAAACCACTGGGGCTTTCTTTAAATCCCCTTCTGCAAATCTTATGTTTTCTCAAGAGGAGCTATCTCCAGGATGAATCTTGCATGTTAATCACAGTTGTAGCAAACTCAGTTGCTGTTTTCCTTATGTACACCAGGAATTCATCTACTCCTGGCTCCCAACACATGGTCTTGGCAACACGTGTCATGGCTGCTTTGTTGCTGAGCCACATGGTGGAAACCGAGCAGAGCTGAGTTTGACTGGATCCATCCCACCAACCCCTGGCTGACCTCCGGCACTGTCCATCCCTATGTACAGGGGGAATGCTCAGGAGTCCTGGAGAGGAGAGGGCTAAGCTGCTGGCCTGCCCAGAATTTGGGAAGCTCTGCTCAGCACAGCTGAGATTAAAAAGAGTCAGGAAGGAGAAATCAGCAATTCCTTTAAGGACCAGAAAACTTGGGAAAATGCCAAAGGATGACAAAGCCAGGGAGCTTGGGAGCTTGATCACTTTAGCACTCAGCTTTATGACCTTTGGAAACTACGTGTCACACTATTGAGTCCAAAACCAGCTTTGATAAATTTTGTTTTGGAATCTTTGTCCTCAGGCATTTTAAGACACTGTAGAGAGGTTGTCTAATATTTTCCACACATCATAATGGCATAAAACTAGGAGAAGAACAAGGACAGCTAGGAAGAATTGCAAATAGAGACTAGGAGGCAGAAAAGATGGAAAAAGTTGGAAATTAGAGTGACATCTGTGGGTTTAATCAGTAACTTAATCTGGCAATGCAGAACGTAGCCAGTTAAGAGGAAACAGAACCCAGTAAAGTTCCTACCTCCTGAGGAGTCCCCATCTCCGCCTTGAGCTTTTGTCATCCTTGGGCAACAGGCAGACATGTTAGTTCCTGCTGGCTCCAGTCCTGTCTGGCCTCTTGATCACTCAGCACTCAGGACTTGGGAAAGTCCTGAGCCTCCAAAGGCTACCGGTGGCATTATTGGGAGTTATTTGCTTGTTTGTGGATCTGGAATTTACCTGCTCTACCCACACCTGGTCCCCAGATGGTGGGGCTGGCCCAAGGCTTCCAGGTGCACACTAAGCTGCAGCTTCCCTGTATTCATGCCTGTCTGCCTGCCTGGTTTTTAGCCTGGGTCCTGACTTTTTACTGGGACTAGACCCCAGCCCAGAAGTTGTCTGGGGCTGCCATGCTGCCACCTGGATCCTGCTGTCTGCTCACTCCATTTTTTCCATCTTACTGCCCATTTACCTGCCACTGGATGATGCTTGAGTTTTAAACTTATTATTTTGAAAAATTCCAAGCCTGCAGCAAAGTTGAGAAAACAGTACAATGAATAGCCACATACTTTCATTTAGATTTACTAATTTTTAGCATTTTGCCACATTTTTCTTTCTCCTTCTGCAAACACACACACTCATAACTGTCCCCATAATGTCTGTTATGGCTATATTTTTTCCAATCCCAGATCTAAATTGGCATCATGCATTACATTTAGTCATGTCTTTTTAGTTTTCTTTAATGTAGAACAATTCTCTTGCTATTTTTGTTTTGTTTTTGAGACAGTCTCCCTCTGTTGCCCAGGCTGGAGTGCAATGGCGTGATCTCCACTACCTGCAACCTCTGCCTCCTGGGTTCAAGTGATTCTCCTGCCTCAGCCTCCCGAGTAGCTGGGATTACAGGTGTGTGCCACCACATCTGGCTAATTTTTTGTATTTTTAGTAGAGACAGGGTTTCACCGTGTTGGTGAGGCTGGTCTCGAACTGCTGGCCTCAAGTGATCCACCTGCCTTGAACTCTTAAAAGTGTTGGAATTACAGGTGTGAGCCACTGCACCCGGCCCAGTTCCCTTGCCTGTAAAAAAAATATTTCCTGGCCAGGCATGGTGGCTTATGCCTGTAATCCCAGAACTTTGGGAGGCCAAAGTGGGCGGATCACCTGAGCTCAGGAGTTCAAGACCAGCCTAGCCAACATGGCAAAACCCCGTCTTTACTAAAAACACAAAAATTAGCCAGGCGTGGTGGCACTTGCCCATCATTCCAGCTACTTGGGAGGCTGAGGCAGGAGAATTGCTTGAGTCCAGGAGGCAGAGGTTGCAGTGAGCTGAGATTGTGCCACTGCACTCCAGCCTGGACGACAGAGTGAGACTCCGTCTCAAAAAAAAAAAAAAAAAAAAAAAAAAAAAATTCTTTCTTGACATCAACATTTTTGAAGAGTTCAGGCCAATTGGGGGTTTTTTGGACATCTGATTATCTCGTCACAATTTGATTCAGGTTAAGCATTTTGGGCAGGAATACTCGATAGGTGCGACTGCCTCTTAAGCACAGGCTATGGCCAATGCCCACTTGCCTTTCTCTTCACGGCACAGTAACCATCCCCTTCCTCTTCCCAGCCTGGCAGAAGGCAAAGCAGCAAGGATGGCTGAGGAACTTGTGCTGGGCAGACCTGGGCTCCCAGGGGACCTGGCAGGGTTGCTGCCACCAGATACCACTCTGACAACTAAACCTTGCCCTTTGGCCCCCATTTTCATTTGTTGCAAATGACCTCTCACATATACTGGGCTCTTCAAATTCTATCGTAGTCCAGTGGTGGTCATGCTTAGGGTGGATCCAAGAGAAAACAAACAAGACAGAGACTCCAAAGAAGCCATGTCTTAGAGGCTCCTCAGCCCCAAAGGCTCTAGTGTATGACCCTTCCCATGGGGACAGAGCTTCCAAACTCAAGTGGACACTTCAGGCTATTGTGCTGGGCTTCAGGAATAGGAACAGGAAGGACTAGGAGAAATCAGAACTGGAAGTCTGGTTGAGTACAGGGATTTGGCAGACATCTATGCTCTGCGTTAGCAAGGAAGTCAAGTTCTTCCTTGAAAAGGACGCATGGGTACTACAAGTTCAAAAACTCAAAATGAAAATCCAAGTCCAGAAGCCTTCATGCGTCAGAGGAGACCATTGGCCAGGAGTTCCTCTGAGGCAGGAAAAGCCTTTCCTGTTATTCTGTGCATCCCTATGGCTGAGTCCTGTGCTTGGTAGATGGGAGACATCCAATCCTTGCTTCTGAATGAATTAATGACTACAGGAACAAATAAATGGATGTGATTTCTAAATGGCCAGGTTTAGTATCCAAGACTCCTATTTAACTGGGAGGATTCAAGAGTTAGTATCTCAGAGTATAGACGGGAAGAGACAGCAAAACATAGCATTTTGAGGTACACAAGTCAGTGAACCCAGCTGAGGAATGAGTTGAACAGCAGTGAGTTGTGGCATGTATTATTATTCAGGCTCAACCTACCAGCTGCAGACTTTTCTTTGATGGTGAACTTATGGTCTCCTGGTCTTCTGTATGCAGAGACCTTTTGCTCAGCTACAGTGTAGCCAGGAACATGCCTGTCCCATCAGGCACACTGCAGCTTCCAGGAAGCCGGGAGGGGGCCACAAGAATGGCTTTTTTACTTCCCCCGCACTGCTGCACATGGTAGAAACAAAAAGTAAGATATGGACACACTCATATACTATCCAGGCTTTTCAAAAGCCATAAAGCAGCATCCAAGCCTCGCTCATTATTATCATAAAAGCTGGGTGGAAAAGTTTAAAGTAGGAATGGAGAAATTGCATGGAAAGAAAGCTCAAGAAGTTCCTAATAAAGCAGCTCGAACATAAAGGTTTGGCACATTCTTAAGACCAGGAGGATGGTCAGGGTCAGTGCTTGAGCTGTAGTCTGACTGCATTCAGCATCTGGAGTGCTGGCGGCTTCCAGCAAGATCTACTAGACTGATAAAGAGGCTCTGAAAGATCTCTTACTGGCTATGAGCACCATGCAGGGGCAAAAAAAGATGTGTCAGGTGATTTAGAAGAAAAGTATTTTTAAGTCGAGAAGAGTGCAATTGTATTACCATCTCCACATTTAGAGATGATTTAAAAAGGCACAAAGAAAGGAAGTGGGCTGTTCCTGGGCCTCCTGTAACTACAGTCCAGCCCTGCTTCCTTATATAGATTTCCTTTTGCACACATACTCTTAGTTTAGGTTTCTAAAACCAACAGTTTTTATTTATAGGTAAGAAAATCCCAATTTTTCTAAATTTTCACCAAAGATGATGCTGGCCAGCCCCTAATTTGTGTTATCACCATGCCGGGGGCCCCTCCTTCCTACCTTCCTGTCTGAGTTCCTTGAAGAAACCGGGTGAACTTCTCAGTTCAATAAACTTTTGTAAGTTTCTTTTCTTTCTTTAATTCTTTTTTTTTTTTTTTTTTTTTTGCCAACGTGTCAGTACATCTGAGCACTCCTGATCCCTGTTGGCTGCACAGACAGCTCCAGTTCTGTCCTTCCTTTACTGGGGAACTGCTGTCAGCCGGGCTGGATTAGAGCCCGGCAACGGTTCTGTTGCTAATGAATTGGCAGGGAGAACAAAACACTGCAGCTCTCCTGGAACTATTTTGTCATCTATAGTTGGAGCACATAAAACCTCGGGACTTGGAAAAGAACAAATGTCATTTGCTTATTTGCTTTAGGATGTCAGGAACCCCAGTTCACCACGCCCTGAATGTTTGTCCGATTACAGCACTCATGCAAGTGACAAAAGGTTAAAGGAAAACTCCACCCTCGCAGCATTTCTCTGTTCATTTCCCACCCTCCAGGACTGGTTGGCAGGCCCGGGGAGGGAAAATTCTTATATTTATAACCCTGGGGATAGCAGGGACAGGCTTGGCAGCTTCAAAAGGGCTGAGCAAATCTTGGAACACTGGGATTGAAAGAGCCCTGAAGGAGCAATAAGGCCAACATTCCCCTCTAAAGATGAAGAAACCAAAGCCAGAGAGGTTGCCTGGTGTTGTGGCTGAACTGTGTCTCCCCAAAATTCATATATTAAAGTCCAATATCCAGTGCCTCAGAATGTGACCTTATCTGGAGATAGGTCTTTATAGATGTAATCAAGTTAAAATGAGGTGACTGGGGTGGGCCCTAATCCAATATGACTGCTGTCTTTATAAGAAGGGGAAACTTGGCCACAGAGACATGCAGACAGAGAGAGCATCATATGAACACGAAGATGGCCATCTACAAGCCAAAGAGAGAGGCTTTTTTTTTTTTTTTGAGATGGAGTTTCACTCTTGTTGCCCAGGCTGGAGTGCAATGGCACGATCTTGGCACACTGCAACCTCCATCTCCCGGGTTCAAGCGATTCTCCTGCCTCAGCCTCCCTAGTAGCTGGGATTACAGTTGCGTGCCACCATGCCCAGATAATTTTTTGTATTTCTAGTAGAGATGGGGTTTCACTATGTTGGGCAGGCTGGTCTCGAACTCCTGACCTCAGGCAATCCACCCGCCTCAGCCTCCCAAAGTGCTGGGATTACAGGCGTGAATGGCCGCATCCAGCTCAGAGAGAGGCTTTTAAGTTGAGAAGAATGCAATTGTATAACCATCTCCTTATTTATTTATTTATTTATTTTTGAGACGGAGTCTCGCTCTGTCGCCCAGGCTGGTGTGCAGTGGTGTGATCGCAGCTCACTGCAACCTCCGCCTTTCAGGTTACAGAGATTCTTCTGCCTCAGCTTCCTAAGTAGCTGGGATTCCTAAGTATGGAAATTTTGACTCATCTTGCAGGGTCAGTTGGAAGAAACGTGACTATTAGAAAAGTCTTTTGAAAGCGGAAGAGCACACATCAATCACAGATGGAAAACCAGGGTGTAAAGCATAACAATAAATTGTCTGCTGTCACAGAAAGCCCTGGATCTGATACAGACAATCATTTTGGGTCTTAGTTGCTTGCAGTCGGAGAGGCTCATTAGAGTCTGGAGTTACTTCATACACTGAGCTGGAAATTTCAAAGGAAACTTCCAAATCCACTATGTGCTTTGCTCTTCACTGGATTTTAACTGGGTCATTTACTTTTAAAAATCAAGCTGAATTTAGCACTGGCTGAGCCAAACTTTGCCTCTATCTCTGAGCAACTCTTGCTGTTGTCAATGCGGCTCTGTGTGTGGACAGAAGAGAATATGATCCATTGTCCTACCAGATGCAAATTATGGTCCTGATTCAACAAAAAAGCATCTGTCCTCCATGTAGGGAAAATAGCAAGAGACTCTGAAGCCAGACTAATGATTTATGACATGGCACTGTGCTCTTGCAGAAATTCACATTGCAGTTTGCCATCAGCAAGCCAAAAAAAAAAAATCATTCTGAAACTGACATGATTTGCAATGTTCTGTTTTGAGGCCCCTGCTAATGATGAACTCTATCAAAAACTGCTCAGAGAGAAGAAAATGATAGTTTTTTTGAAAGAGAAGGAAAAGATTTTGAAACAGCAAGTTTTACTTGTAATACATGGCTCTATATGACAAAGTCGATGCTTTATTCCATCATTCTCTCAGTAACTCTGGGAAGCCAATACCCAGGAAAAAGCAGTATCAATAATACAACTAATTTCATAATTATCTGTCGTCACTGAGGATCTTGTGGCCTGGGTGACTGGATGACGTGGAAAACGTTCTTCAAATTGATAAAACGTATTTGATTTCTATCTACTGGTAATAGAATAATATGAGTCTATTGTGGTTTTAAATTCTTTGTACTCTTACCCCTCTCCCATTGGTTTAGTGGCATTGAGGGCTTTTGTTATGTACAGCTCCTCAGGTGGGGTCTAAACACCTAAAATGCAGACAAAGAAACTGAGTCAATGTCTAGCTTTGAGTTTTAAAAACTTGGCTCTGAAGATCTAGAAAGAAGTAGTGTGCCCAGCTCACTGTGCCCCAGTCAGAAATGAGTACTATAATTGATTTTTAAATTTTTGTTAATAATAGTTTTTAGTTATTTTCTAGCTGTTAGCCATTCATACTTTCTCTTTTGTGAATTGTCTGTTTCATGTTCTTTTCTTATTTTTTCCTGGAATATCTTAGGTGCCCCCACTTATTTCCATGTAAATCTATCATACATGTAGCAAATATTTTCCCAGTTCGATCTCTTTTAATTTAGTCTGTGATTTTTTTTGATTTACAGAGTTTAGCAGTTTTATGTAATCAAATCTACAGCTTTTTCCATGTGATTTCCACTATGGCTCTTAAACTTAGGAGAGTTTTTACCATTAGGAGAAAAACTTCAGCTGAATTAAATTCAAAAGAGTTTAATTGAGTGATGAATGATCTGTGAATTGGGCAGCATCCTGAGCCAGAGTAGGCTCAGAGACTCCAGCGCAGCCACGTGGTGGAAGAAGATTTCTGGACAGAAAAACGAAAACGAAGTACAGAAAACGGAAGTGAGGTACAGAAACAGCTCTGGATTGGTTACAGCTCAGCTGTTTGCCTTCTTTTAGCATGGTTTGAACAGTTGGCCACATTTGATTGGCCAAAACTCAGTGACTGGCACAAGAGTAGACTATAGTCTGTTTACCCTTCCATTTAGGTTATACTTCATGATGTACAGAGAAACCTTTAGGCCAAATTTAAAATATGTAATAGGGCAGCTTTAGGCTAAACTTGATTTAACATTATACATAGAGAGTTGAGAGAAATTCATGTATAATTTCATCTATTTTGTTTGCAGTTTGATTTTTTTTTTACAATGAACTCTTTATTCTTATCAGAAATTTTATTCATTTCATCAACAAATATTTCCTGAGTGCCCTTCTGTGTCTGACAAGGTGTAGTTGTTAGGAATAAAATGGTAACCAAAATGCTTAGAGTAGGAGAGGAGATATGAGTGAGTGACAACAGGAGACTTTCATGCAGCTGGGGAGAGCTGTCATAAGGTGGTTTGACTGCTCTCAGTGCAGTATTAAGCCTAAGCGAAGTCGGGCAGGGTTGCGAACCATTGGAACCTCTTGAAATCTTAACTTTGTTCCCACAGAATGCCCCCTAAGTTGATAAACTAAAACAGTTTCTGCAGCAGGCTAAATCTGATTAGTCATGGAGCATTATTCATGCTCCAGCTATTAGGCAAAAAGTCATCAGGAGCAAAGAAACCAAGATAATTCTTTTTAAAAGACTTAGAAAAACAACAAAACATACCTTCACCAAGATTTCAAATCAGGATTCAGAGTAGCAGGGTTGTCTGAGATGAGGTAGACCCGGGAGGTGCTGGGCCCGGTGGACAGGGATGAGGCCTGCTTTGCAAGGGCACTGTTTGGTGGTGTGCTTGAGCAATGGCCGACTCCAGGATCCATTCAAGCACCACATCCCCCCGCCAAAAAAAAGATGTAAGAGGAGATTAATGTTTTCATGTCTTCTAATACAACATCCATTCTGATTCTGTACCCCATGGATCAAGGAATAATTTCACATTTAAAGTCTTATTATTATTATTATCATTATTGTTTTTTTGAGACCAAGTTTCGCTCTTGTTGCCCAGGCTGGAGTGCAATGGTGTGATCTCGGCTCACCGCAACCTCCGTCTCCTGGGTTCAAGCGATTCTCCTGCCTCAGCCTACCGAGTAGCTGGAATTACAGGCATGCACCACCACGCCTGGCTAATTTTGTATTTTTAGTAGAGACGGGGTTTCTCCATGTTGGTCAGGCTGATCTCGAACTCCTGACCTCAGGTGATCTGCCTGCCTTGGCCCCTCAAAGTGCTGGGGTTACAGGCGTGAGCCACCGCACCAGGCTAAGTCTTATTATTTAAGAAATACATTTCTTAAGTTGATAGCTGCTGTAGACAGTTATTCTTCTGATGGATCTGGGCAAAGTCAACTTAAAATCTGGAAAGAATCCACCATTCTAGATGCCTTTGGGCAAAGTCAACTTAAAATTTTCTGGAAAGAATTCACCATTCTAGATGCCTTTAAGAATATTTGTGGGCCGGGAGCAGTGGCTCACGCCCGTAACCCCAGCACTTTGGGAGGCCGAGGCAGGCGGATCACCTGAGGTCGGGAGTTTGAGACCAGCCTGACCAACATGAAGAAACGCTGTCTCTACTAAAAATACAAAATTAGCCAGGCGTGGTGGCACATGCCTGTAATCCCAGCTACTTGGGAGGCTGAGGCAGGAGAATCACTTGAACCCAGGGGGCAGAGGTTGTGGTGAGCCAAGATCGCGCCATTGCACTCCAGCCTGGGCAACAAGAGTAAAACTCCGTCTCAAAAAAAAAAAAAAAAAAAAAAAAGAATATTTGTGATTCATGGAGGAGAAGGTCAAAACAGCAAAATAGGTGCCAGGTGTGGTGGTGGCACATGCCTGTAATCCCAGTACTTTGGGAGGCCAAGGCAGGCAGATCACTTCAGCTCAGGAGTTCTTGACCAGCCTGGGCAACATGGCGAAAACCCATCTCTACAAAAAATAATTTAAAAATTAGCCGGGCATGGTGGTGTGCACCTGAAAGGCTGAGGTGGGAGGATCTTGAGCCTGGGATGCTGAGGCTGCAGTGAGCTGAGATCTCACCACTGCACTCCGGCCTAGGCAACAGAGTGAGACCCTATCTCACAAAGAACAAAAACAAACAAAAACCGGTAACAACAACAACAAAACAGGAGTTTGGAAGAAGTTGGTTCCAATCCTCATGGATGACTTGGAGGGATTCAAGACTAGAGTAGACGAAGAATTGCATATGAGATGAAAATAGCAAGATAACTAGGATTAGAAGTGGAGCCTGAAGATGTGACTGAATTGCTGCAATCTTATGATCAAACTTGAACGTATGAGTTGCTTCTTATGAATGAGTAAAGAAAGTGGTTTCTTAAGATGAAATATATTCCTGGTGAATATGGTGTGGACATTGTTGAAATGACAAGAAAGGTTTAGAATACTACATAAACTTAGTTGATAAAGCAGCAGCAGGATGTGAGAAGACTGACTCCAATTTTGAAGTTCTATATTGTGGGTAAAATGCTATCAAACAGCACTGCATGTTATAGAGAATTTTTGTGTGTGAAAGAGAATCAATGCAGAAAACTTCACTGTTGTCTTATTTTAAGAAACTGTCAGCCGGGCGCAGTGGCTCAAGCCTGTAATCCCAGCACTTTGGGAGGCAGAGGTGGGTGGATCACCTGAGGTCAGGAGTTCAAGACCAGCCTGGCCAACTTGGCAAAACCCCATCTCTACTAAAAAATACAAACAATTAGCCAGGCGTGGTGGTGGGCACCTGTAATCCCAGCAACTCGGGAGGCTGAAGCACGAGAATTGCTTGAACCCAGGCAGCGGAGGTTGCAGTGAGCCGAGATGACACCACTTCACTCCAGCCTGGGCAACAGAGAGAGACTCCATCTCAAAAAAAAAAAAAAAAAAGAAAAAAGAAAGAAAAAGAAAACTGTTGGCCTGGCGCAGTGGCTCACTCCTGTAATCCCAGCACATTAGGAGGCTGAGGCGGGCAGATCACCTGAGGTCGGGAGTTGGAAACCAGCCTGACCAACATGGAGAAACCCCGTCTCTACTAAAAATACAAAATTAGCCGGGCATGGTGGTGCATGCCTGTAATCCCAGCTACTCAGAAGGCTGAGGCAGGAGAATCGCTTGAACCCGGGAGGCAGAGGTTATGGTGAGCTGAGATTGCGCCATTGCACTCCAGCCTGGGCAACAAGAGCAAAACTCTGTCTCAAAAAAAAAAAAAAAAAAAAAAGAAAAGAGAAAGAAAAAAAAGAGAAACTGTCACGATAGCTGGGTCTGGTGACTCATGCCTGTAATCCTAGTACTTTTGGAGGCTGAAGTGGAAGGATTGCTTGAGGCCAGGGGCTTGATACCAGCCTGGGCAACCCAACAAGACCCTGTCTCTACAAAAAATTGTTTAGAAGTTAGTGGCTGGGCACAGTGGCTTATGCCTGTAATCCCAGCACTTTGGGAGGCTGAGGCAGGCAGATCACCTGAGGTCAGGAGTTTGAGACCAGCCTGGCCAACACGCTGAAATCCCATCTCTACTAAAAATACAAAAATTAGCTGGGCCTGGTGGCATGTGCCTGTAATCCCAGGTACTCAGGAGGGTGAGGCAGGAGAATCACTTGAACCCAGGAGGCGGAGTTTGCAGTGAGCAGAGATCCTGCCATTGCACTCCAGCCTGGGGGATAAGAGCGGGACTTCATCTCAAAAAAAAAAAGCTAGTCAGGTATGGGGGCCCATGCCTGTAGTCTCAGCTACTCCCAAGATGGGAGGATTGCTTGAGCCCCAGAATATGAGGTTATGGTGAACCATGATTGTGCCACTGCACTCCAGCCTGGGTGACAGAGCAAGACCCTGTCTCAAAGAAAAGGAAGCAAGCAAGGAAGGAAGGAATGAAGGCAGGAGGAAAGAAATTGCCATAGCCACCTTGGCCTTTAAACAACCACCACCCTGATTAGTTAGCAGCCATCAAGGTCAAGGCAAGACCCTCCACCAGCAAAAATATGATGACTCCCTGAAGGCTCCTGTTAATATATATATATATATTTAGCAACAAAGTATTTTTGCCAGGCGCGGTGGCTTACGCCTGCAATCCCAGCACTTTGGGAGGCCGAGGTGGGCGCATCACCTGAGGTCAGGAGTTCGAGACCAGCCTGACCAACATGGTGAAACCCCATCTCTACTAAAAATACAAAAAAAATTAGCCTAGCATGGTGGCGCATGCCTGTAATCCCAGCTACTCGGGAGGCTGAGGCGGGAGAATTGCTTGAACCTGGGAGGCGGAGGTTGCGGTGAGCCGAGATCGCACCATTGCACTCCAGCCCGGGCAACAAGAGCAAAACTCCGTCTCAAAAAAAACAAAAAACAAAAAATCCCAAAGTATTTTTAAATTAAGGCATGTACATTGTTTTCATTGTTTTTCAGACGTAATGCTATTGCACACTTAACCGACTACAGTATAGTATAAGCATAAATTTTTATGTGCACTGGAAAGCCAAAACATTCCCGTGACTCATTTTATTGTGATATTCATTTTATTGCAATGGTCTGGAATGGAACTTGCAATATCTCTGAGGTAGCCCTGTACACATACACACACACACACACACACACACACACACACACATCTACATCTATATACGCATTTGTCCTATTCGTTCTGTTTCTCTGGAGAACCCTGACTACCATAGTGAGTACATAGCTAAGGTAACTACCTGGGCTCAGACTGTGGCAGGAACTGGGGAGAAGGGTATCTCCATTACTTTTTATTTACATACATGTAATAGACTCACCGTTTTGCCAATAAAATTAGGAATACATAGTCCTAATTTGGGTGATGTAATTAAATACATCAATATTTTGTTTCTATGATTACCAGATATTTTGTTACCTAAATTCACTTGAAAACCACTACTGATCTGATTATACAAGGGAGACAGGATTTCTTTCCCCAAACCACTGTCAAAGTTTCCTGAAGCTGGAAAGCCCCTCAGGAGGAGTGGTCTGGCCAATTCCAACAAGTATTCTCAGAAATGTAATGATATAATCCTAACACTGAGTATTGGTACAGTGTATCAGCTTAGAAAAGTGCTTTTACATATAGTATGTTTTAAATTCTTCTGAACAACTGTGATATACTTTAGAGAGGATTGTCATTATTATAACTACCCCTCTTTTGCAAAAGAAGAAACTGAGAATCAAGAAGCTACGTGATGCATCATGTATCCAGTCTAATCAGCTAGACTATGACCAACCCAGGATGAGAAAAGAGTTCTTCTTGCATGCTTCATCTAGCACTTTTTCTTACCACTCAAATGTGTATCTGGCCAGGTAAGCAAACTCTGCTAGGAGATTAGAGTGCCAATTCAGCATCCTGACAAGGAATTTATTGTCAGTCACTTTTGACGGTGAGATGAGAAGGGAAGCTGGGGCAGTGAGGATAGCTAGAGAGTTGAGGTTGAGGGTGCAAAATGAGTCACCCTCATTTTTCTATAGAATAAAGTCAAGGCTTTTCTTTGTCCTTTCTTCTTTTTTGTCAAAATGAGTCTAATTCAAATGGACCCTACTTTGGGAAGCAATTCTTAATCACCCAGTCAAAATGTATCACTACCTCTTCTGTGTAGTCATTCACATTTTTTTTCTGTTTTGTTGTTGTTGTTGTTGTTATTGTTTTGTTTGTTTGTTTTTGAGACAGGATCTCACTCTGTCACCCAGGCTGGAGTGCAGTAGCGCGATCTTGGCTCACTGCAACCTCTGCCTCCTGGGTTCAAGTGATTATCCCACTTCAGCCTCCTGAGTAGCCAGGATCACAGGCATGCCACCATGTGTGGATAATTTTTATATATTTTTTTTGGTAGAGATGGGGTTTTTCACCATGTTGGCCAAGTTGGTCTCAAACTCCTGACCTCAAGTGATCTGCCTGACTCGGCCTCCCAAAGTGCTGGGATTACAGGCATGAGCCACTGCACCCGGCTCATTGACATCTTTTATTACAAGACTAATCATATATTGGACATGTATCTGTCTCCCTAAGCAGCCTGAAAGCCACTAAGGGCAAGTACTGGGTCTTTTTCTGTGCACTCATTCAATCAACTGAGGTTTATTGCAAGTACCTCTTTCTGTTGCAACTTGCTAAACCCTATGGATACAAAGATGAAGTTCCTAATCTATTTGGAAAAAGATACATAAGCCACTAATTACAATCCAATGTGATAAGTGGATGCATTAAGTTCTGGAGAGCACAGAAAAGGAAACATTAAAACTATCTGGGATAAGATAGTTAAGTACTTAAGAAGGGAGATTTTCAAGCAGTGTCCTGAAAGATGTGGAGGAAAAAGAACATTCAAGGCCCAGGACATACCTTATATAAATGGTAGATGCAATAAAGGAACAGGGCCAGTCCAGGAATAATAAGTAGTTCTGTGTGAACTGGCATGAAGTTGGACAAGTATGAAAATTGCAATAAAAAGGATCCTGGATACCAAGCTAAAGAATTTAGACTTTATTCTCTAGTTTGGTCCTGCCAAACCTGCAGGCCACAGAATTTTTTCAAAAGGTTTTGTAACATAGACTAAATAAATAAGCCTGAAATGTGTGTGTAATTGTTTAAATGTCCATAGACACTGTAATAATACATTCAAAGCTGTGTGTAAGTGGTTTAGAAGTTAGAGTAGCTTTTTGTCATTATTTCTATCAATCAATAAACACTAAAACTACAACTACTATTGTGTGAAGGTACAAAGGATTTTTGTTATTAATGTCGAAAGAAGTCCTTATAATTACTTTTAAGTGATAAATCAATGAGATTTTTTTCTTTTTCTTTTTTTTTGGGGGGGATGGAGTCTTGCTCCGTCGACCAGACTGGAGTGCAGTGGCACGAACTCAGCTCACTGCAACCTCCGCCTCCCGGGTTGAAGGGATTCTCCTGCCTCAGCCTCCCGAGTAACTGGGATTACAGGCGTGTGCCACCATGCCCGGCTAATTTTTGTATTTTTAGTAGAGATGGGGTTTCACCATGTTGTTCAGGCTGGTCTCGAACTCCTGATCTCGTGATCTGCCTGCCTCGGCCTCCCAAAGTCCTGGGATTACAGGCATGAGCCACCGCACCCAGCCAGAGGTTTTTTCTTATGCAAAAACTTTTATTTCCTTTTCCCCATAAGACATGATACATTTTACTTTAAAACTTTAGAAAATACAGATAAAAGACAATAAAAAAGAAACATCCAATAGTTCTAGCACTCAGAAACAACTAATGTTCACATTTGTTAAACTTCCAGCCCTTTTTCTATGCATATGTATATAAACAAACATTTTTAATTTACACATATTTAATTGTAATCTCTTTACTTATATTTATAAACATCTTTTTGACATTACATATATACATCTGCATCACCATTTAAGATAGCTACACAGTATTCTAAGAGATAAATATTTCCTAATTTACCTCCTACTGTTGGATGTTTAGGTTGTCTCTAATTTTTCCATCGCAAATATTAAAGAAATGAACATCTGTGTGTGTGTTTCTACATTTGTCCAATTATTTCATTAGGATATATATATATATATATATATATATATATATTTTAGACAGAGTCTCGCTTTGTCACCCAGGCTGGCATGATCTCAGCTCACTGCGACCTCCGCCTCCTGGGTTCATGCGATTCTCCTGCCTCAGCCTCCCGAGTAGCTGGGACTACAGGTGCCTGCCACCATGGCTGGCTAATTTTTGTATTTTTAGTAGACAGGGTTTCGCCATGTTGATCAAGCTGGTCTTGAACTCCTGACCTCAGGTGATTCACCCACTTTGGCCTCCCAAAGTGCTGGGATTACAGGCATGAGCCACTGTGCCTGGTCTCATTAGGATATTACACTGGAAATGATTCAAGGCATATGTGCATTTTGAGGCTTTGATATACATTGCTAAATTACCTTCCAAAAGTCTGTCCCCACATTTACAGCTACCATTTGTGTATGAGTGTCCATGTTCCACACTTTTTTCAGGGTATTAGTAATAGTAGATTTGGCAAGTAGCAAAAAATATTAAAATTTTCCTTAATAGTGAAGTTGAACTTTTTTTCTTTAACAACTTTGAGAGGCAATTTACATTAAAATACCATAAAATGAAGCCATTGATTTACCATAAATTATCATAAAATTCAGCCAATATAAGTGTACAATTTAATGATTTTAGAAAATATATAGTCTGCAACCATCACCACAATCTGCTTTTAGAACATTTCTAACACCCTAGCAAGTTCCCCTCTGGCCATTTAACGTCTGCTTCCATCCCAGTCCTAGGATACCACTATTTTGCTTTCTATTTCTATAAAGTTGCCCTTTCTAGACATTTCATATACATAGAACCAGACAATATGTAGTCTTTTGCATCTGGCTTTTTTCAGTTAAGTCTGTTAAGACCCTTGCCCACTCTTCTTTTCTTTTTTTTTAGACAGGGTCTTGCTCTGTTGCCTAGGCTAGAGTGCAGTGGTAGAATCATAGTTCACTGAAACCTCGAACGCCTAGGTTCAAGCAGTCCTCCCATCTCAGCCTCCTGAGTAGCTGGGACTGAGAGGTGAAGCCAGCTGGACTTCTGGGTTGGGTGGGGACTTGAAGAACTTTTCTGTGGCTAGCTAGAGGTTTGTAAAATGGACCAATCAGCACCCTGTAAAATGGACCAATCAGTGCTCTGTAAAATGGACCAATCAGCAGGACATGGATGGGGACAAATAAGGGAATAAAAGCTGGCCACCCCAGCCAGCAGCGGCAATCCGCTTGGGTCCCCTTCCACGCCGTGGAAGCTTTGTTCTTTCACTCTTCATGATAAATCTTGCTGCTGCTCACTCTTTGGGTCCGTGCCACCTTTAAGAGCTGTAACACTCACTACGAAGGTCCGTGGCTTCATTCTTGAAGTCAGTGAGACCAAGAACCCACTGGAAGCAACCAACTCCGGACACATCTTGGTGACCCAGATGGGACTATCGCCAAGCAGTGAGTACCACTGTGAGAGGTGACAGTGTGCTGGCAGCCCTCGCAGCCCTCGCTTGCTCTCGGCGCTTCCTCAGCCTCGGTGCCCACTCTGGCCCTTCAGCCTGCTGCTGCACTGTGGGAGCCCCTCTCTGGGCTGGCTGAGGCCAGAGCCAGCTCCCTCTGCTTGTGGGGAGGTGTAGAGAGGCGGGGGCGGGAACCGGGGCTGCCTGTGGTGTCCACGGGCCAGCGCGAGTTCTGGGTGGGCGTGGGCTCAGTGGGCCCTGCACTCGGAGCAGCTGGCCAGTGCGACCGGCCCCGGGCAGGGAGGGGTTTAGCACCTGGGCCAGCAGCTGTGGAGGGTGTGTGGGTCCCCCAGTAGTGCTGGCCCGCAGGTGCTGTGCTCGAATTCTCGCCGGGCCTCAGCTTCCTCCTCACGGGGCAGGGCTCGGGACCTGCAGCCTGCCATGCCCGAGCCTCCCCCCACTGCCGTGGGCTCCTGTGTGGCCCGAGCCTCCCCGACGAGCGCCGCTCCCTGGTCCGCAGCGCCCGATCCCATCGACTGCCCAAGGGCTGAGGAGTGTGGGTGCATGGCGCAGGACTGGTGGGCAGCTCCGCCTGTGGCCCCCGTGCAGGATCCACTAGGTGAAGCCAGCTGGGATCCTGAGTCTAGTGGCGACTTGGAGAACCTTTATGTCTAGCTAAGAGATTGTAAATACACCAATCAGCACTCTATGTCTAGCTCAAGGTTTATAAACACACCAATCAGCACTCTGTGTCTAGCTCAAGGTTTGTAAATGCACCAATCAGCACCCTGTGTCTAGTTCAAGGTTTGTAAATGCACCAATCAGTGCTCTGTGTCTAGCTCAAGGTTTGTAAACACACCAATCAGCACTCTGTGTCTACTTCAAGGTTTGTGAATGCATCAGTCAGCACTCTGTATCTGGCTAATCTGGTGGGGACTTGGAGAACCTTGATGTTTAGCTCAAGGTTTGTAAATACACCAATTAGCACTCTGTGTCTAGCTCAAGGTTTGTAAACCACCAATCAGCACCCTGTGTCTAGCTCAAGGTTTGTAAATGCACCAATCAGTGCTCTGTGTCTAGCTAATCTAGTGGGGACTTGGAGAACTTTTTTGTCTAACTCAGGGATTGTAAATGCACCAATCAACACCCTGTCAAAATGGACCAATGAGCTCTCTGTAAAACGGACCAATCAGCTCTCTGTAAAATGGGCCAATCAGCAGGATGTTGGTGGGGTCAGATAAGGGAATAAAAGCAGGCTGCCGGAGCCAGCATTGACAACCCACTCGGGTCCCCTTCCACACTGCGGAAGCTTTGTTCTTTCACTATTTGCAATAAATCTTGCTGCTGCTCACTCTTTGGGTCCGCACTGCCTTTATGAGCTGTAATACTCACCGCGAAGGTCTGCAGCTTCACTCCTGAGGCCAGCGAGACCATGAACCTACTGGGATGAATGAACAACTCCAGATGCGCTGCCTTAAAAGCTGTAACACTCACTGCGAAGGTCTGCAGCTTCACTCCTGAAGCCAGCGAGACCACCAGCCCACCAGAAGGAAGAAACTCTGAACATGTCCGAACATCAGAAGGAACAAACTCCGGAAACACCACCTTTAAGAACTGTAACACTCACCGTGAGGGTCCGTGGCTTCATTCTTGAAGTCAGTGAGACCAAGAACCCACCAATTCTGGACACAACTGGACCCCTTTCGCTTGCTATTCTGTCCTATTTTTCCTTAGAATCTGGGGGCTAAACACCGGGCACCTGTCGGCCAGTTAAAAGCAACTAGCGCGGCCACCAGACTAAAGACACAGGTGTCAGGCTTTCTGGGAAAGGGCTCTGAGTCCTTACTCAGACTTGTGGGACAACCCCGCAACCAGTGGCATACCTAAGTAAGGAAATTGATACAGTAGCAAAAGGCTGGCCTCACCGTTTACAGGTAGTTGCAGCGGTGGCCATCTTAGTATCAAAGGCTATCAAACTAATGCAAGGAAAGGATCTCACCGTCTGGACTACTAATGATGTAAATGGCATAGGTGCCAAAGGAAGTTTATGGCTATCAGGCAACCGCCTGCTTAGATACCAGGCGCTATTCCTTGAGGGACCGGTGCTTCAAATACACATGTGTGCGGCCCTCAACCCTGCCACTTTTCTCCGAGAGGATGGAGAACCAATCAAGCATGACTGCCAACAAATTATAGTCCAGACTTATGCCACCGGAGAGGATCTCTTAGAAGTCCCCTTAGCTAATCCTAATCTTATATACCGATGGAAGTTGATTTGTGGATAATCGGATACGGAAGGCAGGTTATGCCATAGTTAGTGATGTTATGCCATAGTTAGTAATGTAACAGTACTCAAAAGTAAGCCTCTTCCCCGAGGAACCAGTGCCTAGTTAGCAGAACTAGTGGCACTTACCTGAGCCTTAGAACTGGGAAAGGGAAAAAGGATAAATGTGTATACAGATAGCAAGTATGCTTATCTAATCCTACGTGCCCATGCTGCAATATGGAAAAGGAATTCCTAACATCTGGGGGAACCTCCGTTAAATACCACAAGGAAATCATGAAGCTGTTGCATGCAGTGCAAAAACCCAAGGAGCTGGCAGTCTTACACTGCCAAAGCCATCAAAAAGGTGAAGAAGAAAAGGCAGAAGGAAACCATCGGGCAGATGCTGAGGCCAAAATTGCTGCCAGGCAGAACCTCCCATCGGAAATACCTACGGAAGGACCCTTGGTATAGAACAACCCTCTCCAACAGATTAAGCCCCAGTATTCCCGACTGAAACAGAATGGGGACTTTCACGGGGGCATAGTTGTCTCCCCTCGGGGTGCTTAACGACAGAGAGACAAAGAGGGAGTCAGAGAGAGAGAGAGAGAGAGAGGGCAAAAACAGAAAGTCAAAGAGAATGGGGGGGAGGACAGAAAGTCAAAGAGAGAAGGAAAGAGAGGAAGAGACAGAGACAAAGAGGAAGTCAGAGAGAAAGAGAGAGACAGACAAGGAGTCAGAGAGAGAGAAAGAGAGATAGAAGTAGTAAAGAAAAAACAGTGTACCCTATTCCTTTAAAAGCCAGGGTAAATTTAAAACCTATAATTGATAATTGAATGTCTTCTCCATGACACTCCATAACACTCCATTACCACCTTGTTGTCAGTGTAAACAAGGGCGTAGCCCAAAAACACTGAGGCACTGACAGCCCATAGCCTTCCTATCAAAAATCCTTAACCCAGCAGGTTTCCTAACAGGGGATCTAAATCTTAGTTAATTACTATACAAAGGTCCGACCAGACTTAGGAAGAACTCCCTTCAGGACAGGAAGATAGATGGTTCCTCTCAGGCAATTAAGGGAAAAAGACACAATGGGTATTCAGTAAGTGATAAGGAAACTCTTGTAAAAGCAGAGTTAGGAAAATTGCCTAATAATTGATCTGCTCAAACACGCAAGCTGTTTGCCCTCAGCTAAACCTTAAAGTACTTACAGAATCAGGAAGGAGCCATCTATACCAATTTTAAGTTAATATGGACTGAATGAGGTCTTATTAATAGCAAAGAATAATTGATATCCCAAACTTACAAGGTTTTCAACAGAAGTAAAGTTTGCTAAAAGTTAACAGTATAAAATGTGTTATCCTAACTTCAAAGCTTGTGGAAATCAGACCCTATCAGTACCCCTCAAAGCTCAAGTCAGTTAGCACAGAGCCATACAACTAATACCCCTACTTAAAGGGTTAGGAATGGCCACTGCTACAGGAACCAGAATAGCCAGTTTATCTACTTCACTATCCTACTACCACACACTCTCAAAAGATTTCTGACAGTTTACAAGAAATAACAAAATCTATCCTTACTCTACAATCCCAAATAGACTCTTTGGCAGCAGTAACTCTCCAAAACCGCCAAGGCCTAGACCTCCTCACTGCTGAGAAAGGAGGACTGTGCACCTTCTTAGGGGAAGAGTGTTGCTTTTACACTAACCAGTCAGGGATAGTATGAGACACTGCCTGGCATTTACAGGAAAAGGCTTCTGAATCAGACAACACCTTTCAAACTCTTATACCAACCTCTGGAGTTGGGCAACATGGCTTCTCCCCTTTCTAGGTCCCGTGACAGCCATCTTGCTATTACTCACCTTCGGGCCCTGTATTTTTAACCTGCTTGTCAAATTTGTTTCCTCCAGGATGGAGGCCATCAAGCTACAGATGGTCTTACAAATGGAACCCCAAATGAGCTCAACTCAAAACTTCTACTGAGGACCCCTGGATCTTTGACTGGCCTAGAGAGTTCCCCTCTGGAGGACACTACCACTGCAGGGCCCCTTCTTCGCCCCTATCCAGCAGAAGTAGCTAGAGTGGTCATTGCCCAATTCCCAACAGTAGTTGGGGTGTCATGTTTAGAGGGGGGATTGAGAGGTGAAGCCAGCTGGACTTCTGGGTCAGGAGGGGGACTTGAAGAACTTTTCTGTAGCTAGCTAGAGGTTTGTAAAATGGACCAATCAGCACCCTGTAAAATGGACCAATCAGTGCTCTGTAAAATGGACCAATCAGCAGGACATGGATGGGGACAAATAAGGGAATAAAAGCTGGCCGCCCCAGTCAGCAGCGGCAACCTGCTTGGGTCCCCTTTCACGCTGTGGAAGCTTTGTTCTTTGGCTCTTCACAATAAATCTGCTCACTCTGGATCTGTGCAACCTTTAAGAGCTGTAATGCTCACCGCAAAGGTCCGCACCTTCATTCTTGAAGTCAGCGAGACCAAGAACCCACTGGAAGGAACCAACTCTGGATGCAGGACTGCAGACACATGCCACCATGCCTGGCAAATTTTTTAATTTTTAGGAGAGATGAGGTCTTGATATGTTGCCCAAGCTGGTCTTGAACTCCTGGGCTCAAGTGATCCTCCTGCCTTGGCCTCTCAAAGTGTTAGGATTACAGATGTGAGCCACCATGTTCAGCCCTGTGCCTATTTTTCTACTGGGGCACTGAAGGATTTTACAGAGAAAGGCATAGTCAGTTTCATATTAATTAAAGATAACTCTGGCAGCACTAGAAATGATGGCTCTATCTTTGCATTTCCAACTCTAGGACAATGAGTAAAAGTTTACTGCATTGGATTGGGCTTTAATCTATCTGCAATAAAGGTTTTATATATAATACAGCACCGAGGAGTGATAAAATTATTTATGTGAATTAAGTCTTAGTTTCCTCTCCTCAAGGAGTGTCATAAATTTCTAATTTAGTTTCTAAAAAAAACTTAACATTAATCCTTTAAAGCTGGGCACTTTCGTGCAGTAGAATTAGATCCTTTCTGGAACAAGGTGGAGTATAAAGAAATGTTGCCTTACTCTAATGTTGCTCTTGGTTGTTTGTTTTATGCGTCAAGAGCCCTTAAAAGGTTCCTCATCGCTAAGATAGACTAATACTAGAAACTCTTTGAAAATTAAACCGTTCTTTGAATTCTTCAATATTGCTGAAAGTATCTCTTAAAAGACCCATACCCAGGTAAAAACTTTCCAATCTAAAAAAGAAAAATGTCCTACTTTGATCTCAACCATTACTGAATTTGTATCCCATGCTATTTTGCTAAATCCAATTTAACTGTTCCAGAAATAATGCTTAGGTTTGGTAAAAGTTGCAGTTCTTAAAGGTAGTGGAGAAACTCAGAGCTTGACATAATCAAACAAGGTGACTGAAACATTTCTTCTTATTCCTCCTTCTAACATTCCTTCCAGTTGCCCCTGCGCAGAGTGGTTTGTGGATGGTTTGCCTTAAAGCTGCTGTCAAGGCTCCTCACTTGCATGGGCTCCTTTTTTTTTTTTTTTTTTTAAACGGAGTCTCACTCTTGTTGCCCAGGCTGGAGTGTAGTGGTGCGATCTCAGCTCACTGCAACGTCTGCCTCCTGGGTTCAAGCGATTCTCCTGCCTCAACTTCCTGAATAGCAGGGATTACAGGCACCCGCCATCATCCATGCCTGGCTAATTTTTGTATTTTTAATAGAGTCTGGGTTTTGCCATGTTGGCCAGGCTGGTCTTGAACTCCTGACCTCAGCTGATCCGCCCGCCTTGGCCTCCCAAAGTGCTGGGATTACAGGTGTGAGCCACTGCACCCGGTCGGCCTCCTTTCTAATTTGGGACTCCTAATGTTGTGTATCTCCTTAAAGAGATAACTCCAAACTGTATAAGCCTCAGGCCCCACAAAACCTGAATCTACCCCTTTCACCAAGGATCTTTCTCACCTATCCTAAAGGTTCTCCGTCGGTAGGTTCTTGATTTAATGGGTTGACTGTAGCTATATTTCTACAAGTCTTCTTTTCCATGATTTATCTTAGACAGACATCTTTTTAGAAAAATCTGTTAAATAATAAAGTAATAACATAAATGAGTCACTTAGAATCCCCCATAAAACGTCATTCATGTTCATTCTGTGACCACATAACCTTATGTGATTATCATTAACCTAGGTTTTTTGTTGTCGTTTTTTTTTTTTGCTCTGTCACCCAAGCTGGAGTGCAGTAGTACAATCACAGCTCATTGCAGCCTTGAACTCCTGGCCTCAAGCGATCCTCTCGCTTTGGCCTCCTAAGTAGCTAGGACTACAGGCAAGTGTGTCACCATGCCTGGTTAACTTTCTGTTATTATTTTCAGAGACAGCGTCTCATTATGTTGCACAAGCTGGTCTCAAACTCCTGGCCTCAAGTGATCCTCCCACCTCAGCCTCCTGAGTACCTGGGATTACAAGTGCAAGCTACGGCACCCAGCTCTAACTTTTTAAAAGCAGTTTTATTTTGATAAAAATGATTCACTTTACAGAGACCTACTTACTGCAACATTGTCCTATATTCTTCTCTTCAAAACATGTGTATGATGTGGCCACAGCACAGCATTCAGTTGAGACAGGCAGCAGGAAGGGGCAATAGCCTGGCATTTCGGTGACACCTGGAAGGATGACCTGGTTGTTGATGCCTAGAGGTTGGTGAGGGATATTAAAGTGTCAGAGCCACATCTGGCTTGTTCACCACTGTATGCTCAGTGCTTAGCATAAGGTCTGGCAACCAGTCAGTACTTAGTTATTGACTGAATGACTAATATTGAACCTGCTGACCCCAATTTTATTTTGTAATGGTTTTGGGGCTATGGAACAACATCCTAGATAATAGCAATTACCTTATTATTTTCCATAAAGAATCCTGACTAGTTAATTAATTGATTAAACAAGTGTATATTGAGTGCCTACTATGACCAAACAATAGGATCACTTGGGATTGAGAGAGAGCCAAAGGAGGAAAAATCTGGAGTGTGAGCAATTTCCCATCCCCATCGCAGGCCTGTACTTTATGGCCTGAGATAAGTAAGAATGGCCAGGCGCAGTGGCTCAGGCCTGTAATCCCAGCACTCCGCAAAGCTGAGCTGGGGTGGGTCACTTGAGGTCAGGAGTTTGAGAGAGACCAGCCTGGCCAACATGGCAAAACCCCGTCTCTACTGAAAACACAAAAATTAGCTGGTTGTGGTGGCTGGCTCCTGTTATTCCATCTACTTGGGAGGCTGAAGCAGGAGAATTGCTTAAACTCGGGAGGTGGAAGTTGCAGTGAGCCAAGATTGCACCACTGTACTCCAGCCTGGGTAACAGAGCGAGACTCCATCTCAAAAGAGAATAGAGAAGTTGAAAAAGACATAGCCTTATTTTATTTTTGCCGAAGAGATGGAACATAAAAATAATACTGGGGAAGAAGTAATAGTACTTAGAGAAGGGGGAAAATTAGAGCCCTCTATTGGCTTAAGTGGCTCTGGAGGATTAGGACATCAAGCTCTTCCAGGAACTAGGCTCTACTTAACATTCATCGGAAATATTCTTAGAGGGAGAGGTCACAACAGTATATTGTCCTAAAGATATAGTCATTTTAGGTTTCAGTTAACATAATGTAATGCCTTTCTTTAGGATCAGAACACTTTGCGGGGCTCCTTGGGGCCTGATGTGAGGCACAGGGGCAAAGTCACTTGAGAAGTTTGACCCGGCGAAAGATGGAACCCAGCTTCTTCCTGACCTTGGGGCCAGTGCTACCAAGCAATAATATTTCCCAGCAAAATTCAATTAAACAAAATCCCAGAGTTGTTTTCCTTCAAATTATCTTTGATTTAATTTCTTCTTTTATATAAAAGACAACAAATTACATTTCAGAGAACAATGTTTAGGTTATAAGGTTCCCGTCAGAGCTGTTTCACAACACGTGTTTACATAATCTGAAGTGAAGGCAGCAGTGGACTGTAAAACCGGCCAGCCAGGCCAGTTTGTGTGCATCTAGGGGATTAATTTCACTTTGGGTCACAAACTAATGTAACATTCTACTGTTTAGGTGTCAACTAGATTTGGATTTGGTTTTGGATATTCTAATGGGGATGAAATTGAGTTTAGAAAAAACAAAAACCACCACCACCAGATTCTAAAAAGCAATTAGGTCAGTGCTTTGTAAAGAAAACATACAACATCAATATTTTCTGCTCTTATCAATGAGTTCAAACATTTGACACTTTGAATACTGATATTTAAATAAGTCAAATCTTTGGTGAGAAAAACTTATGCATTTTTCTGTTTGTACCACCCAATGTGTTACTAATTATTTGCCCTATTAATCCATTGTGCTTTGCTGTCCAAGATTAACAGAATAATGCAATGTGTTCAAAATGCAAAGAGAATAAATAGCATACAGAAGCATTAAACAAGTCGCAGAAAACTTATCTTAGAGGAAATTTACCAAACTAAAAGCGAATACATTTAACCTATATGATTGCATTTGCTGGTGAAGGTACCAAATATTAAATTTTGGACAGTTATGAGGAGGAACCTGAAAATGGGTCGTTGCTGCTTGACCTCTCGGCTTCTTTTATCAACCCTCCTCAAGGCTCCCAACTGAAAGGGATCTGTTTCTCTAATAGTCCTCAGTATAAATTGCTTTGCATCATAGTTAATTATATACACAGTTCCTTTACTAGATTAAAAGTTCATTTCAGATATGAATGATGTCTTATACATCTTTATCTCCTCCAAAGCACTGGACAGAAAAGTCTTTTACTTCTATAGTTAGTAGCTGCATTGCATTTGCAAAATATACTTAATATAAATAAAGTATTTCCCTTTAATATAGTCCCCTTTTATGAATAAATTTATTCCTTACATCAAAGCATTTTTTGGGTGTGATAATAAAATTGATTTTGGATGATCACCCACAGGTGTCAAACTTAATTTTCTTTGTCCTTTCTGGCTATTAGCATACCACATATTCATATATAGACTTTCTAAGGAAGACCCCTCTAAATAATCCATATTTTACTTAATAATATCCTCAGTTGTATGTTAAGCTAAATTCAAGAGTTAAGCATGAGAGCAAAAAGTGAAAGAAATTCAATTAGAAAATTCAAAGAGATGACAGCAGACAAAGAAGGTCTAAAATTAGTTGAGATATGAATGACTTCATATCTCATCATTCTAATGTGTGGGCCAGGATATACACACTTACAAAGAGTTCTCTGACCAAGCCAAATAATAGGCCAAAGAGTTGATCTCATGAAAAAAAAACTTAAGAAGGCAAAGTCATACAGCGTAAGTCTAATACAAGATTTTAGAAGTTCTAAATTATCGAGTCTTTTTTTCTTTTTTTTGAGATGGAGTTTCACTCTTGTTGCCCAGGCTGGAGTGCAATGGCACGATCTCAGCTCACTGCAACCTCTGCCTCCCGGGTTCAAGCGATTCTCCTGCCTCAGCCTACTGAGTACCTGGGATTATAGGCACACGCCACCACGCCCGGCTAATTTTGTATTTTTAGTGGAGATGGGGGTTTCTCCATGTTGGTCAGGCTAGTCTCAAACTCCCGACCTCAGGTGATCTGCCTGCCTCGGCCTCCCAAAGTGCTGGGATTACAGGTGTGAGCCACCACACCCAGCCAATTATTTTTTTCTTTAATTAAAAAAATTGTTTTTTTGAGACAGGGTCTTACTCTGTTGCTCAGGCCGGAGTACAGTGGCACAATCAGGGCTCATTGATGTCCTGGGCTCAAGCAATCCTCTCACCTCAGCTTCCTGGGTACCTGGGACTACAGCTGCATGACACTGTGCCCAGCTAATTTTTTTTAAATTTATTTTTTTGTAGAGACAGGGTCTCACTATGTTGTCCTGGCTGGTCTTGAACTCCTGGGCTCAAGTGATCCTCCCACCTCAGTCTTCCAAGAGCTGGGATCACAGCTGTGCCCACATCAAGTCTTTTCGTTTTGTTTTGTTTTTTGAGATGGAATTTCGCTTTTGTCACCCAGGCTGGAGTGCAGTGGCGTGATCTTGGCTCACTGCAACCTCCGCCTCCTGGGTTCAAGCAATTCTCCTGCCTCAGCCTCCTGAGTAGCTGGGATTACAGGTGCACGCCACCACGCCCAACTAATTCTTGTATTTTTAGTAAAGACGGGGTTTCACTGTGTTGGCGAGGCTGAGTCTTGAACTCCTGGCCTCATGTGATCCGCCCACCTTGGCCTCCTAAAGTGCTGGGATTACAGGCATGAGCCACCATGCCCGGCCTCACATCAAGTCTTTTAAAGAAACAATAGCAAAGATTCACATTGTCTTTTAGTTTAGTAAATACCTCATTCATTGTCATATTCACTTAGTTCATTAAATGGACAAAAATATATTAAATCATTTTTTCCATGTGTTAAAACATTCAAGTACATTATTGAAAAGTGGCAATGAAACTCTGTCTCCACCTCTCAAAGAACTGGGATGACAGGCATGAGCCACAGTGCCCAGCCCTGTTTCTGAAGTTTTTACAGAGAAGGAAGGTGACTGGGGATAAACTGGGATTAAGCCTAGATCGCTCCCAGTGCTGTCTGGCTTTTGAATCCTATGTCTCTTAACTGAATAAGATTCTGAAGTCATAAAGATTCAGGGGCTCTCAAGCACAGAGAAGCACTTTCTCCATTCATTATACTCCTTTTCTAAGAGAAATTAACACAGTGATCTGACACCTACTGCAGAATTTTCCAATTAACCGAACTCCTACTACCAGCAATTTATGTGAACAAAAACTTTTGAGACTATTTCCATCAATGTAACTATGTTCAAAAGGCTATTACTAATAGCTGTAAATTAAGGTTTGTAGTGATGAAATAACATCTGAGATTGACAATATTTCAGTGGAAAAGAAAAAAAAAGATAGGTGAAGCAAATACAGCCAAGTTTTATAATTATTAATCTAGGGGATAGGCATTGTGAGGTTCACCGTATTACTCCATGTTACTTTTGTGTGGGCTTGAGATTTTCATAATGAGACTTTTTATTAAAACAAACGAGCTTTAGGAAATACAGTTCATCATTAATATAGGTCTATGGCTTTATGAATAGGACAGAAAGCTTTGCTGAAAGAAATTAAGGCTGATCTTGAATCTGGGCTCCTTACTAGGTTTGCAAAAACCATTTTTCTTTTTCAAAGGAAGGAAATAACACAAATCCATACACTATCTGAGAGGTGAACATACAATAGATTTTTAAACTTTAGCTTAAAATTAGAGAAATCTAATTTTTTCAGAAAAAAAAAATCACCATGTTGTATCCTGACCTGGACACAGAGGCTGTATTACTTGGAAAACGTGAATGTGGATACTAGTTTAGCTTTTAGTTCAGAAGAAATAAGGGAAGAGCGTCGATTCCAAGGATCCAGATTCCTTAATCTTTTTCTCAGATTTAAGGAGTTTTTCTCACAGGGTTTTAACTCTGTACTGTCAGAGGCATGTGAACCAGAGCAACTCCTGTCTTGAATAGCAGCTGGGTAAAATGAGGCTGAGACCTGCCAGGCTGCATTCTCAGATGGTTAAGGCATTCTAGGTCACAGGATAAGACAGGAGGTCGGCACAAGATTCAGGTCATAAAGATCTTGCTGATAAAACAGGTTGCAGTAAAGAAGCCGACTAAAACCCACCAAAACCAAGATGGCAATGAGAGTGACCTCTGGTCTTCTCACTGCTACACCCCCACCAGCGCCATGACAGTTTACAAATGCCATGGCAATGTCAGGACGTTAGCCTATATGGTCTGAAAGGGGCAGGCATGAATAATCCACCCCTTGATTAGCATATCACCAAGAAATAACCATAAAAATGGGCAGCCAGCAGCCCTCGGGGCTGCTTTGTCTATGGAGTAGCCATTCTTTTATTCCTTTACTTTCCTAATAAACTTGCTTTCACTTTACTCTGTGGACCTGCCTGGAATTCTTTCTTGCGCAAGATCCAAGAACCTTCTCTCACGGTCTGGATCAGGACCCCTTTCCTGTAACAGTACTGCCAGTTACAGAAGTAAGCAGATGGAGGTCTCTTTCTGAAGGTCATACCTCAAACAAAATCAATCCTTTTTTGTGGTGCAGAAACCAGTCCACCCCCAGAGGACACAAAATATGCTGGGCTGAGGCCTCTTCCTCCCTGGCCCCTTCTCTGTTCGCCGTCTCCCCTATGGGCCTCTCAGGCTCCTCTCTGCCATGCTTTCCCCACTGGGTCCATCATGACAGCCTACGCTGGGATCTCAGGGATCCAAAAAGCAAAAGCACCCCCTGGGTCTATGGGGACAATCATTCTTGTTCTTATGCAAAGTCTGGCTTGGGGAACTGTAATTTCGATCTAAGTCACTGGTACTGGATTAGAAATAAAAGAGGAGTTAGACAGCAACAAACTCTCCTACTTTATTTATTTTGTATACATTTCATGATCCTGGGGATTACATTGACATTACTTTTGTCTCTACTTTTTCTTCAAATAGAGATTAAGACTCAGTTAAAAATGTACTTTATTAACACTGATGCCATGAAAACTTCTTTTTAAAAATGAGGTATTTGGCTTACTGTCCCAAACAGTAGAGGTTTGGGCAAACTGCAGAAATGGTCTAGTAAGTAAGAAAATGAAAGTGAATACACTGAAACATAAAACAGAAGCAGGATTTGACAATATGCTGCTCTGACACCCTGAGAATCTTTACTGCAGGCAAAATAAATCCACCACCTTTTATCTCTAAAAGCAAAACCCAGCATGATTTCTTCCTAGGGCATACATTTCTATTCAGAAAAGACCACAGAATAAAGAGGTGAGTTAATATGAGAAAGGTAAAGACACTAAGATCATTCTTTTTGCCCCTTTCCCCACCCCAATAAAAAAATACTCATTAAGGGGCCACTATTTCCCTTGCTTTCAAATTATCTTAGAAAATATTTAGAATTACACAACAGCAGCATTTACAAGTGAATTTATATAGAACTGTTGTCAAGGCTCAAAATATCATGAGAGCTCTTGAAAAAAACAGTTGAGGTATTTCACATAAAAAACTGAACAATCAGGTTAGCCACGCCCAAAATGATGATGAAAACGTGGAAGATTAATTTAGGCCATGTCAGACGCTCTTCTTGGTGGAGGGAAATTATATAGATGAGAGATGGGTATATGAATACAAAGGCCAGTCCACATGCTGCTCCTGAATATCTGCAAAATAAAAGCTTTTGGGGTTAATATTCATCTTGCACTTTGCTTTTTACAATTAAGGTAAACATAGTACAATTTAAATCCTCCTCAGTCTGATAGCTCAACAAAAATTATTTTTGATTCATTTGTTGTTGACATAAAACATCTGGGTTTAAAACTTACTTTACTTGCTAAGTTAATATAAAATATGATTTCCTGCTCATCTTTATAGCATCTGCTTAACAAAGACTTTTTATTCATCCCTCAAATCTCTGTAGTTCCTCTGTATTTGGTGATTGTGGCTACTTCCTCAGAAACATCTGGAGCTAGGCCTCCTATCTTTGATCTTTTATAAACTAATTACTCATTCTCAGTTTTTGAGGGACCGTTAGCATCCCGGTTTAAGTATAAGAACAGATAAATGCTACCATGGCATTCAGCATGATTACGAAAGATAATAACAAAAATACTTAAACATGAGACTGTGACAGAGAAATATGCACTTTCTTCTCCTTTTCTCTATACTTGGGTTTTCTTGAGGAACAGTTCAATAGGAACTGGTAAGCCCTTTATATTCAATAAGCATCAGGCTAACAATCTCCCCTTCTTGTTCCTTGTTACTTTCTTAGGTAAGAGTGTTCCAAAAAAAATGACTCCTTCCTGCTGTCCATAGTAAGAGAAATCAGATCATTCTAAATCCCAATTTCCCATGAGAATTTGAGGTACAACTTTATTCCTACTCTATTCATCCTGTCACGTTTTTAGGAAAAGGATATTAAAGAAAGCCATCTAGGGTCTAAATTCTTACTTAAACTCTTACTTTTTGACTACAATTGACATTGAAAAATACTTTTGAGTAGAAATGGATTAAGGAACTTAGAATGGATTAAGGAAGCTCTGACAAATAAAGGACCTCCCAGGTAATCCCAAAAAGTTATACATATATTAAAAATAACTTTTTATTTTGGATATAGAGAGGAAATAAAGTGGAAGATGATGAGAGAAAGAAAAAGAAAATGATGCCTGAGGCTAAGGGATAATGGAGCTTCTAGAGTGAGTTCTCCACCAGAACAAACAGAAAGGGAAGATAATGAGCATCTTAACTGATACCAAGGGGCTGCATTTGAATATTACTAGTTTTAAATACTCATAGGAATTTCATACAATTAAATTAAAACAACAACAACAACAGGAAAAGCCTGAAAATAAAGACCAATATATGTAAGGGCACCATTCCCTTACAAGGCAGTACCTTATGATCCCTCCTATGTTTGGGTAGAAACAGGCCATGATCACTCCAGCTCCCACAATAATTAGATTAAGAATCAGCACATGGAAAATGCTAGAAGTTGAGAAGAGAGTTTGGAAGAAAGAAAAAATATAAAAATAGGCAAATTATAACCACTAATATGAGACTACAGTTCATTCTTAACATCGTTAAAATCAAAATGTCTTAAGCTTGATAAAATCACAGCAAAAATAGAAGGTAACAGTAGTCCTCAATTGTGGTAACGAGAAAGTGAAATTAGCTCTTCTGTGCAATTATACTGGTTAAATTTTGTAGAAGTACACTGGTAGTGTGTATCAGAATTCACATTCTTTGATCTATTATTCCATTTGGAATATCTTGAGAAAATAATCCAAACAATGAAAATGCTATGAATATCAAGATATTTATGAAAAAACAGAAGAATCCTGGACATAGCAAGACAATAATTTACTTGACAGAATATGTTAAAAATTATTTAAAATAACTTATCACCATTACCTTGTCAGGTAAAATACTATCTAGGCAATTCAGAAAAAAAGCCAGCTAGGTTTTCACTACACAAGAAAACCCCAAAAACATTTGGAAAAAAAAATCAGAAGGATATACACTGAGAAGGCAGTAGTGATTTTGTTACAATTTGGGGTTTTGGATAACATTGCCTCTTTCTATATTTAACAAACTTTTCATAAAGTGTTCAAATTACTTTTATATTAAACACATTATATTAAGGGAAAGACAAAATGGGCAGGTTTTTATCTTCCAGATTTAACCACTTAAAGAAAGTGGTCATACTTCATACTTTGACCATAAAGAAAGAACTTAAAGCTACTCACTACCATGAAGAGAATATTTACTAAATACTTTAACTAGATATTAACAATTCAAGGTTTGGGAAACAATTTTGGACACAAACAAAAATAATGTAGATGAAAATTTGATGCTGAAGAAAGAACTCCATTTCCCCTGAAAATGATTCTCAAAAGCCAAATGTACACATCAAAGCAACCCTTTGGGCCCAAGTCATCAGAGGTTAATTAATCCCAGATAAAGATTACAGAGAATTAGAAACAAAGAAAATTATTTATATAAATAAGTGGTTAGTCATATACCCTGATGAATTAGAAAGATATTAGGGCTTACAGATCTTACTGTTTACCCAGAAACTCTAACCTTAAAATTGCTTCAGAGCTTTGAGGTATTGGCTGGGCTTTTGTTATTTCTGCATTATAAACGGAAACAACTTTGTATACACAGAGGGAGGCAGTTGCATCCATCTGTATTCCTTTTCTAAAATTTTAATTAATTATTATTATTTTTTTAAGAGACAGGGTCTTGCTCTGTCATCCAGGCTGCAGTGCAGTGGGGCAATAATGGCTTACTGAAGGCTTGAACTTCTGGGCTCAAACCAACCTCCTGAATAGCTGGGACTACAGGTGTGTGTCACCATGACCGGCTAACACCCATGCTTTCTATACTCTATTCTTTAATGCCAAACACTCTCCAAAGTATAAAAAAAGTCCTTGATAAAGGAGTAGAACATTAATTTTGCTAAATCTCATGTTTGAATATATATCCTTTAAATATTCTATGTGATCAAATAGGAAAGTCATAATAAAGCACATCTGCGCGTACTGCAGTACAGTACGCTGGAAGTCTTGAGGAAAAGTACCTGTGTGGCTGAGCTGAAGGGGACCTAGCTGTTTTGCCTACCAAATGCTACTTTTACTTGAATTGCAGTCAAACTATGGTCATTCAAACTCAGGTGTTTGACAGAGATTTTCCAGAAAAATGAATTATATAAGCTTGTCACTTATATAATTCAAGGAAAACAACTGGCAGTATTTGTTGCCAAAGATAAAATTAAAGTTTTCAAATAAAAACTAGAATTTTGGAAAACTTGTATTTGCTACCCTGAGCTTGACAGTTTCCCAATGTTTAAAGGCTCTTGTGATGAAATTAGTGATAGTATTAATGAAAGTGGGTTTTGATATTGTAAAATGAAGTGTGTCAACATTTGGAAGATCCACAGAACTCAGTGAACCAATATTTTCCAAATGATCAAACAGATGTTACAAAATCATGCATGCGTAAAAGATCCAAAGTGCACGATAGACCAATTGGTTTTAATGTAAACAAGTTTCAGATTCCACGATGCAACTCATAAGAAGCTACCACTCGTCAGGTTTTGGCACAGTATCAAAGAAGAATATCCACAATTATATGAAAAAGCTATTAAAAGTACTCCTTCTTTTTCCAACTATCTATGTGAGGCTGGATTTTCTTCACAAATCTAAACGAAAACAGGATATTATAACATGGAATGCAGAAGTAGAGAGGAGAATCAATTGTCTGCTAGTAAAACAAACATCAGAGTTTTGCAAATGTAAATTAAAGGGTTTTTTTGTTTGTTTGTTTTTGTTTTTTTTTGAGATGGAGTCTCGCTCTGTCACCCAGGCTGGAGTGCAGTGGTGCCATCTTGGCTCACTGCAACCTCCGCCTCCTGGGTTCAAGCAATTCTCCTACCTCAGCCTCCCGAGTACCTGGGATTACAAGCGCCTGCCACTACGCCAGGCTAATTTCTGTATTTTTAGTAGAGATGGGGTTTCACCATGGTGGCCAGGATGGTCTCGATCTCCTGACCTCATGATCCACCCGCCTTGGCCTCCCAAAGTGCTGGGATTACAGGTGTGAGCCACCACGAACGGCTAAATTAAAAATTTTTTGAAAGCAGTTATTTTTATTTTTTTAAATTTTGGTGGGTACATAGTAGGTGTATATATTTATGGGGCACATAAGATGTTTTCATACAGGCATGTAATACATAATAATCACATCATGGAGACTGGGGTATCCATCCCCTGAAAGTGTTTTTTTACAAAAATGTTACTTATGTTAACAAGTAATGGTTTTATTATTGATTTTAAACAAATTAAAAATACTTTGCTGGGCACGGTGGCTCATGCCTGTAATACCAGCACTTTGGGAGGCTGAGGCAGGCAGATCACCTGAGGTCAGGAGTTCAAGACCAGCCTGCCCAACATGGCGAAACACCATCTTTACTAAAAACACAAAAAATTAGGCAGACATGGTGGTGGGTGCCTGTAATCCCAGCTACTCGGGAGGCTGAGGTAGGAGAATTGCTTGAACCCAGGAGGCAGGGGTTGCAGTGAGCCAAGATCATGCCACTGCACTCCAGCCTGGGCGACAAGAGTGAAACTCCGTCTCAAAAAAACGAAAAACAAAAAACCTAAATTCTATTTTTTAATATTTAAATACTGATAGCTATACCTGCATAAACTAAAGCTCCTGGAGTCCTCAATACATTTTTAAGAGCATAAAGGGTCCTGAGACCAAAAATTATGCTCCAAAGTATGCACACTCTATAAAGTGCTTATAACTGTCGGATAAATGAAAATGACAATGTGTTCTTGGTGGTAGGGGAAGAACTGTAATGTGAAAACAAAAGGGAAATCTCTGACTTTTTCCAAGAAGAAAAAACATTATTGTAAAGATAGCCACATTCTGCAAAATAATGGTAGAAAACAGGAATAATGTATTTGCTTAGCATTTTTTCATCTATGACTTCACTGTATTTATTTTCTTTGATGAATATAAATACAGCAGAGTAGAAACACAATCAGAGGCTTACATTTATTGAGCTCCAATCTTCTGGATAATAACACTAGAACCATAGCTGCTGCTATACTTATCAGTGCTTGAGACCTGGTAACTCCTGACTTTTGCTTTGTTTTGAAACCAACATATTTATGGCAAAAATTATTTATCGAAGAAGCAGACTACATCAGTTCATTTTAAACAAGAACTGATTAAGACCACTTGTTTAGTTGCTTACTGTAAATGCAATTTTTTTCAAATTTTATTTAAGTTATCTTTCTTTAAAAGAACATATGCCTAATAAAAGTGGACTAGGTTCTTTTCACTAAGATGAACCTATAAAAAGACTTAATGTAAGGGTAGGAGTTAACCAAAGGTCCACAAGAAGGCTGCTGGGAAACTCTGAAATGACATATAGAAATTTCTCTTGAAAAAAAAAAAGAAATTTCTCTTGGATGAGGGTAACCAGCTTTGAAAAGATTTTCAAAAGAACTCACAACTCCTTCATCCCTAATAAGAGGTTAACAATTATAGCAGTAATTTAAACTTGTTATATATCAAATAAAAATTAATTATATATCTGACCTTCAATTCTAAACAATTGATCATTTATGTAAAATTGCATAAATGTAGGCCGGGTGCAGTGGCTCACGCCGGTAATCCCAGCACTTTGGAAGGCTGAGGCGGGCGGATTACAAGGTCAGGAGATTGAGACCATCCTGGCTAACACAGTGAAACCCCACCACTACTAAAAAATACAAAAAATTAGCCGGGCATGGTGGTGGGCGCCTGTAGTCCCAGCTACTCAGGAGGCTGAGGCAGGAGAATGGCGTGAACCCGGGAGGTGGAGCTTGCAGTGAGCCGAGATCGCGCCACTGCACTCCAGCCTGGGCGGCAGAGCGAGACTCAGTCTCAGAAAACAAAAACAAACAACAACAACAACAAAAACTGCATAAATGTTAATGAATATAAAAGTAAGGATTGTTGGACTCAGAAAACCATACCCTAAAATGAAAGCCTCAGAAACAAAAGTTTTTCTCTGACCTTCTGAATCTCAGTCCCATTCTCCCGAAGCTATCTTAGAAACTAGAATCCCTCTTCCCCAAAGTGGAACATGGAAACCTTTTCCCTCAAGCTGGCCGTAAAACCTAAAAATATCACTCCAATTTCCCACTATTTCTGTGTAAAAACTAGCCATAAAGAAATGATCTGACCTGTCTTGTTTGACTGCAGGTCATAAGACTCCCATTCCAGAGAGGGTCCTGCCCCAGACGCAGATGAAAAAAACACATGCTCAGAGAGGCTAAGAATCTAGACAGAGGGGCCTTGCTGGAGTTCCCCACTCAGTCTATTAGCATTAGACATGGCTGTTCACATAAACATAACCATAAAAAAGGACAATTTCCCCTGTATCTTTGGGTCTTCTTTCTAAAGGCTCCCATGTAACATAAAACCACATTCAAATACATTTATATGCCTTTTCTCCTTTTTTTTTTTCTTTTGGAGTCAGGGTCTCACTGTATCACCCAGAGCAGTGGCGTGATCTCAGCTCACTGCAGCCTCGATCTCCCGGGCTCAAACGATCCTCCTCCTCCCACCTCAGCCTCCTGAGTAACTGGGACTACAAGCATGCCCACTATGCTCGGCTGATTTTTTAAAATTTTGTAGAGATGGAGTTTCAGTATGTTGCCCAGGCTGGTCTTGAACTCCTGGGCTCAAGCGATCCACACACCTTGGCCTCCAAAAGTGCTAGGATTACAGGCATGAGCCACTGAGCCGGGCCCTTTTTGCCTATTAATCTGCCTCTTGTCGGTCATTTTCAACAAAACTTCAGAGGGCAAAGGGGAAGTTTTCCCTTGGCCCTGATAGTTTCAATGACCAATAATTAAAAGTGTTGCTTCTCATTAGCTACACATTGCCAACATAGGTACTATACACTATAAACTTCTTGACAATATGTAAATCAATAGCAATTAAATAATAAGATAAATATAAATGGTATCGGAGCTAATTAACTATACTGGAAGGAATGAACTTTAAATCATTCTAGACAAGGGAGTGGCTTCTATTTTTAAAGCTCTTCAGGGAAGAGGACACCAATGATCTATCTTTAGTCACCACTTGCATTAGGCATTTTTATAGCAAAAGGATCAGTCACACTTTAAACTGACCTGCTTGCACAGTCATTTGTTGCTTGGCACATCCTGCTGGTCAAGAGAAGAGCCCTTACCTAGGATAAATGTCACCGAAGATATGGCCCAAAAGCTGGACACGAGCCAGGTAGCCTAAGAGTGGGTATACAGTCATCATCTGGAACAGCAGGAATATCCTTGCAATGAAGGACAGGGTGTCACTGCTAGGGAAGTTGTCTAAAAAATTCTAATCCAAGAAAGATAATGAGGTCATGTTAAAAATCAAATTCAGTACACACATTCATAAAATGGAATGTCTTCTGCTTATTTTGAACACAGGTGCTACTCCGATTGTGGTTTGTGGACTAGTGCCCATCCACAACTACTTGTTAAGTATTTTTTCAATGAGGTAAGTATAGAAACCGAAAGTGTTCAGAAACTTTTACAGGAATCTGACATTGCCACAATTTTATTCTATTTTACAAAAGTATCAGCCTGCAATTTATTTAACATTAAAGCAACAGCAAAGACAATTTTGTCCTTCACCACAGATAGATCGAGAAAGCATTGCTTTATGTGGTTCAAGGAAAATACCAGTCCACTTTAAAGATGTAAAGAGCTAATTTAATTCAGTGTTATTTTACCCTCTCTGGCTCTGCTGCTTTCCTCCTCTGAAGCACTGTAAGCACTTTTGAAGTAAAGATGACAGAATAAGGTGAGAGTATGTCTATCACCTACTACATCATTGTTTAGTCTATCACTAAATTTAAAAGGATTTATCTCTACTTCCTTTCATGACCCTTTTCTCCATTTTGGTTTGGTATCTTAAAAAAAAGTTAATTACTTAGAATTTTTATCTTTTCTTTCAAATACAAATACCACAAATATTCCTATTCCCAAGGGAGTAGGCTTTGTATGAGTTTGTTCATATCAGGGAAATTGCCAGCAAACATTTGGCTGCCAAAGAACTTCTGGAGTCAAGGAAATCAAGAAAATAAGAACATTTCCAAGCTGCCATAATAGCAGTAATTCAAACTTATTTCTCTTATAAAGATGAGAACACTATTAACATTATTTTGCTGAAATAACCATTATAATTCAGCTGTAATAAATCACATTAGTATATTCCATTGTACTCTATAAGAGGAATTTCTTCTGACCAGAAAGTCACTTGTGAAATGTTGTTTTTTGTGAGAAACTCTTCAGTCACTTATAACTAAAGACTATACTATTGCTAAGTTTTTGATGGGTTAAATCAAAGAAAATATTAGTTATGGCAATCTTTTATTAAAATATTTTTTTCTTTTACTCTGTCTCTCTTTTTTTTTTTTTTTAACCCTCTGGTGACTCATAGGACATCTCTCTCTCTTTTTTTAACAGCCAAATACTCTTTTTTTGTTTTGCTGCCTGTCACTCAATATAAGAATGAGAGTCTGATTAATCATTAGAGTCTGATAAACAAAGACTCTAGTTTATCCAGGGCATTCCTGATACAGGCTTTTAAAAATAGGGAGTTCCTTCAATGTATTCTCTGTGGTTTTATAACTACATGAGAACTACTTGTACCAGTTCCCCACAAAAAGAGAAATATATGTACATAATAGTAGACATTTATTTGAGTACCACAAGGTGCCTGGCATGTAGTACATTATCTCAGAGTCCATCTAAAAATCAAATGGGGGTACTTATTATACTATTTAATGGAAAAGAAAAATAAAGCTCAGAAAGAAAAGGGAAGGTGCCTAAATTCCCATACTTGGAGTAGATAGCAGAGATGGTATTAAAACCCAGGCCTATCTGATGTTATATCTTGCCACTGTATCACCCTACCTACTATAAATACATGAAAGTGTACACAATCACACAGAGAGGGTACACGGTGCCTTACCTGCTCAATACAATCTTTGGATAATGGTGGTGAAGGAAATGAAGCAAAAACCAGGACTCCAATATAGAGATAAGTTAATGTCACCAGCATATAAGCAATGCACAAGTCCCTCACCTGTAAATACAGAACAAAAGTCCCATAATACTGAAGAACCTTGTAGTAAGTCTACCTTAATAGGCTAAGGAGACTAACAAATAAATATAAAATTTGTCTTTTTACCTTGTACATGTGTGTATATACTTCTAGATATTCAATTTGTTCACAGAAAGTAGTTAAAACAAAATCCACACACTTTACAATTAGTCTGGCAATTTTTTTTAAAAAAGTACTCTGAAGTATGTAGACTAAGCTACCTGTTGGCAGACTTAGAAGTTAACATAGTGGTTTAACATGACTGAAATTCTGACTTAATTTCAAAAGATAATTTAGTTGCCAAATTACAAAATATTTAACTACAATAATAAAGCTAAGGGACAACAAGAAAGTAAGCATAGCCACTTCAGTATGGTCTGCAACATTTTAAAAATTCGTCCTTTGGTAAATTAACTTATATTATTAAAACATGCCTAGACCACAGCAGAGCAGAACATACTAAAATATATTTAATAAAGAAAGAAAGCTAGTTAAAGAACAGACAACAAGCAGTATTAAAGACAAGCTTAATAAATCTAAACAGTAAACAAAAGGAAATCAAAAGGCAGCTGTTCAAACAGCTGCACAATGTTACTGGAATCAGCAAACAAATGCAGAACATTAAATAAAGCGGACTGCTTTCTTCTATTGCGGTTCCCACCCTCCCAACCTCCCATATCCATGCAAAGTAAAAAGCTCCAAGATATTTAATGTAGCCAGCTGTCAGATCCAAACAGAACAGATTCCCCAGCTCAAAAATCTGGTCTTCATCACCACTGAAGTTATGGCCAAACAATTCAGCACAATTAAATTATGGCAACAAGCCTATTCATTTTTCATTTTAAACAAAAATTACTCTGAAAGCTAAGGAAACAAATTAGAAAAAAATAAACTTAAAAACATTTGATAGCACAATAAAAAAACTGGACATTTGGTATTAGGGAACATTTCTGACTTTTTGGATTACTTTCTTCCTTAAATGGGCTAGCTAACGTAGTAGAGTTTTATAAACTTGAATGTTGACAAATTCAGTTAAAAAGCAAGTAACAAGTTATGAGAAATCTTAAGGTCAGGTCTAAATTGACAATCAGCTTGAAAGTAAGTTAAGGGTTTTAAACCCTAAATTAGATGGTGGATAAGCCCATGGAGCTAAAGGCTTATGCAGATTGGTTCCAGCCCTCTCAAAATGCGTCTAATTGCTTAGGAATGAGGAAGAGGATGACCGGGCACAGTTTCAAAATCATTCCTCTTTAGTTCATGAAGCTCTAGGTCTGACGGGAGGCCAGAGTTCAGTCACCCCTAGGGTTGCCTCATGATCTTGTGTGGGATGAACAGCAATGAACCAGGCCAAATCTACTTTTTTGTCAAAAGTAGTAGTTTCCCATTATGATGGCTGAAAGTCATTCTACACTCAACCTACTCAATGCCACTCAAGAACAGAGGTAGCCTTGTAAAAAAATCTTGGGAGGCAAAGCAGCTGGGCCTGAGACAGCTCTCTGTAAAGTGGGACAGCCACCATCCCATAGACAGTTTTCAGCTTATCTACTACCTGATCACCACGTTATTTTGGTCTGACATCTTGCAAAGAAGTGTACCATAGCATACCTAGGGGGAAATCTGATTAAGATGCAAAGGCTATGGTGCACAGCTTCCAACAAGACTTTTCCCTTCCGCTTCTCTGTTCTCACGGCACTATATACTTATCTCAAATTCAGCAACTATTCTACTGTATTGTGACAGTCATTAATTTTTATTATAAAAGTAAACCATGTGCATGATATAAAGAATTTCAAGTGGAAATAAAATGTCCCTTGACATCCCTAAAATAGCCAAGGTTAATAGTTCTTGCATCATGTTGGTATTTTTTCTTCAAATGTGTCTGTACCACAAGACTCTGGGATTCTGAGGAGAGAGACCACGTCTTTTTCTTCTTTGTATCCCCAATACCCAGGACCACGCCTGGTACATAGGAGGAACTTGGTAAATGTAGATAAAGAATAATAGCCACACTGGCTTTATTAAGTGCTTGTAGGTGCCAGGCTATATTGCTAAGCACATTACAAGTGTCATCTCATTTAATCCTCATTGCAACCTTATAATGTAGATACTGTCATTTTCTTCATTTTACAGATGTAAACTAAGTGCAGCAAGGTTACAAAACTCGTTTGTGGCTGCAAAGTGAGTATCTGGTGAAACCAATATTCAAATCAAGATCTTTTTAGTTCCAAATTGCAGGTCCTTAGCTACTATGATGGGGAGCTGACCAGTCTCCAGTGCAATTGTGTCATAGTTAATAAACAATAATAATAAAAAAAAAGAGAGGTAACAAGTTATGAGTAACAACTATACAACAGAACACATACAGGGATGCTTCCATTTTGAGATACTAAAATCAGAAAAGTTTTATTTCACAGTACTCCAACATACCTTAAGTAAAAGTGGCTCAGGAGCTGCATATGTGTTTTCATCTGAATACTCCAATGAACAGAAATTATGCTTTTATTATAAAAGCAGCTGAGGTTTAGCATGACACTGGGAAACATGCCACTTATGAACAGTATACACATATGTGGGCTTTGCTATTCTCTGGCTCAAACACAAGCCATTAGGCCTAAAGATATAGCCTATTTAATGGAATAGCCTTGAAAGCCCATTTAATGGAACAGGATAGAAAAAAGCTATTATTTAGAAAACGAGGCTCAAAGTAAAAAATATATTTAAAAAGAGACACAAGCGACAATATAAGCTGGTAATTATGTCAAGAAGCCTATACATTAATAAGGTAACTGACTCTGTCTTGTGAATAAGAAATGGCTGGCAGGGTTGACGGTAGAAAACTAAAGACAGGTAGAATGCCAAGTCAGAATGAAAACTGGATCTACAACAGGCCCAGAAGTAGGTTTGGGAACACATTCTGTTTGTCAGACATGGTTTATTATTTGTTCCACGTACCGTTCATAGTGAAAATACTATTCAGTGGAGCATTTACTAACAAAAATGACAGAAACTGACCACACAGACTGACCCCAAACATTTACATAACTTCTCCTGGTATATAGCCAAGTAAACCACAGATTCATATGAAGAAGGAAAAAGTAAATAACAAATCACAATATGAGGTATTTCAAATCGTTTTAAAGAACAAAGCAGGGTAATACAACTAAACACAGACAAAACAAAACCAAACAAAAGAAGCACTTAGAGGTTCTGATTCAAATACAATGAGGAAATATCAAGAGGTCAATCCACACAACCAGGAGGGTTATAGGGACTACATATTCTGGTGATAAACTAGTTGGATGGTCTTCAGCTCCCTAATCCCCTTTTTTTGGTAAGATACGACAAAAGAATAGAAATGATGGCCAGGCGCGGTGGTTCACGCCTGTAATCCCAACACTTTGGGAGGCCGAGGCGGGCGGATCACCCCATTTCTACTAAAAATACAAAAGTAGCCAGACGTGGTGGTACATGCCTGTTATCTCAGCTACTTGGGAGGCTGAGGCAGGAGAACTGCTTGAACCGGGAAGGCGGAGGTTGCAGCGAGCCAAGATGGTGCCACTGCACTCCAGCCTGGGCAACAAGAACGAAACTCTGTCTAAAAAAAAAAAAAAAAAAAAAAGAATAGAAATGATATCCCATTTACACATATAACAAACTGCATTTCGTGGGAAAAAAAAATGTATGAAATGAAGTTGAACTTGGAAAACCTGGAAAATTTGCTCACTACACCTATTTAGGAGTTTGTTTCTTTCTTTGCAAATGTCTTTAGTTCAAGTCCAGCTATAGTTTATACAGAAGAGGAGGCCTTTTCTATTCTTTTGTCTTCTTTTCTATTTTCAAACTCTTGTTTACTGAGCTTGGAATGATCCAGTATCCACATTATGAATTCAGAGTCCCTGGCAAGCTTTACATTTTCTGACTTTAATCTCAAGAAAATATTATGCCATGATATTAACAGGACTTCTTTCAAAGTACTTACTGAAACTTGCTTAAAGGTATAATCATTAAATAAATGAAATGACAAAAAGTTTTTCTCAGAATATAGTACCCATTTAGGTTGATTTTTGCTAACATAAAAGCCAATTTCAGTATAATCAAAAAGAGAGTATATATATTTACATATAGTCAAAGTGTTTAGAATGTTGCTGGCACATAGTGCTTCATAAATGTTAGCTTTATCCTTAGTAATTATTAATATTTTAAGAAGTTAACATGAAGTACAACTAGTTTTTTGAAAGGTAGACCATCACTTCATAACCCAATTTCAATTAAGACAGTAAAAAAAAAAAAATCCATTTAAACCTTTGCTTTTTTTTTTTTTTTTTTTTGAGATGGAGTCTCGCTCTGTCACCCAGGCTGGAGGGCAGTGGTGTGATCTCAGCTCACTGCAACCTCTGCCTCCTGGGTTCAAGTGATTCTCCTGTCTCAGCCTCCCAAGTAGCTGGGATTGGAGGGGCCCACCACCATGCTCGGCTAATTTCTGTATTTTTAGTAGAGACGGGGTTTTGCCATGTTGGCCAGGCTGGTCTCAAACTCCTGACCTCAGGTGATCCAACCACCTCAGCCTCCCAAAGTGCTGGAATTACAGGTGTGAGCTACCATGCCCAGCCATTTAAACCTTTGCTTTTAAGCCTTTGTTTTAAAAATAGTTTCCACAAGTGACAAAAGGTGAATCAAATTGTATTAGCTGAACCTAACATAATAGTTCTACAAAGCCCTAGTCCTAATACTAAGTGGAAAGAACTCATTTTATGGTATTTACATATGAAATACGGATTTCAAGGCCCACTGAGTGTTCTACTAAGAAAGGCAAAGACATGTCCTCAGTCTTTGGGAGACCATGCATTAAGAACGCCCATCTCAGTCCAGCCCTGAGCTTCTCACAATGGGGCGTATACATCTCCAGATAAACTGGTGTGACTTTCCAGAAAAGCAATTCAACTTGAGAATTTTGGCGAGTGAAAAGTTAAGCACAGACAGTCCTCACTTTGCAGGGTAGTATGAGATTATAAAAATTACTATGCAACCTGAAACTGTGCAAAGTGATCACAATAATCAATGGGAAAAATTATAATTGTTCTAAGATCTTTAACAATTGTCAAAACATTAAATACTCTTACTGTCAGTTATAAATGTATAGGGAAATGAAGAAAAAGTAAAATATGTATATATATTTTTGAGACAGAGTTTCACTCTTGTTGCCCATGCTGGAGTGCAACAGTGTGATCTCGGCTCACTGCAACCTCCGCCTGCCAGGTTCAAGCGATTCTCCTGCCTCAGCCTCCCTACTAGCTGGGATTACAGGCATGTGCCACCACGCCCAGCTAATTTTTTTTGTATTTTTAGTAGAGATGGGGTTTCTCCATGTTGGTCAGGCTGGTCTCGAACTCCCAACCTCAGGTGATCCACGCACCTCGGCCTCCCAAAGTGCTGGGATTACAGGCATGAGCCACCATGCCCGGCCAACATCTTTTAAAGTACATTGCAATGTCAAAAATATTGAGCTTAAAATATTTTATTTTTTGGTAAAAACCTACCAAGAGTAGTCTGAACTATGTTCGCCTCCTTCTTCTCACTGTATAACTTAACAATATGGAGCAGGCATCTTTTCCATGCCTTGGTGAACTGCCATACTCCTTTATCCTTACTGTGCACCAGCTTCTAACATTTCATCTTTTGTGCTTTCAATGTTGTGAGACATCTCTGAGAATTCGATTAATGTGAAGTTTTCTGACAATGTCAATTCCTCTGGGATATCTTCATTCTTGTAATCATAACCACTTTCTGAATGCACGTTGATAAGCTCACCTTCCTTAAGTTTCTCTAGCTGCATATCTGGAGTCTCTTGTATGGCAGCAGTGTCAACATTTCCACAGTTGGCTATTTCTTTTATAACTCTCTATATAGAGTTCAATTCAAATTTCACTTCTTGCATTATTGTTTTGTTTCATTGTAGCACTTTGTTTGACAATTCCCCATTCAAGTATCCATTTTTTGTAAAATATCATGTCAGTTTATCACTGGGAGACAAGGAGTTAACACAACTATCTGCTTTGCAGACTGTACAGTGAAAAACATACACAGTGACCAGTCATTGACAGACTTTGAAAGAAGTTATGTGATTGGTTACTAATTATCACGTGCACTTGTTATTTATGTAGTGCTTTGTGAAGTGAGGGCTAGCAGCTACTACTTTACAAGTACTAATAGTTCAAATTCTTTGGTAACTGAGATTTGAACAAATGTTGTTAGGAGGAACTGATGTAATTTAACTAAACCAGATTAATGAAACTGGTGCATGTAAGAACCATGCAACATGAGAACTGCCTGTAATCTAACTCATTTTGAGCCCTTCCCCTTCCCCTTTCCCTTCCTTGTTTCTTTTTTGAGACGGAGTCTCACTCTTGTCACCCAGGCTGGAGTGCAGTGGCGCGATCTCGGCTCACCACAACATCCACCTCCCAGGTTCAAGTGATTCTCCTGCCTCAGCCTCCTGAGTAGTGGGGACTACAGGCATGTGCCACCACACCCGGCTAATTTTTTGTATTTTTAGTAGAGACGGGGTTTCACTGTGTTAGCCAGGAAGGTCTCAATCTCCTGACCTTGTGATCCGCCCGCCTCAGCTTCCCAAAGTGTTGGGATTACAGGCGTGAGCCACCGTGCCCAGCCTGAGACTGTTTTCTAGTAATACAAACAAATAATGAGCATGATAAAAATATGTGTAAATGTTTAAGATAAAACATGACACTTCAATAAGATTGTGTTTGTCTTCCCTAGATTCCTAGGTACATGAGGTTGTTCTGTTATTAGGGAGACTTTGGTGGTAAAGTTTGAGAAGCACAGCTTTATGGATAGGATCATCCAATACATGAGAATTCTACTTAACAAAATGAGTTTCTAGGGCACTTGGGCTAACTTGGCTTACAAGAACAGACTGTAAATATCAGGAAAGAAAGGGTAAGAGGGGTAAAAATACTAAAAATTTCCAGCCTCTATTGTATGTTAGATCATGTTAACATCACAACCCTGATAGGTAGCTATAATTTTTACATATGACAAAAATGGAATTTGAGATCAGTTCACCAAGATAGGAAGTATGAAAAATCCAGATTGACTCAAGTCCAACTCCATTTACAGGTAACATGCTACATGTATGGTCAGTAAAGATGAAGATGGAAAAGCTTAATTTATATTTTTGCTCTAGAGAGCTTACTTCCTCTACTTAGAAAGGTTTTTGCCTTCTTAATGACTGCCAAACATTACCCCTTACTCAAAGCCTTCTCAGAATCTCCAGGCACAGCAAATCCTTCCTTCTTTTGCATTTCAGTAACAACTGTATAGACCTCTATTAGAACTTCATTATGACTTTTGTTTACAAGGTCAGAAGCTGTTAAATTGAGCACAAAATCTGCAGACAAGCCAACAAGTAACTGGTTAACTTTTGTTTGCCTTGGGTTTAGTTTGCTTTACTTTTTCTATCGTCTAAGGTAGAAAGTTAGGTTTTTCAGATCTTCATTTTTAGTGTAGGTGTTTACAGCTATACATTTCCCTGTAAGCACTGCTTTAAGTAAACTCAAAGTAGTTCTAATTTTTCTTGTGATTTCTTCTTTGACCCATTGGTTATTTAAGAGTATGCTGTTCAATTTCCACAATTTGTGAATTTCCCAAATTTCTTTCTGTTATTGATTTGTATCTTCACTCCATTATGGTTAGAGAACATACTCTGTATGATTTAAATCCTTTCAAATTTATTGAGAATTGTTTTATGACCCAGCATATGGTCTATCTTGGAAAATGTTCTTATGTATTTAAGAAGAATGTGCATTCCGCAGTTGAGAGAAAACTTTATAAATATATATTAGATTAAATAGGTTGACAGTGTTTTTCATGCTTCCTCTACCCTTACTGATTTTAATCTATTTGTTCTATCAATTACTTGAAGGAGGGTGATAAAACGTCCAATTATAATTGTGGATTTGTCTACTTCTCTTTTCAGTTTTGCAATTGTTAATTCATTTATTTTGAAGCTCTGTCACTGGGTACATATACATTTAGGATTATTATGTCTTCTTGATGAACTGATCCCTACAGATCATTATGTAAAGTTCCTCTTTATCTCTGGCAATACTGCCAGTTCTAAAGTCTATTTCATCTGATATCAATTTGGCCACTCCAGCTTTCTTATGTTTAATATTTGCATGGTATATCTTTATGTTTAATATAAATTCCTTGTAGACAACATATAGTTAGGCTTTGTTTTTTAACAAGTCTGAAAATCTCTTTTATTTATTTATTTATTTTTTGAGATGGAGTGTTGCTCTGTTGCTCAGGCTGGAGTGCAGTGGCACGATCTCTGCTCACTGCAACCTCCACCCCTTGGGTTCAAGTAATTCTCCTGCCTCAGCCTCCTGAGTAGCTGGGATGACAGGTGTGCACCACCATGCCTGGCTAATTTTTGTATTTTTAGTAGAGACAGGGTTTCACCATGTTGGCCAGGCTGGTCTCGAACACCTGGCCTCAAGTTATCCACCTGCCTCAGCCTCTCAAAGTGGTGGGATTATAGGTGTGAGCCACCACACCTGGCCTCTTTTAATCTTTTAACTGCAGAGTCTTTTAATGTAATTATCAATACAATGGGTTTAAATCTACTATGTTGCTATTTGTTTTCTATTTGTCACTATTTGTTTTCTATTTGTCACATCTATTCTTTGGTCCCTTTTCCATGGCTTCTTTTGGATCAGTTGCATTTTTTGTTTGTTTGTTTTTGTGAGATGGAGTCTGGATCTGTTGCCCAGGCTGAAGTGCAGTGGCTATCTCGGCTCACTGCAACCTCTGCCTCCCAGTTCAAGCAATTCTCTGCCTCAGCTTCCTGAGTTGCTGGGATTACAGGCGCCCAACACCATACCCGACTAATTTTTGTATTTTTAGTAGAGACGGCGTTTCACCATCTTGGCCAGGCTGGTCTTGAACTCTTGACCTCGTGTCCACCCGCCTTGGCCTCCTGAAGTGCTGGGATTACAGGCGTGAGCCACCATGCCCAGCCGCATTATTATTATTATACTTTAAGTTTTAGGGTACATGTGCACAATATGCAGATTAGTTACATATGTATACATGTGCCATGCTGGTGTGCTGCACCCATTAACTCATCATTTAGCATTAGGTATATCTCCTAATGCTATCCCTCCCCACTCCCCCCACCCCACAACAGTCCCCAGAGTGTGATGTTCCCCTTCCTGTGTCCATGTGTTCTCATTGTTCAATTCCCATCTATGAGTGAGAACATGCGGTGTTTGGTTTTTTGTCCTTGCGATAGTTTACTGAGAACGGTGATTTCCAATTTCATCCATGTCCCTACAAAGGACATGAACTCATCATTTTTTATCAGCCGCATTTATTTTTTAAGATGGGGTTTTGCTCTGTTGACCGGGCTAGAGTGCAGTGGCATGAACACAGTTCACCACAGCCTTGGCTTCCTGGGCTTAAGCAATCCTGCTGCCTCAGCCTCCCAAGTAGCTGGGACTATAGGCATGTGCTACCAAACCAGGCTAATTTTCTTTGTAGAGACAGGGTCTAACCATGTTGCCCAGGCTGGTCTCGAATTCCTGGGCTCAAGTGATCTTCCTGCCTCGGACTCCCAAAGTGCTGGTATTACAGGCCTGAGCCACCACGCCCAGGGTATCTTTAAAAGATTTTACCACCATTAATGGCTTATTAGCCATACCTCTATTTTTTCAGTGGTTGCTCTATGGCAGGCACTGGCAAACTATGACTCATGGGCCAAATCTTGTCTGATGTCTGTTTTTGTAAACAGTTTCATTGAAACAATGCCATCACCCATTTGTTTATGTATTATCTATGGCTGCTTTCATAACATAACAGCACAGTTGGGGAGCTGCAACAAAAACCATAAGGCCTACAAGGCCTGAAATATTTATCATCTGAACCTTTACAGAAAAATTTGCTGACGACTGCTCTATGGTTTAAGTTTAAAAATTAAGATCTTGTAACAAAATTGCCTAATTGTACTCTAAATATAAAGTGCCTCAAATACTGACTTAAAAAATTTATCCTCGGGAGATACAAAAGTCAATTCCAAAGATAATTACTCACATTGTTTTCTTGTTTCTTGTTGTTCTTCAAGAGTGTGATGATACAATTATGAATAAAAAAAGCAAGGGTAAGCACTCCAGTCAGCTGTGGAAACTGAAATCTTATCTCTAGGAGAAAAATAAAAACAAGAACATTAAAACTGACAATTAGAAAATGAGTATTGGTAGCCAAAAGTTGACTACTAAAAATCAGTTGTCACTGTTTTATCCAGGGAATAAGAATATTAAAATGTCTTTACAAAGTTCCTCGAGGCCAGCATTATACTTGGGCGAAGCACTCAAAAGGGGGAAAAAAAGGTATGCTCTGGCTGAGTGTGGTGGCTCACACCTGTAATCCTAACATTTTGGGAGGCCAAGGTGGGCGGATCACCTGAGGTAAGGAGTTTGAGACCAGCCTGGCCAACATGGCGAAACCTTGTCTTTACTAAAAATACAAAAATTAGCGTGGTGGTGGAAGCCTGTAATCCCCGCTACTTGGGAGGCTGAGGCAGGGGAATCGCTTGAACCTAGAAGGCAGAGGTTGTAGTAAGCCGAGATCACACCATTACACTGCAGCCTGGGTGAAAGAGCGAGACTCCATCTCAAAAAAAAAAGTATACTCTGTGCAGGTGCTTTATATCAATTATTCCTATTTGAGGTCATACAACTGGTATGGAGAAGGGCAGGATTCAAATTTAGGGTCTGTCTGACTTTAAAGTCCTTCATTTTTTTAATACCTGAATTTGCCAGAAAAGTACCTCTAGAAAAGGAATTATGAAAGGGCAAACTGGTCATTTAACTTTCTTCACTGACAAATCTAAAAAACATAATGTAAAAATATTAGAAATAAGTGTCCACCTACAGAGGATTCATTAAATTGAGATACAGTTGTGCAGTGGTATATGGTATCAAAAATTATGTTGTGGAGGCAGTTTCTTTTTTTCCCTATGATTGAAATAGCATACATACTGTGATTTTACTTTTTATTGTTTTATTCTTTTTGAGATAGGGTCTCACTCTGTCACCCAGGCTGGAATGCAGTGGCACAAACACAGCTGACTACAGCCCCAACTTTCTGGGCTCAAGTGATATTCCTATCTCAGCTTCCCTGGTAACTAGGATTATAGGTGCATGCCACCACACCCAGCTAAGTTTAAAAGAATTATTTTTTTGTAGAAACAGGGTCTCACCATGTTGTCCAGGCTGGTCTTGAACTCAAGTAATCCTCCCACCACAGCCTCCCAAAGTGCTGGGATTACAGACATGAGCCATTGTGCCTGGCCTACTTTTATTTTTAAAATATATGTGTGTATATAGATGTGTGTATGCAAAGAAAAAAGACTGGTGAGGGGGTATCCACAAAAATATAAATAGTGGTTATGTCAGGTTATGCAATTTATTTTATTTTATTTTATTTTTTATTTTTTTTTGCAATTTATTTTAAATTAACCACTTACCTATAATCTCTAAATGTTCTGCAATAAACACAAAGCTGCTTTAAAGTGAGAATAAAATAACATTGCAAAAGCACTGCCAATTTCTGTTTTGACTGCTAATAGAAAGAAAAAAAATGATTTTATGTAGAATAAAACCATGATTTACTTGAAAATACTGCTGGTCTAGCCAAACCCATCTCAGAGGATTCCTTAGTGTAAAAAGTAGAAACGTATAAAAAGTCCACTGACTCTGCTATATTATTTTAGGAAAAGAAGAGAAAACAAGAATCAAGCACTAGCTCTAAAATAAAATAAACAAATCTAAATAAAATAAGATCTATTAGTTTTCAACACGTTCTTTTCAATTTAGCTGAATTTCCTGTCTCTCAGAGTAATCAATTCTGTTACTTAGTTAAGATACCCTGTAAAGCAATTTGTTAGCTAATCCTTTTCTATCTTTTCTAATTAAGGCAAGTAAGACCACTGTTAGGTTTCTAACTTGTCATATTACAGTGGGTAAATAGTCAGCTTTTTCCCATTAACTAACAAAAGCTATCTTTTTGAGAAAATTTCTTGAAAACCTGAGATTCTTTTTAATAGCACTATTGAAATAAAATTCATGTTTCACCTACTTGAAGTGTACAACTAGTTTTTAACTGAATAGCATATTCACAGAGTTGTACAACCATAACCACAGCACTTCATTCCTTTTCTATTGCCAAATAATATCCCATTGTACAGATATACCACATTTTGGCCGGGTGTGGTGGCTCACACCTGTAATCCCAGCACTTTGGGAGGCTGAGGCAGGTGGATCACCTGAGGTCAGGAGTTTGAGACCAGCCTGGCCAACATGGTGAAACCCTGTCTCTACTAAAAATACAAAATTAGCCGGGCATGGTGGTGCGTGCCTGTAATCCCAGCTACTCAGGAGGCTGAGGCAGGAGAATCACTTGAACCTGGGAGGGGGAAGGTGCAGTGAGTTGAGACTGTGCCACTGCACTCGAGCCTGGGTGACACAGTGAGACTCTGTCTCAAAAGAAAAAAGAAAGATATACCACATTTTATTTATCCATTTGTTATTGATAGACATTGGGCTGTTTCTATTTTTGGCTATTATGAATAATGCTGCTATAAACATGCATGTACAAGTTTTTGTGTGGAAAATACACTTTTTTAAAGAACATAGACATTTACACCATGATTATTACATAATACATTAAATAACAGACTCCTTCACAAAATGGTTTTAAAGAAGCTCCAAACTTCTCATCATTTTCAAACTGCTTACTTTATTCCTTTGAAAAGGCATATCAAGAAAGGATGTAAGCAGGAAGAAGATAATTGCATTACATGTATTTGAGAAAGGATTCATATTTGGAATGTGTAAAGAACTCCTATAAATCAGTATGAAAAAAACAGACAGTTAAATAGAAAAACAGAAGAAGCACTTCAGAAAAGATGAAATCCAAATGGCCAACAAACATATGAAAAGTTGCTAACTCCACTGATCATTACAGAAATGCAAATTAAAACCACATTGTACGTTCCCAACAAAAAGATAAATGTTTGAGGTGATGGATATCCCAATTACCCTGATTTGAGCACTACACATTGCATAGAGGTATTAAAATATCATATGTTCCCCCCAAATATGTACAACTATTATATGTCAATAAAAATGTTTAATTAAAAACCACAAAACCACAATGTAATAGCACATTATATACCCATAAGAAAGGCTAGATGAAAAACACAGAAAATTCAAGTATTAGTGCACTATAACTTAAATGAATTTCAACTAACAAGTAGAAATGACAAAGGGCCCTGGTTACCACTAACTGCAGGAAATCCAAAATAATCTCAACTGTAGTCCTGTTTTTAACTTAATAGCATTTATAAAAATGCTCAGCATAAAAAAAAAATCATTACTTGTTTTAGAATAGCATATGACAATGGTTAAGATCACATTATTATAATTTATTATTTTGCCAAAAAGCTCACCTGGTACAAAAAATTCTGTTGGTATAAACCAATGAAATTCCAAATGAAATCCCAAGCGAACAGCCTTAAAGGTGACAAGGAAAATCAAATAAAGGACAGACACTGTGCCTGTGAGGAAAAAATTCAGAAACCATTTATTATCTTTGTGTGTTTTACAGATTATTTTAAAATCAAGCATTGTTTCCATAGTCTCAGCAAAGTGTGGGAAACTGTTAACTGCATTGATTATCTCCACTAACACCCAGCTGGGATCTAAAGACTAGAAACAAGCTGAGGGAGTTACCAGAAAAAAAACAAAACACTCTATGTAGTAGGCCTAAGAAGAACCAGATGAGCTGGGCATGGTGGCTCACACCTGTAATCCCAGCACTTTGGGAGGCTGAGGTGGGCAGACCACCTGAGGTCAGGAGTTCGAGACCAAACCGGCCAACATGGCGAAACTTCATCTCTACTAAAAATACAAAAGTTAGCCAGGTGTGGTGGCACACGCCTATAATCACAGCTACTCGGGAGGCTGAGACAGGAGAATCACTTGAATTCGGGAAGCAGAGTTTGCAGTGAGCCAAGATTGCACCACTGCACTCCAGCCTGGGCAACAGAGCGAGACTCCATCTCAAAGGAAAAAAAAAAGAATAAGAAAAGAAGAATCAGATGAAGGTAGCTCATACAATGCTGAATGCAAAACTGCTTCATTTACTTATGAGTTGAGTTTAAGCAGAAGATACAAGCAGAGAGTCCATTACAAAATTATAGGATTACATAGGATTGAAAAAAACAACATGAAACTTACTTTTATTCTTTGAATTGGAAGTGTTAGAGTCAGTCTGTCACAGTATTTAATGTGAGATGGTAAGAGGGTAAAGAAAGAAAAGCAGTGAATGTGGATCAAAAGCATATTTGAGAAAGGTGAGAAGCCAAATACATGAACAATCCTGATCTAGTATCTAGATGAGGTTTTGACTGGGTAGCACTACTTGCTAGACAGAGATTCCAGACTCCATTCTCAGGTATTATATACAAGGTAAAATGGGCATTCAGAATATTTTAGTAGTGTAGAAGGTAGAAGATTATTCCTTTTAAGAAATTAAGTCTAGTCATTATGGAGTAGAGTCAGAAAATTCAGGAAGGCCTTAGATGCTAATTCCTCTAATGAAGCTATGGTTTTAAGAGAAAGGGAAAGTACCAAGGAAAAGAACAAAAGCAGAATATCCTTAAGGAGCTGAAGAATGAACAATCAACCTGGTTGGAAGTCTGGTGATTGTTGTGCCCAATTGAGCAAATCCTTCTATAAGTTTATATTCTTTTAAAAGATCTGTTTCACAGAAAAGTTGGCAAGCAAATCAGGAAACCACGAATGAGCGATATAAGCAGTACTGTGGGTTTGGAGATTAGCTGATTCAGAAAGGATGAAAACAGGACGCCAGAGCTTATATAACCACAACTCTTCATCTTCTGTGTGTCTATGGCAGCTTACAGTGAATCCTGTTCCTGAGGCAGACAGGCAAAGAGAAATAATTTTAACTTTTCCTTTGGTCTTCTGGAAACCTAGAAGCCACTGCCTTGTTCCTTGATATGCTGGGTTATTTATTTATTTATTTGTTGAGACAGAGTTTTCGCTCTTGTTGCCCACGCTGGAGTGCAATGGCATGATCTCGGCTCACTGCAACCTCCGCCTCCTGGGTTTAAGCAGTTCTCCTGCCTCAGCCTCCCGAGTAGCTGGGATTACAGGCATGCGCCACCATGCCTGGCTAATTTTGTATTTTTAGTAGAGACAGGGTTGCTCCATGTTGGTCAGTTTGGTCTCGAACTCCTGACCTCAGGTGATCTGCCTGCCTCAGCTTCCCAAAGTGCTGGGATTACAGGCGTGAGCCACCGCACCCAGCCTATCTATTTTATGCTCTAGACTGCCTGCCAGAGATCACATCCACAGGGAGGAAGTGAAATCGTATGGTTTATGTGGAGTTATCGATTCCTTATGAATGATATCCTTGTCCTTGGTTAGCCAGATCTGAACTTTCACTGGGGGGGTTCCTTTTGCCATCTTTTTTTTTTTTTTTTTTTTAAGACAGAGTCTCATTCTGTCACCCAGGCTGGAGTGCAGTGGCATAATCTTGGCTCACTGCAACCTCCACCTCCCAGGTTCAAGCAATTCTCTGCCTCAGCCTCCCAAGTAGCTGGGATTACAGGCACCAGCCACCACGCCCGGCTAATTTTTCTATTTTTAGTAGAGACAGGGTTTCACCATCTTGGCCAAGCTGGTCTTGAACTCCTGACCTCGTGATCCACCTGCGTCAGCCTCCCAAAGTGTTGGGAATACAGGCGTGAGCCACCACACCTGGCCCCTTTTGCCATCTTAAGTGGAGTAAAAACATTCGTTTAGTGGTTTCTGAAAAGCAGGGCTCACAGAAAGAGGTCTGTTCCTTGAAGAAGGCAATAGCGTTCTAAGAAAAAAAAGCACTGAGGAAGAGAGCAAAAGCAAAATAAACCTACGAAGCCTGAGATAGAGAATGATTTCCCAGGTTCAAAGTCAGGTGACAATTCTGCACAATACTCTTAGAGACTGTAGGAAAAAACATTCTATAACTTTCCTTAGTAAGTTCTGTTTCCAACCGTTAGAATCAAGAATTCCTATAATATCCAATTTGGATCTCTCCTCCTGAAATTTTCGTGTATTTCGTCTAGTTGTATCCTCAGAGAAAATGAGGAAGAATTGTTCAGTAAGTTTAGAATGAGAAACCAAATAATTCATGTCTCAAAAAAAAAAAACACACACACACAACAAAACCAAAAATGGTCATCTACACTTTTCTCCATGCCAAACTCCATAAAAAAAAATAGAAAAAATCAGGTTATCATAAGAATGAACAAATTGCCGGGCGTGCTGGCTCACACCTGTAATCCCAGCACTTTGGGAGGCTGAGGCAGGTCGATCACCTAAGGTCAGGGGTTTGAGACCAGCCTGGACAACATGGTGAAATCCCACCTCTACCAAAAATACAAAATTAGCTGGGTGTGGTGGCGCATACCTGTAATCCCAGCTACTTGGGAGGCTGAGGCCAAGAATTGCTTGAACCCCGGAAGCAGAGGTTGCAGTGAGCCAAGATTGAGCCATTGCACTCCACCCTGGGCAACAACAGTGAAACTCCGTCTCAAAAAAAAAAAAAAAAAAAAGAAAGAAAGAAAGAACAAAACAAAAACGAATGAACAAATTAAACACAGATGAACAGGCTTGGAAGGTAACTCCCCAATCAGACCATATTTCCCTAGACTCCACCACGTATTCTATTACACAAAGTCTCCATAATTCAGTGCTACTACTTACCTAGGATATTAAATTTTGAAAAAAATGAAGGAGACTTGAAATTGAGCAGTGGGAGGAGGAGCCCTACAAGATAAAAGGGGACTGTCCTGGACTTATCCCACCACTTTTCAAACTGTTGGGCTCCTGTGTCATTGGCATAGAAAATCATAGAGCTGTTGTCAGGATGGCCTCCACTCCCGGCACTTGGACAAATCACTGCAATAGGAAAGCACCAGATTAAAGAAGATGACAAAAAACAAAACAAAACAAAACAAAAAACAGAAAATGACTGCCTCTAGAGACAGACACTTGCTCTACCAACCTCAACTCTTCCTAGGAGCCTAAATTTCTCTTTTCTGGAAAAAATAGAGGGTTAATTTTAGGAATATTAGGACTCTTTCACCTAAAAATAAATAAGGGTGAGGGAATCTTTAAAATTTCTGAGATATTATCATTATTTTTATTTATTTATTTTCTGAGACAGAGTCTCGCTCTGTCGCCCAGGCTGGAGTCCAGTGGCGTGATCTCGGCTCACTGCAACCTCCGCCTCCTGGATTCAAGCGATTCTCTTGTTGCAGCCTCCCAAGTAGCTGGAACTACAGGCACACATCACCATGCCCAGCTAATTTTTGTATTTTTAGTAGAGAGGGCATTTTACCATGTTGGTCAGGCTGGTCTCAAACTCCTGACCTGAGGTGATCCACCCACCTTGGCTTCTCAAAGTGCTGGCATTACAGGCGTGAGCTACTGCGCCCAGCCCTGAGATATTATCTTTAAACTCTACTGGAAACTATAAAAATATCCCACCAAATATCCCTTGGTTCCATTGCCAGAGAGAAAATACTGGGCTGGATGGTATTTGGTCTTATTTACACAATAATATAAAAAATATCATTTAGGGTGACTGTTTATCACACGAATAACCCATAAAAAGGCCAAAGAGCAGATTTCTTTTAACAACAAACAAAATCTATGGGTTTGGAATAAAAAGCAAACATCATTGAAACAGCTGCCATGATATCATAATCACTGATAAAAATGCAAGAATCTTGAATCCCAACAATCCAAAATAATTCTGGAAGTTGATCATATTTGATAGAAGCCTAAGAGTCCAGATGGTATCCAGATGACTGGGAAATCAGTAAAATGTATGTTTCTTTTTTTTTTTTGAGATGGAGTCTCGCTCTGTCACCCAGGCTGGAGTGCAGTGGTGCGATCTCGGCTCACTGCAACCTCTGCCTCCTGGGGTCAAGTGATTCTCCTACCTCAGCCTCCTGAGTAGCTAGGATTACAGGCGCATGCCACCATGCCCGGCTAATTTTTGTATTTTTAGTAGAGACGGGGTTTCACCATGCTGGCCAGGCTGGTCACGAACTCTTGACCTCGTGATCTGCCCGCCTTGGCCTCCCAAAGTGCTGGGATTATAGGCCTGAGCCACCGCACTGGGCCTAAACGTATGTTTCTTAAATACTGATCTACAAGTGGCAATTTCTTCTGTTATCAGACAGAGTACCAGCCATTCTCATTGTTTCTAATGTCACAGTAGAGCTTTTGCTAATAATCAGCTTTTCGTAAAGAACTCTTAATGCAGGTAGAAAATACTCGTATTAAGTAACCCTTATGCTCATCATTTGTCAAAGAGAAAGAATATTCATTGTCAGTTCTATTTTTAATTTTATTCTCTATCCATTATTTGGCATGCCACAAAGCCAAACATTTAATTTTCTTTCTCCTTCTTAGTCAACATTTTAGTGTGCTTTTTTTCTTCTACGCTCTAGACAGAAATTTTCTTGTGCTAATTATAGTGGTTAAAAGCACAGGCTATGGCAGCTGGGCGCAGTGGCTCATTCCTTTAATCCCAGCACTTTGGGAGGCTGGGGCAGGAGGATCACTTGAGGCCAAGAGTTTGAGACTAGCCTAGAAAACATGGCAACCCTGTCTCTAAAAGAATAACAAAATTTTGCTGGATGGGATGTAGTTCCAGCTACTCGGGAGGTGGAGGTGGGAGGATTGCTGAAACCCAGAAGTACCAGGTTGCAGTGAGCTATGATCATTGCCACTATAGGCCAGCCTAGGCAGCAGAGAGAGATCTTGTCTCAAATAAAAAAAAAAAAAAGAGCACAGGCTGTGGATGGAAGTTAATTGACTGAATAATGAATCCCAACTCTGCCACTTAATATTTAGGTGTCCTTGGATGAAATTAACTTCTATGTTCCCTGGTCTCTTCACCTGGAAAATGGTGTTGACAGTATCTACCATTTAAGGTTGCTATAAAACATTTAATGCAATGCCTGCACACAGGCATTCAATAAATGTTAACATTCAATAAATGTTAGCTGTAATTTTTTTTTTGAGACAGGATCTCACTCACTCAGGCTGGAGGGCAGTGGCGTAACTATGGCTCACTGTAGCCTCAACCCCTCAGGCTCAAGTGATCCTCTTGCCTCAGCCTCCCGAGTAGCTCGGACTACAGGTGCACGCCACTATGGCCAGCTAATTAAAAATTTTTTTTTGTAGAGACAGGGTCTTGCTATGTTGCCCAGGCTGATCTCAAACTCCTGGGCTCAAGCAATCCTCCTGCCTCGGCCTCCCAAAGTGTTAGAATCAAAAGCGTGAGCCACCATGCTCAGCAGCTAAAATTTTTTACACTAACTGAAATGGATTGTTTCATACTCTCATTGTTTACTACACTGTTCAAAATAAACATTAGCAGAGAAATCAAGAAGTGCTGGATATAAGATATCACTATATAAACTGACTTTGCTGATGGGGTTCTCTAAATCATCAATGTGACTGTGATATTAATATTTATTACCCTAATGATGAACTGACTCCCTACTGGAGAAGTACTATTAACTTTAGATATTAGTAAACTAGTTTCATCAATTAATATCAGAATAGGTATAGTAAAATAATTTTCTCTTTAAATACAAGGATGTTATTTGATCCTTTGAAAATTCTGAAGTAAGGAATAGGGCACAAGAGATTTTAGGATAATAATTCAAAGGTATATGTGTATGTGTCCACAGGAATAAAAGCTAGTACTTTACTCACTCATTTTCTAGCATTAACAAAAGACAGGTTTAATTAGGGGGAAAAGTAAGACACTGAGTAGCAAACACTGGAATGTAAACTTCATGAGAGGAGGGACTTTTGTCTGTTCATTATTATATCCCTAGAGCCTAGAACAGTTCCTGACACATAGTAGGCTTAATAAATGTGTTTAATGAATCATCCTCTTAGTGATCAATGTGCATCTCCATCAACATGACATCAGTTTAGTATCCCTGAAATCTAAATACATAAAGCTTTAGGTGATGTTCAAGTTTAACAGCATAACTGTTACCAAAGTTATATTAATGTTTATATTCACTTTCCCTGTAACGGCCATACTGGATTAAACTCATTGGCTCACAAGGGTTTATTTTTTAAAAATAAAGAAAAATTTCTAAGAAATTAATTTCTTTTACAGGTTACAAATTTGTATAGCCTATATATTAATAACTAAAACAATAGATCTCTAAAACTAAGTTAAACTGAGAACTATGCTTCTAGACATCTGATATAATTAATAGTGATATAGGTTCTTGAAAATACTGATTATTCACAGGCAAATATGGATACTGTAGATAAAATTGTGAATTGTATAATATGAACTAAATGTTGCCTAGCTCACATTAATACAACCTATTGCTTGGTTGTATTAATAAATAAATTGAAAAAGCTTCAATTTATTTTTCCATATTTAGTTACTAACCTCTGTTTATTACTAGAAAATGAATTCTTTTACAGGTTACAAATTTGTATAGCATATATATTAATAACTAAAACAATAGACCTCTAAAACTAAGTTAAACTGAGAACTATGCTTCTAGACATCTGATATAATTAATAGTGATATAGATTCTTGAAAATACTGATTATTCACAGGCAAATATGGATACTGTAGATAAAATTGTGAATTGTATAATATGAACTAAATGTTGCCTAGCTCACATTAATACAACCTATTGCTTGGTTACATTAACACAGCCTTTTTGGAGGTTCTTTTTTTTTTAAACACACTACCAACAATTTAGTAGCAGCTCAGTAAACATAATAATTTTCTACTAATCGTTTACCTAAAATAAGGTCACATGTTCTACCTTAAATCCTTTTTGGAGCAAGGTGGAGAGTAAAGAAACAAACAACATCCCAAACTACTTACCAGGGTTGCTATTATTGGTACTCAGTATAGTGTCTGTGTCATTAATGTGATGAATAAAATCTAAAAATAAAGGAAAAAATATAGTTTAACACTGAATGAAAGACACTAAATCTATTACCCTTTAAGGTCTTTTATTTATAAAAATCTTTTTTTTTTCTTTCTTTGAGACGGAGTCTTGCTCTGTTGCCCAGGCTAGAGTGCAGTGGCACGATCTTGGCTTACTGCAAGCTCCGCCTCCCAGATTCACGCCATTCTCCTGCCTCAGCCTCCCGAGTAGCTGGGACTACAAGCGCCCACCACCACCCCTGGCTAATTTTTTGTATTTTTTTAGTAGAAACAGGTTTCACCGTGTTAGCCAGGATGGTCTCGATCTCCTGACTTCGTGATCCACCCACCTCGGCCTCCCAAAGTCAGTCACCGGGCCCAGCCTATAAAAATCTTTTAATATCTGTGTAGTAATCTAGTACACTGAACAAAGACTACTTCACTGTTAACATAGCTTCACCTTCTATAGTTTTCTTCACTTATGGGCATGATAATGTTAGTGTCTTCACAGTTCCACTGTGGAAAATCTTTACGTGTAAATTGAAGATTTCAAAAAAATCTATCCACAACACTGAATTAATGATAGTTTAAAGCCCCGGAATAAAGATATGTATGTAAGTTTTCTCTTATCCTCACACTAAAGTTATATTTCACACAGAGTACAGTTCTAAAGTGTGCAAAAAGGGGAAACCAACACTCATACACAGCTGATCTTACCTGGAAAATCAAAGTTTTTTTTTTTTTTACAAAGTACAATACATACTTTTATAGATCTAAGGCCATATACGAATTGTTATTTACATAAGAACCACTGAGTTAGACTAAAGGAAGTAACAAAGAACAAAGCACATGCAGATGGCTGAGCATTCATCATTCTACAGTGAAAGAGAGAACAGGCAGAGAATGTGTTTACTTGCCTCAGGGGGTTTACTTTATTCTGTTTGATATTAACCTTCTATAACCTGAGTAAGCATTAATAAAAGTATTTGTTGTGAAACTTGAATAAGATAGTAAAAGGTGCTGGGTTAGGTTTTAAGGTCATAAAAGTAAGTTAAATAGTTAAATTATTCATCTTCACCGTATGTTTCTCAAGATAGAATAAAAGAAACAGTATAGTACTTTGGGTTTTTATAATATCTCCAAAGGTTGTTTATGATTTAAGATTGGAATTTATGAATCTTTGTGTAATTTCTTGATGCCAAAGACTTACAGTAAGGCTAGTAAAATCTTGACACGAAGTGTACTGGGTTAAATAGCATTCCCCTTACCCCAAATTTATGTCCACTAGAAACCTCAGAATGTGACCTTATTTAAAAATAGAGTCTTTGTAGATACAATCAAGTTAAGATGAGGTCATAATAGATTAGGGTGGGCCCTAAAGCCAATGACTGATGTCTTTTATTTTATTTTATTTTAATTTTTTTGAGACAGAATCTTGCTGTCACCCAGGCTGGGGTAGAGTCGCATGACTGCAACCTCCACCTCCCAGGTTCAAGAAATTCTCCTGCCTCAGCCTCCCGAGTAGCTGGGATTACAGGTGCCTGCCACCACACCCACTGAATTTTTGTATTTTTAGTAGAGACAGGGTTTCACCATGTTGGCCAGGCTGGTCTCAAACTCCTGACCTCAGGTGATCTGCCTGCCTTGGCCTCCCAGAGTGCTGGGATTACAGGCATAAACCACCGCGCCCAGCCCAATTTATAGGAAGAGGGAAATTTGGACACAGACACACAGAGGGAAGAAGGCCATGTGAAGATGGAGGGAGAAACTGGAGTGATGTACCTACTTGCCAAGGAATGCCAAGGACCACCAGCAACCAACAAAGGTTAGGAAGAGGCAAGGAAGGATTCTTCCTTAGAGCCTTAGGAGGGACCAGGGCCCTGTTCACCCTTTGATTTCACATCTCTAGTCTCCATAGTTATGAAAGAAGAAATCTGTGTTGTTGTAAGCATATTTATGGTAATTTGTTACTGCACCCTTGGGAAACTAACACACCAAGGTTCATGGACAGCATGAAAAAGAAAAACCATAGGCCAATATTTGTTAGGAAAAGACACAAAAGATCTAAACAAATATTAGCTCCTACCCCTCCAAAAAAGCAAATTCAATCCAGTAAGGCATTTGAAAAATATGTCATGACTAATGAACTTATTTAAGTTTACCCCACAATACAAGGATGGTTTAAATTTTACAAAAAGTATTCATTTAATTCATCATATTGATAAAGGAGGAAATTTAATTAAGATAATCTCTTGATTGTCTCTTCATATCTTTTGATTATCTCGAGATGCAGAATAAATACTTGATAAAATTCAACCACTTTAATAAAAATACTTAAGTAGACAATAGGCGGGAATGTCTTTAAATTATTAAAGGGTACAACTGATATCCCACAATAAACATAATATTTGTGAAACATCAGAAAGATTTCCTTATGAACAATATAAGGATATCTACAAGCACCGCTTCAATGCAACTTCACATTAAAAAAAAAACCATCAATATATACATATAGATACACATTTATACGTATATGTCTGTGTACGTATATATAATTACATACGTATATAAATATAAATGTATGTATACATATATGAACTATTAAAAAAACTGGAAAGGTTTTTTTTTTTATTTTATTTTGATTTGAGATGGAGTCTCACTCTTGTTGCCCAGGCTTGAGTGCAGTGGCACGATCTTGGCTCACTGCAACCTCCACCTCCTGGGTTCAAGCCATTCTCCTGCCTCAGCCTCCTGAGTAGCAGTGATTACAGGTGCCCACCACCACGCCTGGCTAATTTTTGTACTTTTAGTAGAGACGGGGTTTCACTATGTTGGCCAGGCTGATCTGAAACTCCTGACCTCAGGTGATCCACCTGCCTTGGCCTCCCAAAGTGCTGAGATTACAGGCGTGAGCCACTAAGCCCAAACAGAAAGCTTTTTTAATTCACAGATGATATGATTATTTAAAAAGGAAACACAAAGTGCATCTACAAAATTTTTATTTTTTATTTATTTATTTTTTTTGAGACAGAGTCTAGCTCTGTTGCCCAGGCTGGAGTGCAGTGGCACGGTCTCCGCTCACTGCAAGCTCCGCCCCCCAGGTTCATGCCATTCTCCTGCGTCAGCCTCCCAAGTAGCTGGGACTACAGGCACCCGCCACCATGCCCGGCTAATTTTTGTGTACTTTTAGTAGAGACAGGGTTTCACCGTGTTCGCCAAGATGGTCTCGGTCTCCTGACCTCGTGATCTGCCCGCCTTGGCCTCCCAAAGTGCTGGGATTACAGGCATGAGCCACCACGCCCGGCTACAAAATTTTTAGAATCAGTAAGAGTTCAGCAAGTTTGCTAGATTAAAGATAAACATTCAAGGGGCAGGGCACGGTGGGTCACGCCTGTAATCCCAGCACTTTGGGAGGCCAAGGCGGGCAGACTGCTTGAACTCAGGAGTTCAAGACCAGCCTGGGCAACATGACGAAACCTGTCTCTACAAAAAATATAAAAATTAGCCGGGCATGGTGGTGGTATTTGCCTGTAGTCTCAGCTACTCGGGAGGCTGAGGTGAGAGGATCACCTGAGCCTGGAGAGGTCAAGGCTGCAGTGAGTTGTGATCACACCACTGCACCCCAGAGCCTGGGTGAAAGAGTGAAACTCTGTCTCAAAAAAACATTCAAAATGTAATTAGGTTCTTTTATAACAGCAACAAATAATTTGAATGTATAATCAAAAATTTATCATTACTTTCTGGGAAGATGGAAATGTTCTATTTCTTGAAGGAGGTGTATAGATGTATGTATGTATAATTAAGACTTGTTTATTTCAATGAATAAATTCTATCTAAAAGAAGAACTATACATATACTAATAGCTGAACTAGGTGGGGAGTGGGAATAGCATGGATTATGTCTTCTTAATGGATGTTACTCTCAAGAAGCACAAAATTCATTCTCAGGGTGTGAAAGAAACTCTTCCTACAGATAAAGCATATATATGCATACAGTTCATAAAGAGATTTACAGTATATCTTTGGTATTAAAATTTCATGGGGGGGGTGATCAGAAAAAAATATCTAAAAGGCTCCTTGAAGGGACAATAATGAAAAAATGGTTGAAAAACACTACTATAGATGATTTAAAAATGACGGAATGTTGATAACTGTTAAAACTAGGTAAGGAGAAATTATACTATTCTGTTTTTTTGTATGTGTTTGAGATTTTTTATAATAAAAACTGCATATTTGTATATTAGAACTACTGTTACAGAAAAAATGTTAAGATCCCGAGGAAAAAGTCCAAAAAAAAAGATACACAAGATCTTTATCAAGAAAAACTTAAAATTTTTTTTAAAGACCTAAATAAACAAAGAACTATGCCATGCCAAAGTCATGAGTAGGAAGACTCAGTATCTAGGCCGAGCGCAGTGGCTCACGCCTGTAATCCCAGCACTTTGGGAGGCCGAGGTGGGCGGATCATGAGGTCAGGAGATCCAGACCATCCTGGCTAACACGGTGAAACTCCGTCTCTACTAAAAATACAAAAACATTAGCCAGGCATGGTGGTGGGCGCCTGTAGTCCTAGCTGCTGGGGAGGCTGAGGCAGGAGAATGGCGTGAACCCAGCAGGCGGAGCTTGCAGTGAGCCGAGATCTCGCCCCGGCACTCAAGCCTGGGTGACAGAGCAAGACTCCGTCTCAAAAAAAAAAAAAAAAAAAAAAAAAAGGAAGACTCAGTATCTAAATGATATCAATTCTCTCCACATCAATAAATCCAGTGCAATGTCAATCAAATTCTAACCCAATACGCTACAATATCAATTACTATACGGTGTACCAACTGATAAAATCAATGCAATTCCAGTCAAGTTCTGATTGGAATTTTGTGGAACTTGATTAGTTGATTCTAAAATGTATATGGAAGAGTTGTGAATCATAATGGAGAAAAACACTAATTTTAAAATAAAAAACTTTTGAATAACACAGAGCTACCATATAAAAAGAGAAGACAAGCCACTAATTAGAAGATATTTGCAACACAATAATGGATAAATGGTTAGTATCCGAACTTTACAGAGTTCCTATAGGTAAGAAAAGGACCAACAACCCGATAGAAAAATGGGCAAAGGATATGAATAAGCTATTTAATGGTCAATATAATTAAGAAAAGATGATTAATGCCACTCCTTATGAGGAGAAATGCAAATTAAAACCACATCCTGATGGCAAAATTTAAGTCTGATAATACTGAGTGTGAGTGAGGATGTGGAACAAGGGTAACTTTCATAAACTGTTGGCAGGAGTGTAAGTAGTACAAGCATGATAAAGAACAATTCTGCAATTTCAAGTAAGGTTGAAAATGTGAATATCTTAAATTCCAGAAATGTGTCTATAAGGTCCATAACTTGGAGAAATTCTCCCCCATGTATACAAGGCAACAGAAATAAGGATGTTTAATAAAGCCTTGCTTGTAATAGCACAATAAGTGAAAACAAATTAAATGTTTATCAACGAGAACAGATAAAAAAGTTGTATATTCATATTACTAAATACTATAAGCAATCAGAATGAACTTTGTGTATTAACAGAGATGATGAAAGACAGAAAGCAAGTTGCAAAAGCGTTTATGTAGATTAAAAACAAGCGGCCAGGTGCCATGGCTCACACCTGTAATCCCAGCACTTTGGGAGGCTGAGGTGGGCGGATCACGACGTCAGGAGATCGAGACCATCCTGGCCAACATGGTGAAAATTTGTCTCTACTAAAAATACAAAAATTAGCTGGGTGTGGTGGTGCACGCCTATGATCTCCGCTACTCAGGAGGCTGAGGCAGGAGAATCGCTTGAACCTGGGAGGCAGAGATTGCAGTGAGCCGAGATCTCACCACTGCACTCCAGCCTGGTGACAGAGCAAGACTCCGTCTCAAAAAAACAAAAAAAAACCAAAAAAAAAAAATGCAAAACAAATAGTGTATGTTGCTCATATATTCATGTAGTAAAAGTCCAAAAAGTGCATGGGATTGATAAACACCAAATTCAGAGAAGGAAAATGAGATTGAGAAGGAGTGCATGTGGGGCTTCCACTCTATCCATAATATTTTCTTTTTATAGGAATACAGAACTACCTAAGCATAGTGGCTTGTGTCTATAATTCTTTTTTTTTTTTTTCTGAGATAGAGTCTTGCTCTGTTGCCCAGGCTGGAGTGCAGTGGTGCAATCTCAGTCACTGCAACCTCTGCCTCCCAGGTTCAAGAGATTCTCGTGCCTCAGGCTCCCGAGTAGCTGGGATTATAGGCATGTGCCACCACACCCAGCTAATTTTTGTATTTTTAGTAGACACAGGGTTTCACCATGTTGGCCGGGCTGGTCTTGAACTCCTGAGTTCAGATGTTCCACCAGCCTCGTCCTCCCAAAGTGCTGCGATTACAGGCGTGGGCCACCGTGCCTGGCCTGTGCCTATAATTCAAGCCTCTTAGCAAGCTGAGGTGGGAGAATCGCTTGAGGCCAGGAGGTAGAAACTAGTCTGGGCAACATACTGATACTCTGTCTCTACAAAAAAAAAAAAAAAAAAAAAAAAAAGGAGATCTAATAAAAATATGACAAAATGAGACACAAAAACTCATTAGTCAGTATACTGGTATTTATATTAGCTTTTGCATTTTTTGTAGTTTGAAATATTTCATAGTTTTTTAAACAATAAAGATGCTTGGGGCCAGGTGCGGTGGCTCATGCCTGTAATCCCAGCACTTTGGGAGGCCGAGGTGGGAGGATCACTTGAGGTCAGGAGATCGAGAACAGCCTGGCCAACATGGTAAAACCCCATCTCTAAAAATACAAAAATTAGCTGAGTGTTACCGCGGGTGCCTGTAATCCCAGCTACTCGGAAGGCCGAAGCAGGAGAATCACTTGAACCTGGGAGGTGGATGTTGCAGTGATCCGAGATCGCGCCACAGCACTCCAGCCTGGGTGACAGAGCAAGACTCTGTCTCCAAAAAACCTCTCAAAAAATAAAAATGCTTGGCAATAAAAATTATAAAGCTAATTTTATTCTTTAATGTTTAAAATGAAATAGAATTTATCTCCCTCATTCAAAGGCTCTTAGGGAAATTAGCTGTTGTGATTATGTTAGGACTTACTTTGAAATTTGGTTTTCACGTAAATCCAGATTTTAAATATATGCTTTATTTAAAGCTGCTAAACATATATTAAACTTTAGGTTTAGTGAAAACTTTAGTAAAACCTTTATACAGAAAAAGGTTTGGTATCTTTTACAATAAACTTCCAGCTCGGTACAGTGGCGTGAGTCTGTAACCAGGAGGCTGAGGTGGGAGGATCACTTGAGCCCAGGAGTTTGAGACCAGCCAGGGCAACATAGCAAGGCCCTGTCTCAAAAAAAGAAAAAAAAATTCATTAATTAAAAAAATGAACTTCCTCTATCTAACCTAAAAAAAATTATAAGAAGTATTTGGACTGATTTCTAAGACTCTCCTCAGAATTTAAGTAGCTGATTTGGGTAAATTATAATTCTGTGATATGTAAATATTAATAATATATTTATCACATAAATTCCATTATTCTTTGACTTCCTAATCTTATATCCTAACATGTTGAAAATAAGTGGCTGAAATTTGTTTTCCCTAGAGTCTACATACCAAATTCTTTAGTGAAACAAACTTAAAAGATCTGTTGGATTATAGACATATTTTATTTTAACTAAAGATTTTGGAGGAATATTATTCCTTCAAAGATTAATGTTTGGAAATAAGCATACACTATATTTGAGAGCACAACCACAGAAAGCCAACTGAATAAAATATATTTTCCAAAATTATATATGTTACTTCTTATTTTATTTATCCCAAGTCCTAGAATTTAAGGCTAGAACTAACATTACAGTGGTAATAGTATTTGAAAGTACTGTGTTAAAAGCATATGATATAGATACTTACTAAAAATAAACTTTCCAGTATTAAAAAGAAAATTTGACATAAGCACCCAATAAACTATCATTGCTCCAATGAGAGACACCAAGGAGAAAAGGAGACTCGACCACTGCCCAAAGGAGCCGAAATAATGTCTGCAGACATCTGGATATTCCCAGCTAGTGGTATCCAACGAAACTAGATAAAATAAGAGAAAGAATAAAACTAAATGTTGAACATATATTCCATATTCATAATTTGTGTTCCCCAAATAAACTCAAAATATTTGGCGAAAGATTATGGGTATTCTATCGCTAGACATTAGAATATATTATAAGATAATAAAATTAAAACATTATAGAAAAATAAAAGAAATGTAGATAAAATAGTACAGATAACCTGAGAAACAGATTATAGTATCATAACATTTTATAATTCATAAAAGCAAGTGATAAACTAAGGTTAGACAAATGCATCAGTAAGGGCCAGAAAATATTACTTAATATTTGGCATATTCAGATAACAACATTGCGGAAAGTTTCTTGAGTCACACTTTCTACCACATGCCAATATAAATTTCAGAAAATTGAGTCAAACAGGCCGGGCACGACAGCTCATGTCTGTAATCCCAGCACGTTGGGAGGCCGAGGCACGCAGATCACTTGAGGTCAGGAGTTTGAGATCAGCCTGGCCAACATGGTGAAACCCCATATCTATCAAAAAATACAAAAAAATTAGCTGGGCATAGTGGCGCGCCTGTAGTCCCAGCTACTCTGGAGGCTGAGGCATGAGAATTGTTTGAACCTGGGAGGCAGAGGTTGCAATGAGCTGAGATCATGCCACTGCACTCCAGCCTAGATGACAAAGTGAGACTCCATCTCAAAAAAAAAAAAAGAAAAAAAACAAAAGAAAGAAATCAAATAATAAAAAAGTTAGAAAACATAATGTAGAAATAGAACATGAAAGTTTATCTTCTAGCAACCGAAGAAACAAATTACAATGAAAAAGACAAACAGGGCTGGGCATGGTGGCTCAGGTCTGTAATCCTAGCACTTTGGGAGGCTGAGGTGGGCAGAATGCTTAAGCCTAAGAGTTGGAGACCAGCCTGAGCAACATGGCAAAACCCCATATTTAAAAAAATACAAAAATTAGCCAGGCGTGACAGCGTGCACCTGTAGTACCAGCTACTCAGGAGGCTGAGGTGGGAGGATCCCTTGAGACCAGGAGGTTGAGGCTGCAGTGAACCATGATCCCACCACTGCACCAAAAAGAAAGTAATTTAAAAGAATACAGAAAGTATATATAAAATATTTTTAGAAGAGTATTCTTTAGAATAGCAAAAACTAGCAATGACTTTAACATAAGACCTAGGGCAATGATTATGCAAATACAATAGAGCTGCCGTGTGCAACTGTATACAATCATTAAGAGACACAAATGGTGATCGTAGAAACATAACATGTACTAAAAAATAGGTGATAAAGTAGAAGACAACTAAAATACAATATGATTAACTTTAAAAAGCATGTATTTAGAGATTCCTATCATTTAGGATAGAAATTTACATAAGAAAACAAAAAACTAAAACCATTTGCTTTTCCATGATAGGATTATTATATTAGTAATATAAACTTTTTGTTTTACATTTCAATGTTCAAGAAAGAATATAGATAAGTATAACCTATGAAAGAGTATTTTAATTGTCATCAAAGGATAATTTTACAGTCTTTTTTCCTCTATGATCCCATGCTTTGAACTACTTTGAAATAATTATGTTTGATGAATACAGAAAAACTGAAGTTCTGCCACCTTTGAAGCAAAATATGGCAGCTAGTACATGGCAGAAAGCAGTCATAAGCCTGAAAAGTTGGGGACATTAGAATATGAGAATTCACATCTAGATAAAGAACATGAGGACAATATCACTATCAAGAATAACTGTTTCGGCTGGGCACGGTGGCTCATGCCTGTAATCCCAGCACTTCGGGAGGCTGAGGCAGGTGGATCAACTTGAGGTCAGAAGTTCGAGACCAGCCTGGCCAACATGGCGAAACACCATCTCTACAAAAAATACAAAAATTGCCAGGCACAGTGGCTCACGCCTGTAATCCCAGCACTTTGGGAGGCCGAGGCGGATGGATCACGAAGTCAGGAGATCGAGACCACAGTGAAATCCCGTCTCTACTAAAAATACAAAAAATTAGCCGGGCGTGGTGGTGGGTGCCTGTAGTTCCAGCTACTCGGGAGGCTGAGGCAGGAGAATGGCGTGAACCTGGGAGGCCAAGTTTGCAGTAAGCTGAGATCGCGCCACTGCACTCCAGCCTGGGTGACAGAGTGAGACTCCGTCTCAAAAAAAATAAAAATACAAAAAATACAAAAATTAACCAGGCGTGGTGGTGGGCGCCTGTAGTTCCAGCTACTCGGGAGGCTGAGGCATGAGAATTGCTTGAACCTGGGAGGAGGAGGTTGCATTGAGCTGAGTGACTCTTAGCATTTCTAATAAAATTATCTTTTGACTGATAATATAATTCTAAGTCTCTTCTAGTTTTTATATTATTTAGGGTTTTTTTTGCTGCATTTGACAATATCTCCAAAAAAAACTGATTAATTATGAATATTTCTATGTTTTCTTGACTTTAATGAAAACTGCTTTAGCATTTCATAATTTTAGAATGGTGCCGGTACTTGTCTGGGAATAAATAGACTTTGCTATTTTTAAGTAGTGCTTTTCACTTAGAGTTTTAATCAGAAACAGGTGCTGAATTCTATTAAGTGCCTTTTTGATATCTATTGATGTAATTATGAATTTTTCTTTAATTTGTTAATGTAGTGAATTATGTTGGATTTCTTAATAATGAAACATCCTTGCATTACTGGAATAAACCTTATCTTAGGCACAGGATATGTTTTGATATACTGTTGGATTCTATATGATAATGTTTTACAAATAAATTTTACGTTTCTATATTATTTTCTTTCTTTTTGGTAGTGTCAGGCTTTGTGTTAGGGGTGTGTGGACTTTGTAAAATGAATTGGTGGAAGTTCTTCTTTTTATTATTTTTATTTTATTTTATTTTATTTTAAGACAGTGTTTCACTCCATCACCCAGGCTGAAGTGCAGTGGCACAATCTTGGCTCACTGCAAGCTCCACTTCCTGGGTTCAAGCAATTCTCGTGCCTCAGCCTCTCTTCTTTTTAAATGGTGTGGAGTAGTTTAATAACATGGAAGTTAACAGTTATAGAGCCAATAATCCCAGCATTTTGGGAGGCAGAGGTGAGCAGATCACTTGAGCCCAGTAGTTCGAGACCAACTTGAGCAACATGGTGAAACCCTGTCTCTATGAAAAATACAAAAAATTAACTGGGCATGGTGGTATGCACCTGTAGTCCCAGCTACCTGGGAGGCTGAGGTGGGAGAATCACCTGTGCCCGGGAAGTCCAGGCAGCAGTGAGCTGTGATAGCGCTGCTGCATTCCAGCCTGGGTGACAGTGAGATCCTGTCTCCAAAAAAAAGGAAAATAAAAGAAAAAACAGTTATAGAGAGAACTCTGTGGGGGCTCTGTTCCAATTTTAAATGAGATGCTGAATTAGATAAGACATGAACTTACTGTATACATTTAAAGAAGTCTTCCAAGTTCAGCCACAATTTGCCTTAGAAACCAGAGGCTAAAATTATCTCCTCTTACCATTTAGAAACCAGAATGAATCTTCTCTCAAGACTTTTTTATTTTTTATTTATTTTTTATTTTTTAAGATGAAGTATTGCTACAGTGCCAAGGCTGGCCCCAAACTCCTGGGCTAAAGTGATCTTCCCACCTATGCCTCCTGAGTTGCTAGGGCTACAGACACACACCACCAGGTCTGGCTTCTCAAGACTTTTAAACAAATACTTGCCCAGTGACTAATAGGAGATCTGGTTAACATAAAGAAGGAAGCTGCTTAGTAGGCACAGAAAAAAACTGGAGGCAAAGTCTGGCCTGTTGATTCATACTTGCTAAGATTTAATGAAATAATGCATGTTTGTTTAGGTCCTAGACTACTTTAAAACAACCTAAAAAAGATATTTCCCTGATCCAGAATTTGTAGATACGAGTAGAGGTAAGGTGTTCACACAACTTCAAATATTCATTACTAGGGAGTTGCTTACATTTTCATATTTTTCTAGTTATAATTTCTACTTTTAGCAGATTCTAACATTTAGATCTTTTGGTATGAATAGGTCAAAACAAGTCACCATTAACTGACAGGAAGCACAGAATTCTCAATTTAGTTTTGGCAAAGACATTATTTTATAAATATGAGTTTTTAAATGATTCTTATGAAGAAACTAGCACCAAAGTGAATGCACTCTGCAAATAACTCCCAGCTTCTCTGAATTTCAAAAGCAGCCACTAAATATTATTAGCAAATCAATTTAGCTGAAAGCGATGAATTACAGAAGTAAATCTTTAGGTACAAAGTAGACAGCTGACACACATGTAGCATATACACACTAGTGATCTGCCTCAAAGGGAAATGCTTATTAATACCCATAATCTATTGTCACTGTGTCAAATTCTTACACATCATAGTCCGTGATTTCACTACTCTGTAGCAGCAATAAAGTGTTAAAAGGCCCATCAGTATGATGACACACATTCCAGTAGTAAATCCAGCCTGTTTAAAAATAAAAGTATAAAACAGCATATATCATCATGTAAGCATAAATTCATATGCAATTATTTTACCCTAAACAATCATGATAAAAACTTGACAACTCATGAAAAACTAAATATAACCATCTATTTTCTTTAATGAATTTTATGTAGATTTATTAAAACCTCTGTTATAAAACTTACAATATAAAGAGAAAAACATTTAGGCAAAAAGTGTGCTGAAAAATTAGTATTACCTGTTTTATGCCCCAAGGAATGCTTAGTATAGATGTTCCCATCATGGTATTCCAAATCATAAAACTGAAAACACAGAGTAATAGCAGTAAAAAAATGGAGTTTCACTCTTCAAACATTTTAATTGAGACAAAAATTTAAAAAACCAGTAATTTTCATCCATATACAGTTTAAGTCATGCTCCAAAAAGCAGTTTCACTCACATGGTTACTAAACTGGTGTTTTTACCGTATCCTTCAGTGTAACTTTGAAGTTTATAAGCAGAGCCCAATGGACTATACACATAGCACTCTTCTGGAGCTGGAACTACATGGTCTGGGGCAATCTGGTAAAAAGGAAACATAGATAAATTTCAGAACCAGGAAATGCAAAATAGGATATTTGTTACACATCAGAACACCTGACTCTAGACACCTTTTTTTTTCTTTTGAACGGAGTCTCGCCCTGTCGCCCAGGCTGGAGTGCAGTGACGCGATCTCGGCTCACTGCAAGCGCCGCCTCCTGGGTTCACGCCATTCTCCTGCCTCAGCCTCCCGAGTAGCTGGGACTACAGGTGCCCACCACCACGCCTGGCTAATTTTTTGTATTTTTTTGTAGAGACGGGGTTTCACCATGTTAGCCAGGATGGTCTCGATCTCCTGACCATGTCATGATCCACCCGCCTCGGCCTCCCAAAGTGCTGGGATTACAGGCGTAAGCCACCACGCCTGGCCCTCTAGACACATTTTAACTATCATAAACAAGTACTATGAATCTCTGATTAGTGAATTAAAAAATGACTTTTCAAATATAGAAAAACTAACTAAAAAAGCAAGTTTTAAAAACCCAAAATAATTTTGGAATTTTCAGAAAACGAGTGTGGATGCAAGTACTATGCATCCCTGATTAGTGAATTTAAAAATTATTTTTCAAATATAGAAAATCTAACTAAAAAAGCAAGAGTTTAAAAATCCAAAATAGTTTTGGGATTTTCAGAAAACGAGTGTGGATGTATACACACATTCATTAAGAATGGTTATATCATTGTCAATTTTACATCACTGTTTATATATTTTGACTTCCTAGACTCATCTCAGTGTCAGTTAACAAATGGCATTCAACTTTGGTGCACATGCTGACTCTATTTCCAGGCAAACAATATACATGCAGGTATAAACTTGCTCATCTGGGATCTTGGAGGTTTGTTTCCAAGAGCAGAGCCTCTAGAAGGTCTCAACTAGACCCAGAGATACAGGATTATCTCTACTCCTCCAAGGGCTTAAGTAATTCCATTATGGAACTAAGACTTCGCCACAACTACTGATGTCAAGGCCTAAGGGGAAAAAGCCGAAAAAAAAATTGGGAAAAAAATTATCCTACCCAGAACATTTTGGAAATCCCTATTTTGGCCATACAAGAGGAAATCTTAATATTTATTTCACATAGCTATTGTTTAGGCTTAAATGAGATAGCTACATTCCAGTGATGCCCAATCACTGGTCCTTATTAAATGTTAATGAATGTTGGTTCTCTTCTTTTTATTAATAATACTAATTTCAAAATCCTGTTTTCTCCCAGAATGTTCTTATTTTCAGTTAAACTTGCAAGTTTCTGACTATCTCATATGCGGTAGTTTTTATAAACTACCAAATTACTTATATATATTTTTTATCCTAAAATAGTAATAGAGATTTTTAGAAGATCAAGGGTCAACAAACTCCGGCCCATAGGCCAAATCTGGTTTCAACCTGATTATTATACAGCCTCTTTCCTGAGAATGGTTTTTATAATTTTATAAATTTTATAATTTATAATTTTGATGATCATAAACAAAATGAAGAATATCATGTGACCTCAAAGTCTAAGACATTTAGTATCTGGCTCTTTGACTCCTGGTTTTGATCAATAAAAGAATAATGCTAAATAAGAAACTACTATATTTATGTGTACATATTTCAGTTTCCCATTCTTCTTTTTTTTTTTTTTTAAGAGATGGGGTCACATGGCCGGGCACAGTGGCTCACGCCTGTAATCCCAGCACTTTGGGAGCACAGTGGCTCACGCCTGTAATCCCAGCACCTCAGGGTGGGTGGGTCACGAGGTCAGGAGTTCAAGACCAGCCTGGCCAACATGGTGAAACCGTGTCTCTACTCAAAATACAAAAATGAGCCAGGTGTGGTGGCGCACACCTGTAACCCCAGCTACTCAGGAGGCTGAGGCAGGAGAATGGCTGGAACCCAGGAGGCAGAGGTTGTGGTGAGCCGAGATTGCGCCACTGCACTCCAGCCTGGGTGATAGAGCGACACTCCATCTCAAAAAAAAAGAGATGGGTCACACTCTTTTGCTCAGTCTGGGTGGGATGCAGTGGCACAATCACAGCTCACTGCATCCTCAAGGGATCCATCCTGGGCTCAAGGGATCCTCCTGTCTCAGCCTCTCAAGTAGCTGGAACTATAGGTGCGAGCCATCATGCTTGGCTAATTAAAAAAATTTTTTTTTGTAGAGACAGGGTTTCACCATCTTCTCCAGGCTGGTCTTGAACCCCTGGGCTCAAGTGATCCTCTTGCCTTGGCCTCCCAAAATGCTGAGATTACAGGAGTGAGTCACTGTGCTTGGCCAGTTTCCCATTCTTGTAGAAAATTTCTAAAAAAATATTTCCCTTACAGCTTCAAAGTTAAAATTGTCCACACTAAGCAGAACATGTTATTATTTGCTATTAGTCAATGGCCTAACTTGCCATTTCAAAAGTAATTTATCCTCCTCAGAGATTTGGGGAATGGGGATCAGGAGAATTTAATCCAAAAAAATCTCCAGGTTGTTGTCAACATAGAAACATTGTTTCAAATTTAGATAAGAATGAACTGGCCTGAGATGTAGGATGTGTGTTAATTACTATCTTTGACTTTGCATGATGCTGTCCTTGAAATACAGTCAGAAAGAAGTTCAATCACTGGGAGGTGCCCTGGCTTATATTGTTCACTGTTCATTTCAACTGAATTTTAGACTATTAGTAATGTTTTGTCTCTTACCAGTGCCTTGTCTGCAGGAGTGGTGAGCCGGCTGTAGTAATGAATTCTCTTGTTCATGGCAGAGGCATGGTCACTAACCCTCTGAATGACATGATTCACATTCACGATGTTTGTGGGCTCTATACAGAAAGGCCTACAAAGGGAATATACACTTGACAAAAAGTGTTCAGCCAAAAATTCTGGAAGTCAGCCTTTGAAGAAAATAACTTCTTATCCTCCATTAGTAATGGGATGCACAAAGGCAAGGCATTGACTTCTCACTTTTGGTGCAAACAGAAAATGTTACAAAAGAAGTATTATCCTATCCACAGAATAAAGCTTTTGTCTCATAACACTTTTACTTTAAGCACACTTTTTTTGTAATCTTCAGGAATTTAGCAACCGAGAAGACAAAACAGAAAGAACTTAAAACAGTTATTAAAAAGAAATACAGCAGCTATCAATTTCCAACAATGAAACTTAAGACAGCTTTGAATAGTCTCTCAAAAAAGCTTTTGGCACTAAATCAGAGAAATTATGGACTAAAATGTCCCTCTCCTGAAGAGTCTCTACTCCTTCCTTATGGGCCCAAGTTATTTCCTATGATAAACAGAATTCTTATTCCTTGGTTCATGTATTAAGGATTAGTGACCTCAACTATCAGATCCCTTATGAGACTTATCCAACTCAGTATAAAATGGAACATCATGACAATGGAGATATTTTGCCTCATTCTACTTTTTGCGGATTTTAGTAACATACCCTTTTATTTATATACATGCTTCCTTTCCACGTCTGCATCCTAATCAACTGCAGATTTTGGTGTTCAATCATCCTTTTCAGTCATCAACCTCTTCAGTTCCTTTCTGAAACTCCCTCATTTTCTTCTGAAGTTTCCAGTAATATACTATCCAAAATGAAAAGACCAGGCAGAGTTTTATCAAAAGACTGTATCCCTCTGCTGATTCTTAGGCTCCTTGAAATCATAAGTGACACTGTGCCCCAAATTGCACATAATTTGCCATTTCAGGCACAGATCCAAAGAAAGAAGAAAAAAAATCCAGATTTATCATTGGTTCCACTAACTCCTCTATACTTATGGTTCTGAAAGGAACTTAAAATGTAGTAACATATGGTAACCATTTCTGGAGATACTGTTAATCTAATCTTTTTTTTTTTTTTTTTTTTGAGACAGAGTCTCACTCTATCGCCTAGGCTGGAGTGCAGTGGTGCGATCTCGGCTCACTGCAACCTCCACCTCCTGAGTTCAAGCAATTTTCTGGCCTCAGCCTCCAGAGTAGCTGGGACTACAGGTGTGCACCACCATGCCTGACTAATTTTTGTATTTTTAGTAGAGACAGGATTTCACCATGTTGGCCAGGCTGGTCTCCAACTCCTGACCTCAGGTGATCCACCTGCCTTGGCCTCCCAAAGAGTTGGGATTACAGGCATAAGCTACCTCACCCAGCCGTTAATCTAATCTTGTGGGAAGTACTTGAAAAGCCAAGTGACTGAACATTTAATTTCTGCTATTTTTCTTATTAATTCTGTGATATTTGAGAAATGGTAGCAGAGGTGTTAAACTTAGTTTTATCTCTCTAGTTAGCATACAGAATCTTTGAATCTTTTACTATTTGTTCTCTACCGCAAAACCTAAATATGCTGGGTACTATATAGGTCAACTCAATGAATATGTAAATAGAGCACTTATAGAGCAAATATGTGGATATAGGGATCAATATGACATATTATATATACTAGTGCTGTGGTTTGAATATGTCCCCCAAAGTTTATGTGTTGGAAGAAAATCTCCAATTCAACAGTCCCAACAGTGGGACCTTTAAGAGGTGATTAGGTCATGAGGGCTCTGAGTTCACAAACAGATTAATGACGTTATCTTGGGAGCAGGTTAATATCATAGGAGTGGGATCCTGGTAAAAGAATGAGTTCAGTTCCCTTCCTTTCCCCTACCCTCTCTCACGTACTCTTTGGCCCTTCCACAATGTTGTGATAAGCAAGAAGTCCCTCCCTACATGTGGGCCCTTTGACCTTGGACTTCCCAGTCTCCACAACTATAAGAAATAAATCTCTGTTCTTTTAAAATTACCCAGTCTCAGGTATTCTGTTACAGCAGAATAAAAGGAACTAAGACAATAAGCATATTATTGTTAAGTGAATTAAGTGGTGTCAATATATTTCAAAGGGATATAATAAAAATGAATGGATCAGAAGCTGAAAAAGCAATCCCTACTTGTAAATTTGGTAGTCTGCTGTAACTACCAATTATCCCAAAGCATTATGATGTCCAATATAATTTGCATCTCCACTATGACACTCAGTGGTACTAAAAAGCAACATAAAAATATTTATGTCTGGCAGATGGTTTAATTATACCTGGGGTCACACTCTATAGTGCATTCTCTTTTTGCTTTGCAAAAATGATGCCCTACAAAATTCAAGAAAGAATGATAGCTTTAATACCAACATAAGGCAAAGATTGAAGCTAGTCATGGATTACCAAAAGAGACTGATAAATATCATACTGATAGAAAGAGATGTAGATGTTCTACTGCTAGCCTTTTACTTTAAAAATTCAATATTATTGGTTCCAACCACTAAGTTGGTTTGAGGCCTGCTTGCTGAAAAGCAGTCAGGAAGTGCTAAATTTCTTGGCTCCTGGTTTCTTACAGAAGTGTTAACTGTACCAGTTTAGTTGGCTTGACTACTCTGAGGGCAGAATGACTCTGAAAGTTTTTCTTTTCCAACAGTTTTCATCGAGATGCTGAGTGCCTGTTCAAACAAATATTTTGGAATCTTTTCAAAACAGATTCTCTTCAAAAAATATACAACTCAGCATATTTAACTGAATTATTAGAAACATATGCTTAAAGCTTCATTTGAGAAGAAAAAATATAACTATATTTTTAAATTGAACTTTAGTTGGATCTGAAAACACTTTTAAAATTAAACAATACTATACAGAGAACAATATTCAGAATAAGACTTTTGAAACTTGGGCTTTCTTTTTTTGAACATAGTTTCACATTACTGCTCCCTATCAATGTTACTTCTCATTTGAAATGTAGTTCAGCTGTGCCACACTAAAAATAAATAAGTCATATTTGTCTTACCTTATAAATATTTATGGTCATGCCACAGAAAAAATGCTTTTAATATTAAGCAAAATGTACAAAATATTTTAAAATATGAGTCAAACCTCATATTTTCATTTAATACATGTATAAACAGAGAAACCTTATTTCTACCTAACACCTTTTCTAGGTTCCACTCCTTAAATTCCTTAAAAATTTTTGGCTTATACATCTGTCTCCACCCTCCTACTGACCAGTTATGCTTCTCTGAAATTTAATAACAATGCCATCACTCTTAAGAAGGTCTGTACCCCAAATAAGGTACAAAACCAGGTACAACTGAATTCAGTATTTAGGGATATACAGACAATAAAACTATTATAAAGCGTAGGGAAATTATTATACAAAGTCAAGATAGTGGTCATCCCTAGGGAGGATGGAGGATGTGTTTGGTGAAGGACACATGGAGAACTTTTAGGTTACTGCTGTGTTTTGACCTTATGTTGCTTGGATGGGTGTTGGCTTTATTATTCTTTCTTTCTTACTTTCTTTTTGAGACAGGATTTTACTCTATTGCCTAGGCCAGAGTGCAGTGGCATTAACATGGCTTACTGCAGCCTCAGCCATCTGGGCTCAAGCAACTTTCCTGCCTCAGTCTCAGCCTCCCAAGTATCTGGGACCACAGGCGTACACCACCATGCCCGTCTAATTAAAAAAAATTTTTTTATAGAGACAGGGTCTCGCCATATTGCCCAGGCTGGTCTCAAACTTCTGGCACAAGCAATCCTCCTGTCTTGGCCTCCCAAAGTGTTGGGATTAAAGGCAAGAGTCACCATACTGGCCTATAAATTTCTTAAATTGTACATATACAATGCACTTCTTTGTACATGTGATATACCAAAGATAAGCCTTTAAAAATAGATTTTAAGTGGACACATCCTTTCAAAATTTAGTAGAGAGACTCAAAAATATTTTGTATCATACAGAAATGTATTGGTTATGTTGTGGCAAACTTAAACAAGCTACCTATTTTTCTTCTACAAGAAACAACTGCTCCGAATTTGAAGACTTTTTCTACGACGACACATAGGTGTCAATAGTATGCTACGTAGGTACACAGCAGATATTAAAAACAAAAACAACCCCATCCCACATACTTAATTTATCTCCCTTCAAGATAAAGATGGTATTTTAATCGTCTGAGAAAGTAGTTGCTTTAAAAAAAAAACATGTTACACAAAGAACATTCTGATAATAAATGTTTAGAAATGTTTCCATTGTTAGATGGTTTTATTGCTGAACATGTCTGTCACCAATAAAAACTCCCATCTGCAATTTCACACACATGGATTCAAAATTTTCTAAGATTTAAAAACTTCCAAATGAAGAATTTAAATGGTCTTTGAACCTGACATTAAACATGACAGAAAAATCAAAGTAATAATTATAATTCTAAAGCAAATTGCACTACCAGTGTCTAGGTATTTACTCCATGTAATGCAAGTATTAATACTAATATTTTAATTGAAAAGTGTGCAGAAGTGTAACAATGTTTAGAAATCAGTGAAATTAAATACTCAACATACTTCAAATGTGGAAATTTACAAACATTATAAAGTATCAAATAAAACATTAATATATAAAACATAAACATTAAAAAATAAAAACATAAACATTAAACAGTTATGATTCTAACGTAAAGTATTCAATATGACTGTATGCAATGCTTCTTTACCCTTTGTAAACTTCCACCCAGTGTGTCTTTCAAAATGACACCTCTCAAGTAATCAGTCCAGAAAGACTTCAGGACCTTCCTAAAGTGTTTAGTACTCCTCCAATGGAACTTTCAGACCAGCTAGGCAGCTCCTTCACTCTGTACAGAAGCTACTGAATTGTAGGTCTTTTTTTGTTTGTTTGTTTTGAGATAGGGTTCCATTGTGTCGCCCAGGCTAGAGTACCGTGGTGCGCTGATAGCTCGCAGCAGCAACAAGAGGCTCAAGTGATCCTCTTGCCTCAGCCTCCCAAGAAGCTAGGACTCCAGGTGTGCACCACCGTGCCCAGCTAATTAAAAAAAAAAATTTTTTTTTTTTTGGTAGAGATGGGGCTGTTATGTTGCCCAGGCTGATCTCAACTGATCCTCCTGCCTCTGTCTCCCAAAATGCTGGAATTACAGGTGTGAGCCAACATGCCTGCCCAAGAATTGTTCTGTCTATCAACTCTTCTCCTTCCCCCAACAGAGAAACTTGCCACCTTCTGAGGGGTCCCTCTAAATCAATACTTTTTTTTTCTTTATTGTGTGTGTGTGTGTGTGTGTGTGTGTGTGTGTGTGTAGTGTGTTGGGAGGGAGGGTAGTGGCTGGAACAATTGGGTGGTAAAGTAGAGCTAGGAGGGTGTCAGAAATGAAGGGGAAGGCAGAAAAGTAGAAGAGAGGAGAGCTTAGGGGACAGGCTAGAGAGAAAAACTCAGACTAGACAGAAAACCACAAAAGGTGAACAAGGTTACTGGTTTTTTTTTCTTTTTTTGAGACAGTCTTGTTCTGTCTTGCCCAGGATGGAGAGCAGTGGCACAATCTCAGCTCACTGCAGCCTCCACCTCCCGGGTTCAAGCAATTCTCCTGTCTCAGTCTCCTGAGTAGCTGGGACTATAGGCATGTGCCACCACACCCAGCTAATTTTGTATTTTTAGTAGAGACAAGGTTTCACTATGTTGGCCAGGCTGATCTCGAGCTCCTGACCTCAGGTGTGCCACCCGCCTTCACCTCCCAAAGTGCTGGGATTACAGGCATGAGCCACTGTGCCCAGCCAATTACTGGTTGTTTCTAAATTAACAGTATTAAATCAATGAAAACACTAGTATTTTGAGCTTAAAAAATAGCATGGAATACTAAATATACAAACTAGTACTGCAATCACTAAATGTAAGAATTGAATGATATTATGGAGGATGAAAATTCATCATGCAAATTTCAACAAAAAACATCACATGTAATTGTTGGATAAGACTGAAATGAACTTTTTTTTTTTTTTTTTTTTTTTTTTTTTGAGACAGGGTCTTGCTCTGTCACCCAGGTTGGAGTGTAGTGGCGGTATGATCATTGGCTCACTATTACCTTGAACTCCTGGGCTCAAGTAATCCTCCTGCCTCAGCCTCCCGAGTAGCTGGGACTACAGGCATGTGCCACATGCCTGATTAATTTTTTTAATTTTTTGTAGAGATGAGGTCTTGCTATATTGCCCAGGTTGGTCTTAACTCCTGGCCTCAAGTAATCCTCCTACCTTGGCCTCCCAAAATGTTGAGATTACAGGCATGAGCCACTGTGCCTGGCCTGGAGTAAACTTTGAATCAGTTTAAATTACTGTGTGACAAACTATTAAATAATAAAGACTATTACAATGTTAAAGTGAAAACAAAAAATTGACTATACTGCCAATAAATCAAATTTAAAGTTAATTTTATCAAGATTATGTCTTTCTAATAATTAAAAATTTCTATTATGTTTTATAGAGTATATAATATGTAAGTATAGAAGTATATGTACATAATTTGCAAATGAATATGTGCATGCACACACACATAAGCAGTCTCATTTTTTTAAGATTGTTATTTTTTTTTTAACTAAGTGGCATGGTGAAAAAGCTTTTGAAGAAAGTAAATGTTAATAAACACTTGGTTGAAGATTATGAGTTCTCTGTTTTAGAATTCCAAACTGTTACTTAGCTGAAAGAAAACAACTTCATCAACAACATATAGACAAAGAACTTGACCTGAAAATTAATTCTCCGGCCCATGTATTTTATTACAGATTCTGCTGAGAATAAATTTCAAAATTCTTTTCAATGCAATTTATGTTCTTAAATTTTGGTTTTAAAAAAATCCATTAATTTTTAAAAATTCTACTATGCTGAGAATCTCTTATTTCTATGTCTACAAAATGATCAGTAAAAGAAATGCAAGTTTTTAGTTTTTTGTTTTTTTTTTAATAGCAGCAACACTGGAATGAGGCTTAAAGAATTATATAAACAACAGAAACATTTTAACCAAGTTAAGATGCTTCCATTTTTCTCTAGGTTGATGTAAACAGTAACACCACCACCACCACTGCAACCACTCCATTCCATCTACTATCTAGAAAGAGCAGTTCCAAATGGGAAATGGTGAGTGACATTCCACAAAGGAAAATTAGGAATGTGGAAAAAATTCCCAAGTGGGAAAGTTTTCCAAGCAGCTTCTCCTTTTATCCACTTTATTAGGATGTCAAAATAAATCGCAAATTGTCTCAATCTACTTAAGTGCAATAAGTTAAGAGTATTATTAACTTAATATTTTGAAATAAAGAGCATGTCTTAATTATAAATAAAGAGTAACTGCAATGCCATGCCAGTTATTACTCTCCTCCTTACACAAACCCACCAGAACAATTTCTGGAAAATTAATAAAATTTCCAGTTTCATAACCCAATTCCCCATGGGGGAAATAAAAGTGGGGAATAAGAAAAATGCCAGGCTAGCATTTTAACTAAAATTTCCTATCCTTAAAAACTAGAAAGACAATGAAAGACAGTAAAGGTTTCAGTGTATATATCTATATATATATAGAGAGAGAGAGATACATTTTATTTTTAATACTGTACATAGATGTGATGCAAACGAAACACATCTACTCCTTAAACAGATCACCAAAGAAAAATAGACTCTTTCTTGTTCCTTTCCCATATCTTAATGCTATAGTTTGAGTGTGTTCCCTCCAAAATTAAGGCATTGCCAATGTGATGATATTAAGAGGTGGAGCCTTTAGGAGGTGATTAGGCCGGGAGGGGTCCCCCCTCATTAAGGCCCTTACAAAAGAGGCTTAGCATAGCATTTGGCTAGCTTGTTCTTCAGCTCTTCTGACATGGATGACACAGCAACAAGGCCCGTGTCAGATCAAATGCCAGTGCCTTGATCTCAGACTTCTCAGCTTCCAGATTGTGAGAAATAAATTTCTGTTCTTTATAAATTATCCAGTCTCAAGTATTCCTTACACAGCACCAAATGGACAAGGCACTTAAGGAAAGGATTCTATACATCAAGCCTTAGAAATCCTCATCATAGCTCTCAAGAAAGGCAGACAGACAAAGAGAAATTCTGCTTTACCACTGGAAAGACACTGTCAACAAATGGTTTACACAAACTGGTCATTCAAAAGATGATGGCTGTATTTTCAATCCAGATGGCAAATATTGTAGTAGCCTGATCAGAATCTATTGCTAGTCGCATTCTGCAGATCAATCCCAGAATAACAGAACAGATAAAGGCAACAGCTCAAAGTGAAACCTGCCCTGCCAACTGGCTCCTATCAACTAATTTTTATCCATAGGAAAGTTTTACAAACTAAATATGAGATATTTTAGGAAAAAAAGAAAAAAGTAGTGCTAGAAAGTATATGCTGAAATAAGAACTGTCACACATTGCTAGTAGAAGTATAAGTTGGCACAATCTTTCTAGAAAGCAATTTGCAATATATATTACGAACCTTAATTCTGTTCATACCCTTCATTATAATACTTATATCTTTGAGACTCTGTTAGAAAGAAATCAAAATATGATATAAAAATTATGCAGAAAGCTGCTAATAACCGCATTTAAAATAATTAAAAATGTAAACATTTTAATATTAAAACACTCTTAAATTATGTATATTTAAATTTAAGATGATATTTAGAAAGAATTCCTAATATGGAAGAGTGCTTGTAAAACAAATTTCTTCTTTTGGCATTTCAGTGAGTCTTAAGGACAATTTTTATCATACCACTTTTTACTACTGTTTGAAAGCCAGTACTTTCCCCTTATCTATCATTCTTAGCTTCAGTCTCTACCCCTATGGTTTATGGCAGTTAAAATCTTTGGATGACCTTGCCAAAGGACTGCAGGTTTGCTTCAGGGTTTAGGAGAGGCTGGAGACTGTTTTGCTGTTTTGTTGTCCAAAGAGCCATTTTGATCAGAACATTTTTTATTAGAACTGTGGGGGTAGACTGAAATTAAGGTGAACGAGCCTGACCTTTTTATTAACTTCCTCAGAAACAAGGCAAGAGGTATCCCTATGGGTGTCACAGCAGTACGAAGTACAAGTCCCTATGGTTGCTGACATTAGAGTCCTTCTGTGCAGACCAGGGGTCGGTACACTATGGCCTGATAAAACAAATCCAAGCCCATGTCCTGTTTTCATAAATGTCCTGTTTTTGTAAATAAAATTTTTACTGGAACACAGCCAGGCCCATGCACTTATGTTTTGTCTATGGCTACTCCCACTCCACAACGGCAAAGTTGAGTCCGTATGCCCACAAAGCCTAAAGTATTTACTAACGTGTCCTTTATAGAAAAAAATTTACCAACTCTTGTCCTAGACCATCTTAAGGCCCCCTTAAGGACTCAGATGTGGAAAAGAGTCTTCCACTCTCCTCCTTGACGGGCAAAGGAGATGAATGAGGGAGGAGCCTACATGCCCTTAACAGATCCATGCCAGGGAGCATCTGAATAGGTTTTTCCTTCAGGAAAATAGGTAATATTTATAACCAGATGTCCCTAGGTGTCATTAGGCTTAATCCCTTGCAAAATTTACCTCTCACATTTAAAAACAAAAGCCAAACAAAAAATCCTCAACCTCAGCCAAAACAACTACAATAAATGTTCTTGCACAGAGCAGCACCTGCACAGAAACCTTCCCAAGGCACCTGGTCATCAATATTACATATGGCCTCATTCCACTGCTGGTACAACCAGAACCTATAGCATAGTCACTCACAGGAGTATGCCACAGGATTCTTGGTAATGCTAGTACAGGATGAGTTCAATTTGTATTTTTCCTAATGAAAAATGAGTTCTAAATATATACATGTATAGGCTGGGTGTGGTGGCTCATGCTTGTGATCCCAACATGAGGACTGATTGAGGCCGGGAGTTCAAGAACAGCTTGGGGAACACAGCAAGGCCCTTTCTCTACAAAAAATAGAAAAAGCAGCCAGGCATCCTGACATGCACTTGTACTCTCAGCCTCCAGGGAGGCTGAGGCAGGAGGACTGCTTGAGCCCAGGAGTTCAAAGTTACAAGGTGCTATGATCGTGCCACTGCACTCCAGCATGGCATGAGACCATGCCTCAAAAACAGACGTGTGTGTGTTTATACACATAAAATTAAGTATTTAGCACCCCTTATTTTTTGCTAGGTATCCATCTCCCCCACTGGAGGGTGGAGCTGTGTTTCAGTAAAGCTGTGTTTGAGTAAAGTGTCTGGCAAACAGAAGGAACATAATGAATGTTTGCTGACAAAAGAATAGAAGAAGGAAGGAAGGCAGGCAGGCAGAGGAGGAAAAGAGGGAGGGAGGGAGGGAAGAAAGATGGCAGGGAGGTGGGGAAGAAGAGAAGAAGAGAGGGAAGGAGGCAGGCAGACAGACAACTAGCGAATAACTTGCAGAAGTAATGATGGCATGTAATATAAATTTAAAATGAAAAAGCAGCACAATAAATTACATATACTATGTGATCTCACCTAAAAACGTCATAGAAAAGAAGGCTAGGAGTAAATACAGTAAATATACCAAAAGGTTTTTTGGTTTGTTTTACAGATGAGGTCTCATGATGTTGTCCAGGTTGGAGTGCAGTGGCTATTCACAGGCACGATCATAGTGCACTGTGGACTCAAACTCCTCGGCTCAAGGAATCCTCTTGCCTTAGCCTCCTGAGTAGCTGAGACTACCAAGGTAATTTAAACAAAGTTTTAAGAAAATGAGTTTTTCATTTTGTATATACCATTTTTATCCTAAGTTATAGGAATGCCATATTTTCGGAATAACTTTGTTCTCATTAGAAATGTAGCACATTGTCTACATTTAAGATAATCAAGAAGTTATTGAAGAAAATGAAATCACCTATCAGAAATAACCACTGTTAACATTTTAGTGCATTTCCTAGACACATATATGTACACACATGAATGAAATTAGTTTCATTTGCTTTCAAACTTCTCATAAAGTAGAATAATACAATATATATTTTTCTGTCTGGCTTCTTTTGCCAACATTATCTTTGTGACATTCACCCATATTCTGTATGTAGCTACAGTCTGTTCATGTTCATAGCTGTATAACATTCCATTATATAAAAACACAACAATTTACTTATCCATTCCTGTGATGGGTATCTGGGTTTCTTTGGAGCTCTTATAAATCAATTCTAATTTATATTCTCTTACATGTCCCTTTGTGCAATGTGCATACATTTTTACTGATTATAAACGTGGTGTATACTCAATGGTAGCAGATAATTACAAACTCATTTCCAAAATGACTGTACTTATACTTACTCTAGTACTATATGAGCATTCCCACTGTTCCACATTCTAGTCAACATTCATTATTGTCACTGATTTCTTAATTTGGGTACTGTAATTACAGAATTTCTATTTGATTCTTTTTGAAAAAACATTTTCCACAAATTTATTTTTTTCATATTTATCTCTAGTCACTGCCAAATTCTCAGTCTTATTTTAATTTCCTTGAACATGTTAAAGACAGTTCTTTAAAAGTCTGTTCCTGATAACTCCATTATCTGGATCACCTGTAAGTCTCTTTCTATTGTGTATTGAGTTTCTTAATTTCCAATCATCTTGTCCTGGCTTCTCTTACACTTGGCTAGTTTTTAGCAAGTTCCTGACATTGTAAATAAAAAAACTGTATAAATAACTTGAAACCTAAAGTATTTTCTTTAGAAAGAGTTTATATTGGCTTTGGGAAGTCAATTTGAGACAGGAGCAATCCTAGATCACCTTAATCCAGTTTGGGGGATTGAGATGAGTTAAAGTTGGGCTTCAGTTCCTGAAAGGAGGCCATTCTATTTCAAATTCATTCACATTTCTAGGCTGTAGCCCTTTGGGCTTCCAACCTAAAGTTTACGTGAAGTCTCTCTTAGTGGGCCCTGGATTCCAAATTTTCTTCCTCTAGCCCTATAGGCTGGCAAAGACTCTGGTTTTTGTTGTTGTTGTTATTGTTTGTTTGTTTGCTTTTCTGAGATGGAGTCTCACTCTGTCGCCCAGGCTGGAGTGCAGCGGTGCAATCTCAGCTCACTGCAGTCTCTACCTCCTGGGTTCAAGCGATTCTCCTGCCTCAGCCTCCCGAGTAGCTGGGATTACAGGCGCCTGCCACCATGCCCAACTAATTTTTGTATTTTTAATAGAGACAGGGTTTCACCATGTTGGCCAGGCTAGTCTCGAACTCCTGACCTCAGATGATTCACCTGCCTTGGCCTTCCAAGGTGCTGGGATTACAGATGTGAGCCACCACGCCTGGCCAAAAGCTCTGTTTTAAGCCTCTCAGCTAATAAACTGGAATTGGCAGATATTCTTGAGGAAATGCTGGGCTCTCCTTTCTGGCTTTGTCTTCTTCCTGATTTAGACCTCGGTATTCTACATTGTCTTATTAGTTGTCCTATGTCTTCAAGCATATTTTTAAAAACATTTTGTCAGCTTTTCTAGTTATTCTCAACAACTTGGTCAGCCCAAATTCCTTAATCTCTCAATTCACAGATTGATGACTGTACAGCCATCACCATAATCCATTTTAGAACATTTTTACCATCCCAAAAGAAGTCCCAGACCCCATTTTCCCCTTTCCCCAGCCCCTGGAAACCATTAATCTACTTTCTGTTTCTATGGCTTTACCGAATCTAGAAAGTTTATATAAATGGAATCATACAATATGTAGTCTTTTTTGTGTGGTTTCTTTCACACAGCATAATGTCTTCAAGGTTGATACATATTGTTGTTCATCAGTTGATGGACATTTGAGTTGTTTCCACTTTGACCATCATGAATGTTAGGAACATTTGTTTACAAGTATTTGTGTAGACATATGTTTTTAATTCTCTGGATAGATACCTAGAACTAGAATTGCTAGGTCATATGATAGCTCTGTATTTAACATTTGAGGAGCTATCAAACTGTTTTCAAAAATGGCTGTACATTTTTTTTTTAACTTTTAAGTTCAGGGTTACACGTGCAGGATGTGCCTATGTACATAGGCAAACATGTGTGATGGGGGTTTGTTGTACAGATTATTTCATCACCCAGGCATTAAGCCTAGTATCCATCAGTTATTTTTCCTCATCCTCTCCCTCCTCCCACCCTCCACCTTCCAGTAAGCCCCAGTGTGTGTTGTTCCCCTCTATGTGTCCATGGTGTTCTTAATATTTAGCTCCCACTTAAAAGTGAGTACATGTGGTATTTGGTTTTCTGTTCCTCTGTCAGTTTGCTAAGGATAACGGCCTCTAGCTTCATCCATGTCCCTGCAAAAGACATGATCTCATTCTTTTTTATGGCTGCACAGCATTGAATGGTGTATGCATTTTCTTTATCCAGTCTATCATTGATGGGCCTTTTGGTTGATTCCATGTCTTTGCTATTGTAAATACTGTTGCAGTGAACGTATGTGTACATGTATCTTTATAATATAACTATTTATATTCCTTTGGGTATATACCCAGTAATGGGATTGCTGGGTCGAATGGTATTTCTGTCTTTAAGTCTTTGAGGAATCACCACACTATCTTCCATAATGGCTCAACTAATTTACACTCCCACCAACAGTGTATAAGCCTTCCTTTTTCTCCAGAACCTCACCAGCATCTGTTACTTTTTAACTTTTTAATAATAACCATTCTGACTGGTGTGAGATGGTATTTCATTGTGGTTTTGATTTGCATTTCTCTAATGATCAGTGATATTGAGCTTTTTTTATATGCTTGTTGGCTGCATATATGTCTTCAGAAGTGTCTGCCTATTCATTTCTTTGCCCACTTTTTAATGGGGTTGTTTTTTCCTGTGAATGTGTTTAACTTCCTTATAGATGCTGGATATTAGACCTTTGTCAGATACATAGTTCGCAAAAATTTTCTTCCACTCTGTAGGTTGTCTGTTTACTCCATTGATAGTTTCTTTTGCCGTGCAGAAGCTCTTTAGTTTAATTAGATCCCATTTGTCAATTTTTCCTTTTTTGCAATTTTTTTGGCATCTTCATCATGAAATCTTTGCCTGTGCCTGTGTCCTGAAAGGTACTGCCTAGGTTGTCTTCCAGGGTTTTTATAGTTTTAGGTTTTATATTTAAGTCTTTAATCCATCTTGAGTTAATTTTTGTATATGGTTAAGGAAAAGGTCCAGTTTCAATTTTCTGTAAATGGCTACTCAGTTATCCCAGCAGCATTTATTCAATAGGGAATATTTCCCCATTGCTTGTTTTTGTCAGGTTTGTTGAAGATCAGATAGTTGTAGGTGTTCGGTCTTATTTCTGGGTTCTCTATCCTGTTCCATTGGTCTGTGGGTCTGTTCTTGTACCAGTACCATGCTGTTTTGGTTACTGTACTCCTGTAATATAATTTGAAGTTGGATAGCATGATGCCTCCAGCTTTGTTTTTTTTTTTTTTTTTTTTTTTTTGCTTAAGATTGCCTTGGCTATTCAGGCTCTTTTATGGCTCCATATGTATTTTTAAAAGTTTTTTCTAGGCCGGGCGCGGTGGCTCACGCCTGTAATCCCAGCACTTTGGGAGGCCGAGGCGGGCGGATCACGAGGTCAGGAGATCGAGACCACGGTGAAACCCCGTCTCTACTAAAAATACAAAAAATTAGCCGGGCGCAGTGGCGGGCGCCTGTGGTCCCAGCTACTCGGGAGGCTGAGGCAGGAGAATGGCGTGAACCCGGAAGGCGGAGCTTGCAGTGAGCGGAGATCGCGCCACAGCACTCCCGCCTGGGCGACAGAACGAGACTCCGTCTCAAAAAAAAAAAAAAAAAAAAAAAAAGTTTTTTCTAGTTCTGTGAAGAATGTCAATGGTAGTTTAATGGAAATAGCATTGAATCTATAAATTGCTTAGGGCAGTATGGCCATTTTAATGATATTGATTCTTCCTATCTATGAGCATATGAATGCTTTTCCATTTGTCTGTGTCATCTCTGATTTCTTTGAGCAGCAGTTTGTAGTTCTCCTTGTAGAGATCTTTCACTTCCCTAATTAGCTGTATTCCTAGTATTTTATTTTTTTATTATGTATTTATGTATTTATTTATTTTGAGACAGAGTCTCACTGTCGCCCAGGCTGGAGTGCAGTGGCGTGATCTCAGCTCACTGCAACCTCCGCCTCTTGGGTTCAAGAGATTCTCTGGCCTCAGCCTCCCGAGTGCTGGGACTATAGGTGCGTGTCACCATGTCCGGCTAATTTTTTGTATTTTTAGTAGAGACAGTGTTTCACTGTGTTAGCCAGGATGGTCTCAATCTCCTGACCTCATGATCCGCCCGCCTTGGCCTCCCAAAGTGTTGGGATTACAGGTGTGAGCCACTGCACCCGGCCGGTATTTTAGTTTTTTGTAGCAATTGTGAATGGGAGTTCATTCGAGATTTGGCTCTCGGCTTGACTGTTGTTGGTGTATAGGAATGCTAGCAATTTTTGCACATTGATTTTGTATCCTGAGACTTCACTGAAGTTGCTTATCAGCTTAAGAAGCTTTTGGACTGAGACGATACAGTTTTTTAGATATAGGATCACGTCATCTGCAAACAGGGATAGTTTGACTTCCTCTCTTCCTATTTGAATGAACTTTATTTCTTTCTCTTGCCTGATTGCTCTGGCCAGAACTTCCAATACTATGTTGAATAGGAGTAGTGAGGGAGGGCATCCTTGTCTTTGTACCATGTTTCAATCCCACCAGCAATGTATGAATTAGGGCATAATCTCTTTTTTTTTTTTTTTTTTTAAGACAGTCTCACTCTGTTGCCCAGGCTGGAGTGCAGTGGCCCGATCCCGGCTCACTGCAAGCTCTGCCTCCCGGGTTCACACCATTCTCCTGCCTCAGTCTCCAGAGTAGCTGGGACTACAGGTGCCCGCCACCATGCCCGGCTCATTTTTTTGTATTTTTAGTAGAGACGGGGTTTCACTGTGTTAGCCAGGATGGTCTCGATCTCCTGACCTCGTGATCCGCCCGCCTCGGCCTCCCAAAGTGCTGGGATTACAGGGGTGAGCCACTGCGCCCGGCCCTAGGGCATGACCTCTTTAAGCAATTATTTTTAATACCCCATTTACTAGCCTTAATAAAATAGAAAATATATAACTACCTAGAGACATAATTTTTAAAAAATAAAAATAACTCTCACTATAATAGAAAAGAGAAAGAAATGAAAATAACATAATGAAATTGTATTTTAACATGTAAATTCCCAGGCATAGCTACACTCAAAGACATAATAAAGAAGGCCAATGCTTGCCTCTATTTGAAATTAATAAGACAATTTAAGAGAAGTAAAACTAGAAGCCATTCTGTATATGAAGTATAGGTAAATAAAAAAGCAGAAGTTTTGATAGACATAAGTAAAAACTAGTGTTATTTTAAAAAGCTAGTGTTAGAATAAGTATCAGGTCAGATCTGTATACACTAAACAAAGATAAAAATAACCTTAGTTGAAGTAGTGATAATATACCAAGATAAACTATAAACTACTGAAGTAGAAAAAATAAGGAAGCATGATGTTCTAGCAAATGAACCAGGGCTTTTTATAAGTATAGCACCAAAACAATTCCCAATATGATTTTACAGAAAACATATCTCCTAACTTAAAATAAGGCATAGAAAAGCTATGTAATAGACTTCGGGGACAATTTCAGAATGAGACTAAAAAAAGTATCAGGCAAGCCAAAGATGCATAATCTCAATGTGTAATTTTCACACCAATTCCTTATCATTGGCCTATAGTCAGCCACTGAGCTATAACAAGACACTGGCATTTCATGTGCCTCCATCAATTCAATAATATTTGGTTTTAAGTCTGCTTGTTAAAAGAAGTTTCAAATCTCTTGTTATATACTTGCAATTGGTTTTACTGCTTTTATAGCATAATTATACTATTACACTAAAACCCTTTTGACTAAATATATACTTGGATGTGTTACAATATTGAGCAGACAGAGAACAATGCTAGCCCAACCCTTCATATTATTTCCTCCAAAAAACCCACACTTTTGATTTGGCCCTAACGAGTACCAGTCAAACCCAACGAGGCTCCCTCTTTCTTCAGGCTTCTCTAATACAGTCCCCAACTTACAGCAGTTCAACTTATGATTTTTTGACTTTATGATGGTTTTATCTGGGTATTAAATGCATTTTCAACTTAGGATATTTTTGGCTTATGATGGGTTTATCAGGAACACCCCAAAATAAGTGGAGAAGCATCATAATAATAATGAGACAGGAAGAAAAGATGATAAAGCAAAACTAGCTTCCAGGCAAGTAAACAAATAGTAAAATCAATTAGAACAGATTGATCTAGGAAAGAAAGAAGCCACTCAGGCAAGCAATTATGGATACAAAAGGGCAATTAAGCAAACAAAACTATTTGAAAAGAGAGGAAGAAAGAAAAATATATAAGGACAATGAATTTGTAAGAATAAAAGGATTCTAATGGGACTAGAAATAAGATCCCAGTCTAACAAAGTTTGTATTTAGATTTTTTTTGCTTTTGTAGAAATTTGCTAAGTTTTGCATATATCTCGCTATGTTGCCCAGGCTGGTCTCAAACTCCCGGCCTCAAGCAATACACCTCCCTCAGCCTCCCAAAGTGCTGGGATTACAGGTGTAAGCCACTGTGCCTTGCCTGTATTTAGATTTAAGGCATCTCTGACTCTAAGGCCAGGATTTGCTAAACACTCTTCAAGTGTTTAGCAAAAAGACAGTTCCTTTGAGGAAAAGTAACAGTGGAAAGTTGGAGAGAAGAGAGGGAGGCCCAAGTGTGAGAGAATGGAAGGGAAAGAGGATGGAGAAGGGTATAAAAGTAATACAATTAGCAAGTTGGCCATCCGCACTAGCCACTGATTAATGACCAAGGTCCTAGTCCATCTGTTTAACACTGATGTCAAGTTCCTCAAAATATAATTTATACAACTCTGGAAACCACCCCTCCTGGGAAAACTACTTTTCTGTCTTTTGTTGAACATCTGTATAATCCCAGCTATGAAACCATCAAGCCTCAATTACTTCCAATCACTGTCACTGGGCCAGGATCTATCTACTGTTACCTATTAATAGATAAACTCTTCACTTTGCCTTAGTAAATATCATTGTACTAGATTCCCCAAAGGAACTTTTTGTAAAGTGCTAAGAGGACAATCTGAGATGTGGAGTTAGAGATGTCTTAAATCTAAATATAAACTTGTTAGACTGCGACCTTATTTACAATCCCATCAGAATCCTTTTATTCTCTCAAATTCTTTGTCCTTATATATTTTTCCTTCTTCCTCTCTCCTAAGACCTTAAGTACCAAAAAGAGTCAACTTAGGCTGCTCTATAGTGACAGTATTAGTGACAGGTAAAACAGAAAGACCAATTTACAGATGTGCACGCTAGAGGACATTATAAAAAAGAGTGCCACAGCATACCTAGGTTGTTTGAAGGGCAGTAGGAATGCTGCCTGTACCCCACTTGGCTTATCAGAGCACCTGAAATGTTCTCAGTTAGAAAAATCTTGAAACTTTTGGTTAGGACTTCATATTTACCGGATTCTCCATGTTAAAATGCAAATAGCCATGGAAATGTAATAGACTAAGTCTCTGACATATCCAATTGTTTTCCATTATAATACCAAGCTGACAACAGAGCCCTGGAGGGAATAGGACAGATAAGTACTGGTGAATAAGGGGCAGAAGAAAAATATGGTTTACAAAGAATTGCCTAAGGGGTTAAGTCTGAGTGAATTCCTGCCCTGGGTAATACTGGGCATACAGAGAAGGATATGAAATCCCTAGGCCCTGGGGAAAATGGAAGAAGAGGAAACAGAGATAGAGAAAGACTGAAAAACAAGAGAAGCTCAAAAACAAATTAACTATTTCACAATCTGTTTGTAGGCTAGCTGGATGGGCAACTTCCCCAGGGCATAGTCCGAGAATAGCAGCAATCCTGAATATGCAGCAACATCAAGCAATACTGAAAATCAGGTTCTATCTTTGGCTACCAGAAAGTCTGAGAAAAACAGGAAAGTAACCTCTTAGACTGGTACTTGCTAATGGAATGTAGCACATATATCAAGATAGGAGACTTCTAAACCTTTCTGTCCCTCCACTCACATTCCTTATTCCACCCCCAAATCAGGGGGAAAACTGGTGGGGGAGGGGTATGCAGAATAAAAAGTAGGCCTGCATAGTTTGAAAAAGCCCCCCAAATGACTTGACATATATTATTCCCCTATAACAACAAGCTCCTTCCTCCACCTAAGTTTAGTTAGACCCCAGTTCCACTAAAAGGATAAGCGAACCATCATACTTTCAGTCCAAAGCAGTTATTAAAATTATGTGATTTTTATTGCCACCTAGTGGAAGAGATAGAAAACCACAAGCTAAACTGAGGATAAGTAATCTAAATATATACTTGACATACTCTGACAGCCAAAGACAGTTTCTCAAAGTATGGTAATATGTAAGATGATTGTAAGTAGCACAAGAATAAATGCTATTTAAACTAGTTGGTATTTAATGCAATGCGTATTAGAAAAAAAGCATAAACAACACTTCAAATCCATCGTTTTACAAAGCTGGGTTGAGGCTAAATTAACCCTAATTTTAAAAAGTAAATAGATTTTTGAAGAAACATTCACTTATATTATACAGGTACTATTGAAGATATTGCCAAAGTCATAAGGTAACTCTAAAATGACTACAGTTTTGGAAATAGTTGTCCTAATCTGGTTCTTCAAATGGAAGATAATTTTCCCACAGTGTAGATGAGTTTTATTTATATATGTAATGTGAAGTAATCCATATTTTAACAGAAATAACAATGTTTGAAGGTACTTACATTTTTTCTCATTAAATAGTTTGTTTTCCTAAACAAATTATTCCACAAGCAAATTAGCATTTAGTACTGCTAAGTCTCTATATTTGCCTTTCTTAAAACATGCTTACCTAGGTAGTTATGCCATGATTGTAAATAGCTGATTCCCTCTCATTTCAACAAGTTTCATTATAGAAAATATATTGCCATTTAATCTACGCAGTTAAACAAATTTACAGAGAACTGTTTGAACTCCTGCCAACTTACTGTAATGGAATGCACTTTAATGACTTACATTCTGTTGTCACAGTGGTCAATTATTTATCACAGAATTTAGAATTTTCAAGAAAACCCTGAGCATTCAAGTCAGCATTCATTAGTGCTTATATTTACTGACATTGGATTATATAAGTAAGAATCAAAAGTCTTATTTCATTATCTTTTCTGATGGCCACTATAAATGACAATGATAAATTTCTCATGTGATAAATTTCACATTTCCACCTCTAGTTTTAAGAAAGACTAAAAACTTAAGTATGTGCGAATGAAAATAGGATTATCAAGATTAGCTTAAACCAACCATCTTTCATCTCTTGGATGAAGACCCATTGTGACTCAAAAAAATAAGGATTCTGTTGACATTAAGGAATAGGTAGGGTTGCTGATTAATTGTTGGGTGTCTACCTAACAGTATCTGCCACACCATCCCGCCTAAAGCACTCAGTTTCCCTCTGAGGGGGCAACCATCTTACAGTTTCCTATTTACTACCCAAAACTTCATTTATACATATTATATTTATTTATTTTTACCCAAATGGTGGCATACTATACACACTGCTCTGTACTTCAATTTTTCACTTAACAAAATAAGTTGAAGACTTGTTCCATTTTGATATGTAATAAAGCCACCTCCTTTTTAAGAGGAAAAAATATTCCATTGTATAAATGTGCCACAACTTATTTATCCAATCCTGTAAGAAATTTTGATTGCTTTTAATCTTTACTACTATAAAAAATACTGCATTACACAACCTTGTACACATACAATTTTTGACAATGTGAATTAATGCTTAGAAGTGAAATTACTGATCCATATAAACTTTGGAATAGGCTGCTGGCATTTTAGGGGGGAAATCACATTAAATTTATGGATTAAAATTTGAAGACTATGACATCTTCAGAGTCTTCCCAATGAGAGCAGAATATGCCTCATTTAATTCTTTTTATTACATCATATTTTACTGATTCTAATATACATATTTAAACACTTCTAATTAAGGATGAATCTCATAATCTAGAACACTTTTTCATCACTGCCAGAGCCAGGCGTGGTGACTCACACCTGTAATCCCAACACTTTGGGAGGGCAAGGTGGGAGGATTGCTTGAGCCCTGGAGTTCAAGACCAGCCTGGCCAATAAAGTGAGATGCAATCTCTGCAAAAAATAAATTTGAAAAATTAGCCAGGTGCAGTGGTGTGCACCTGTAGTCCCAGCTACTTGGGAGGCTAAGATGGACAAATTGCTTGAGCCCAGGAGTTCAAGACCAGCCCCAGTAACACAGCAAGACCCCTTCTCTACAAAATAAAATTTAAAAAAAAATTAGCTGGTCACAGTGGCATGCACCTGTAGTCCCAGCTACTCAGGAGGCTGAAGTGGGAGGACTGCTTCAGCCCAGGAGATCAAGGCTGCAGCAAGCCATGATTGCACCATCACACTCCAGTGTGGGCTACAGAGTGAGACCCTGTCTCAAAAAAAAAAAAAAAAATCACTGTCAGCAAGTGACAATATGATAGTAGTTATTCCTGATGGCATGACAGGTAACTGCCATCCGTGGTCATGTCAGACAAACCATTTAAGGACCATTTGAGGAAGACAGATGGGTCATGTTCTTGTTAGAAAACCTTTTGTGACATCTTCTGGTAAGATCAGGAAAGTGCAAGCATCAAAACTTAAGTGTCAGTGACCTGGAAGAAAATCTTTTCAGGAAATGTTACAGCACCAGGGTTCTTAATGGCACTAAGGACAATTCTGTGTGTGTGTGTGTGGTGGGGGAAACAACTATTTTGATGACTCTACATCAAAAAATAATTCAGAAGAATCATATTCTAAATGTGAGGTGTCAGTAATACCTTAATCAATATACTTTGTTTCTATTTTCATTTTTATAATTGCACAAGAAATATAGGATAAAATATCACATAAGTCCAAGAGTTCTCCCTTTTCCCTTTTCCCTTCCCTTCCCTTCCCCTCCCCTCCCCTCCCCTCCGCTCCCCACCCTTCTCCTCTCCTCTCCTCTCCTTTCCTTTCCTTTCCTGACAGAGTCTTGCTCTATCACCAGGCTGGAGTGCAGTGGTACGATCTTGGCTTACTGCAACCTCTGCCTCCCAGGTTCAAGTGATTATCATGCCTCAGTCTCCCAAATAGCTGGGATTACAGGTGTGCGCCACCACGCCCAGCTAATTTTTGTACTTTTAGTAGAGACCAGGTTTTGCCATGTTGGCCAAGCTAGTCTGGAACTCTTGGCCTCAAGTGATCCACCCACCTCAGCCTCCCAAAGTGTTGGGATTACAGGCATGAGCCACCGTGCGTGGCCCAAGAGCTCTTGCAGTAAATACAAAACAAAAACTCTAAGTCCTAAGAGGTTATTGCATCAGAGTTATGGGCAGCAGTTTTTCTTAGTGTTAAATTTTTTTAATATGCAATTTATAATCAGTAGCATCTCAGATTTTATGAAATCCTCTAAATCTTATTTTATGTCAGAAGCATTTTAGTTTCTCTCATATAGATTTTACACATTCATGTTAAGACCATTTCTTTTTTTTTTTTTATTGATCATTCTTGGGTGTTTCTCACAGAGGGGGATTTGGCAGGGTCATAGGACAATAGTGGAGGGAAGGTCAGCAGATAAACAAGTGAACAAAGGTCTCTGGTTTTCCTAGGCAGAGGACCCTGCGGCCTTCTGCAGCGGTTGTGTCCCTGGGTACTTGAGATTAGGGAGTGGTGATGGCTCTTAATGAGCATGCTGCCTTCAAGCATCTGTTTAACAAAGCACATCTTGCACCGCCCTTAATCCATTTAACTCTGAGTGGACACAGCACATGTTTCAGAGAGCACAGGGTTGGGGGTAAGGTCACAGATCAACAGGATCCCAAGGCAGAAGAATTTTTCTTAGTACAGAACAAAATGAAAAGTCTCCCATGTCTACTTCTTTCTACACAGACACGGCAACCATCCGATTTCTCAATCTTTTCCCCACCTTTCCCCCCTTTCTATTCCACAAAGCTGCCATTGTCATCCTGGCCCGTTCTCAATGAGCTGTTGGGCACACCTCCCAGACGGGGTGGTGGCCGGGCAGAGGGGCTCCTCACTTCCCAGTAGGGGCGGCCGGGCAGAGGCGCCCCTCACCTCCCGGATGGGGCGGCTGGCCGGGCGGGGGGCTAACCCCCCCACCTCCCTCCCGGACGGGGCGGCTGGCCGGGCAGAGGGGCTCCTCACTTCCCAGTAGGGGCGGCTGGGCAGAGGCGCCCCTCACCTCCCGGACGGGGCAGCTGGCCGGGCGGGGGGCTGACCCCCCCACCTCCCTCCCGGACGGGGCGGCTGGCCGGGCGGGGGGCTGACCCCCCCACCTCCCTCCCGGACGGGGCGGCTGGCCGGGTGGGGGGCTGACCCCCCCACCTCCCTCCCGGACCGGGCGGCTGACCGGGCGGGGGGCTGACCCCCCCACCTCCCTCACGGACGGGGCGGCTGGCTGGGCAGAGGGGCTCCTCACTTCCCAGTAGAGACGGCCGGGCAGAGGCGCCCCTCACCTCCCGGACGGGCGGCTGGCCGGGCGGGGGGCTGATCCCCCCACCTCCCTCCCGGACTGGGCGGCTGGCCGGGCGGGGGGCTGACCCCCCCACCTCCCTCCCGGACGGGGCGGCTGGCCGGGCGGGGGGCTGACCCCCCCACCTCCCTCCCGGACGGGGCGGCTGGCCAGGCAGAGGGGCTCCTCACTTCCCAGTAGGGGCGGGCCGGGCAGAGGCGCCCCTCACCTCCTGGACGGGGCGGCTGGCCGGGCGGGGGGCTGACCCCCCCCACCTCCCTCCCAGACGGGGCGGCTGGCCGGGCGGGGGGCTGACCCCCTCACCTCCCTCCCGGACGGGGCGGCTGGCCGGGCAGAGGGGCTCCTCACTTCCCAGTAGGGGCGGCCGGGCAGAGGCGCCCCTCACCTCCCGGACGGGGCGGCTGGCCAGGCGGGGGGCTGACCCCCCCACCTCCCTCCCGGACGGGGTGGCTGCCGGGCGGAGACGCTCCTCACTTCCCAGACGGGGTGGCTGCCGGGTGGAGAGGCTCCTCACTTCTCATACGGGGCGGCTGCCGGGCGGAGGGTCTCCTCTCTTCTCAGACGGGGCGGCCGGGCAGAGACGCTCCTCACCTCCCAGACGGGGTGGCGGCCGGGCAGAGGCGCTCCTCACATCCCAGACGAGGCGGCGGGGCAGAGGCGCTCCCCACATCCCAGACGATGGGCAGCGGGGCAGAGACGCTCCTCACTTCCTAGATGTGATGGTGGCCGGGAAGAGGCGCTCCTCACTTCCCAGATGGGATGGCGGCGGGGCAGAGACGCTCCTCACTTTCCAGACTGGGCAGCCAGGCAGAGGGGCTCCTCACATCCCAGACGATGGGCGGCCAGGCAGAGACGCTCCTCACTTCCCAGACGGGGTGGCGGCCGGGCAGAGGCTGCAATCTCGGCACTTTGGGAGGCCAAGGCAGGCGGCTGGGAGGTGGAGGTTGTAGCGAGCCGAGATCACGCCACTGCACTCCAGCCTGGGCGCCATTGAGCACTCAAGACCATTTCTATGTATTTTATTTTTTCTTACATTTTCTCATTGGAAGTCTATTTATTTTTGCCTGTTTTGTAAGCAGCTACTTTATTGAATTCTCTTACTGTTTATAATTTTTTTGTGGATTCTTTTGGGTTTTACAGGTATACAATGAAATAAAATTTAAACTCAAATTATTTTAAACTATCTGCTGAAATTTTACCTCAATGAAGATGAAGATTTTCTATTACTTTTACTCTTCTACCTCGAGCACTTAGCATATTACCTTGCGCAAAGTGGGTAATCAATACATATTTGTTAAATGAATTATATCAATGTACCTTACTTTGTAAAGTTACCCCAACCACTCCCCCAACAGAGATGTTGAGTTTAGTGAAAAAAAAAAAAAAAAAAAAATATAAACCAGTAAATAGTATTCCTATTTACTTCTCTCCACATGTATACACACAAATCCTGTAAGAAAGTGGATATTTTATAATCAAATCTATACATGTTTGGTTATAATTAGATGTATTTTAATCATTAAAGACCCTAATTATGAAATGTGTTTTATTTTAAATGCTTACCTTTTGGATCTTAGATCCGATGGCTCAAACTGGATATTCATAGGTCCAGGATCTCTTTCATGATCTACCTCAGAGGTGCCAAGATGCCTAGAATCACTATTCATATTTGCCATTTTTCTCACACTCTAAGCACTGAAGAAGTTAGTCCTACACAAAGAAGATAAATAATTTAGTTTAATTTTAAAATATTTTATTATCCATCACTAATAAATATTCATGAATAACAAATTGGAAAAATACTGGAATTTGCTGAAGATATCTTAATGAGGTATATGCCTGAAATATTTATCAGAAACTTGCTAACCTTAAATGGAGTTATTTCTTGTTTTTCAGCTTACTAAAAAATAAGTGGGGCAATTCATTTTCAGTAATAAAACAGATTAGGCTATTCGGACTCATTTTTCCTGCGGAAAAAAAACTAAAAATACTGAATAAAATATTTTTAAAATCTTTGAAAAGCATCAAAAACAGTAAGGAAAATCAGGCCATTTGTAGGTGAAATTAAAGAACCAAGAGAGGAAAATGACTGAAAGAAACTGCTGCTGCCTGGAGGGTATTTGCTGTACCAGAAGAATTCCAGCTGAGGTTTTCAAAGCCTTGTGTAGTATTTGGGAAACAGAAGTCAAAGCTCAGTGTTCATCCAAAGTAAGGAATTATTATAATAATAAATCATCCCCTTTCCCCACTTCCCCACCACAATACAGCTGGAACTATAAAGACCTTTGCAATAAGAGTAAGGTTTAACAAGAAGTAAAATGGCTTATTCCCTCACAAGGGAACTACAAAGAAGTCTTCTTAAAATGGACCAGAGGCTATAGTGTCCACACCTGTAATCACAGCATTTTGAAAGGCTGAGGCAGATCGCTTGAGGCTGGGAGTCTGAGATTAGCCTGGGCAAAATGGCACAACCTCATCTCCACTAAAAAACAAACAAAACTAGCTGGGCATGGTGGCACATGCCTGTAGTCTCAGCTACTTTGGAGGCCGAGGCTGAAGCGGGAGGATTGCTTAAACCCAGGATTTGGAGGCTACAGTGAGCTATGATTGCGCCACTGCACTCCAGCCACCTGGATGATGGAGTGAGACCCTGTCTCAAATCAAACAAAAAACAACAAAAAAACAAACTGGCCAGGAGTGGTGGCTCACGTCTATAATCTCAACACTTTGGGAAGCAGAGGTGGGTGGATCACTTGAGGTCAGGAGTTTAAAACCAGCCTGGCCAACATGGTGAAACCCTGTCTCTACTAAAAATATAGAAAAATAGCCAGGCATGGTGGCACGCTCCTGTAATCCCAGTTACTTGAAAGGCTGAGGTAGGAGAATAGCTTGAACCCAGGAGGTGGAGGCTGCAGTGAGCCAAGATCGTGCCACTGCACTCTAGCCTGGGTGACAGAGCTAGACTCATCTCAAAAAAATAAATAAAAAAACACCCAAAACTACTGACCACATCATGTGTGTGTATGAGCTTTTTTGTTACCATAAACTGCACCTCATGAGAATTTGCAAGGAACACTTAAAGCTATGAATGTAATTTAAGATTAACCTGCTTGGTAGCACTTCTAGGTAACCAATAGAAGCAAATGTAAATCTTTCCTGTAAAGATACACCTTCATCGCAGGCCTCAAAGAAGTCCTGCTAACAATCATTTAAAGACAACAAACAGTGAGTCAAAAATAACCTAGCATATGAGGAAATAAAGTACTATGAGTGAGAACAAGAAACAAAAGCAGAAACAGACCCACAAGAACTTCAACTACAAAAATCAATGAAATAAAAATATAAAATAATGTTTCCTATGTTTAAATAAATAACAGAAAAAGTAGACATTTTCAAAAAGTGACTTAGTATGTTTAAATAAGGACCAGAGTGAATTTTTAGGAAAAAAAAAATTCAAGAGCCCAAATTCAACACTCAATGAATGAGTTTAAAAGTTGAAGAGAAAATTAACGACATAGAAGATAAGTCAGAAGAAACTACCTAGAATGTGGCAGAGAGAGAAAAATAAAGGCAGAAAATGTGGAAGGTGTTTAAGAAACATGAAGGATAGAATGAGATGGTCTGAAAAGCATGTAATTGGAGAATCAGAAAGTAAGAAGACAGAAGTAATATCTGTAGAGATAATGGCTGACCATTAAAGATACCTATCTACAGATTTATGAAATTTAATGAATGTAAGAGAATAAACATTACAGGGTTTGAAAAAAATAATTACAGCTGGGCACAGTGGCTCACATCTGTAATCCCAACACTTTGCGGGGGTCGAGGTGGGCAGATCACTTGAGGTCAGGAATTCGAGACCTGCCTGGCTAACATGGTGAAACCCCGTCTCTACTAAAAACATAAAAATTGGCCAGGCATGGTTGTGGGCGCCTGTAATTCCAGCTTCTTGGGAGGCTGTGGTGGGAAAATCACTTGAACCAGGGAGGCAGAGGTTGCAGTGAGCCAAGACTGCACCACTGCACTCCAGCCTGGTTGTCACAGAGTGAGACCCCAATTAAAAAAAATAAAACAAGCCAAAAAAAAAAAGAACTAAAATCCCAGACCAAAGGGGAAAAAAAAAGTCAGACGAAGGTCTTGGAATTAAAATGTCCAAAGGTCCTTATGTTGTCCAGATCAACATCACACATTGATGTTGTTATTTTAAGGTAACTATTAATAGAAAGCAGTGTATAACCTTAAATTTAGTAGAGGGGAAAGAAGAAGGATAAAAAATAACTGAACTAAAGGAAAGCAAAAGAGGAGAAAAAAATATAAAATAGGTGGGAAAAAATAGAAAGCACAAGATAAATAAGATCCTCTCATTCTTTCTTCAGCCTATGCTAATCATGATATCTTTCCTATCACTATACAGAAGCTGTTCTTATTGGATCACTAAAGATCTCCACATTGGTAACCCCAAGGGTTATTTCTCAGTCCTTAACTTACTTGACCTATTGGAAATATTTGCCAAAAGAATCACTTTCCTCCTTGACAAGCTGGATTCACTGGGCCTCCAGGTTTTTTCCCTACGTCACTGGTCCCTCCTCCTTCTCTGTCTCCTTTGCTGCTTTCTCATTTCTCAGATCCCTTTACAGTTGCAGAGTTCCAAGGTTCAGTCTTGACCTACCCTTGATCTCTTGGTAATCTTATGCAGTCTTATGGTTTTACTATCATAGCTCGTGCTGCCCAATACAGTGGCCACTAGTTAGGTGTGGCTACTTAAATTAACTAAAATAAAAAAATTCAATACCTCAGTCACACTAGCTACATTTGAAGTGCTCAAAATCCACATGTGGCCACATGTGTCTACCATATTAGACAGTATAGACATAAACATTTTTCCATCATTGTAGAAAGTTCTATTAATTTAGGCAATGACAATTTCCACACTAATATCTCTAGCCTAAACTTCTTTTTTGAATTTCAGGCTTGCTTATTCAACTGCCTACTCAACATCTTTAGCTAGATGTAATAGACAGCTCAAACCTAACATGTCCAAAATGGAATTTCTGATTTTCTTCCCCCAAAACTACCCCACCTAGTGTTTTCCTATTTCAGTTGATAAAATCTCTTTCTACTTGCTCAGGCCAAAATTCTTAGAATCACTCATGACTTCTTTTTCTCACAGTCCACATTCAACCCATTAGGAAATCTTATTGGCTTTTCCTTCAAATATATCCAGAATCTAATCACTACCATTTCTTACCAAGATTACCACAACAGCATTCTAATGGAGCTCCCTGCTTCTATCCTTATCCCCCTACACTGTACTCTACACAGCATGTCAAGAATTGTAGAAAAGGGTAATAAGGAATTTGGCCTTACCCAATTGGTTGTTAGAATTAAAGGGAGTGCTACTGACACCCAGTGGGTAGAGGTCGGGGATGCTGATGAAATAAATAGGTTTTAACATGTAAAAGCAAGGGATGTAGCTTTATTACTTACCCTGTAAATTACTATTATTATCCTCATTTTATAGATAAGTATACACAGCAGAGAAGTAACTGATCACAAAGTTAGTAAGTGGCAGAGTTGGAATTAAAAACGAGGCAGTCTAAATCCAGAGCCTGTTCTCTTTACCACTATGCTATGCTGTCTTTCCTGTTCTTTGTCATTTCTTTCTCAGTCCCTTGTATCTTTCACTTTCTTCTGTTACTTGTTACTGCCCAGACTACTTAACAAGTACAGTTTTATTGTTGCCATATTTGTTTAACGGACTCATATGTCCACTTTTCTTAATTTTCTAAATGTAACATTTATGAAACAGTAGGAAGAAAATAAAGTTTTTGAATTAGAAATCCTGTATCTAACACTCACTACCTGTGTAACTTAGCATTAACAATTTAATCTCCATGAGACTATCTCTGCATCTTCAAAATTTAAACAAATTAATGTTTGAGGATTAAATGAGATTATACATATTACATTTTAGCATTAATTTTTTTTTTTTTTGAGACAGGTTCTCACTGTGTCACCCAGGCTGGAGTGGTGCAGTGGCATGATCATGGCTCACTGCAGCCGCGACCTCTTGGGCTCCAGTGATCCTCCCACCTCAGCCTCCCAAGTAGCTAGGACTACAAGTGTGCACCACCATGCCTGGCTATTTTTTTTTTTGGTAGAGACGGAGTTTCACTATGTTGCCCAGGCTGGTCTTGAACTCCTGACCTCAAGTAATCTTTCTGCCTCAGCTTCCCAAAGTGCTAGGATTAAAGGCATGAGCCACCATGTCTGACCTCATTTAGTACTTTGTAATGGGAAAAAAAATGTTCAAATGTATTATCATTTCCATCAAAAACCAAATGAAAATACTTGCTCTTTTTTTTTTAAACATAGGCAGCCTCTTGAGGTTTTCCCTTTTTTAAGTGAAAAATTTTTCTTCAGTCATGAACATCTAGGCAAATGATGTCAACCTACCACTGATTATTATGTGACACAGATGTTAGTAACATGTTCTATTTCCCAAATATGTGCATTTTCTTTTCTCTGTTGTTTTGATTTCCACTTCCCTTTTCTCTTCTGCTTTCCTGCCCAACGTTTAAGCAAGTCAAAGCTCTCATTAGCTTAGTCCTACTAAAGACAAACAAATAAAGTTAAATAAAAATATTAAAGTAGTACCTTACAACAGTAACTTAAAAAAAAGTAAAACCAAAATACCACCATTTCCAAACAAGAAGGGCTTTATTTCTATATCTTATGAAGGGAGTGTGATGGTAAAAATGATTATCTATTTTAAGATGTGACAACTAAAATACTGAGTAATGGTAAACTCTGAACAATATATTCATTCAACAAGTTCTCAACAAGTCCCTACAATATACTGAGGTATTGAAAAACATAGAAAAAAAATTTAAGTCATGATCCCTACCCTCAATAAAGTTAAAAAAAAAATCATTTATGAAGCCTAGAGAAGTCAAGTAACTTGTCCTAAATCACTTGAATAATAAAACATATTAGGATGCTAATAACCAATTCCAATTTTCAGTTCATCATTTCACTTTCAGCTCAAATCTATACCAATTGCTAGCTCTAGCTGTCAAATTAGCTTAGTAATAGATCAGTGTAAAATTTATTCTTTTAAGATAAAAAGAATAAGTAAGTTGACTCTTTGAGACACAGATTCATATAATGTATTATACATATTCAAAAATCTATAGCATAAAAATGTTCTTGACTATAAAGTACATAATTCAGTGATAATTGTTACAAAAATCCCAGTAAGATGGGACCAACTGAGATAAAGTTACTCATTACTGTTAATTTCATTAAAATAGTTGAGCAGCAAAAAACAAAAGCCTGCTCTTTCTCTTCCTTCCTTTACATAATAAAACTGATTAACAATTCGGTTGACTTGTTTGGTCTTAAGTTTTAAAACTAAAAGGCAGAATTTTTCAAAATTAACCTACTAATTTATGACATTAAGATGGAATGAAGTTAGGATTGATAGAATCTGTTAAATCTTCTTAGTTTAAAACTGTCAAATTGACTAATTAACTTGAAAAGATGATTCCCCAGATGTAATAAATGAAAACATTCTATATAAATAGGCCTGGCATGGTGGCTCATTCCTGTAATCCCAGCACTTCGGGAGGCTAAGGCAGGAGGACCCTTTGAGGCCAGGAGATTCAGAGTTGAGACCAACCCTGGCAACATGGCAAGACCGTGTCTCTACAAAATTTGATTGATATATATATATGCATGCCAGGCATGGTGGTGCTCACCTACAGTCCCAGCTACTCAGGAGGCTGAGGTGGGAAGACAGTTGGAGCAAGAGGGTTTGAGGTCTCAGTGAGCTATGATCACACCACTGCAGTCCAGCCTGGGCGGAAGAGTGAGACCTTGTCTCAAAAAATAAAATAAAATACAATACCAACAGAAAATACATTTTAAATTAACCTGGGTGTAGCACCAGAATTAAAAGCTTAGGAAAGAAATAAACATATTGTAGAGAAGTTCTATTTAGAATTGTATTATAGCTTTATTGATTTTTAAAGCATTACCTCAATTTAAAAAATTAAACATTTTAGAAGTTGAAAAGATGATTGTAGGGAAGCCAGTATCCTTTCATCAAAAAGAATAACACAGAACTTGGGAAAAACTTATTCAGGAAACTCTGAAACACATGAAAATTTTAAAAACCTATAAGTTAGTAAGTACAAGCATTTAGAAAAATGTCAAACTTTTACCAAAGTCTGTGTAAGAGTTTACTATTATTATTTTTGAACTTAACGAAGGTTAATAAAATTTTTATATTGTAGGGAAGAACAGCAATCCATAGAATTGTTAAGAAATGCTAGAGAAAAATTTTAATATTGATAAGTAGCCAGAACCGTATCACTCCTAAATCTCCAACAATGCATAAAAGCACTTTCAGAAAGAACTGCAAGGCATTAATTTGTCTGAATTACACACATTGGGTAATTTGAGATTTGGGCTATTCTGGTGCTATCAAGTAGTGTGTGGTGGTTGATAGCTCACAAGTAAGATTGCCTGGATGTGAATCTTGGTTCTGCCATTTATTAACTGTGCAACTTTGGGCAACTTACTTAAATTCCCTAAGATTCATTGGTTTTGGAGATAATAAAAATACTAGTCTTACAGGGTTTCGGATTAAAATGAGATAATACATATAATGTGGCTGGTACACACTGAATATTCAACAAACATAGCTATCACTTTTATTATGAATTTGGCTGTTTAAAACTAGAAAAATTACTCGTTGGAAGGACATACAAGAAGAAACTTTTTTTAAAAGAAAAAGAAAAAATATGTATTGCCTTAACTTAGCGGCCTGAACAAAATCAGCTGATGTATCTACATGCCTTTAGTATAAAGTGAGCAAACTCAGCAAGGTAAGAAAAATAAAAAGGTTGACCTTTATATAATAGAATTATTGAACTGCCACAAACAAGATAGCACTAAAGGATATCAAAAAGACAAAACTTGGTGTCATTTTTGAAGGAAAATTGAGAGAAAAACACAAGTTAATAGAAGATAGTGGGAGATGGAACTAACATTTATTTATTGAATGCCTAATACTGGCCTAATGTTTTACATGTTATTGTTTAAATCCAATAAATCCTTAGAATTTGGGAAATGGGTATTACCTTCATATTACAAAAAAAAAAAAGAAAGAAAGAAAGAAAAAGAAAGAAATTAATTGAAGCTCAGAGAAGTAATTTGTCCTAAATCACTAAGCTAAGAAAACCATACTTGGGATTGAAACCAGGTCACTTTGATTCTAAATGTTATTTCCAGTATACTCTGATGTCTGCCTTAAAAAGGAGGAGTTAGGTTGGAAGACAAAAGAAGCATCTGAAAATCAGGTCTTCTTTGTTTAGTTTTGTAAATATAAAATAATAGCTATAATGGCAAATGGCCTTAAACTCTTTTTTTTTTTTTTGGTGACGGAGTCTCGCTCTGTCACCCAGGCTGGAGTGCAGTGGCACAATCTTGGCTCACTGCAACCTCCGCCTCCCCATTTCAAGCAATTCTCCTGCCTCAGCCTCCCGAGTAGCTGGGACTACAGGTGCCTGCCACCACACCCAGCTAATTTTTTTGTATTTTTAGTAGAGACGGGGTTTCACCATATTGGCCAGGCAGGTCTCGAACTCCTGACCTTGTGATCTGCCTGCCTCGGCCTCCCAAAGTGCTGGGATTACAGGCAGGAGCCACCGTGCCTGGCTGGCTTTAAACTCTTTAAGACATAATCAGGGCTAGAATGAGTGAAATTTCATGCCTGGGTATCCGGATTACACATTAAACACCATGAATCTGTTTTTCTTGAAGCAAGCTAGTTTAGGTAAATTTCTTTTGTTGCAAAATTTTTTGTCTCAAGGCTCAATATTTCCTTACCCAGCAACAACCCTTCCAGTGGCAGTGAAACAAGGGAAAGGACAGAAGCCAAGTCAGAGTAGCAAAAACATATCTGCCTAAACAATGGCAGAAATATATGGCTATACTTTCTAATTTACTTTGTAAACCAATATACTCTGTAGTATTGGTTCCTAAACTAAACTGAGAATGTGGGTGAGTTTAGAGAGAGAAGATCCTTTCACTTTCTGGAAATTAATACTTTACTTAAAGATTGAAAGTGAAGAAACCAGGAAAGAGGAGAAATCTAGAAAGATCCTTGGATTTCAGTGAACCTTATCAAAAAGTGAAATCAAGGTTGGGGAAAAATGTAAGGGCCACTGAGGAATTAAAATTTCCAGTTTAGTCACCTATGTGTATTTGTTCTGAGCAAATCCAAAGTTCTGCAGCATAGCAGAATTAGCTATTTATTCTAAATAAGTAGAAAACTGATGATTTCAAATAACAAATCATAAATGAGGAGTTCAAAGTCCCTGGTGCCTTTCAAAGATTTATAATATTCAAGTAAATATGAAGAACTGTAAGAAAACTGGTAATTTGCAGTTGTCTCAATTAGTCAATTAGCATGATGTTAAATTTTCAACAGAAATTTAATGTCCCCTCCTTTTTTCCCCACACAGAGCCAAGGTGGAATTTTTTTATTTAAATTTTTTAATTTTTATTTTTTTGTGTAGATGGTGCAAGTTTTGTCACAACAGAAACAACTGTACTCGTTGCTCCTGAGAATTTCAGGTGACAACAGATATGCTTTCTTTTTTTTTTTTTGAGACAGGGTCTCACTCTGTCACCCAGGCTGGAGTGCAGTAGTGCCATCTGGGCTTGCTGCAACCTCCTCCCGCCAGGCTCAAGCTATCCTCCCACCTCAGCCTCTAAAATAGCTGGGATCCCAGCTGTGCGCCACTATGTTGCCCAGCCTGGCCTCAAGTAATCTTCTTGCCTCAGCCTCCCAAAGTACCAAAGTGCTGGGATTATAGGCATGAGCCACCATGCCTAGTCTTAAAGCTTTTTTGAATGTCTTGATGAGAAGTATAAAATATCCCGAAGTTTGATGACTTAGGTTGAGAGGTGAATTAGAGTTCCACAGCAAATATTACATAGGTGATAATGCAGAATAGTTTATCAATGATTAACAAAAATGCTAAATACTTCTATAGTATTAATTTGTCAGACATTACATTGATATAATTTGGTAGGGGCTAAATATACAAGATGACATAAACAGACATATTCCAGCCTGGCCAACATAGTGAAACCCTGTCTCTACTAAAAGTACAAAAATTAGCCAGCAGTGGTGGCACACACGTGTAGTCCCAGCTACCCGGGAGGCTGAGGCAGGAGAATTGCTTGAACCCAGGAGGCAGAGGTTGCAGAGCAAGACTCTGTCTCAAAACAAAACCCAGACATAATCACTTTTAACATCTCACTCAATCTCTGAGTTTTAAAACAAAGTCCCAGATGCAAGACCACTAAGTCAAATCTAAGTCATTAAATGAGTCTCTAATTGTTTAAGATTGGTTTTAATAAGGAGTCCAGCTATGATTTGAATGTTTGTGTCCCGTCCAAAATTCATATGTTGAAACTTAATTGCCAATGTTATAGTATTAACAGGTAGACCCTTTTGGAGGTAATTATGTCAGGAAGGCAGAACCCTTATGAATGGAGTTAGTAACCTTATGAAAAGTTTGAAGGGAACTAGCTAGATCCCTTTTGTCTTTCCATCCCTTCCCCCATGTGAGGACACAGCACCAAGGCACCATCTTGGAAGCAGAGACCGGGTCCTCACCAAACATCAAATCTGCAGGTGGCTTGATCTTGGACTTCCCAGCCTCCACAACTGCTAGAAATTAATTTCTATTGTTTATAAATTACCTAGCCTCAAGTATTTCATTAGAGCAGCACCAAGAGACTGAGATAGGTCCCAGTAGGGAATGAACAGCTTAGTTGACTTGCTTGGTACTTTCGACTTTTATTTAAAATGTTGGTGACTGAGCCAGGCATGGTGGCTCATGCCTGTAATCTCAGCTACTCGGGAGGCTGAGGTGAGAGAACTGCTTGAGCCCAGGAGTTCGAGATTGCAGCGAGCTACAATGGCACCACTGCATTCCAGCCCAGGTGACAGAGTGAGACTGTCTCTAAAAGAACAAAAAATGTTAGTGCCTGTACTGAAGCACTTCTCTCCGTAAAAAGGACATAGAGAGCAATCAAAGTAAACTGGTATGACATTATTTTAAAAAGGTATTGACTGTGATTATTGGCGTATCTCAAAGAATATCAGCCCTTTCCATACTAGGCTCAGAAATGTCTTTTCACAATTCTTTGCAAAAATAAATCTATAGAATCTATGCCAAGATGCTAGCATCAATCTGCAATAGAATACACTAGCTTGTGCCCAAATAAATGTGACTATGGACCCACATACAACTATTATATATGTTCTTTCTCAGAGACTAAAAATGAATATTACTGAATACTTTTGTGTATGTTATAGAGTTTCAGATACTACATTTATACTCAGTGTCCTAGGCTAGAGGTTGACATATTTTTTTCTGTAAAGGGTCAGATAATAAATATTTCAGGCTTTTTGAGCCATATAGTTTCTGCAGCTACTCAATTCTACCTGTTAGCATGAAAGGCAATTGAGTGTGCATGGCTGTGTTCCAATAGAACTTTATGAAAAAAATATATCTGTCAGCAGGCCAAATTTGGTCATAGTTTACTCACCTCTGTAGTATGCCAACATAAAAGCAAATGGAACCACACCACAAAAAAGTCACCCTGGTGGAAGCAGTTATGCTATGTATATATATTTTCTTCTGTATTAGTCTGTAACAGCTATAAACTCCAATAACAAACTTATCTAAATCTCTTCCTGATGAATCATTTACTGGTTAGCCAATAGGATCTATAATGCTCCTATTCTGATGTGACAGTTGGAACATGCTTCCAACCTGATCAATAAATGCTTCAAAAGGCGTTAAATTTGACAGTGCTGGAGGATAGTGTGGTCTCACAAAAAAATTACCAAAGCAACGCTGTGGTACCAAAGAATCTCTCCTTCTACAATGGGAACACTAAATGCTCTCAAGTTATATTTCAGTGGTAAGAAAGAAAAAAACCCTAGCAAACGACAGAAATTTAAGTATGTTACAAAATGCAGGCCTGGTAGACATTTTTAACCTCTAAGTGATTTTTTTTTTTTAACTTTTAAGCCCATATATACTTTTTAAAAAATACCATATAGGTCCAGTGTGGTGGCTCATGCCTGTAATCCCAATGCTTTGGGAGGCTGAAGCAAGAGGATTGCTTGAACCTAGGAGTTCAAGGTAACAGTTAGCTATGACAGTGCCACTGCACTAAAGCTTGAGTATCAGAGCAAAACTCTGCCCCTAACCCCAAAAAGAAAAAAAAAATACTAAACAATACTATTTCAATTTGTAGTTCAGGTTGGTATTCCATCCTCCTATGCTGAGTTTACCCTTTATTGTAAGTATTTAGAGTATTATAAAATCACAATTAAAAGCATATTATTTTATGTATGTAACTGAAATATATAGTATTTAAGATTGTGATTAGAAATCTAAGGCTAACTGGCTGGGCGTGTGTGGCACACGCCTGTAATCCCAGCACTTTGGGAGGCCGAGGCAGGCAGATCAAGAGGTCAGGAGATCAAGACCATCCTGGCCAACATGGTGAAACCCCATCTCTACCAAAACACACACAAAAAATTAGCCGGGTATGGTGGCGTGTGCCTGTAGTCCCAGCTACTTGGGAGGCTAAGGCAGGGGAATCGCTTGAACCCGGGAGGCAGGGGTTGCAGTGAGCTGAGATTGCGCCACTGCACTCCAGCCTGGCAACAGAGCAAGACTCCATCTCAAAAAAAAAAAAAAAAAAGAAAAAAAAAAGAAAAAGAAAAGAAAAGGAATCTAAGTCTAACTGTTCTCAGAAGTCTAGGGGAAGGAAAGGTAAATTTTATTTTCTTAGAAACAAAGCAACTATATAGGTGACAACTTTTTTTTTTTTTTTTTTAAGACAGGATCTCCCTCTGTGGCTCAGGCTGGAGTGCAGTGGTGCAGTCTTGGCTCACTGCAACCTCCGCCTGCCGGGCTCAAGCAATTCTCCTGCCTCAGCATCCCAAGTAGCTGGGATTACAGATGAGACGCATACCACCACACCTGGCTGATTTTTGTATTTTTAGTAGAGACAGGGTTTCACCATGTTCGCCAGGCTGGTCTTGAACTCCTAACCTCAAATGATCCGCCCACCTCAGCCTCCCAAAAGTGTTGGGATTACAGGCGTTAGCCACCGCAATCCGCCGAACCTTCTATCTTAACACGAAGTTTGTAGTTGTTTATGAGGCAGAGAGATTTTTCTCAAGTTAGGACATGGGTAATTTTGACCTATTGAAACTTTTTTTGTTTAGTTTTTGTTTTTGTTTTTTTTGAGACGGAGCCTCACTCTGTCACCAGGCTGGAGTGCGGTGGCACGATCTCAGCTCACTGCAACCTCCGCCTCCTGGGTTCAAGCGATTCTCCTGCCTCAGCCTCCTGAGTAGCTGGGACTGCAGGCATGTGCCACCACACCTGGCTAATTTTGGTATTTTTTTTTAGTAGAGACGGGGTTTCACCATATTGGCCAGGATAGTCTTGATCTCTTGACCTCGTGATCTGCCTGCCTCAGCCTCCCAAAGTGCTGGGATTACAGGCGTGAGCCACGGCACCTGGCCAAAACGTTTTTAAAAAATCTTTCTCCTCAGCAGCTGCCTATCCTACATATGTCAGATCTTTGTCATGTCTGAAGGTATTAAAAAGAAAAAAGAGGCTGGGCGCAGTGGCCCACGCCTGTAATCCCAGCACTTTGGGAGGCCAAGGCAGGCGGATCACTTGAGATCAGGAGTTCAAGACCAGCCTGGCCAACATGGTGAAACCCCGTTTCTACTAAAAATACAAAAATTAGCGGGGCGTGGTGGCGGGCAGCTGTAATCCTAGCTACTCAGGAGGGTGAGGCACGAGAATCGCTTGAACCAGGGAGGCGGAGGTTGCAGTGAGCCGAGATCACTCCACTGCACTCCAGCCTGGGCGACAGAGCGAGACTCTTGTCTGAAAAAAAAAAAGAAAGAAAAGAAAAGAAAAAAGAAAACAAGGTGGAGGTACAACTTACAACTTATAGTGTGCTCATCTACAGAGCACGGCAATGGATAAGACACTGCCTGGGAGTCATGACAATTAGGTGTTGGTCGAGTTTGCCATTAAATGGTTACCTGGTGTTGAGTAGGTTTCTCCAACTCGGTGGACCTCAGTTTCCTTCTCTGTAAAATGAGGAGAATGCGCTTGACTAGCTGCTCTCAAACCCCTCTTCCAGCTTTACTATGCTGAGATGTCAAGCTACCCACTATCAACACACTCACTCTCACAACTGAGTCGTGTGAAAAGCGTGGCGAGGGCTTACCAGTCATGGCCCTCACCCCCTCTGTGGTCCTAGCTCAAGGCCCAAAGGGGGTTCCTCCCTCATGTTCCCCCTCTAGATGTCCCCAACTCGGGATGGAGAAAGGTGCTCCCAGCCGTGATCGCGCCACCTCACTCAAGCCCAAGCGACGGAGCAAGACCCTATCTCAAGAGAGAGAAAGAAGGGTGCTCCCATTCCTGCAAGTCCCACAATTCTCCTACTCCCTCCTTCTCTCACCCGAGGGTCAGGGTGTTCATTTACCCCAACCCTATCTTTTCTCTAAGGCTCCAGCTGACACCGACTCCCATAGACACTCGGATTTCCTCAGACCCCGAGGGACTCCTGACTTTCTTTCCCTGAGCCCTTGAGGAGCGCGCGCCGTGCCTCCGGAGCAGTCTCCGCGGCTCCAGGCTATGGCCTCCCTGAGCCCCAAAAGAAGAGACGGTTCCGATGCGCTGCAAAGAACTATCCCAGGTGACAGCCGGCTTCGCCCCAACTTCAACCCTTCCCGCCGCCTTCCCTCGGATACCTTCCCACCTCCCCGAGGGGCGAGTTTGCTAGACGTGGGAACGTGATCTACCTGAGCAGGCCGAGCCTTCAACCTCGGAGAACTAGACGAGAAGATAAAGATTCCCTTCCCAAATTCTCGCAATTTGCGACCGCGGGGCTCCTAGTCCAAACAGGAAGCGGCAATAGCCTGGGTCGCAGGGGCCGGCGGGAGTTGGAGTTCTGAATGCGCCAAGCCCGCGGTCGCTGTCAAACCTCTCGCCGCTACGGACTACAACTCCCAGAGGGCTCTGCGACGGCCAGCACGCCCATCACCGCAGGGCCCAGCCCCGAGGCTTCAGGAGGCTGGGCAGCCGGCGCGCCCAGGTGGGCGAGTCCAGTCGGAACTGCAGCCCCGAGTTTGCTCCAGTTCCTTGTCCCGGCTGGAGGCTGGGAGGGGTAGTAGAAGGAATGCAATCTCTTGCCATTCATAGAGCCCCGGAGGCCACGTGAGAAAACGCTGATGCGGCACCTCCATCGAGGGATCACCCCTCTTTTGGGCTTTCCTGGCGCGTGTTGTATGATCTGGTTACGTCCTTGGACCCTACAGACACAAAGGGAAGCTGGTTTGAAAAAACTGTTGAGTTGGCATGCTCCCTCCGTCGTCTAGATATTTGGGTTTGTTTTTTAAAAATGTGTTTGCAAATTAGTCTCTAGGCTAAAAGGGGCTTTAGAAGGATTTTAGAGGCCCACCCCACATACCCAGCAATTTTCCCCAAAACCTCCCCAAGTAAACATACAGTCTAAGTAAAATTAATGTGCTTGTTATGAAAATCAGTTCAAGGTCAGTCCCTGAAAAGCATATGGCCACCCTAAGCTCTTCTTACAAAGGAAGCCAGTGGCTCTTTTTGTTTCTTTTTCTTTTTTCTGTTTAAACCAGAAGAAACAGTGTCTGTAATGCCAGAAAAAAAACTAAAAATTTAGACCGGCTCCGTGGCTTATGCCTGTAATCTCACCATTTTGAGAGGCTGAGGTGGGAGAATCACTTGAGGCCAGGAGTTGGAGACCAGTCTGGGCAACATAGGGAGACCCCATTTCTACAAAAGAATTTAAAAAATTAACTGGGCAGGGTGGCACCTGCCTGTAGTCAAGCTTACTTGGGATGCTGAGGCAGGAGGATCATTTGAGGCCAGGAGTTAAGGCTGCAGTGAGCTATGATGGTGCCACTGCACTGCAGCCTGGGTGACAGAGCAAGACCCTGTCTCAAAAACAAAACGAAACAAAACAAAAAACCTAAACTTGAAAATTCAAATTTAGGCTGGGTGCGATGGCTCACACCTGTAATTGCAGCACTTTGGGAGGCTGAGGAGGGCAGATCACAAGGTCAGGAGTTTGAGACCAGCCTGACCAACATGGTGAAACCCGTCTCTGCTAAAAATACAAAAATTAGCCAGGCGTGGTGGTGTGCACCTGTAATCCCAGCTACTCTGGAGGCTGAGGCAGGAGAATCGCTTGAATCCGGTAGGCGGAGGTTGCAATGAGCTAAGATTGTGCCACTGCACTCCAGCATGGGCGACAGAGCGAGACTCAGTCTCTAAAATAAAATAAAATAAAAATTCAAATTTAACAAATAGCTAACATTGAATGCCAAGAATTTTACGTGTATATCTTTTTAAGTCTTTACCACAGTTCTGGAAATGATAATATCTCTTTAAGTCTTTATCACAGCTCTAGAAATGTATATTTTTCCTGTCTTACAGAAAAGGAAATAGTCCCAGAGAATTTAAGTGCCTTGTACAAGGCTAAACAACTACTAAGTGGCAGAAGATCTGGAATTCATACTAAGATCTTATCCCAAAGCCTGCGTGCTCTCAAACATTGCGTCTATTATGGAGGGCTTGACAAATGCAAGGCAAACGATTTAATGAATGTTGTCTTTAAGGGAGATAAAAGTTGTTTTGCTGATGGTATTCTTGTTCAAAAACTTTTTTAACTGTTCATTGGCCCTGCCTTCAAGTCAGGGCTGGTCAAGTAACACAAGTCAGTAATACATTCTTTTGATAGTTTCAGTGATAGCAACCTTTCTTTTTTTTCTGCATTCCAGGCTGAGAAAATAATTTCAAGCAAGGCTGGGAAACACAAAAGTAAATAGTATGAAATGATGTCAGCAAAAAATGGGAAAAAAGTAGGGAACTCAAAAATGAATAAGCTGGCAAAACTGTCAGGAGCACCTTTTTTGGAAACTCTGAAACTGATAAAAAAAACTCACAAAATCCAGGGGAACATGTAATGAAGAAAAAACTGCTGAATTTTGGTAAGAGAGTTCTGTGGTCATCTTCTATTCTCCAAGTTGTCAGTGGCCTTGAAGATGGCAGCCACATTCCTGGTGTGGGTTGCTGGCACCAGAGGGAGCACTATGGACCTTATCCTCAAGGAATTGTAGGTGTGTTTTGACCTCCCTGATGGTTTCCTGAAGGTTCAACTCAACGGCTTGCCTTTGTTTCACCTGCCTCAGAGCTTCCTCAGGGCTCAGGCAGCTTCCCAGGCAGTGTTTGTCAAAAACATTAAAGGCAAACAGCCAGTGTCACAGAAAGCAAGGTATGAAAGCCAGGACAAGCAATAAACAGACCAAAAATCCTGGGAAGGAAGAGGCTGGAGAAGGAGATAGTTGGGGGAATAAAGGCTTTGGAAAGCTTCATTTTATTCTGGGGAATCTAGAAGGCCATCGGCATGCCCTGGTCTGGATGCATACTCAGAGAAAAACCTAAGAACACCGTAAACTCTCACCTCTGACTGACCGTCAGCTTTCATGCAAGCAGGAAGTGAAGGCTAAGGTGGCGTTGTAAACTACCTCGTTAAGCATTGAAGGGGTGCCAGAACACATAGCTAACTGGCAAAGACTGGGAGTGTTTTCTCGCATTTTGGGCTTTTATCTTTTTATTTTTTGGTTTGAGACATTTAATAAAAGAAATAAACAACAACAAACTCTGGTGGGGAGTGGGAGAAGCAGATGTCCATAATTACCATATTATATACAAAATGTCCAGTTGTCAACAAGAAAAAATTATGAGGCATGCAAAGAAAAAAAGTATGGCTTATTTATAAGGAAAACATTTTTAAAGAACATTCCTTTGGGAAGCCCAGACATTGTCAACTGTCTTCAATATGCTCAAAGAACAAAGAAAATAATAGACAATAACTAAAGGAAACCAGGAAAAGTGAATTGTTCAATAAATAGAGGATACTATTAAAGAGGTAGAAATTATAAAAAGAAAGCAAATAGAGTTGCTGGAGTTGAAAAGCACAATAATTGAAATATAATGTTCACTGGAGGGGTTCAATAGCAGATTTGAGCAGGCAGAAGAAAGATTGGGGAATTTGAAGATACATCAAGAGTATACAGTTTGAGGAACAGAAAGAAAAAATAAGAAAAATGAACAAGACCTGTAAGGATTGTGGGACACTATCAAACAAACATTTGCACAGTGGGAATTCCAAAAGGAGAGGAGAAAATAAAGGAGTGTAAAGAATATTTGAAGAAATAATAGCTGAAAAATTACCAAATTTAATGAAAGACAGGCGTCTACACATCTAAGAAGCTCAATGAACTTCAGGGCGGATAAATTGAAAGGGATCGACACCAAGACAAATTGTGATTAAATTGTTAAAAGACAAAAACAGAGAATTTTGACAACAGCAAGAGAGAAATGACTGGTCATGTATAAGGAATCTTCATTAAGATTAACAGTAGGCTTATCATCAGAAACCATGGAGCTCAGAAAGCAGTGGAATGACGTAAGTGCTGCGAATAAAAGCCAAAAAAGAATCCTGAATCTGGCAAAAGTATCCTTAAAAAATGAAGGAGAAATAAATATGTTCCTAGAACAACAAAACGGAAGGAGTTCATAACTACAAGGAATACTAAAGGAAGTCCTTCAGCCTGAAAAGAGGCTAGGAGAGAGTAGCTCAAAGCCATATGAAGAACTAAAGAATATCAGTAAAGGTAACTACATAGGTGAAATTAAAAGTAAGTAGTTTTCTATTTTTGGATTTGTAACTCCTCTTTTTTAAGGAAAAAGGATTTAAAAAATAAATGCATAAAAGAATAATTATAAATCTATGTTAATGAGCACATAATATGTAAAGATGTAATTTTAGACAGTGCTACCCTAATAGTTGGAGAATTCAACACCTTGCATTCCATAAAGGCCCAGATAGAAGATCAACAAAAAAGTTGAAGACTTGAACAACACATAAACCAACTAGATCTAACAGACATTTATAGGACATCACTCCCTCCCAAGAACAGCAAAGTGTATGATATGGTTTGGCTGTGTGTCCCCACCCATACCTCATCTTGAATTGTACTTCTTATAGTTCCCACATGTTTTGGGAGGGACCTGGTGGGAGATAACTGAATCATGGGGGCAGTTTTCCCCATACTGTTCTTGTGGTAGTAAGTCTCATGAGATCTGATGGTTTTATAAGGGGTTTCTGCTTTCGCTTCTCTCTCGTTATCTCTTTGCCTGCCACCATCCATGTGAGATGAGACTTGCTCCTCCTTGCCTTCTGCCATGATTATGAGGCCTCCCCAGCCATGTGGAACTGTAAGTCCAATTAAACCTCTTTCTTTTGTAAATTCCCCAGTCACAGATATGTCTTTATCAGCAGCGGGAAAATGGACTAATACAGTAAATTGGCACCAGTACAGTGGGATGCTGCTGAAAAGATACCTGAAAATGTGGAAGCGACTTTGGAACTGGGTAACAGGCAGAGGTTGGAATAGTTTGGAGGGCTCAGAAGAAGACATGAAAATGTGGGAAAGTTTGGAACTTCCTAGAGACTTGTTGAATGGCTTTGACCAAACGCCTGATAGTGATGTGGACATAAGGTCCAGGCTGAGGTGGTCTCAGATGGAGATGAGGAACTTGTTGGGAACTGGAGTAAAGGTGACTTTTGTTATGTTTTAACAAAGAGACTGGTGGCATTTTGACCCTGCCCTAGAGATTTGTGGAACTTTGAACTTGAGAGAGATGATTTAGGGTATCTGGCAGGAGAAATTTCTAAGCAGCAAAGCATTCAAGAGGTGACTTGGGTGCTGTTAAAAGCATTCAGTTTTATAAGGGAAGCAGAGCATAAAAGTTTGGAAAATTTGTAGCCTGACAATGCAATGGAAAATAAAATCCCGTTTTCTGAGGAGAAATTCAAACCGGCTGCAGAAATTTGCATAAGTAACAAGGAGCAGAATGTTAATCCCCAAGACAATGGGGAAAATGTATCCAGGGCATGTCAGAGGCCTTCATGGCAGCCCTTCCCATCACAGGCCCAAGGCCTTGGAGAAAATGGTTTTATGGGCTGGGCCCAGGGTCCCCGTGCTGTGTGCAGTATAGGGACTTGGTGCCCTGCATCCCAGCCACTCCTTCCAGAGCCATGGCTAAAAGGGGTCAAGGTACAGCTCAGGCTGTGGCTTCAGAGGGTGGAAGCCCCAAGCCTTGGCAGCTTCCACATGGTATTGAGCCTGCGGGTACACAGATGTCAAGCATTGAGGTTTGGGAACCTCTGCCTAGATTTCAGAGGATGTATGGAAACGCTTGGATGCCCAGGCAAAAGTTTTCTGCAGGGGTGGGGGTGCTCATGGAGAACCTCTGCCAAGGCAGTGTGGAAGGGAAATGTAGGGTGGGAGCCCCCACAGACACTCCCTACTGGGGCACTGCCTAGTGGAGCTGTGAGAAGAGAGCTACCGTCTTCCAGACCCCAGAATAGTAGATCCACTGACAGCTTGCACCATGTGCCTGAAAAAGCCACAGACACTCAATGCCAGCCCATGAAAGCAGCCAGGAGGAAGGCTGTACCCTGAAAAGCCACAGGGGTGGAGCTGCCCAAGACTATGGGAACCTACCTCTTGCATCAGCGTGACCTAGACGTGAGACATGGAGTCAAAGGAGATAATTTTGGACCTTTAAAATTTGACTTCCCCACTGGATTTTGGACTTGCATGGGGCCTGCAGCCCCTTAGTTTTGGCCAATTTCTTCCATTTGGAACGGCTGTATTTACCCAATGCTTGTACTCCCATTGTATGTAGGAAGTAACTAACTTGCTTTTGATTTTACAGGCTCATAGGTGGAAGGGACTTGCTTGTCGCAGATGAGACTTTTATTTTTTTTAAGACAGTGTCTCACTCTGTCACCCAGGCTGGAGTGCAGTGGCATGATCTCAGCTCACTGCTGCAACCGCCACCTCCTGGTCTCAAGTGATTCTCCTGCCTCAGCTTCCTGAGTAGCTAGGAATATAGGCACCCACCACCACACCTGGCTAATTTGTGTATTTTTAGTAGAGATGGGGTTTCACCATGTTGTTCAGGCTGGTCTTGAATTCCGGACCTCAGGTGATGCCCCCACCTTGGCCTTCCAAAGTTCTGGGATTACAGGTGTGAGCCACTGCACCCAGCCTCAGATGAGACTTTGGACTATGGACTTTTGAGTTAATGCTAAAGTGAGTTAAGACTTTGGGAGACTGTTGGGAAGGCATTACTGGTTTTGAAATATGAGGACATGAGATTTGGCAGGGGCCAGGGACATAATGATATGGTTTGGCTATGTCCCTACCTAAATCTCATCTTGAGTTGTACTCCCATAATTCTCACACGTTGTGGGAGGGACGTGGTGTGAGATAATTGAATCATGGGGGTGGTCTTCCCCATACTGTTCTTGTGGCAGTGAGTAAGTCTCATGAGATCTGATGGTTTTTTTGTTTTGATTTTTTTTTTTTGAGACAGAGTTTCGCTCTTGTTGCCCAGGCTGGAGTGCAATGGTACAATCTTGGCTCACTGCAACCTCTGCCTCCCAGGTTCAAGTGATTCTCTTGCCTCAGCTTCCTGAATAGCTGGGATTACAGGCATGCGCCACCATGCCCGGCTAATTTTGTATTTTTAGTAGAGACAGGGTTTCTCCATGTTGGTCAGGCTGGTCTCAAACTCCTGACCTCAGGTGATCCTCCCACCTCAGCCTCCCAAAGTGCTGGGATTATAGGCATGAGCCATTGTGCCTGACCCCAAGATCTGATGGTTTTATAAAGGGTTTCCACTTTTGCTTCTGTCTCATTCTTTCTTTGCCTGCCGCCATCCATGTAAGATGTGACTTGCTCCTCCTTGCCTTCTGCTGGGATTGTGAGGCCTCTGCAGCCATGTGGAACTGTAAGTCCAATTAAACCTCTTTCTTTTGTATATTGCCCAGTCATGGGTATATCTTTATCAGCAGCATGAAAAAGGACTAATACAGTGTATGTTTTTCTCAAGTGCATATGGAACATTTACCAGGATAGACTATACGTTAGGCTACAAAACAAGTCTCAATAAGTTGTTTTTCGTTTCTTTGTTTTTTTTCTTGTTTTTCTTGAGACAGGGTCTCACTGTGTCACTCAGGCTGGAGTGCAGTGGCATGCTTATGGCCTACTGCAGCCTCAAACTCTCAGGCTCAAGTGATACGCCCCCCCACTTCAGCTTCCCCAGTAACTGGGACCACAGGTGTACACCACCATGCCCACCTAGTTTTTGTATTTTTTTAGAGACGAAAAATCCAAAAATATTTTGTAGGATTTTAGTCTTTTAAAACTTATTGAACAGGGTGCAGTGGCTCATGCCTGTAATCCCAACACTTTAGGAGGCTGAGGTGGGAGGACTGTTTGAGCCCAGGAGTTCGAGATCAGCCTGGGTAATGTGGTGAAACCCTGTCTCTACTAAAAATACAAAAATTAGCTGGGCATGGTGGTGCCTGCCTGTAATCCTTGCTACTTAGGAGGCTGAGGCAGGAGGATCTCTTGAGCCTGGGAGACGGAGGTTGCAGTGAGCCAAGCTTGCACCACTGCACTCCAGCCTGGATGACAGAGTGGGACTCTGTCTCAAAAAAAAAAAAAAAAAAAAAGAAAAGGAAAGATCTCAAATCAATAATCAAACTTTCCACCTTAAGGAACTTGAAAAATAAGGGCAAAGTAAACCCAAAGCTAGCAGGAGAAAGGAAATAATTAGGATTTTAGACGAGATAATTGATTTTTTTTAAAAAATAAGCCTGTCCAACATGGTGAGATCCTGTCTCTACAAAAAAATAGAGAAATAGCTGGGTGTGGTGGCATGCACCTGAAGTCCATCCCTTGGGCGGCTGAGATGGGAGGATTGCTTGAACGTAGGAGTTCAAGGATGCAGTGAGCTGTATGATTGTGTCACTGCATTCTAACCTGGGTGACAGAGCAAGACCCTGTCTCTCTTAAAAAAAAAAAAAAAAAGGAATAGAGAATAGAAAACAATAGAGAGAATCTACAAAACCAATAGTTGGTTCTTCCAAAAGATCAACAACATCAACAAACCTTTAGCTAGACTGGTAAGAAAAAAAGAAGAAAATTACTAAAAGAGAAGTGAAAGTGTGGTTATTACTACCAAACTTAACAGAAATAAAAAGGATTATGAGAGAATACTATGAACAATTATATGTTAACAAATTCAATGAGCTAGAAGAAATGGACAGATTCTTAGAAAATTGACTGGTATGTGATGAAAAAATGAGAGTTGATTGGGAAGAGTCCGGATAAACTACCAAAAGCATGTAATTGAATCAAAAATAGATTGGCAAAGACTTACAGTGTCGGAAACAACTAGGATTGATCCAAATTCTTCTAAATTCTCTAATCTGGAATCTACAGCTCTTGCACACTACAACCCTCAATTCTCATTCAATTGTTCTACAAAAATTTAAACCTCATACCAAATGTTTGAGTGGAGTTTTTTCTTGTAAGAGCTGCATAAGCTCCAAACACACGAACCTTCTCTTGTAACTAAATTCTTGACCTCTGCACAAAATACAATAAATGCCATCTGTGGCACTAAAGAGTAAGCAAAAGCAGGAGGGTAGATAACATTTGAAACAAGGGAACAGCACTAGGTCAGTTTCCCCTGTTTTTGCAGATTCCAGCATGAGAGTAGGCTCCAGTCTGCATCATGAGAAGTGGCTGGAAATCTGGTAGATCACCGCTTTTCTGGTCTAAAAAACTAGAGGACAGAATTTGAGACGATCAGCTGCTGGAAAGTAAGGGGGAATACCATAAGTAAAAAAGAGGGTAGAACCCCAAATTTTATGCATAAACTCTACCCAATCTTTCACTGACCACTAAATCATGCATGTAGAATAAATTCTAAGTAGTCCAGTTAAAAATTAAAGACCCAAACTGCTTTTTGAGTTGCCACCCATGAGACAGAGTTTGCAGTTTGAGTCCAAATAAGTGAAGTGACTCCTAAAACAAAGAAAATCAATGTTTTTTTGAGGGAACATAAAATAATCCACAGTTTCTACAAAATACCATACTTAAAAAATGACATTAAAGGATCAGTCATATTCTAAGCTCTTAATAAAAGAGGAAATGCTGGGATTGTATTATGTTTTATTTTATGCATGGCTAGAGACAGTTGACTATATAGTACACATGCATCATATGCATCATGTGGCAGTTAATCATAATATTTAATATGAATATTAACTCATTTGAATCCTCTGCTTTCATTTTTCTGTGTCATTTTTAGTAGCAATAAAAATTTACTTGAAGATTTTTTTTAAATCATAATGTCTAGGATACAATACAAAGTGACTCAACGTATGAGAAAAAAACAGGAAAACACACCCCATTTTCTTTTCTTTTTTTTTTTGTTTGAGACACATTTTCACTCTTTGTTGCCCAGGCTAGAGTGCAGTGGCGCCATCTCACTCACTGCAACCACCACCTCCCGCGTTCAAGCGATTCTGCTGTCTCAGCCTCCCGAGGAGCTGTGATTACAGTCGCCTGCCACCATGCCCAGCTAATTTTTGTAGTTTTAGTACAGACAGGGTTTCACCATGTTGGCCAGGCTGGTCTCGAACTCCTGACCTTAGATGATCCACCCGCCTCCGCCTCCCGAAGTGCTGGGATTACAGGTGTGAGCCACCACGCCCAGCCAAACACACCCCATTTTCAAGAGGAAAGACAACTAACAGAGAGACCAGTTCTAAGATGCCCAGATGTTTGAATTAGTAGACAGAGATTTTAAAGTAGCTATTAAACTAAGTCAAGGATGTGAAGGGAAATAAGATCACAATGATGAAAAAGTAGGAAATATTAGCAGAGAACTAAAAACCAGACATATATAAAGTACAAAACATCCCTGAAAATTTTAATATCTGAAATTAAAAATTCACCTTTTTACTGCATAGGCTTAACAGCAGAATGGAAGTGCCAGAAAAGAGTCAGTAAACTTGCAGATAAATCAACAGAAATTGTATAATCTGAACAACAGAGAAGTAAATGTTTGAAAAAAATAGCCTCAGGGACCCTTTTGATATGGGACAATATCAAAAGTTCTAACATAAATGAAATTATTTTCCTAGAAAATGAGGAGAGAGAGAATATTTGAAGAAATAAAAGGTGGGAAATTCCCCTAATGTTGTGAAAAATAAAACATCAGATTCAAGAAGGTTAATGAAACACAATAAGATTAATTTGGGGGACAGCTGGGGCCTGTGGCTCGTGCATGTAATCCCAGCACTTTGGGAGGCTGAGGTGGGTGGATCAGCTGAGGTCAGGAGTTCGAAACCAACCTGGCCAACATGGTGAAACCCTATACAACCTAATACAAAAAATTAGCTGGGCATGATGGCACATGTCTGTAATCCCAGCTACTCAGGAGGCTGAGACAGGAGAATCACCTGAACCCAGGAGGCAGTGGTTGCAGTGAGCCAAGATTGCACCACTGCACTACATCCTGGGTGACAGAGTGAGACTCTGTCTCAAAAAAATAAATAAATAAAAATAAAATCTGGAAAATTCCCCTAATGTTGTGAAAAATAAAACTTCAGATTCAAGAAGATTAATGAAACACAGTAAGTTTAATTGGGGGGACAGTGGGGCCCTGTGGTTCACACCTGTAATCCCAGCACTTTGGGAGGCCGAGGTGGGTGGATTACTTGAGGCCAGAGGCTCGAGACCAGGCTGGCCAACATGGTGAAACCCCATCTCTACTAAAAATACAAAAATTAACCAGGCCTGGTGGTGCACACCTGTGGTCCCAGCTACTTGGGAGGCTGAGGCAGGAGAATTGCTTGAACCCGGGAGGCAGAGGTTGCAGTGAGCCAAGATTGCACCACTGCATTCCAGCCTGAGCGACAGAGCAAGACTCTTCCTCAAAAAATAAAATAAAATAAAAAAGATTAACAAAGGGAAAAATTTGAGTGCCACACTTTTTCTCCACTCATTTCCTTCCTCTAACAAAATCTACCTGTTTAATGGTACTTTTTGTCTAACTAAGCAGGCATAGAGTTTTTTTTTTACAATATTTGTTTATTTAGCAATATAGGTTGTAAAAATACAAAGGTATAAAATATAAGTTGTAAAAAACTTTATGCCTGCTTGTTAAGAGAAAAATTCATATTTATTTAGCAATAAATATAAGTTATAAAAAACTCTGTGTGTTGTAAAAAACTCCGTGCCTGCTTAGTTGGACAAAACTCAGTCCCCAAGTCTGCCCCCCACCTCACCACACCAGTTTGAGTTGATTTAGACACCCTAATCTACTAGAAGTGAATAGGAATGACATGGTCTCTTCCAAGAAGGAACTTATATTCAAGTCAAGGAGAAAAACAATAATAATAACAATTAAAAGTAAACATTTTATTTAATAAATAGATGTTATGGTAAGTTCTGTTACATAAATAAACTGGGTGCCATTGTACAGTATAATGCTTTGAGGGTACTACTTTAAATCAAAAAGTCAGAAAAGGATACTGGAGTAGTTTAGATGAGAGATGATAACCACCAAACTACATTAGTGACAGTGGAGAACAGATAAATGAGCATTCAACGTATAAGATATTAGGATATTCAAGATATCCGAGGTAGAATTGACAGATTTTACTACCTGAATGTGGGGAGTGGTGGATATTGAGGAGTAAAGAATAGGATTCCCAGGTTTGGGAGTTGCACAAGTCTGTGAATGGTAGTGTCCTTCATTGAGATTGAGAATAAAGAGGGAAAACAGATTGGGAGGAGAGGTTGAGAGGATGAATTCAGCACTGGAAACGCTGAGTGAAGAGTAGCTGTAAAACATCTGACTGTAGGTATCTAGTGGGCTGCTGGGTGGCCAGATGTGGAACTCTACATTTGAGAGTTATCAACATGCAAGGGGTCATTGTAGCTTTCTTTAGGGAACGGAGATAGCTACTCTTATTTGCCCAGTAAAAATTTCCCTTTCTTCTGATAGTAGACCCTGCTCCCTTGGTCTTACCCAGGCCTCGTCATTCTACGTCATCCTCCCATATGGGGAACATGACTCAAAAGGCAAATCAGAGTCTTTCCCTAGAATTGGTGTCTAGACAGGAAGAGAAAGAAACTCTCTTCCTGGAGTTGCTTATTTGTTCACCAGATGGCTAAACTAGATGAATTTGATTCTGGGGCTGACGGTAGTCATCATTTTCCCTGCAGCATAAAGAGAGCCTGTCTTTAGAACAAAGACATCTCTGCTTGATGCATGGAGTTAGAGTGCCTAGACTAGTGGCACTAAGTCTAGGACTGATGTCTGGGTTCCTACAACTCTGATCTTCATTCTGTATTCTTCTCAGATAAATCTCCTTCACTGTTTTGTTTGTTTGTTTTGTTTTGTTATTTTTAAAGTGAGTTGAATAAGGTTTGTTACTGTTTGGGAGAAACTCTCAATGCATGTTTTTCCTCTGCTCTCATACTACCATGACAACAGTCATCAACACAGAAAAAGTCTTCTGTGACCAAGCGTGTTTCTTGGGTTTCTCCCCACCACCAAGCAAGCAATGAATTTTGCAGCGGACACCAACTGGGAGTCCTCCAATCAATTCTGATACTGGAGATAGCAACAGATTCCACAGGTTGAGGACTCAGTGCCCAAGATTGCCGCCAACCTCACAACACCAGTTGCAAGTCCAGGCCTCTGGAACTTCTGGTGGACAAGCTTCAAGTTGGGGTTCCCATGACCCCCTCTCTGGGTTCAGTTAATTTGCTGGAGTGGCTCACAGAACTCAAAGAAACACTTAATTATATGTACTGTTTTGTCATGAAGGATATTACGAAGGATATGAATGAAGACATGTATAGGGCGAGGTATGGGGGAAGGGGCATGAAGCTTCATGCACCCCCTTGGGTGCACCACCCTCCAGGAACCTCTACATGTGCAGGTATCCAGGAGCTCTCTGATCCCTGTCATTTTGGGTTTTTATGGAGGCTTCATTGCATAGGCATGATTGACAACTGTGTAGAAATGTGATTGGACAAAAAAAATTTGATTTAAACCCGGCAAGGCTTGTCTTTTCAGATTTTTCTTAGCCTCTCTGTATTGTATTCCTTCCTCTAAGGTGTGGGGCAGGGTGCTTTCTGGAATAAGGGTGTGTTGACCCACAATCAGATTACAGTCTTGGCTTGGGCAGGTAAAAGGAGGACAGGAGAAAGAAGGAGAGAGAGTCTATTTCCTAAGGCCTTAAGTGCCCCAACATTGTAACAAGGACTATGGGAGATAGGGGTCAGGAACCATGGACAAAAAACCAGTATATATCATAACATCATAGCCACTAAAACTTTGTTTTTGTTTGTTTGAGACAGGGTCTCACTCTATCGCCCAGGCTGGAGTGCAGTGGCACGATCACAGCTCACTGCAGCCTCTACCTCCCAGGCTCAAGAGATCCTCCCTACTCAGCTTCCTGAGTAGCTGGGACTACAGACGTGCACCACCACAGCTGCCTGATTTTTAAATTTTTTGTGGAGACGAGGTCTCCCTATGTTGCTTAGGCTGGTCTCCAACTCCTAGCCTCAAGTGACCCTCTCATCTCAGCCTACAAAAGTGCTGGGATTACTGGCACGTGCCATTGTAGCCAGAGGCCCTAAAACATTTTTGATTAATACACTCGTGCACTGTGAGAGAAGATAAAATCACTCAAGACAAAGAAAGTATGGGGCCAGGAATTGACAACAAATTCCAAGCAACCCCAACATTTAAGGACTAGGTAGAGACTCCCTGTATCTATCACTTATAGATGTTGCCTTATCTGTGTTATCACAGATATCACTCATCTGTGTTGCCCAGGCTGGCCTCAAACTCCTGAGCTCGAGGATCCTCCTGCCTTCGGCTCCTAAGTAACTGAGACTAGAGGTGTGTACCACTGTGCCTGGCAACTCAGTATGTATTTCTAAAAGATAAAGACTCTTTTAAGGCCGGGTGCAGTGGCTCATGCCTATAATCCCAGCACTTTGGGAGGCTGAGGCAGATAGATCCCTTGAGTCCAGGAGTTCAAGAAGAGTCAGGGCAACATGGGGAAACCCTGTTTCTACAAAAAAATACAAAAACTAGCTGGGCATGATGGTGTACACCTGTAGTCCCAGCTACTTGAGAGGATGAGATGGGAGGATCACCTGAGCCCAGGGAGTTTGGGGCTGCAGTGAGATTGCACTACTGCATTCCAGCCTGGGTGACAGAGTGAGACCCTGTCTCAAAACAACATCAAAAGACTCATCTAAAAATTATAACCACAATATAATTATCATATCTAAAACATTAATATTTACTTAGTATCATTTAGTATCATGAGTTTACAAATTCTTGAATTGTATTGTAATTTAATTCAGTTGGTTTGAGTCAGGATCCAAACAAGATCCACACATTGCAATTAGTTATGTTTCTTACATCCCCTTTAGTCTCTAAGTTAACCACCTCTTTTTTCCTTTTTTAAAGAAACGGAAGTATTTTTTTCCAGTAAAATTTCTTGTAGTCTAGATTTTGCTGATTATATCCCTGCAATGTTATTTAACATTCTCTATTCCCTCTAATTGCTGTAGGCTGGTAGTTAAGTCTGGAGAGTTGAACAATTGATCATATTCACACTTGATTTTTTAAAATCAAGCCTTTATAGATAGTGTTTTGTACTTCTATTGTAACACTTTGGGAAGCACATGATTTCTGGAGGTCTTTCTTTTGTGAGATTAAGGCTGTTCAGTGGGCTCAAATATTGTCTACGACAAAGTTCCTCATCTGCTTTTCACCTAATCGTTTCAGCAGCCGTTGATGATCATCCACTTGATCAGAAGTTCATGACACCTTTAGTGTCTGAATAATTTTTTCTCAGTTCCCATAGGTCAATAGAAGTACCTAACATTTCTGTTTATTAAGTAGTTAGGGTCAAACAAATTAATATTAGGTTGGTGCAAAAGTAATTATGGTTTTTGCTACTACTTTTAACATATGTATTTATGTCCTAATAACTTAGTAGCGACTTTAAAATATACACATAATTTGAAAGAGTAATACTTTAATTTCATTCTTAAATAACCACATTCGCTTACTAATGGGATGTCTATACCTCTTGGGCACCTCATAATTTCTGAAACCTTGAAATCAGGTGGGACACCACTACCCTCATTTCCTGTTCTTAACTGGATTCTGCACAACACTTTCTTGAGACCATAGCAACCACTGAAAACCTGACTGCAAAGATAGGTTAGTCAAAAGAATGTAATTTGCTCTAACGTTGAAAGTTTGAATTACCTCAGGCTGGTAGTTCACATGGCTTCTGACAGATGTCATCGTTGTTTCCCCCAAAATTTAAAATACCTACTGTGATGTCCCTGTGAGTTTGTTATAGTGCCCTCACGGTTTGGGCACTGGAGGTCATTGGCCATTATTCTCCCAGACTAGAGCAAGGATTGGCAAACTTTTTCTGTAAACAGCCCAGTAGTAAATATTTAGGCCTAGTAGCCACGCGGTCTCTGTCATAACTACTCAATTCTGCCTTTATGGTGTGAATGCAACCAGTATAGACAATATGTAAACAAATGGAGTGACTGTTGCCGTGCTTTGAATGTGTGTTACCTCCAAAATTCATGGTGAAACTTAATCACCATCATTGCAATAAGTGGGGCCTTTTTAGGAAGTGATGCTTATGAGAGCCATGCCCTCGTGAATGTAGGGCGTTTATAAAAGGGCTTGAGAGAGTACGTTTGCTCTCTTTACTCTTCTGCCATGTGAGGACACAGTGTTCTTCCCCTCCAGAGAATGCAGCAACAAGGTGCCATCTTGGAACTGGAAACTGAGCCCTCACCAGACACTGATCCTGCTGGTGCCTTGATCTTGGACTCCAAGCCTCTAGAACTGTGAGAAATAAGTTTATGTTCTTTATAAATTACCCAGTTGCAGGTATTTTTGTTATAACAAGCACAAACGGGCCAACACAACTGTATTCCAGTTTATTTACAGACACAGGTGTTGGGCTAGGTTTGTCCTGAGGACCTTGGTTTCCTGACCCCTGGCCTACAAAATAGAGAGGAATTTTTCATTTATTAGCTGGAGTTCTTCTAAGGAGAAGAATTTTCCCTCAACAGTTTGGTTACCCCAAGATAAAGTGTGCTTAAGAAATGTAGTATAAACATTTGCTTCTTTCTTTTTTTTGGTGGGGGGGGAACGGAGTCTCACTCTGTTGGCCAGGCTGGAGTGCAGTGGCACGATCTTAGCTCACTGCAACCACCACCTCCTGGGTTCAAGCGATTCTTCTGCCTTAGCTTCCTGAGTAGCTGGGACTATAGGCGCATGCCACCACGCCCAGCTAATTTTTGTATTTTTAGTAGAGACAGGGTTTCACCGTATTGGCCAGGCTGGTCTCGAACTCCTGACCTCGTGATCCACCCACCTAGGCCTGCCAAAGTGCTGGGATTACAGGCGTGAGCGACTGCACCTGGTTGCTTCTTTCTTTTTACTAGTTTTCAAAATTGGTTGATTCCCTAGCATCCAGCAAAGGGGGCCAATAAAGTTTTTGGGTTTTGACTTTTTTTGCATCGTTAATGATGAAGTCATAAAATTTAAAAATATATTTGATATGTTTCAGTCATTTGAAGATATTTTCTTTAATTTGAAAAAACTTCAAACTTGTAAAATATTGCAAAGATAGCACAAAGAATTCCCATATACTTTTACCCAGAGTTACCAATTGTTAACATTTTGCCATATTTGTTTTTTTATTCTCTCCCTCCTTCCCCGCTCCTGGCTTTCTCTCTCTCTCTCTCTCTCTCTCTCTCTCATATAGTTTTTCCTAAACCACTTGAGATTAAGTTGCAGACAATATGCCTCTGCCCTTAAATTCTTCAGTGTATATTTCCTAAAAACAAGGATGTTCACAGTACGGTTATTACAATTAGATCATTTTTTATTGACACAGTGCTCTTATTTAATCTATAAACCTTACTCAAATTTCACCAATTGTTCCAATAGTGTCCTTTATAGCATTCTTTTTTTCTCATCCAGCATCCAACCTAGGATTAATCATGCATTTAGTCTTCATGTCTCTTTAGGTTCCTTTAATCTGAATTAATTCCTTAGCCTTTCTTTGTCTTTCATGACATTGACATTTTTGAAGAGTATAGGCTATTTAGTAGAATGTCCCTTAATTCGAATCTATCCCAAGTTTCCTCATGATGAGGTTCAAGTTAAACATTTCTGGCAGAAATAGCACATGAGTATTGTAGTGTCTTTCTTACTGCATTACATCTGGAGGCACATGATGCATATTGATCGTCACTGATAGCTAGTCTCCAAGTTCTTCAGTGAACTATGTCCCCAGTTTTCATGGCCTTATGTTGTTCCCTCTCCTCGAATCTGGACTGGCCCAGTGACTTTCTTTTAACTAATAGAATGTGGCAGATGTGATTGTTTCTTCTTCTACTAGATCTGAAGAAGCCTTGCAGACAAGTGGCCTTGTCTCTTGGAATTTTGTCCTTGCAATGTTTGCTTGGTTGGAATGCTCACTCTGGGGGTAAGCAACCAACATAATAAGTCTGACTGAGACCACCAACTGTGAGGAAGCCCAAGCTAGCCACTTGGAGAGAGAGAGAGACACCTGGCCAGCACCCAGCTGTTCCAGGTATCCCAGTCACCAGATAGCTGAAGAAAGAAGCCATCTTGAATGTTAAACAAATTGATATCAAACGTTAAGATGAATCAAGTCCCAGCCAACATCTGAAGGTAACTGCATGAGAGATCCCAACTGAGCCCCCTCAATCAACAGAACCATGAAAGATAATAATAAATTGTTTTAAGCCACCAAGTTTTGGAGTAGTTTGTTATTCAGCAATAGATCACCAGAACAGTACTGTAAACTTTGGTCACTTGGTTAAGATAGTGTCTTCCAGGTTTCTCCATTGTACAGTTATTTTTTCCTTATAATTGATAACTAATTCATGGGGAGACACTATAAGACCTTATTAATGTCCTTTTTTCATCAGACTTTCAGCTGCTAGTTTTAGTAAGCCAGAGTCAAATATTAGTATGATAGTTGCAAAATGGTAACCAAAAAACTCCTCTATTAGTTCTTCTACGTTTGTTAGCTAGCATTCTGCTGTAAGAAAGAGATTTGCTGGCTGGGAAATCTCTTTGTGCCCGGCCTAGCACACGTTCTTATCCTTTGCTGGTTCCTTCTTTTCTTTCCATTTTATTAATTTTGGTTTATCCTTCCATTAAAAATGAGCAAATATGTCTTTTTAGATATAAACTAGCATACTGGACACACTACTCTGGCTTTTTTCCAATAATACATCCTGGCAATCACTCCATAGCAGTGTATAGAGATAATCCTCTTTTCTTTTAATGGCTGCAGAGTATTCCATTGGTAGATGTTTTGGCCTGCTATTGAGCAAGTTTTCAGTTGTTTTCAGTCTTTAGCTTTTGGTTGTGCAGTGAATAACTTTGTGTAAAATCCTTTTGTATTTTTTGCCAGTGTATCTCTGAGATAACTTCCAGAAGGAAGGTTGCTGGATCAAAGGGTACATGCATGTGTAATTTTGCTAGATCTTGTCAAATTCCCTTCCCTCAGGGTTATGCCATGGTACATTCCCAAGAGCAATATATGAGTGCCTATTACTTTACAGCTTTCTAACAGAGTACATTATCAAACATTTGCCATTCTAATAGGTGAAAAATTGTTTCTCAGTGTAGTTTTCATTTGCATTGCTCTTAAAATGAAGTTGAGATTCTCTTCATTTATTTAAGGACTATTTGCTTTTCTTTTTCTGTGAAATTCTTTGTTTATATCTCTTACCCATTTTTCTTGAGATTTGTTAATCTTTTTCTTTTTTACTTTTAGAAGCTCTCTCCATATTACAGATCTTAATCTTTTTACTGGGTGTATGTTGAAAATATATTTCTCCAGCTTTTCATTTGTCTTTTGGCTTTCTTATAGTTATTTTTTGCTATGAAGTTTTATTTTTAACCTTTACTTAGTCACATTACATAAAATTATTCCTTCGGGATTTTAAATCATAGGTAGAAAAGTTTTTGCAAGTACAGAAGAATTCATCAGTGTTTTCTTCTAGTTTTTGCATAGTATTATTGTTTCCATATTTGAACTTGTTATTCTGTATAATGTGAGAAACAGGTCAGATTTTGTCTTTTTCCATATGGCTATCTAGTTACATATAGAGTATTTTCATAAAGAAGTGGTCAACAGTGTCACTGACTGCTAAGAGGTCCCCTAGGTTAAGAACTGAAAACTGCCAATAGGGTTAGTAACAAGGAGGTCAATGTGACCTTGCCAGTAGCAATTTCAATAAAGCAATGAGGCAGAAGTCAGATTGCAGTGGATTGAGGATTGAAAGGTGAGGAAGTAGAAGGAACAAGTGTAGATAACTCTTTGTGAGGTCCTAAATTGATAGTCTTTTTATTAGGCACTACATATAAGTTTCAGAATTCCAAAAGACAGATTTCAGGCAAAGAAGTTTTCCAATAAAACCCCTGTATCAGTCAGGGACCAATCAGGCAAATAGAAACCATTCTAAGTATTTAAAATAGAGGGAATTTAACCTTTGTGAGAATTGGAATGGTGCCTCATATGAGTCGATGCAGCTGTGCAGGTGCCTGGCTTGTTCGTTAGAGAGCAGGCAGAGAGGGTTCAGCTATTTCTTGCCTTTTGGTTTGGTGCCTTTGTGCAGGATACAACCTCCATATCTGTATCTGATGGCCCTGGTTATCCCCGTTTTACAGAGAAAGATTAAATAACTTGCCCAAGGTCATATGGCTAATAAATGAATAATCAGAGATTACCAATGTTGAATTCACAGCCAATTCCTGGTGACTTTCCTCCTATTTGAAAGCTATAATCCTTCAGTCTTGGGAGAGGTAGACAAAAAGAGATTCATTCCTGGCCAAGGTTCATGGACAGGGTCTGGTCACTGCTTCTCCTCCTAGGGTACTATGCTTTCCTAGTGACTCTTCACTAAATTCCATAGTTCACTGGTCAAACACTGTTCTGTGACAAAGGGCCAATAAGACCCCTTGGTCTAAGGAAGTATTGTCCAAGGTAACCTGACACAGTGTTTGACTTTTATCCTTCACTTACTTTAAGCTCTCATTAAACACACTTATAACAGAGTTTAGGTGCCACTGAATGTGTTAATGTCATCTAGGAAGGCTGGTTGATTGCAAACAGGACCTCTCAGGAACACTAGTTAAGCTCAAACAAGACTGATTTGTAAACCAGAATTTCAATGTATGAATTCATAATAAGGAGCAAGTAAGGCTTGTATGTCTTATTTATGCCACCTCCTTTCCCAGTATCCAATCACTTGGGAAATTGAGTGATTAGTCAAGAAGTTGCTAAGTAAGCATGGAATCAGAACAGGTGCTGATGAAATATCTTTACTCATAATAGAGAACACTTCTCTAGTGGCCAGCCCCCAGATTTAGAGTCTTTTAAATTTTCACCAGTGTTTCCCAAGCTTCAGTCATTTGAATACCACCTTTATGATTTTACCATTCCTGCATTTCAATACACACATACTTAGTTTTCTTCCTTTCCTTCCTTTCCTTCCCCTCCTTCTCTTCCCTCCCTTCCCTCCCTTTCTTCCTCCTTTCTTTCCTTTTCCTTCCTCCTTTCTTTCCTTTTCCTTCCTTCTTTTCTTTTCTTTCTTTCCTTCCTTCCTTCTCTTTCCTCCTTCCTTCCTTCCTTCCTTCCTTCCTTCCTTCCTTCCTTCCTTCCTTCCTTCCATCCTTCCTTCTCTCTCTCTCTCTCCCTTTCCCTCTTTCCTTCTCTTCTCTTCTTTTCTCTTCTCTTTTCTCTTCTCTTCTTTCCTTGGAGTCTTGCTCTCTCGCCCGGGCTAGAGTGCAGTGGCGCGATCTCTGCTCACTGCAAGCTCCGCCTCCCGGGTTCACGCCATTCTCCTGCCTCGAGTAGCTGGGACTACAGGCGCCCGCCACCACGCCCGGCTAATTTTTTTGTATTTTTACTTGAGACGGGGTTTCACCGTGTTAGCCAGGATGGTCTCGATATCCTGACCTCGTGATCCGCCCGCCTCGGCCTCCCAAAGTGCTGGGATTACAGGCGTGAGCCACCCCGCCCGGCCCTTAGTTTTCTTAATTGAATAAGTTTTTAAAACAAAACATTTACTTTAGCTTCTTTCTAAGCAATTATATTTCTGAAATCATATTTGGTGTGCTAGTTTTCTAACACATATTGAAATAAATATAAACATTAAAATAACTACCAAAATGAAAATGTCCATGAACTGCTTAAACTCAGTGGTGTATATACCACACCTTAGTAAATATTGCCCTAGCCATTACTGGAAAAATAAAATACGTAAGTTTCTCTGAATCCTAGTTGGTGTGTTGAACACCTCTGTTGAATTTCTTCCTCAGGTGTGTACTAGCGTCATGGTATCTTGTACCATCATTGTACCCACCCCCTCTATTTTGTGTTGATTTTACAGGGCTCCAACCTACAGTATTTTATTCTATTTTATTTTTTTGAGATGGGGTCTTGCTGTGTTGCCCAGGCTGGAGTGCAGTGGTGCAATCTTGGCTCACTGCAACCTATGCCTCCCGGGTTCAAGTGACTCTCGTGCCTCAGCTTCCCGAGTAGCTGGGATTACAGATGAGCATGCCCAGCTAATTTTTGTATTTTTACTAGAGGCAGGGTTTCATCATGTTGGCCAGGCTGGTCTTGAACTCCTGACCTCAAGTGATCCACCCACCTCAGCCTCCCAAAGTGCTGGGATTATAGGCGTAAGCCCCCATGCCCCGCCTTCAACCTACAGTATTTGAAAGATAAAATATGAAATTTTATCTTTAGTATTTGTGATTTTGTGCATAGTAAGAGATTCTCAAATATTTGTGTACCTAATATTCTTGAATATTTTCTAACTATTCTCAAATATTTATAGTACCTAAGAATGAACATATACTCTACCATTTGAGGTGATTAATTTTGGCCTACTGGTGGATTAAAAGAATTTTTAACAGTGTCGACATGACGCTAGACACAATCCACATCAATAAAAAATCATTATTTGAATAAGACGAAGATAATGCTGAAAATATAAAAAGACTAAAATATCAGTTCTCTCTATTTGTATTAACTTTGAGAATTCAGTGTTTCAAAAGTGTGAAGGGTCTTAACTACAAACTTTGATTTAAAACTGAGACTTCTTTGAGGAAATTGTTTTGCTTTAATCCGTCCTTCTAAAAATGGGATTTAGAGAATTTGGAGGAAACTGTATACAATAAAGTTTTTTTTTTCACCTAAGCTTTCTAGTTAATCATTTGACACAGCAGTCTGAAGATTTTAAATTCCAGTTGCCACTGCCATTCTTTCCACTAGAATGTTGCTTGAGATATGGG